>NC_000008.11:102589222-103214222 GCF_000001405.40 Homo sapiens | reverse complement strand
TGGGTTTGTAGAAATGCCCAAGAGGTGACCTTTTGAAGTCAGAAGGCCAAAACTCTTCCTGAAGATCATGCAAACACAGCCATTTTCTGAACATGAATCCTGTGAAGAGCCATGAACCATGACTATGCAAGCACAGACCACTGATTATCTCACTTTCCCCCACTGCCAATCATCTTTCCTCATGCCTTAGATTACCCGGCTTCTTTATCTCATAGATAGCCCTAAACCCTATCTTTGTGGAGGCAGATTTGGGATCTGTTCTTCTGCCTCCTCACTTGGCTGCCTCATGAATAAACTTTCTCTTTTGCAAAACCCATTGTCACAGTGATTGGTTTGCTGTGCACAGACAGAATGAACCTGGTTCAGTATAATTTTGACAGAAGAGATAGGAGAAAATGGGTATGGAGCCTAGGGTAAGCAGTGGATTTTGAAGGGGGTGGGGCATAGGGAAGATAAGGAAGTCAGAAGGAGGAACTGGGTGGAAGAGGAAGAGACTGCAGATGCCTGAGCCCTGCCTACTAAGAGCGCTCATTCTGGGCTGCCCCTCCTGTACCCATAAGAGGATCTTCCCAACAATAGCTCTGGGAGAAAAGAAAGGATACCCGCCACGTCCTGGGACATCACTGACCTGCCTCTTCCAACAGTCTGGGGATGATGCTGTCACCACATTCTGCTATGAGAGCCACCCTTGGGGGCCCTTCCAATGTCCACCTGGTTGGAGGGCCTGAGTAAAATGCGAGGCTTGTTTCCAACCACTCTGGTCTTCTCTTTCCTTCCTCTGCCCACTCCCCACCCTGCCAACCCCTGAGACTGGCCAGCTGCCTGGCCTAAGACTGGTTCCTCTAACCAGCACAGTCCTCACCATCAACATGGTGACAGTGGCCACAGAAAACAAGATCCTTGAATAAAGCTGTACTTAAGCAAACATACACATGGAAACAAAAAGCAGCAACCCTCAAGGCAGGGTTTTGGGGTGGGGTTTGCAGCAATTTTTACATGGGTGGGGCAGAGACTTTTTTTTTCCAAGATGAGCCATCCCTGGTCCCTCCCTGGACATAGCGGCTGGGTGGCTCTGCCCTGAAGCAAGCCCTACCCCCATTCTCCAGTCCCCAGTTGATTCTGTGGCTGCAACCCTACCTCTGTGGTCTGAAGGCCATTCTGTTTCTGGGTCAGAGGGCCTGAGCTGAGGCTCTGGGGATTTGGGCACTGGGTCTCACAGTTCGTCTTCTTCTCTGGGTTGGGTATTCCACCTGGGGCTGTAGATCGGGGCACACCATTGGAGGGCAGTCCATCTTCCAGCATGCCTGGGGGAGGTAAGCAGAGGATGGAACCAGAAGCTTGCACATGGCAGATGTTGCAAACAATCCCAAAATGGTGGAGAAACAGATAGTCAAAATGAAAAAACAAAAGTTGCCAGAAATCCCACCATGCAGAGCTACCCTTTTCTATAAGAACATATATGCTTTTTACAAAAAGGAGATTTTAAAACAATTCTGTAACCTGAAATTTTTACTTAATGATACCTTGATGACTTTTTTCTATACCATTAAATATTCTGCCATGTTATTTTTCACATGTCTATGTCATCATTTATTTACCTAATCCCCTTTGCTTGGATATTTGTTTCCACATTTTCATAATAAATCCTACTGTGATGAAACACCTTGTGGTTAAAGTTTTATTTTAAATTACTTCCTTGGGATAAATTCCTAGAAGTGGGATTACTGGCTTGAAGGTTATATAAATGTTGGGTTTTTATTTTGTTTTGTTTTTTAGAGAGATGGTCTCACTCTGTTGCCTAGGCTGGAGTGTAGTGGCATGATCATAGTTTGCTGCAGTCTCAAACTCTTGGGCTCAAGCGATCCTCTCACCTCAGCTTTCCAAGTAGCTGGGACTAAAGGCACGTGTCACCATGCCCAGCTAATTTTTGTATATTTTTTTGTAGAGACAGGGTCTCACTATGTTGCCCAGGCTGGTCTTGAACTCCTGGCCTTGAGCAATCCTCCCACCTAAGTCTTCTAAAGTGCTGAGATTACAGGCATGAGATAACATGCTTGGCCAATACAGAGATTTTTTTTAATAGCTCCAGCTCAAAGTGTTGGACTGAGTATGTGTGCCTTTTACAACAAATGCCAAGAAATGATAGAAGTTTAAATAAATAGCCTCACTGAAAAGGGAGAGGACTACACTGAGGAGTTAATAAAGGATGAACAGAATCTTATTGGAAAGAGAAAAGGTGGCCCAGGAAGCATGACAGGGAATGCCAAGTATGATGTCAGAAGCTGACAGAGTTTCTGCCATAGTTACAGGGAGGCAAGAAGCAGCAAGGTAGCCCGGACTTTCTACTCTTCCACCTGCTGAGGCCAGTCAGCAACAATAGAGGAGTCTGTATGGGGCAGGGACTAGAGAGAAGGGCAGTGCTCTCAGGAGCTGGAGACACCTGCGAGAAAGAAAAACCCAGGTTAAGAAGACTGGTATTTTGAAAATAGTGCCAAGAGTTAGGCCAATAGTAGTTCCCATCCCTGCTCTCCAAGTGGCTCTCTCAAATAGATGCAGATGACATTCTAGCAGGAAACTTCAGTTACAAAAATCAGTACAAAAACAAGAATGAGCAAACATTTGAGGAAGGCCAACACCACAAAAAAGAGACAACTAACTCTGCAATGGAGATCCCCAAAAGAAATGGAGTTAATATGGTATTCAGAAAAGAATTTTCAATAAGTATAGTCAATCTGCTCAGAAAAATGGAGATAATATAACCACAAAATGAGGACGAGTTACCCAAAAATGTTCAATCAGAGATATTTGAAATAATAATCTTAAATGTTGAAAGAAAAAACCCTCAATAGAGAAGCTGAATAACACGATAGACAGAAAGAGCAGTTTCGTGAGCTGAAAGGGCAGGCCAAGGAATTCTCCATGGTAGCACAGAGGGCTGAACATTATTAGGAAATGCAGGATAGAAATCCAGTAAATTAAGCCTTGATCTAATAAGAGTTGTAGATGAGAGGCTAGAGAAGATTGAGGGGAAGCAATATTCACAGAAATAATAAAGATTTCTTAGAACCAAAGAAAGATGTGAAACCTCAATTTGAAGTAGGCTACCAAATACTTGGCAAGAGAAGCCCAACCTAAGACAGACCTTAGTGAAGTTTCAGAACATCAGTGATATCAAGAACAGCTTAAGAAGAGGAAAAAAAAATCAAGAGTGAGACAGACATCAACTTTTCATTCATCTTATGAAAACATTGTTTCATAAGAAGACTATGAAACAATGTTTTCAAGATTTCAAAGGATATACACATTTTTAAGTCTTCTGCAATATATTTTCAAATTTACCTCTACAAGTCTGTCTTCTGTTGACCATCTGCCAACAGTATATAAGACAGCAATATTCCCTAAATCCTGACAAATACTGAATATTTTCTTTTCTGGTTTTCATCTTTGTCAATTTAAGAGGAAAAATAAAGTATCTCATTGCTTGGATTAATGCTTCTTGATTTACTAAAGATGTTATATTATTTATATGCCTAATGACTAATTGTGTAGGTTTATATTTTAATTGTAAAGTCATTTGTTTCTCTTTCCTTTGGGGTATTTGCCTGGGCTTGCTTTTAATCAAACGTAAAGAAAAACAAACAAAATCCTTTCCCTGGGTGTTGAGAAATTATTTGCCATGGGGCAGGCATCAGAAGCGCAGTGTATTTTTGTATATCAAGGGCGGGAGGGTGTTGACTGGCAGAGTTGCTAAGACTGCAGTTCCCACACAGTGAGATGGCAGTGTCCACAGGACACCTATCTGTGTGTCACCCACTTGCTGTGCCAAATGCTAATGAGCTTTCAACTGTGACCATGGGATAGAAATCAGAATTCAAAACATTGAAAGTCACAGTGGAAAGTATCTGGTCCAGAGCTCCCTGACTGGCAGGCCTCAGCACATTGGGGTGCTGTGATGGATTCAAGGTGAACAGAGAAATGGATTCCTGCAGCTAGGCTTGTCCCAAATCCTTGTGGCTTCCTTCCTCCACCAATTACAGCCTGCCCCTGCTCTTCCCATTCCCACCTTTTCTCCATCCTGTACCTAAAGGGGCCTGAGATGCATGTGTATGAACACCACAGTACACATGTCTCATCTCTGCCCACTCCTCCCTGCAAACAGCCTGGGGCTAGGGCAGTGTACACCTGCAGAAGAGATCAGGAAAACAGGCCCATAAAGACTCTGGAAGCAGGCTTGGTGTGGATTTGGATTTGGTGTCATTCAGACTGGATTCCAGGGTCCCAGCACCCACAGAAGAGCCTAGAATAGTGCTACTCAGTGTCCTCCAGGGACCAAACTGTTGTTACTGTCTGCTGTGGGATACATATAAGAACTGATTGCAAGCATTTACAAATTTCTATAGCAATTTGACATTGCCAGAACATCCAAAGGCAGACTTGTCTAGTTGAACTTACTGATTGAGCAGGGTGCAAACTAAGTTGAGTGCTTTTAAACTCATGGGGTGAGTCACAAGTGGGGTGAGTTGTGTATTAATCACACAAAGTAAGACCATATATTTGTCTGTAATGGACTGGGGGAATAAAAGCAATGAATTCTGAAGGAGGGCTGAGGCTTTGGTAGATACGTCCCCTTGGCCTCTGGATAACTCAGCCTGTGGGAAGGGTGGGGCTCATGGGGTGAAAGGGGCAAGGGGTGTCTGAAGCACAAGACCAAGGTAGAGACTCCATTTCCTAAGCCTAGGGTAGAACTGCCTTCAGCCCTTGGGGCTGCTGAATGGGAGTCAAGGCTGGCCAGGGCTCCCTTTGCTTGCTGTCTCCCCCAGTGTGCCATACAGATGTTGCCTTGTTTTTTTTCAGATGGAGTCTCGCTCTGTTGCCCAGGGTGGAGTGCAGTGGCATGATCTCAACTCACTGCAGCCTCTGCCTCCTGGGTTCAAGCAACTGAACTGCCACAGCCTCCTGAGTAGCTGGGACTACAGGCATGCGCTACCACACCCAGCTAATTTTTGTATTTTAAATGGAGATGGAGTCTCACTGTGTTGGTTAGGCTGGTCTCAAACTCCTGGCCTCAAGTGATCCACCCGCCTTGGCCTCCCAAAGTGCTGGGATTACAGGTGTGAGCCCCCACACCCAGCCTCCAGATGTTGCCATTTTCTATGTGCGTCATGACTTGGTACCCGGGTCAAAGGTCTGTGAGAGGCCCCTACTGAGCCATCCACTGAATGCACCATGATGCTGCCAGCCTGGATGGGGATGGCCACTCCCTTGTCATACCTGAGACACTTCAAGGGGCACACCTGACCCCAATCCTCCCTATGCCTATGGCCAGGTCCTCCTGGGGGTTGAAGGACATGAAACACAGCTCCCTTCTCCCTTCTCCCAATGCAATCCAGTTGCTGATCCATGAGGAGGGCAGCAGGGAAGCAAGGAGAGGCCTTACGCACCAGGATCAAGAGCAGGCAGCAGGGAATATATCCCAGGGAGGCAGAAAGGCAACAGCAAGTGGGGCCAAGTATGATTTACAGCTCCAAGCCCGGGGACACGCTCCATTGTCCATTGGATTTACTTATAAAACACACATTAAAAGACAAAATTATGAAGGATTTCACGATGGTGCCTGCAGAGCATTAGGTCCTAAGCGCAGGGCCCCTTGTGAGCCCAGCAGGCCCCGTGAGGCTGCACTGGCTGCACATTCGTGAAGCTATCCCTGCCAACCCATAAAACAGACCAAGGCAGAGCTGCCATAACTGAGGTGCCGATGGCCAGTCCTTCCCTCTCAGCAGCTCCTCCTATCCCCGGCATCTTTGCTAAGCCTAAGCGCTGCTAGAAACACAGTTTAAAAATCCATCATTTGGTCTAGAGTTTTCATTTTTCACTGGTGGCCAAACAAAAATTACAACTTTGGTTTCTTAACCCCCCAGTCTAGACTTCCTCATCTATTAAATGGAGATAATACTGCCACCTTCATGGGGCGATTGTAAAGATTAAGTGAGACCATATCTAAAGGTTCTAACGATGCCTGCACACATATTGCACTGATTATTGGTGGCACAGCCTATCCCCGCCTCTTGCCCCTCTCCATTAGCCACACTGGTTGCATTCCTGATTTATGAGTCACACAACCAGCTAAGTGCTAAGCCACTGGCTTACTGAGTATGATGAAACAGAGAAGCTCTGTGACAACCAGGGCCAGCTTGGGGGATTGGCATTTGCCAAACAATGAGCAGGGGTCATCTGTCCAGTGTGGTCAAGAGGACACCCCAAGGGGTTAGGAATATAAGGTAATTTTCTGTTACTTCTATCTGTAACAAACCAGGTGATTTTGCTGCATGGATTTTATTTAACTCATATTTTCTAGTTATGAAAAATAGATTCAATGTTAGAAAACTTTTAGAATTCAGAAAAACACAAAGGAAAAATAATTTTTTTACCTCCTCACCCAGCGATATGTCCTGTGTAGGAGACCAGAATATGCCACCCCAAAATGTGCCACTTTGGCATAAGGATTATTTTAAGCTGAAGGCAATGGAGAAGTAGTTCTCTGTCACCGCCTCCCACCTGCCCCCTCCCCCTGCCATTTGCCTAAAAGTAGGGCATAAATTTACTTTTCACTGGTCACTAAACAAGAGGAAAGGCTTCTTCCCCTCTCTACCAGGAAAGACAAAGGTTGATCACTGAAGACAACTTCAGACCCTTATCAGCCTGGAGAGGGCACCAGAGGAATCTACATTAACAAGCTTTACTAACTAGCCTTTATCTACTGTCTATCTGCCTTCCCATAATTTTTTACCCCTAGAGACTCAAAGTCCTTTTCCTTTGTCTTGTCACTTCTCTAAAAATTTACTGGTTTTTGTTGAAGATGCTACATACGCTGGAATTCCAAGCCACTTCTTTGAGATTTAGTAATTGCCTAGATATCTCCCATGTATATGTAAAATATACGTGTTAATGAGCTTCTGTTTGCTTTTATCTTATTAATCTGTCTTTCATTACAGAATTAATCACAGCTAAGAACTAAGAGTGGAAAGAAAGTTATTTTTTCCTCCCCTGGACCTGTCAACAGAGCTGTATGTCCTTCCAACAGATGCTATTAGTGCCTGCCCAGATCCACACACCTGACCCTGCACCCATCCCCAGGTGTGGTGGATGTTGGTAGCTAACAGCTCACCCCTGGCTTCTTCTCCTAAGGCTTGCCCTTGACTGAAGGGAGCCCCCTTACCAGGAGAAGCCTTGCCGATTATATTAATATCAGTGGCAGTCCATGCTAATGACCAACTAAAAATACCTGTTGGTGGGGAGAGTGGGTACAATAGCCCAGCTCCTTTGCTTCTAAGCAATTTCTGTCCTTTCACTCCAAAGTGACCCATAGGATCAGGCTGAGGCTAGACTAATCCTGAAACCACATCTTTGCTCAGCTCCTTGTCCTGCCCCATCCTGCTTCTCTCCCTCCCTCCTTCACACTCTTCTCCCAGGAATGCCCCTAGGAGTCACTTGCACAAAATCTCCATCTCAGGCTCTGTTACTACCAGAGCCAAGACAATATACATACCCTGCTTGTTGGATGTATTTCTTCTGCCCCTCCAGTCTCACTCTCCCCTTCTCTCTACCCTGGTCTGTGTCCCAGGAGACGACTGACCTGAATGCACATGTCAACAGGCTCTCTTGTCCACCGGCTTCTAGTGGGGTTTGACCAATGGGAGGAATTAGCTTTAGAGGGGAAGGGTCTGCGGCGGCACATTGAGGTCAGGTTTTTATTTCCCTAGCTCCTTCCTCCTTGCAGGTTGTCTTGGGTGGACCATGACCTCTACATACTTCTCCAAGAAAATCTCTCAGCAAGAAAAGCCTGAGAGATTGTTCAATTAAGTCTCCCTGATGACTTCAGGGAGAGCTCAGGGAACTGAGGAGAATGGAAGACAGATGGTCAGTTGTTGAGTAGAGAGTTACAGATGCTGTATCAGTCAGGGTTCTCAGCTGTAAGCAACAGAAATTGATTAGAGAATTAAAGCTTTAAAAAAGGATTTATTAAAATAATCTGGGAGCTCACAGTGTTTCTGGGAAGGCTGGAGGTTGAGGCATGGAGGCTATCAAGGGACAACTTCCTAAATCTTTCCACCAACCCTAGACTCTGGAAACTGCCCTCAGCACTGCTGCCACACTTATATTCAAAACTTATTATTTTTCTGAGATAAAAGTTTAACTGGGTGTCTTCAATTTTATCTGGCAACCCTATTGGGGTTATGCAAAATGCTCATCAAGTGCCCCAGAGTGGGGACATTGTTGTGAAAGTTGCACTGTACTAAACCCTGGGCTCTATTTGCATGTCTACTCCACACCACTCCTCTCGTGCTGGGGAGACAGGAGAATTACCCTTATTTTACAGAAGAAGAAATTGAAGTTTAACCCAGGTTCCGTATGTTTCCAAAGCTTGTGGTATTAGCAAAAACTCCCAAGTAGGCAGTTCTCAAATTTTAATGCATGAAACTACATGAAACTCACCTGGGGTGTCTGTTAAAATGCAGATCTCTACATTCATTCCTCCAGAACTTCTGATTCAGTAGGGGCCCAGGAATATGCATCTTAACAAGTTCCCTGTATCCCACCCCCAGGGATTCTAAGGCAGGGGATTCTAAAGACTGCAGAGGCTCATCTATATTATAGATATATATAGATCTATCTATCTATCTATCATCTATCTATCTGACATAGAGATCAACACTCGTGTTAGTTTTGAGGGTCACAAAGTACTCATGTATATTTTTTCCATAGTGAAGTCTGTACCAGTAAATTAGGAGACATTTATGTGCCCCTAGAGTATTTCTTGTTTGACACCCTTCACAAAATTTTCATTCCATGCAGGAAACAAGTCAAATCACTGAACCTTGCCAAAAGATAGGAAATAGCTGTGTCCACAGCTTGCTGATAAATTGCAACCCCAGGGATTCCTTGCCAAGCCAAAGCTTCTTGCTATTTTGGAAATGGAGCTGGGCAGGAGGGAAGAGTACAGAAATTAAAAATGGTAGCTAGAAGCCATGTGGAGAGCAGGTCAAGGGGTAATTTCTCCTTAGCTTGAGCACCTGGCTTTCCTTGGTGAAGGTGGTCACAGAGAGTTGGTCCAAAATCATCAGAAACAACCTGCAAGTCATTCTCCTCAATGACAGAAAACCAAAGTATAAGACATTGGCAATCAATATGGAAAGAATCTCCTAAAATCACAGCCAGTGAAACTCTGGTTCATCAAACACTGTCTGGGCTCTCAGGTCCTGAACACATGGCAGATAATAATTTTGTCTAAACTGAGGTATAAGTAAAACAAGCTGTGATTGCTCAGCCACTTACTAAGAATTTGTTTCATCTTTAAAATGAACTAGAATGGGACAGTGTCATTTCTTCAATCTGATGAGAAATTGTTGGCCACATACTATGTATAATACTATAATATGTGACCTTTTGCATGGCTATTACAAACACATTCTTAGAAAATATTGAGCAACCCTTAAATTTATGGTCATTTTTTTCTGGACAATGGTGCCAAGACACTTCAATGGGTAAAGAATAGTTTTTCAACACATGTGCTATGACAACTGAATATCTACATGCAAAATAATGAAGTGCACCCCTACTTCACACCATATACAAAAACTAAGTCAAAAGGATCAAAGATCTAAATGTAAGGGCTAAAATCATAAAACACTGAAAGGAAAATATAGGTGTAAGTCTTCATGACCTTGGATTATCCAATTGTTTCTTAGAAATGACCCCAAAAGCACAAGCAACAACAATGAAAAATAGATATAATGAGCATTATCAAAACTGAAAACTTTTGTGATTCAAAGGACACCATGAAGAAAGTGAAAAGGCAATCCACAGAATAGGAGAAAAAGTTTACAAATTATATATTTGGTAAGGAACTAACTTTCAAAGAACTCCTACAACTCAATAATAAAAAAGATAAATAATCCAGATAAAACATCAGCAAAGGACCTGAGTAGACATTTCTTTATAGAAGATATGCAAATGGCCAATAAACACATGAAAAGATACTCAGCATCATTAGCTATCAAAGAAATGCATATCAAAAACCACAAGGATATACCACTTCACACCCACTAGGATGGGGCTATAATAAAAAAAAGATACAGAATAAGTGTTCTCAGAAATGTAGAGAATTTGGAAATCTCATACACTGCTGGTGGGAAGACTAAATGGTACAGCTGCTTTCAGTCTGCAATTCTGTAAAAGGTTGAACATAGTGGTACCATAACCCAGAAATTCCTGTAGGGTATACACCCAAGAGAAACGAAAGCCTGTATCCACACAAAAACTTGTTCATGAGTGTTCTTAGCAATCTTATTTATAAAAGCCAAAAAGTAGAAACAACCCGAATATCCATCAATTGATGAATAGATAAATAAAGTATTTTATGTATATACAATGGAATATTATTTGGCAGTTTGACAAGAAATGAAGTACTGATATATACTACGACATTGATGAACCTTGAAACCATTACGCTACGTGAAAGAAGCCAGTTACAGAAGGCCACATATTATATAATTCCATTTATATGAAATGTTCAGAAATAGGCAATTCTATAGATAGAAAAGTAGTGGTTATGTAGGGCTGGGGGTTTGGGAGGAAATGACAGTGACTGTTAATAAGTTCAGGGTTTCTTTTTGATGCAATGAAAATGTTCTAAAATTGATTGTGGGGGTGGTTGCACAACCCCAGGAATTTAAAAAATCATTTAATTGTATGCTTTAAATGGGTCAATTGTATGGTATGTGAATTATACCTCAACAAAGCTGTCATTTTTCAAATGGTGAGCAGTACATTTTGGAATGTTTATTGACTAAAGAAAATATAGAAGCACATTTGGATTTGAACAGCAATGATCAAGGAGAGAAACTGACTAGTGGACTCATATACTAGACAATGTAGCACTAGCAACAGCCCCCAAAGGACATGGGTCCTGACTAGGAAGATATTGAAAGACCACTGTTCCCTGTGATGAACCACCAGCCTGTAACATCTGCCGTTGGCCATAGGGTTTGGTAGGGGAAATGGCTTCCCCATGGTACCCAGCAGCATGTGAGGCAGGAGCCTGCTGACACCGACAACTGGAACTGACAGGACAGGAGGCAGAAGCAAGGAGAGTCCTATTTGTCTTTGGCGAAATGGGCCTGAATTCTTCTCTTCCCAAAAAGATGCCCAGGAGACAACAGACAAGCTAATGAACTGGAAGGCAGCCAAAAGGAAAAGTAAAAATCTCACTTGCCTTCTCTCTAGTGCTACCCTTTGGACCTGCCAGTCTTCTCTGAGGGCGTACTTACTTTCCTCTCTCCCTTTGCTCCTCTCAGAGGTGCCTCCCTTCCTTGAAACTTCTTCACCTTTGCTTCAAGAGCACCACAGAGCAGATTCTTCAAGGCAGGTACTGCCATATCTTTATGTTAATTACTGTGGGGTGTCCCAACTCGGTCATGAAATTCAGCTCTCTATCCCACCAAAGGTGTTTATATCTTACTATTCTAAGGTATGCAATATTGCTAGGATTGTAACAATACTCTATATTTTACCAGAGCCTTCCTCCCAAATTGCTCAAAACACTTCTCTTATGCTCTTCTCTTTCCTCTTTGTGTCTCCTTGAATCATTCTCTGACACTTTTAAAATGTGTACCTTCTGTATTAGTCTGCTCAGGCTGCCATAACAAAGTACCACAGACTGATGGCTTAACCAAGAGATATTTATTTTCTCATAGTCCTGTAGGCTGGAAGTCCAAGATCAAGGTGTCAACAGGTTGGTTTCTCCTGAGACCTCTCTCTTTGGCTTGTAGATAGATGTCTTCTCCCTCTGTCTTCACATGGTCTTCCCTCTGAGTGTGTCTGTGTCCTAATCTCTTCTTATGACACCAGTCATACTGGATTTGTGCCTACCCAAATAACCTCATCTTACCTTAATTACCTCTTTAAAGGCCCTATCTTCAATTATAATCACATTCTGAGGCGCTGGGGAAAGGCCTTCAAGCCATGAATTTTAGGGGTACACAGCTCAGGCCATATTACCTTGCATTTCTTTTTATAAAATAACATTTATGATCTCACATAAGAAATAGGTGTTTCATGTAGAAAACTGTACTATATTGGTAAGAAAAAAGTAAACAAAATTACTCATAATCTTATCTACCAGGAATAACTACTATTGACATTTTGCCTACTGTGTCCCAAAACTTCAGTGCATAGACATGTATAGATTCTAAAAATTGAGACTATACAATACGATTCCATTTTCCACCTTTATCTGCCAACATTTCTCCTGTTTCATTCTTCCTTCATCTGCTTCCTCCTCATCACAGATGATTTATTCTTTCCTTTGTCACTTGTCTTTCAATCAGCTAATTATTTGAAAACTATTTATTTGGTACCTACTATGTGCCAGGCTCTATGCTGGGTGCTGGGTTTACATCTGAGGCTTCTAGTTTAGCAGTAGGTTGCAGTCTCTCAGCTAAATCCTTTTTCCAACCACCTTCCTTTCCTTGCTGCTTCTCCCTGTCTCTGCCTAGTTCCTCAATTCTACACCAGAGAGGATACAGGGCATAGATGACAAAGACTGAATTCTCATTGGAGGGAGAAGAAAGAGAAGAATTTGAATGGGCATTAACCTAATTCTCCTTAAGAGAGGGAGAACAAGGCAAAGTGGAGAACATTTAGAAGGCAATATGTCTTATCCATCCACATGTCTAACTCCTCCTTCCTCTTCCGTGTGACACAGTGTAGATCTCACCTTCTTACTCAGGCTCAAATGGTCTCTTCAGGGAATTGTTTACCTGTACAATCCCAACAAGCAGCAACCTTACCATGGAATGCTCCCCTAGGGTGACCAACAGGTGCCTGGGAACAAAGTCCCAGGGGTTGCACATGAGGGGTGGTCCTCAGAATCATAATGCCCCTCTGGTGGCTGATTTACTCAGGAAGAGTTGCTGACTTTCCTTGGCCAAGGCCCTGCCCATCATGGCCTCCTTTCTGCTTGAATACGGAGACCTACTTTGATCTTTGATTCTTACTTCATTTCCTTACATATCCAGACAATTTTCCCTGCTTGTAGCCTGATCTCTTTCCACAAAGTCAGCAGATTTAATCAGTCAGAGATTTTAAAACGCCCTGGAGATGACTCCCTTAAACTGCTCCAAAGGTACCTAGTACGATAGGATGCTTGATGGCCTTCACTTTAGACTCTTTTTCTTAGTCACTGGAATTTTTCTTTAGGGAAAAAGTATTCTAATGCAATTTTCCTCCCTGCTATGGTCTGAATGTTGGTGTCCCCCCAAAATTCATATGTATAAATCTAACCCCCAATGCAATAGTATTAAGAGGCAGGACCTTTAGGAAGCAATTGCCATGACGGTTCTGTCTTCATGAACGATATTGGTGCCCTTATAAAAGAGGTTGAAGGGAGCTCATTGACCCACCATGTGAGAACACAGCAAGAGGTGCCATCTTTGAAGCAGAGAACAAGCCTTCATCAGACACTGAATCTGTTGGTGCCTTGATCTTGGACTTCTCAGCCTCCAGAACTGTGAGAAATAATTTTCTGTTACTTATAAATTATCCAGTATAGGTATTTCAGTCTAAGCCAGAACAGAGGAAGACAGTCCCTGTTGTCTTTTACTCTTTGGTTGAATTATTTTTGGGGGTGGTTAGCCTTTTAAAGAAGTGGCAGCTGTTTTCCTGGTTGTTTTTGTTTGTTTTTTACTCCTTGACATTTTCTGACCTTAGTACAACTAGCCTTTTCATTAGGCTATTTCCACATCAACTGTAGTTGGCACTAAATTTTTCTCTGAGGTGGATATTAGAAATTAGATGATATTCCTTTGGGTATATACCTAGTAATGGGATTGCTGGGTTGAAAGGTATTTTCATCTTTCAGTCTTTGAGGTTTTGCCACACTGTCTTCCAGAATGGCTGAACAAATTTACATTCCCACCAACAGTATATAAGTGTCCTTTTTCTCCACAACCTCACCAGCATCTGTTATTTTTTGACCCTTTAATAATAACCATTCTGACTGGTGTTAGATGGTATCTCATTGTATTATAAAAACACATACCCTTGCATGTTCATTGCAGCACTATTCACAATAGTAAAGACATGGAATCCACTTAAATGCCCCTTGGTGATAGACTAGATAAAGAAAATGTTGTATATATACACCATAGAATACTATGCAGCCATAAAAAAGAACAAGATCATGTCCTTTGCAGTAACATGGATGGAGATGGAGGCCATTATTCTTAGCAGACTAACACAGGAACAGAAAAACAAATGCCACATGTTCTCACTGATAAGTGGAGCTTAATGATGAGAACACATGGACACATAGGGGGAAACAACACACACTGAGGCCTATTGGAGGGTGGAGGGTGGGAGGGAGGAAAAATCAGGAAAAATAACTAATGGGTACTAGACTTAATACCTGGGTAATGAAATAATCTGTACAACAAACCCCCATGACACAAGTTTACCTGTGTAACAAACTTAATACTTGTACCCCTGAACTTAAAAGTTAAAAAAAAAAAGAAAGAAATTAGATGATACATCTTTATTAGATGTAAGAAATATATTTTGGCCAATCAAAATTTGAATTCAATCAACTGAATTGTTTTAATTCTTAAAATTTTAAAATCGCTCAAAGCAATCAATCAATTATCTAGTATCCCTTGGGTGCTTACCCTGTGCCTAGCACTGTGCTGTTAGAGGGGAATATAAAACACTTGCCTATCTGAACCCTTTATGTATCTGTAATTTAATTGGGAACTTATGGCTTATTGAAGAATTACTGAAAAATAGAGCTATGCAAAATTTAAATAATATATCATTTCTTACCCATCAGAATGGCAAAAGTTAAAAAGTCTGATAATATTACATGTTGAAAGGATGTGTGTTAACACATTCTCTCATATACTGCTGGTGGAAGTGCAGGTAAAACTGTCCATTTTGGAGGGCAATTGGCAGAGCCTATTCATGTTTAAAATGTGCACATCAAAATAACTCAGCAATTTCAGTCTTCAATATCTGCTTTAGAAAACCTCTTAACCATTGCACAAACGGGGTTGTTGAAGATGTTCTTTACACCACTGTAATAATGAAAAATATAATCAATGTAGCCATTCTTCAGGTGGATAATTACTAAATAAATTGTGGTTTATCTAGACTATGGAATTCTATATAGCAATTTAAAGCTAATAAAGTAGACTTATATAGATAGAAATACATAGTGATGAATGGAAAAGCAAGTAGAGCATAAATATGTGCAAATGACAGCTTTCAGAGTCTCACTCTGTTGCCTAGGCTGGAGTGCAGTGGCACAATTTCGGCTCACTGCAAGCTCCGTCTCCTGGGTTCAAGCAATTCTCCTGCCTCAGCCTCCTGAGTTGCTGGAACTACAGATGTGCACCACCACACCTGGCAATTTTTTTTTTTTTGTATTTTTAATACAGACAGGGTTTCACCATGTTGCCCCGGCTGGTCTGAAACTCCTGACCTCAGGTAATCTGCCTGTCTCAACCTCCCAAAGTGCTGGGATTACAGGTGTGAGCCATGGAGCCTGGCCAGCTTTTATGTTTAAAAAACTATATTATATCTATGTTATGCTATTTTTGTACAGGGATACATACACACACATATACACACAGAAAACAAACTAGAGAGATGCCCAACAAACTGATAACAATGTTTGTCTTTGGGGAAAAGGCAGGGGACCAGGATCACGGGATGATCAAAAGGGCATTATCTATAACATTTCTACCACCTTTTTTGATATATTACTCGTGAAATAAGAATGATTTTTAAGAAATAGAGCCATGTCACATTTTGTCTTTTCTAATTAGTAATAGCTTTAGACTCACCCAGAATATTAGGCTATTTATTTTTTAGTTATTATATCACATTTAATCATCAAATATGCTATCAAAAATAGTAGTCAAATATAATGATACATAAGAACAGAAACACCACATAGGAATCAATACATTGCAATGCCTATTTTACAAAAAAAAGTCCTACCTTTTTAAATCAATGGTTGGGATGCCCAACTTTCTGTAGGGCAGTCAGATGGTAATGTTCCTCAAGGCACCCTAACAGTACATGTAGATGGAAAAAAATTATAGTTGTTCGTAAGAAACTGTGGGATATTTAATGGCTCAAATCAGGCATGGTTAGTCCTCACAGAGCAGAGGATTCTTGAGCAATGTTTAAAAGGAAAGACTGGGCATCGTTGGGATGAAGGCTGATATAGTTTTGATACTTGTCTCCTCCAAATCTCGTCTTGAAATGTAATCCCGTGTTGGAGGTGGGGCTGGGTGGGAGGTATTTGGATCATGGGGCATATCCTTCATGAATGGCTTAGCACCATCCCTTTGATGATGAATGAGTTCATGCGACATCTGGCTGTTTAAAAGTGTGTGGCACCTCCCCCACCACTCTTTCTCCCGCTCTTGCCCTGTGACACGCTGGCTGCCCGTCACCTTCCACCATGATTGTAAACTTCTAAGGCCTCACCAGAAGCAGATGACAGTACCATGCTTTCTGTAAAGCCTGCAGAACCATGAGCCAATTAAGCCTCTTTTCTTTATAAATTACCCAGCCTCAAGTACTTCTTTATAGCAACACAAGAATGGCCTAATACAAAAGTTGAAAGTAGAAATGAAATGAAATATACATTTGTGGGTTTGTGCCAGCCTTATGTTCAGACCTAAGCATACAAAGATAGAAAGACTCGAAAAACAATTCATATCTAAGATCATGGAGTTGGAATTTGATTCCCAGCTCTACTTCATTGTCACAACAATGTTGTAGGTAGATGTTATGATCCCCACTCCCTGCCACCTCTTTTTTTTTTAAGAAGAGGAAACTCAGGGTCAGGCAATTTAAAGTGCCTGAGGTCCTGCTGCTGGTGCCAGAGCCAGGCTTCCGCCCAGATCTGCCAGACTCTAAAACCTTTCCTTTCACGTGCATTTGTGTTAACTTACATTATTAAAACAAAAAAATCTACAATGAATCATATTTTCCCTTTTCAGAGCTAGGCAATAATTAGTGGGTGTATGGTGTCATCAAAATAAATGAAAGCCTTTTGTTTGTTGCTTTAAAGGTAATCCATAGTTCAAATGTCTTACTCCTCTAGGGTGAAGCATATCTAAAATCCAAGTAACTTGCCTTCAGAATTAAGTAGGTCACACTGAAGTGCAGCCAGTGAGAAAATGAGTGTATTTAATTAAACTACCTTGGTGCATTTTCTTCTCCCCAGACCCATGAAATGTTCTCCTGCCAGGAGCTCAACCCTCTGGGTCACCCACTAAAGATTAGACACTGATTCCCTAATACTCAGAAGCCACCACGAGGCTCATTTTCTGCACTCAGCAGCTCCCATGTCAGGGATACAGCCAGCTGGTGTTGGTCAATCTCTGCTCCAGGGAGGATTGCTCTGAGGTGGGAAATAATACCAGGGAGGTTCACCAAGCCAGGGTGCTGCAGACCTTTGGTGATCCAATTAAGGGGGCTGAGAGAGGCTGCCAAACTAAGATGAGAAGGGATGGCGGCCTGTGGACTTCATTCTACAATGGGTAGCCAGTGCATTCTTTTAGAGCTAAAAATCTGGCCAGGTGTGGTGTCTCACACCTGTAATCCTAACACTTTGGGAGGTCAAGACAGGAAGATTGCTTGAGTCCAGGAGTTCAAGACCAGTGTGGGCAACATGGCAAAAACCCTTTTCTACAAAAAATAAAAAAATTAGCCAGGCATGGTGGTGCATGCCCGTAGTCCCAGCTATTTGGGAGGCTGAGGTGGGAGGATCACTTGAACCTGGGAGGTGGAGGTTGCAGTGAGCTGAGATTGCACCACTGCACTCCAGCCTGGGCAACAGAATGAGACCCTGTCTCAAAAAACGATAACAATAACAACAAAAACAAAAACTACAAATGTGATCATGGCCTACCTCTTCATAGACTTCTTAATGACCTAAGGGATAGACATACCGATCCCTATGTGCCCTGCAAGGCTCTTTGTGAGCTCTCCTGCTTCTTCTGGCCTGATGGGCTTATGCACTTCTCTCTGTCCTCTATGCTCCAGCCTTATAGGACATTGAAGGCACCTCACAGTCTTTATAACACTGTTCCTTCTACTCTGAAGGCTCTCCCAATTGGCCTAATTCTCCATCTTGACTTAAACATGAATTTTTGGGAAAGGGGCACCTTCCCAGACTCCTCCTCAAGACCGGGTTGGACTCCCCTGCACTCCTGCAGTAGTGCACTTCTCTTTGGTGCATTCATCACTGTTGGTATCATTTGTTCCATGTCTGCTTGCCCCATTGGTCTGGGAGCTCCATGCCTGGGTTGCTCAAACAATATTTGTTGAAAGAGTCTTGAACTGTTTAGCTGGTTGCCAGAGTAGGTATCATCACTGCAGGAAGAAGCTGCCATATGGATCTCTATGTGTTAAAGTATTTTTTCCCTTGATGTACCAAACATCTGAAATTCCAGAGAAAGCAAGTGCAAACATGAACCATGCTTGCTCTTCTAATTCCTATGGAAATATCAGGGAGTGAAAGGAACAGCTCGCATAAACAGTGAAGTCAGCCCTGACAGAGACTTGTCATAGGGTGCCAGCCACTCATCCCTCCCTCCTCGTAAGGGGTTGCTGTGGTTCCCAGGGACTCCCAATGAAAGCTGGTGTCTTTCCAGGGTTCAGGGCTGAGTGAAAACTTGAGGACAGTATGTTGAGCCTTCTCCAGATTCCTCATGAAGTTATGAGCGATTGCATTTGCCATTTAGGGGTTTGTGCTGCAGGAAGGAGAAATACCTTCTCCTCATGGACATCAAAGCCCTGTAGCAAAAGCAGTTCTCCAACCTCAGCTTGGTAAAGATCACGCTGAACTCAGCTTACAGGAAGAGCTTGGTGATGGGGCTGGGGATGCTGCACAGGGGCTGGTGAGGGTTCATGTAGACCAGAGTCATATAGGGCTTTCCTTCCCTCTTGCCACAGATGGCTACTTCGCTGCTGGGAAGGGGAGATTTGATGATGGGACTCCAGTAAGGTGCTGAGGGCCTGACTCCCAAACTTTTTGATTCTGGGACTAGAAGGTCTACAGGGCCAACTTTGTGCAGAACAGGAAGGGTCTCCAGCCTCAAAAATGCACCTCCTTTTCAATGATGCTTAAAATTCCTTGCCCAGGTGGTATGATTTGAATGTTTGTCTCCCCTCCAAAATTCATGTTGAAACTTACTCCCCAGCTGTGGTGGTATTAAAAGGTAGGGCATTTGGGAAAGCGATTAAGTCATAAGGGCAGAGTCTTATGAATCACTACTGTATAAATGGGCCGAAGGAAACTAGCGTAGGCCATTTTTTGCTCTTCCACCATGTGAGGACACAGCATTTGTGCCCTTTTTGCCCTTTGTCTCTTCTGCCATGTGAGGGCACTAGATGGCACCGTCTATGAGGAATGGGTCTTCCCCAAACACTGAACCTGCTGGCCCCTTGGTCTTGGACTTTCCAGCCTCTAGAACTGTGTGAAACAAATTTGTGTTTAATTTATAAATGACCCACCCTCAGATATTTTGTTATAACAACATGAATGAACTGACAGCTGAGAATCTGACCTTTTATTATACTATGATTCTCACTAAGCTTTAAATTTTAGTTACCTCCAGGGGAGGGAATATGGTAACTTTTACTCAGCTCTCCCAATCTTTTCAAGGCACAGGATTCTTATTTGTTACAATGACCTCACGGTTTGCTTCTAGGTTGAAGAAGGAGAGAGAAAATGATAAATTCACATCATTTTGTGACAGGAATTAAATTAAAGAAAAGACTACATTATATTGTGTGTATTTGCAATGTCTCTCTACTTTCCCTAATCCTTAAAGGCAAAAGATTCTTGTTTGCTAGAATGATCTGATGGCTTGCTTCAGGGTTAAGGAATCCCGGTAATTAGCCAGTGGAAAGCAAGTCAAAGAAAAGAGAAACATTAAGTTGATTTATTTAATAGGCTTTAGGTGGAAAAGGGATGGAGAAGCAGAAGAGTGGTATCAGGGAAAGAAGATTTGGGGAAAATCTCTCCCTGCTTCATAAGAAAGTCTGAGAGTAAGAGGATTTCAAAGAGGTTTTCTTTGCATCAAAAGAAAACGACTTGCTTTTTGATATTTTTTCTTGCGAGACAAAGCAGGATTTGAGCTGCTTTTTCTTTCTTCATTGGCATATCTCTGAATTTGACTCCATTTTGAAAGTGAACCTCTTGGGGCCTTAAGCATCTCTGCATTGATGACTTAAATTCATGTTCACCCAACAAGCGTCTTTGGTGGCTGGTTCACTGTGTACCAGGGAAGAATGTGCTATCATGGTGTGGGCACTGCTTTTGGAGTCAGGCAGGCCTGGGTTCAAATTCCAGCTCTGTCCCTTGTATGACCTTTCAGAAGAGGCTAAATAATAATATTGACCATGTGCCATATTTACTCCTGTAAGTGGGCATTGTTATTCTCATTTTACAGACTAGGAAACAGTGGCTCAGAGAGGCCAAATAACTTGCTAAAAGACAACCAACCAGTGATGGATCCAGGACTCAAAACCCAGATCTGTGTGACTCTAAAGATGTCTTGCTCCCATCTATTTGCTCCCATCAAAGAAGAAAGAGTAGGTGAGCTGACACACGGTCAGGGCTAATTTCACAGTTCCCCACTCCCAGGCACAACAATGTGCAAAAGGCTGATTTCAGGTCCTTTCTTGAGAGCAAGAGAGGGCACTGAATGGGTGAAAGAAAATGGAGAAAAGAGGCAGGGACAAGGGAATGTCACCAAAGATCAACTCTGCCAAGTTGGCCAGGATGTAGTGACTCCTAAAGGAACTAAAATCCAGATACTAAGGGGCCCCAGGAGGCCAACCAGGAGATCAGAGGTTGAGCTGAAGCAGGAGACCCAGATTTACAGAGCAGATTGCTGCTCTATCAGGGTCTGTTTACTGCATGCATATCAGAGGCCTGATAAGTGACGCCTGTGACAGGGGTAAGCCATAAAGCATAATGTTCACAAGCTCTTTCTATGCCTCACCTTCTTTAGAAGGACAGATAATTGGGGGCTTGGCTAGCTACTGAAACTTGGTTATGCTGAATAGAAGTGGACAGAGCCCTAGAAAAACAGACCAGGGGGTTGCAGATCGTGGAGTTCTACACCAAATACTCACTGCACCTCTCTGATGTGCTAGACTCTGCTCTAGGGCTGGGGGTGCAGAGGGGAGGGAGAGAAGCTCATTCCTTGTCCCTGGTGGTGATATCTGGGATGCTGGTAAGAGAGAAGTCTAAGAGGTGTTGCTGGTGGCAAAGCACAGAATGGGCCACAGAGAAGCACAGGCCAAGTCCTGCATGGCCATATGTATCTCGCTAAGGAGTGGATGCTGTCCCATGGCAATGGCAGCTCAGGAACTGTGTGGAGGATCCATTAGAAGGGCTCAAGCCTGGCGGTAGGGAGTCCAGCCAAGGGAGACTTGCCTTGGGGGTGCTGCCTCCTTTTAGAGTTTCCCTTGGCCATCTAAATGTATTATCTTCCCAGCTGGACTCACCGAATTGGAAATCTCTCTCAGAAGGCTGTAACTGGGAATTGTGCCACTTCAGAATGATGGCTTTTGCCAAAAAACTCACCTGATAAATGCAACTGACTATTTAGAAAGAAAGGGGGAAAAGCAAAACAATGGTGAATTAATAAGGATAATCCCGTATCTATAGCCACAATCTAAATGAGAAGGATTTCAGTAACAATTTAGAAAGGACACAGTCAGGATGAACAGGATTATGTTTGACAACCTACTCACTACATAGCTCACTATCAATAATTAAGTAGTTGGCCGGGTGCGGTGGCTCACGCCTGTAATCCCAGCACTTTGGGAGGCTGAGGCGGGTGGGTCACCTGAGGTCGAGAGTTCGAGACCAGCTTGACCAATATGATGAAACCCTGTCTCTACTAAAAGTACCAAAATTAGCCAGGGGTGGTGGCACATGCCTGTAATCCCAGCTACTCGGGAGGCTGAGACAGGAGAATCGCTTGAACCCGGGAGGCAGAGGTTGTGGTGAGCTGAGATCGCACCATTGCACTCCAGCCTGGGCAACAAGAGTGAAACTCCATCTCAAATAATAATAACAATAATAATAATAATTAAGTAGTTGTTGACACCCAGACTCTCTGTTGTGGCAGTCATATAAGACACTGATGCTGTGGGTTTTCTACTGAAAGTATAAAACAAAAACTCCAAGTGGGCTGATTTGATTTTGTATTTCTGAAATGCGGCAATTGACTCTTAAGCCCCCATTCCTGTCTCTGCAGCTTTCCCTGGGTAGCTTGGGAAACAAGTTTAAGCTTACTTTTTTCTTGTGAGAAATCTAATTTGAGCTCCCCCTTTTGACAAGTGCCTGCAAAGTTCTGGGTGTAGATGCAGTTGGCTTTGCCTTAAATCATATTCCTGTTCTTGATATTTATGGAGGGGGCTGGTTTTTCTGATGGAACAGTTTGAACATCATCATCCGTAAAGTCCGTAACCTGCTTGTGTGATCTGACCCCACTCTAAATGCATGGATTCCATTTTGAACCAGAAGTTCTGCTTGGTTTGGCACGCTAGAACCGGGGCATTTGAAGACAGAAAAATTGAAATCCTGTACGGTAGTTTTTCTTCAGTGTAAAACAACAGCAAAACTGATATTTCTTTGTTTCCATTTCTTTGTTTCCCATTCAAAATATCTGGATCACCCTGCAGAGATATACAAGAATCCCTGTGGAAAACCTCATGAACTCAAGGTCATGCAGAGACTTAGGGAAGAACTGGGACTGGCTTATCAAGACTCTACACTACTGACCCAGGGCTTGGCAGTTTCTGTCCTAGAAATCAGAACACGCAGCTCATGCATCACCGAGAAGGTGGTCAGCCTAAGAAGTGGTTCCCCACTCTTTGTTCTAAGATATTCCTCTCTCAGAAACCACGTCTGTTTTCAACTTTTTTTTTTTTTAGACAGTCTCACTCTTGTCACCCAGGCTGGAGTACAGTGGTGCAATCTTGGCTCACTGCAACCTCTGCCTCCCGGGTTCAAGCGATTCTTCTGCCTCAGCCTCCCAGGTAGCTGAGACTACAGGCGTGTGCCACCATGCCCAGCTAGTTTCTTGTATTTTATTAGTAGAGATGGGGTTTCACCATGTTGTCCAGTATGGTCTCAAACTGCTGAGCTCAGGCAGTCCCCCCGCCTCAGCCTTCCAAAGTGCTAGGATTACAGGTGTGAGCCACTGCGCCCAGCCTGTTTCCAACTAATTTAACTCACATCTGATACCCAACTCTCTGCTCCCATTCGTTCATCTCAACTGGGATTTGCCGACTCTCTATACACGCCAGCAATTTTACCAGGCTCTGGGGACTCACAGAGGCATAAACTGCCATCTTCACCCTGCAGACACTCAGATCTAGGGCAGGAGTTGAAAATGGAAATCAATGAAGTCCTTATAAATCATGTCATCCTTGTGGTCTAGTCCCGGAGTGCCATTAGACTAAAGGAAATAATGTTCAACACTCATAAGTTATTGGAAAGTAATCTAAATCCTTTACTTGCTTTTTTCAAAGAAAAGCAAAGAAAGTCCCATTCATATTCCATTGCAACACTTTATAATACCCCTAGATAATTGCTAAATAGTCAAGAAAACAGAAATATAGGCTTAATGAAAACATGAGAGAAAAGTTCAAAGACATGGAGGAGAATGGATGAAAGCGGGTGAGACTGGAGGAAGGAAAATTGGCTAGACCTATTACCATGGTAGTAATTGGAGGCAAGAGGTGATGAGAGCCTCAACTCAAACAATGGGATGGGGGCGGAGTGGAACAGGATGAATTCAAGAGATATTTAAGAGAGATGTGAGGGAGAGATTCAGGAAGTGATGTTGACAGCCCTGCAGAACAAGCTGAAAGTCTAACTTTCTCACATGGAGGTTTCTTGAGTCACTTTATACTCAATACATCCAAACTGCATTTACCATGTTACCTTCAAGCCAGTTCCCCTTCCTGACTCTGCCATTTCTGTCAGACATGCCACCAATTTTCTAATCTCTGGACTTAAAAACTGGTGGCCTATCATTTCCCTTCCCTTCTCCTTCATTCCCTATAATCACGTCTGACACGAATCCCTGCGTATCTCCTCAAATCACCCTTTGTTCTCTATTTATGCTTCCACTGGAAAGGTACAGTTCACCTCATCTAACCTCTAGATTACTGCAGTAACCTCCAGCTGGCCTCCTTGACTCCAGTCTCTTCCCCACTGTCTAGCACATCCTAATCACGACAGGAAGACGGATCTTCCCTCAGCATGTCTTTCTCCCTCACACCGTATTGCACCACTGCATCTGGTCCAAACACCTCTGTCTGGCTTGCAAGAGCTCCATCCTGTGGGCTCATGGTAATCACCAAGCTTGGTTCTGGTCAGGTGAGTATCCCTAGGCTCCTCAGAAAGGTCAGGCTCATGCCCACCTAGGTGTTATTTCTCCACATGATCCCCCACCTGGAATGCTCTTCCTCCCTCCTTCACCTTTCCAGTCTGGTGAGGGGGCAACCTCTGATCAGTGCCTTGCTTGCTGATGCCTGCCATCTGCAGTCAGTGTCACACAGCTTAACTCTAAATGATCCCTTGCTTATTCCAAGTGTCCAAGTTTTCTCCCCCCAGCTGGGCTGTCTATTCCCTTGGGAACAAAAATCTCTCACTTTGCTCAGCTGTCTCTGCTAATCCTGAAAGAAGAAAGATCTCAAGGGAGTTTTAGTATTTCAGTTTTTGATCGTATTTATGCTATGTTTTTATCCATATAAAGCATGAAAAATACAATAATGTTTGAAAATTCTCGCACAGTTTGATCTCTAATTCATGTTACACTGTTAAATTATAATTATTAAATTACATATTTTAAAACCAAAGATTTAAGGTGAAGCTATATCTTAGGTCATAACCTCTTAACAAACGTGAACATCTCCATGTCTACAAGTTGTAGTGGATGTATTCTGTTTCTTTTTTCTTCATGAGAATTTGTAAATGTTCCTAGACATAAACAGAAAGGAGTTTCTATTCATTGGGAACACACTACCTTCCAGGCACTGAATTAGTTGCTTTATTTTATTTAAGCCTCACTACTATCCTTGTTTCCTTAAAAATGAATTTTTATTTAACAGTTATATTTAAAAATAGTATTGCATATGTCAAAAAATGCACTTTGAAGTCTAATGGAACTAAAAGGTACTCCAATCTCCACTTTTAACGTTTCAAAGAAAATAATGAGACATTGTTTTAGAAAGTCATTGATTAAAATAAAGATGTGAGATTTTACAAGCAATTAGAGAAAATCTATAACATGAATAAAGATTTAAAAATATATGTACTCCTTTCTCACTGTTGAATACATCTTGGCATGTTATCGAGCAAAGATCAGTTTATAACTTCAAGATACTGAAAGGTTGAGGAAGGGGAGCATGTGCCTGATTACTGGGCTATGAAAACTGTAAGTAGAGGAACATGCAGGTGTATTTTATCTCGCAGAATTCCTTTAGAAATCTCTACATTTCTGAGCCCCTCTGCTCCACACACCCTGCATTCTGACTTCCTAAAACACAAAATTATCAACCCTTTCTTATTATTTTAAAAGGATACATTCTTCATTAGTGATTCCTTTCCTGACCTAATACCACAGCCTGTTATACAGAGCCTGAACTTCTAAGCCATGTGCAGCCGCCTGTCCCTCAACGTCCCTTATCCTTTTCCCAGTAACCCCATCCCCACTTTCAGACTGTGCGGGGTCAGAGTCCGTGACCAAGGGCAAAGCCAGTCACACTCAGCATTCTTGTAGACTATGTGGTTCAGGGGCATCGCATGGCCCGAGTTAGTAAATCTTAGGGCTTCTACAGGAGCTACTAGAAAAATGGCTCTATCCATTGGACTTGAATCTGGGAGCTGTGAGGTGGGGCTGTGGCAGTGGTCTGGCCATGGCAAAGGGAGGGCCTTTTTGAGAATGAAGCCAACAGAAGAAGGGGTTTGAGAGAGGGAGATGCTGGGTCCATGACATCAGGTGACTTGAACCCAGCCTTACTCCAAGCCAGCCCTATCCTAGGCCTTCCTGTTACCTGAGCCAATATAGACCTGTTTCTTTGCTAATTTATTAACAAATTAACAAATTCTTTGTTAATTTATTACTTGCCACTGAAAGAGTCCTAACTGACACACAGTGTAAACTTCAAGCTCTAATCTTTATTAGCACTCACCTAAGTTCAGCACTCCTTGGACACTAAGTCACAAAAGATTCTCTATCTTGTTTGCATGGAAGCTGGGATCTACACTGGGGTTCAGATGTGTCAGGACCAACTGGTGGGTGCCAGAAGCATATCTGCATTAGGGATTAAGGGGTCTCACGAAAATAACTCCCTCTAAGGGAAGAAGGACCCAGGCCCAGCAAGCCTTACCCAGTGTGAAGATAAGCCAAGCCCCAGAGGTCAGAGGGGAGGAGCATGTGTCCTGTCCACAACCTGACCCCAAAGAGATGAGGGACCATAAGCAAAAAGCAGAAAGCTGTTTGCCAAAATATTAACTAAGACATAGAGTACAGGCAACACTACCTGGGGGCCACTCTAAGCTTACGGCTTAACACAAAAAGGGATGAGAGTCTCCTCTCCTGCTTTACAATGCAACTCTGTTTGTTCTGCACACTCTGGCTCTGGAGCAGGGTTTCTCAGTCTCAGCAGTATTGACATTTGGGATGGGTAATTTCTTATTGTAGGGAACTGTCCTGAGTATTACAGGATGTTTAGCAGCACCCCTGGTCTCTACCCGACTGGATGCCAATAGCATCCCCACTCCCACCTTGTATTATAACAACCCAAAATGTCTCTAGACATTGAGAAGCCACCAGTTGAGAACCACTGCTCTCAAGCATTGGTGGCTGTGGCAATAATAAAGAGGGGACTTCGGTGCCCACTAGAAGTGGCAATCATGCCCAGCCACAAAAATAAATGTGCCTGGAAGATATGATAGTGCCCAGTGTGTGTGTATGGGATGGGAGGAAGAACATCGAGGGAGGGGGCACTTTCTAAAGCAGAAAATGAAAGAAGAAAAAGCAAAAATAGGACCCCCAATGGTAGCAGAACAGCACGTGGCCGATATTACCTGTAAGAGCCAGCTGAAATACTTTGGGAGACTTTGCAAAAGGGCTAAGGTCCTGAGAGAACAAGTAGTGGCATGAAACAGTGAAATAGCTCTCTGAGCTCACTGCTTTCCATGTCAGCTCATTTATATCCAAAGACCAGTGGGACCTGAGGACATTTGGATTAAACTTGGAAAATTGCATAACCTTGAACCATATGAAATAGCTCAGCTCAAGATTATCCATTATCATCTGCTTAGTCACAAGTTCATTTACTTATAGCCACAGGATAAGAAACTCCAGAAAGCACTGTTTAAACTCAGTGCTTTCTCTATTTCTGGGGCATGGACATTGCAGTGTGTGGTTTGGGAGGCTCATACTGAGAGAAAGCAGGAAGGGGTTTCCTGGGCAAATTTAATCAAGAGTCCCTGGGGTAGCAGGAAGATTAGCTTGAATGAAGAGGCCTTGAGACAGACAAAAAATCGTCTCTATTGGGGCAGGCATTGAGCTTGGTGGAAGAAGCAAGGCCCTTTGGAATTTTCAAAAGTAACCAGATCCATTTATTCACTGCATTTTATTGGCGCTTTTATGTCTAACGCTGAGGGGCTATAATGTCATGAGAATTGGCTTTGCCGTCAAACAGCACTGGGGTTCAGTCCCTTCATCACCACCTACTTGTTATGTGATCTTAGGCAAGTTCCTTCTGCAAGTCTCAATTTCCTTATCTAATAAAGCAGAGACCATAGTTGCCTCCTCGCAGGATGATTGTGAAGGCAGCATAAAGAAAGTGGCTAGAGCAGACCTGACACTTAGCAGGTGCCTTACTACATGCTGGGGAGCCCCCCATAAAGGGAAGCAACTCCTGGACATCCAGTAAGGGGATGAGTGTTCCTTGGATGCTGTTACCAGATGGGCCCTGAGGGAGACTCACAGATGAATGAGGCTGGGTCCCTTGCCCTGAAGAGGCTGGGCATCCCATTCTCCAGATCTACTCAACACTCACATTGTGCTCAGGTGTGGAAATGGGCAATGTGGGCCACAGTGAGAACTAACCCAAGACACCAGAACAAGCAGAGAAGACAAATAATGTTTCATATGAACAAGAGATGAAGACTGGGCTTGTGCTCCCTAGGCAATGTACTAAGCAGTTAAGGAGATGAACAAGTAACCCAAGGTCCCTACAAGGCCCATGGCCACAGTGACTTATATTTCAAGTTCAAAGTCCTTTGTACACTTGTGACTATTTCATTAATGATTTGGTTATGTTCATCCCCAGTGCTAGATGATAATCCTTTCTCAAATGAAAAATGGTACCATTTTGGGGAGGAAAGAAACACAGTATCACAGAGAATCCAGTTTACAATCCCAATCCCTCCAGTCTCCCCAGATCGCTCAGTGAGGTGTCATTGGTCTCAGTCTCTGGGGAGTCATTTAATTTTGAGGCCTGGGGCAGAGCCCCATATGTTACTCTGAAGCACTGATGTCTTTGTTATAGCAAGAAATTAAATTGACATAGAAATAGGGAATGATGTTGATATCTTTATACTTTGATAAATTATGTGTGTATAAACTTTAGGATAACCATTAGAATAGAAAGAGAATGCAAAGACTTCAAACTATTATAGGGATAAACATAAGATATGAGGAACAATCCAAAAGAAGATGAAAACACAGAGGAAAAAAATAGAAAAGTAGGAGGAGACAATTTGAAGAATTTTATGGGCCCATTTCTTTGCATGAGTAGAAAGTGTGGTGCTCCCTGGAGAGGGTGGGGCCGTGATGGGAGTCGGGAGAGTTCGGAATGGTTATAAGACAGGAATGAGCAGAGACCATCTAGATTGAGTCAAGTAATCATCTTGCAGCAACCAGGGCCTGGCTGAGGCTTCAAATTACGCTTTTGCAATAGAGGCAATCAGCTATAAAGATACCAAATCAAGCAGAAAGCTGCCTGGTACGTACAGAATCAGTGCACAGAGAATTAGGTGTTGAGGCTATTCTTCGGAGACTAGGGAGTGGTGAAGCCGGGGACAAGAACACCGCTCCACTGCCCATCATGTCACCGTGCCCAAGGACAGATCTCTCCTTTACAGAGGGCTGGAGAAACACTGAGACATTCTTATTACCCAGTTCCCACACTGATCAGACTCAGGCAAGTCATAAATCAACAGAATAAACGACAGCTCTCTGCGGTTTAGTCCACATGGTTCTCTTGAGCCTGCATCCTGGTCGTTAGCAGCTGAACAGTCACCAGTTCTGCCCTGGGTGAGTCACCACATCTGGTTGCCACGCTCATCTATTTTAAGTTGAACTTCTTTAGCTTCAAGTTCAGAAGATGACTTTTTACTATGTTTTTGTCCTCCCTCCCATATACACTCACATGTGCTCATGCACATTCTGAAGTCTCTGGAACTATCTGGGAGAGAGCAAAGGGTAACACAAGGCAGCATGGACTGGAGGACAGATGGACTGAGTTCTGTCGTCACCAGCTATGTGACTTTGGGCAAGTCACTAAGCCTCTCAGAGCCAGCATTGTCTCACTTGTAAATTAGGGATTGAATTTTGGGAGATGCAGTGAAATCATTTATAAAGTACCTAACACTGTCTGCCACACAGAAGGTGCTCAATGAATGGCAGATCTCATCCCCTGAAGCTCTCTGTGTATTAGCACAACTCTGGTGACATGGTAGGAAGGCAGAATAACCCTCGGTCCCAAAGATGTCCACTCCTAAGCACCAGAACCTGTGAATATATGAGGTTCCACAGCAAAAGGGAATTCAGGTTGTAAGTGGAATTAAGGTTGATAATCAGCTGGTCTTAAAATAGATTATCCTGAAATATCCTGGTGGGCCCAATGTAATCACCAAAGTCCTTAAAGGTAAAAGAGGGAACCAGAAGAGAGAGACTCAAAGGAGATATGACTGTTTTTAAAGGCACAGAGAGATGCAATGTTGCTAGTTTTGAAAATGAAGGAAGGGCCATGAACAAAGGCATGCAGGCTGCCTCTAGAAGCTGGAAAAGGAAAGGAAATGGATTCTCCCAAGGAGCCTCCAGTAGGGCATGCAGCTCTGATGACAACATATCAGGCTTCTAACCTATGGAGCTGGGAGATAATACATTTATATTGTTCAAGCCACTAAAGTTGTGGTAGCTTGTTGCAGTAGCAATGGAAACGAACACACTTCACATCATGGGAGTTTCCCATTCTGTTTTCAGGGACCATGCCCAGGAATTCAGTTAATACCTAATGGTACTCTGTAAACTTAGGTATTCCAGTGACACAACCATAACTTCTATGCCTGCAACCAGCTTCAATAATTATATGCCTAGGTTCATGAGCAGGTATGGAGCAGAGGTGGTGGGGCTGGATAGCTACTCACTGCAACTTTGTTGGAAAAGAACTGACCACTGCTAGCAATTCCACGGCAGTCATACTGAAGCCTGAGTGTCCACCCACTGCCGGAAAATATGCTTCATGACACCTGGGCCTGAGAGGCTCTCCCAAGCTATAGATTACCTGGTTTTGCAGAGTTGTCCCATACCCACCTCCCCAGATCTGGTCCCCCCATACCCTCTCTTACCTGTACATGGTGTGTGGCCATGCTACCTGCACAGTCCTTCTTGAACCAGCAGAGCCCCTAAACTGTTGTCTCTCCAGGCAAGTGCAAAGGCAAGAGGGTAATGGGCTAATGGGCAAAACCAGGAAAATAAGAACAGTGGAAGTGGTTAGGACTCAAAAGGGAAATAAGACATTCCATGTTTTTCTCCACTTCCCATCATCTTTGGGATTCTGACAAAGGACTCTTGGCCATCTTGCTGGTGTCCACCCAACAGCCATTTTCACTCTCCTTGGCAGACCTCATTTCCTATGACAAAGGCTGAAATGGCAATCCTGGCTCTCCCAGCTCCCCAGCAGCACTTCCCCCAGCCCCAGGAAATAAAACATGACTGGTTTGAGATAATAATGGTTAAATCCTCTCATTTTCCAGTGATGTGTTCTATGGTGAGAATGTGATTGAATTCTGTCCCATGATATGTCAAGGTCATCTTCTGTGGGGCTTCTGGGAAAAAGATAATGGAGGAAACTTCCTTTCCTGCCTCTGAATGGTGTTGCCTGAGAGTGAATGAAGACCTGTCCCCATGGGGAAGAAGTCCTGGAAGCCTGGCCTCCCTGTGCTATGGAGTTAGCTCACCCTGGAGCCTCCCTGCCTCTGAGTTTCTTGCTATGGAGATAACAAATTCCTTGCTACTTAGCAGCCTGGTAGGTCATTCTGTCACTTGCAGCTGGAAAAGCTTATCCGTGAAAGTTCTCTCACGGATAAGTATCTTGGGATTCATGCAGACCCCAGGAATTCCTGGTCAGTTAGCGCCTTCTTGATGGAGATGTATGGACCAAGTGGACAACACAATAATAATCAATAACATAGGGTCTCTACTATCAGGACTTCACAGTCAAACACTGTGAGGATGGAAACCTCTTCCTATCTGCTCCTACCTGTGGATTCCAGAAGTCATGAAGACAGTGTGAGTCTTGTTACTTACTTCATGTTAAATCTACATTTAAGTCTTACTAGAGATCATTGATTGTCAGATGGAAAATTTGTTCTCTTAAAAGCCCAGGTGTTCCGTATATAACCACATGTTACGTCTTTCTGTCCCTCTTCTCAACACTACAGAATGAGGCAGAAAGCAATAAAAGCCATTTGGGCAAAAGAGCAGCTGAATCAAGCACTTTGCAGAGTTCACATCAAAGGGGAGTAAATGTTCAAAAGCCCAAAGCCCTAGCCTTGTGCAGATCTAAACAGTAGGATACTGGGAAGGGAGCTGGCTGGAGCCTCAGAAAATGTAGAGTTGAGATGTTGCACACCTGCAGATGAAGAAATGGGGGTTCCTTGGAGGCTAATTAATTCTGTGGCAAACCAGGGTGGGATATGAAACAGCAAAGGAGGCAGAATGAGGAAGATAAAAGAAGAAAAGGCTCTGGATGAAGCAGAAAGGAAATTTCATGTCTCATGCCCGGCTAGGTGCTTCACCCAAAATCCTCATGGAGAGGGATCCGGAGTCAGCCCCAGAACGACACTGCAAAATCTATCCAGTATATAAAGTATGGTTATATATATGAATACATTTCTTATGTTCAGTGAACAGCATAAGGTATGTTCTATAACATGGATTTGGAGTTCTTAACTTTGGTTGCAAAATCCCAGGTTAAAAGAAGCCAACTTTTCACCTGCTACCTAAGTGGGTGCCACCACCAGTATGCAGCATGTTTGGCCCATAGAAACTGCTAATAAATATTAGTTTTAATATCAGCTACTATTAACCAAATTCTCATTTATTTTGTTATGGCTATTAGGTCCAAATCCCCTGTAGCTGTGGCCCTAGGTCCCGAGGAAATCAATGTACACTAAGACAGAAACTATTTAGCTACAGCACATGGAGAATTTTATTAGCGGCATGGGGTTACCTAAAGATATTCCTGGCCGGGCGAGGTGGCTCACACCTGTAATCCCAGCACTTTGGGAGGCCAAGGCGGGCAGATCACGAGGTCAGGAGATCGAGACCATCCTGGCTAACATGGTGAAACCCCCATCTCTACTAAAAATACAAAAAATTAGCCAGGCGTGGTGGTGGGAGACTGTAGTCCCAGCTACTCAGGAGGCGAGGCAGGAGAATGGTGTGAACCTGGGAGGTGGAGCTTGCAGTGAGCTGAGATTGCGCCACTGCACTCCAGCCTGGGCGACAGAGCGAGACTCTGTCTCAAAAACAACAACAAAAAAGATATTCCTACAACACCCTGCTCACAGCCTGACTCACCTAGGGAGCTTTTGCAAAGATGAACACTCCAAAATTGCTAATTCCCTCCCCTTCCACCTCCAGAGCACAACCACTCACCTCTGGGGAGTGGCAGGAAGGAACCGTTGTGGGATAGTCGGTTCCTACAGCACCTCCACCCTTTCCTGAGAATTCTCTCTCTTCCTTTTAATATTCTGAAAGGCCTCAAAACCTCATCACGAAACCTAAACTCTACATCTTATATCCCAGAGAAAGGAAAGCCAGCTCTCTTCAACTTTTCCCCTTTTGAGCTGTGTTTTCAGGGATGCTATAACTGAGGTTTACTAGAGTTTTCTAATCCAATTATCCAGAAAGGAAGGAACAAAAGAAAAGCCATTACATAGATATTTGGTCATCCAGAGTCACCTGAATTCAAGAAGTTGGGCAGATACAATTTTGTCTTGGTTCATTTTCAATCCTATCTATTTTCACACAATCATTGCTTTACATCTCAACTTGTTCTCCTCCTTGCCTGAAAGGGTTTCCCCAAGGAAGGCTTGCCTGCTGAATCCCAAAGAACTGGCGGGCAGCATCTCCACTTTGCATCTTGCTCTGGCCCTTATTTTGTCTAATCCTCTCCCTACATCCTTCTGGTCCCTGTTTTCCAGTTTCTCTCTCCCTGGTGAGTCACGAGGAACGAGGCAAGGGCTTGAAGGATGCTAAAGTTGGAAGCCTCCTTCCTGTAACTGCCACAACATGTGAGGTTGGTGCTTTGGATGTAAAATATCTTGGAAGCAGCTCCTGTGCCAGCCAGACCTGGATTCATGCTCTGCCAAATTTTTGTTCTGAGTCCTAGTTCCAGTCCCTTTCCTCTCTGAGGCCAAGCACGTGAGCCTTGCAGGGTGCAGCCAGCCAGGAAGTCCCAGATTCAGTTCCTGGGTGCCATTCATGCAGTTAGATTTCTGGAAACCATAGTGACCACTAACAGTAAACCACGGGCACCACCATGCTCTCAACACTGCTGTGATTTTACCCAGTTGTTCTCTTCTTCCTGGAACTCTAGTTGTCTTAATTTCTCCATCTCAGAATTGCATTCCTCCCACTCGCCCACCCTGTCCTATCTTTGGCCTGATCTCTTGGCTATAAATCTGCTCCTTTCTTCCACTTGTTCTTCACAGCTCCCCATTTCTGCACTCCCCCTGCTTATCATTGTCTTCTGGGCCTCCCAGTAATCCCAGAACCTGGCCCAGGCCTGCACTGTGGGCAGATTCACTTTTGGGCCTCACATTCCCTCTGCGCCAGGAACAACAACTTCCCTCTGCAATGAGTACAACCACCTCTCTTTGATCATGGAGCTGGGAACTCTGGTCCTCATCAGACTCCCTTAGGGCTTATCCCTGAGACTCTAAGGCCATCACAGCCTTCATCCTCAGCCTGCACTACTGAATATCCCTCCCACAGTAATTATTTGCCTACATCCTTATCTCCCCAGGAAGACCATCAGTGCCTCAAGAGCAGGACCTCGTGTTAGCCATCACCTGGCTGTGAGCCCAGCGCAGGGCCTGGCACATAATTGGTACCCACAAAGTTTTAAAGACTTCATAGTGACTGCTTCACATCCATTTGGAAGAAGACAGGATTGAATTGGACACACCCACATGAACTAGCTATGTGACTTTAGCCGAGCCATCTCCACTGGTATTCCTCAGCTGGGAAACAAGGAGGGTGAAGCAGGCCTAGAAAATCTCTAAGGATCCTGTTCTGCTAAAAGTCTGTGACTCCGCATAGAGCACATTGTGCTTCTATTCAGCACAGTGACCCTCCAAATGGTAGTTTTATTTGTGAAGAACAATTATCCAGAGATTGGGATAATGCAGAAAAGATGATTAACGTTATGCTAGGAGCACTTCCCAACAAGCTCACCTAAAGGTGTTCTGGGGCTCCTACCCAGCATGACTTTACCCCCAGTGGACATGTGGAGATGTTTCAGCTGTAGAGGCCACACATGCTACTAAACATCCTACAGTGCCCACGACAGCACCCCCAACAAAGAATTATTTGGGCCCAAAATTTCCATAGTGCTGGAGGCATTGAGAGATCCTGGCCTAGAGCGTGCAACTTGGTTTGCACATTTGATTAGGGCCAAACAGTTTACAATTCTGAGAACTGATCATGCATGATGAGTTTCTTTTCTGTCTGATAGAGAAGAGAACCCCAAAGACTATGGGTTTGGGTTTTGTGGAATTTTTTTGTTTTTGTTTTGTCCTTTAGGATGTAACTAGTTTTGTATTTAATTTAGCAATCTTATCTCAGCTTTCCTTCTTTCCACCAACTATTTTTAAAAGTTTCTCATATTCCCTTTTGTTCTGAGCCATTTATTTATTTTGTTTTTAAATTAACTTTTTTTTTTTTTTTGAGACAGAGTCTCACTCTGTATCCCAGGCTGGAGTGCAGTGGTGCAATCTTGGCTCACTGCAACCTCTGCCTCCTGGGTCCCAGTTCAAGCAATTCTCTTGCCTCAGCCTCCTGAGTAGCTGGGATTACAGGCACACGCCACCATACCCAGCTAATTTTTGTATTTTTAGTAGAGACAGGGTTTCACCATGTTGGCCAGGCTGGTCTTGAACTTCTGACCTTGTGATCCGCCCACCTCAGCCTCCCAAAGTGCTGGGATTACAGGCGTGAGTCACTGTGCCCAGCCTAAATTAAACTTTTTATTTCAAAATCATCTATAGATTGTTGTAAGAAATCGTACAGAGTGATCTGTGTGCTCTTTTCTAATTTCCCCCAATGGTAACATCTTACAGAATTGTAGTACAAGATCCTATCCAGGGTACTGACATTGGTACAATCCACCCGTCCTATTTAGATTTCCCCAGGTTTAATTTGTACTCATTTGTATATTTGTACTTAATCCTATATGATTTTATTACATGTGCACTTTTACTTATCCACCACTGCAACCAAGATACAGAACAGCTCCATCACCACAAGGATTCTTCATGTCGCCCTTCTGTTAATCACATTCTCATATTCTCTTTTGAGCTGACTTTATCATCCAGCTGTGACCCTCATCAATGAGTTAAAAAGATAGTGATACCTGCTCACTATTTATTTGTATGATAATTAAGTTTTTAACATTTTGAGAAATATACTTTGATATAGTCCTCTGCTTTTTAATGAAACTACCTATTAAGTAGCAACTTGATAGCTGAGCTCCAATGACAAGACCAGATGGTTCCTAATTTCCCCACCAGAGATTATATTAATGAAAACCATCACTCTACATGCTAGGAACACACAGTGATCTTGAGCAAGCAGCCTAACTTCTATGTGATTTAGTTCCTTCTTCTCTAAAATAATAGCTCTGATTTTAAGGAATTTGTGGAGGATTCAACTAGTTAATATACACAAAGCTCTTAGAATAGTGCATGGCACATATAAATTACAATAAATTTTACGGTATATTATTTTATTTAATGTCCACATCAATCCTATGAGGTAAGAACTCTTGTTACCCTAACACAACAGATAAGAAAACTAGGACTGAGAAAGTTCAAGTAATTTTCCCAAGGTCTCAGCCTAGTAAGAGGTAAAGCAACAATTAGAACTCTAGTCTCTGTGATTCCAAGCACCACCTTGCCCTATTTACTGTGAGAAACTGGAATTTTGTGAGAAATGGAAATGCTGTACTCAGAGTAAAAACCAGAAACTGCGGTCCTAGGGGAACACAGACTGCCAAGACGGTGGGGAATTTTGCATGGGATAGGTGGCTATCTAGAGAAGAAGAAGGCCGGGTACAGTGGCTTATGCCTATAAACTCCCAGTGCTTTGGGAGGCCAAGGTGGGAACATCACTCAAGGCCAGGAGTTTGAGACCAGCCTGGGCAACATAGTAAGACCCCGTCTCTACAAAAAATACAAAAATTAGTTGGGAGTGGTGGTGCACACCAGTAGTCTCAGCCACTTGGGAGACTGAAGTGGGAGGATCACTTGGGCCCAGGAGTGAAGCTACAGTGAGCCGAGATCATGTCACTGCACCCCACTGGGCAATAGAATGAGATCTTGTCTCAAAAAAAAAAAAACAAAACAACAACAACAACAACAACAAAAAACCCGCACACAGGAAGAGTGAGAAAAGGAGAAAAGGAAATTTTGAGATCCATATATGCTTTCCATCTTTATGAAGTTTGAGAAATATCCCTTTTAACAACTTCAACAAAAACCCAGAGGAAAACCTTCATAAAATGAGCACAAGCATACTTTGTCTAAATTTTCTTCCCACAACAGGCTAGAAACACATGGGGAGATGAAACAAGTACCCACCAGCTCAAACTAACTCAGCAAGTCCAGCAAAGGGGAGGTAGCACAGCAGGAAGGCATGCGAGGGCCCTGCAGCATTTGCCCTCAGAAAGCAGAAGTTTTCTATTCACAGTTCTTCCTTCGAACTATTGATTCACATTGGGGCAAAATGAAAAATTTCCCGGATCATGTCAGAGGCAAGATAAAACTTCAGCCAACCAAGCCTGAGAGGAAACGAACCAGAAGCAGAGTCTGAACCCTTCATGCAGGTCCCTCCCATTTCAACTTCTGTGGAGCTAGGACAGCACAGGGCAGAGGTTTCCAAAAGGCGGGTCACAGAGACAATTCCCCTGGCGCATGGTACAATGAGAAAAATTAGATAGCGTGGTGGGTTAGTGTGGGCGCTAGGATTGCTCACTCCCTTTCTTAGCAAGATCGGTGTGTTTCTGTCCCTTCTTCAGGAAGGGCTTCCTTATATATCTATCCCTCTCCTCTCTCTTTTTTTTTTCTTATGGCACTTAGTTCTAACATTAATACTATGTCCTTTCCTTCTTCTTTCTTTTAAATCTATTACCCTGCACCTAGGCTTTAAGCATGAGGGCAAGAATTTTTGGGTTTTTTTGTCACTATTATATTCTGCAATGACTAGAACAGTGCCTAGCACATCATAAGTGCCAGTACATACTTGCTGAATTAATTTAACAGTGCTTTCTGCAGCATGTGTGCATGTGTGTGTGTGCATGTATGCGTGAGAGAGCCTTTCTTGTGAAATAGTAGAAGTAATAAATGACAGGTCTTTTTCATGCCCCCCTAAATAAAAAGTTAGCACCTTGATCAGCGTGCACACACACTCACACCTTTTTTTCTTTTAAATCTTACACATATTTTTTTCCTTTTTGCTGGCCAGTGAATTCCAAAAGTCTGGGACTCAGTGGTCTCAAAAAAGGGTTTTAGAGTAAAGCAAAGCTTGGCTTGAGTCTGGCACTTTCAACTGTGTAACTTTGGGCAGCTTCTTTTATATCTCGAACCCTCAATTTCTTCACCTACAAAATGGGAATAGTGATGCTAAACTCATGAGACTGTTCTACAAATTAATTGAGAGGATACTATGTAAAGCAGGGACCTGGTCCAGAGTAGAATTAGTGGTATAAATAGACGATACCCCCAGTGTGGCTCTGCTGTGGGCAAGGCAGGACTTCTCCACCCAGCCCTTGTCTCAAAAGCCACCTTGGGGTTCGAGCTCTTTGCTCCAGTGAGACTGCCCACAACTGAGGTCATGCCCAGACAAATGCCACCCAAAGGCAGTTTCCTGGCATTCAGTGGAGTTATTCTTAATTCAATCCTGCTTCAAATTCAACTCCCTTGCTATAAATTTGAACATTGAAATCAAAGGTTTTAAGGTACCACTTCCAAATTGCTGAAGTAAAGCCTATTTGCTTGGGGGTGGTGACTTCCAAGATTCTCCCAAATTAATGGATTTACACATGAATTCCTTTCCCCATTTAACTAGGAAAGAGAGGAATCATGTCAGGAACCTCACAGAAGGATATCATTCAGAAATGATGATAAAACAGTTCTGAAATTACAACATAAGTAAATAAACACAAATCATTTCTGAGCTATTTGAATTGCACACATTTTCAATCGTTTATATTTTTGCTTTCATGAAAGCACACAATATTGCCTTTTGTTGTAGTTCACACTATTAGAGGATTGTGTTAATAAAGGAAAGTAAGTAAACTTGGGGTTGTGTAGAGAGAAAGAAAGTGAAGCAGAGATGAGGTCTCTGGTGCTTAGCCCTGAGAAAGACAGAGCTGAGTCAAAATGAGGAGGCCTGAGAAAAAGTTCTCTGGGCTTTCAACTGTTTAGGGCAGGGAGGGCAGAGAGGTGAGTAACTGCAGGGAGTGAGGAAGTTCCGCCACAGGCTGACAGGCTCTGTCCTGGAGTTATCCTGGGTGGAGATCAACTGGTATAATTCCATGCAATGAAAATGGAAGGAAAAAGCCCCCTTTAGCAGTGGTTACCATTTTTTCAAAATGATGCCCCAGAATTTGGGGGACTGTTGTCAGATTGCTGGCTGCCTTCCAATATGAGGCCTTTGCTTTTGCTATTGTAACAGAATCTTGGCTTTTAGATGGTCTGTTGCTGCTCAGCTAAAAGATGTTCCCCAGCTTCCCTTGCAGCTAGATGTGGCCATGTGACATAGTTCCAACCATTACTATGGGAATGTACACTGTGGCTCTCTAAGAGGAGTTCAGGGTATGGAGCATTTCCCAAGCTTATCGAACCATGAAGCATGGCCAAGGTGCCTTCTTGGAGTGAGTCTAAAAAAGTGGCTTTCTCTATCCTCAGGTGTCTTCCAGATCCAAACATCTATGAATTACCCTTTGCCTATGATCTATTTCCAAATGCATTCATCCAGGGTTTTCTCTGTTCCTTGCCTGCATCTTTGCAGTTCACAAGTTGAGCCCAGAAAATCGGCTAACTGGCATCCTTGCAGCAGAGTCCCAAGGTCATGGCTGGAAGAGTAGCAGGCCATGCTATGAGTCTGTGAAGGAAGCCCTTCCTGGGGCTTGGCATACAGTTTCCTTTGCCATCAGGCCCCTGGCTGTGCCCGATGTGCAAAGGTCCAGTCTCACCACAGTTGCTTCCCAGAAAACACACAAATGACTGTCCTTTATTCCCAGAACAGACTGGCACTTTTTTTTTTTTTTTTGGTGCTTTGCCAGAGGTTTCCCTGACAACCAAATTGGAATTTGTCCATTTGTCCTTTCCTGAGAGAACTCCATCTTGATGGGGGAGGCCGGCAGAATGGATTCAGGATCCCTTTCACAGTCTGAGCAGCTATCAGCTTCTGGGGTTTGAATCTTCCAAAAGCTGCTCTGTGTCCTGGCCCTGTAATTTTCACACTCTGGATCGTCTATGGGTGAAGGCCTCCAGTTTCTCTACAAGGACAACCTTTCTCATTGTGAGAATGGGTGTCCTTTCCATAGCCTCTTGCTCCTTAATGTGATAGGTTTTACAGTAATTTCTTCACGCCCTTTTGGTTCTTATGTAGACTACAAGTCTGTGGGCAAGGACCGTGACGAATTTTGCACTCTGCAGATAACTTTACTCACTTCTGGCACCAGTGTTGCTAGTTACTTAATATTCCAATTCAACTTTGTCAAGGTTTAAGTTGAGTAATATTTTCCCTAATGCTTTTTAATTTTTTTGAGACATAGAATCATTGAAGTCCAGTTGATGGAACTTTAAGTATAAAGTTTGGAAATCTCTGGCTTTACTGGATGGTTTTGGCATGAATTTCATAAAAAACTTTTCTTTACCAAGTACCTACTACATGCCAGACACTTTCCTACATTTTGGCCAATTTGCCTGAAAATGTGACAGTCAGCAAATTCCTGGGGGGATCTGAGGATATACTATCATTCTTCTGTTTCATGGTAATTGTGAAAAAAATCTATTATTAGCAAATTTAGAATCATCCAAATGATCTCAACTTATTAGGATTCCATGATTTGGTGATGACATATGTATTGTTTTAAAGGCTGAAATGGCATCAATTCCTTCAATAGTCTTGAAGTGTGAAAAAAGGAAGATATAAATGAGATCTCTATACTTCATGATGGCAAAATGGCATCACGGATGAAAGCTTCTGAGTCATTTAAATACAGAAGAGGGTGAGAGAATTGAATCATCACCCGTGCAGGAGCCCTGTGATGGAAACAGTGGCATCCTCATCTGTGTGGCCACACAGTTCCCATCCTTAGATGCACCAACTTGCAGTAAGTGCCGTGGATGGCTAAAGCTGGCGTCACCATTAAAATGAAAAATAACTGTGATAGTGTTAACAGTTCAAATGATGGCCCACCGTGCCTCAAAAATCAAAAGGATCCAGTGGGCAAAAGTGAAATGGAAAATAAGCAAATGTATCTTTCTACCACTAAAAGCAATGTTTGTGATTCAGTTTCCATAAAACAAAACTATTTGTTATATTAGATTAATGCTATTATTCAGAATGTCACTGGCCTGGTTTGCACCTCTCTCCTTTGTAAATCATTATTTTTTGTTTTATAATTGTTTATAAGCTATAAGGAGTAACTTTACCTGATTTAATATACACATTTTTAAGTAAATCATAATTTTTAAAAAAGCATTCAAGTTATCCCCAGGGTCATTTAATCCCTACATCTGTGAAGTTGGCAATATTATCTCCATTTTACAGGGAAACTGGAGCTTGGGGATATAGAGCTCTACCTCAGTGAGTGAAAAACAAGCCAGAGGCTGGGCATGGTGGCTCATGTCTGTAATCCCAGCACTTTGGGAGGCTGAGGCAGGGGGACCACCTGAAGTCAGGAGTTTGAGACCAGCCTGGCCAACATGGTAGAAACCACGTCTCTACCAAAAATTAGCCAGTCATGGTGGTGGGTGCCTGTAATCCCAGCTACTCGGGAGGCTGAGGCAGGAGAATTGGCTGAACCCGGGAGGCCGAGGATGCAGTGAGCTGAGATCATGTCACTGTACTGTACTCCAGCCTGGGCAATAGAGCGAGACTCTGTCTCAAAAAAAAAAAAAAAAAAAAAAAGCAAGCCAGAATAGAATTCAGTCTACCTAATCCTAATGACCTTCTATTGCCTTCCTAAAGCAAAAGATGCTTTCTTGGATAGGATATCTGGCCTCTGGATCATTTTATCAAGTTGTAATTCACCAACAACCATTTCACTGAAAGGCCAAAAATACTAGCCAAGAGCTAGTCAAATGTTCTTTTCATTGAAGAGGGGTAAAAAAAAAAGGACCCAAGGTTCCAATTTCCCAAACACTTCCCCATGGAAACAGAAGTAGATACAGGCAGGGGCAGGAACAGGAGCAGAGCAGAAGCCCAAAGAGACAGTTTAGGGGACATAAAACAGCAAAAATGGATTTAAAGGAAAGCCCAGTCATTCACACTTAGAAGAATTCCTGGACTAACAATTCTAAGCCAAGGCAGCTGCGGCAACGTTGAGGCAGAATCAAAACCTGGGGAAAGACCTTAGGTATTCAGGTAGGTTCACTAACTGGCAAATTTATTTTGGGAGAACTGGCTTTTGAACTGTGTGAAATCTAGTTTTGGGGCTATTTCTTCACCAATAGTGAACTCTACTGGGAAGCAGATTTTGCCTGGGTTTCCTGGATCCAGCTAGGTCCTCACTCTGACACGAGAGGTAAACAGATGCAAAGGAGACAGAAAATCTGCTAGTGAGGTCTTTCCTGGGGCTCTTATCATTGTTTCTCTTTGTTCTCCACAAGTCCTTGTGGTCACCTGCATTTATTAATGTGTCCTTTAGAACTAGTGTTTTCTAGCTCTTTGGGAAAAGCTATAGCCCCAGGGCAACTGCAAAAACAGAAAGTCCCTAGAGGAATCTGTGTGGAGGGACTAGAATCTGGATATTGGGTTCATATTGCTGGAAGATTTTCCAGAGTTCAGGTCAAAATGAATGAAGATATATTTGGACTCCCTCTTTCTTTCTTTTCTTTTCTTTCTTTCTTACTTTCTTTCTCTTTCTTTTTATTTTCATTCTCTCTCTTTTCTTTCTTTCCTTCCTTCCTTCCTCTCTTGCCTTTCTTTCTTTCTCCTTCCTTCCTTGCTCTTTCCTCCTTCCTTCTTTCTCTCTTTCTCTCACTGTTTCCTCCTCCCTCCCCCCTTCCTTCTCTCTTTCTTTCTTTTTCTCTTCTTTCCTTTCTTCCTTCCTTCCTTTCTTTCTTTCTGTCCTTCCTTGCTTCTTTCTCTCTCTCTTTCCTTCCTCCCTCCCTCTCTCCCTTCCTTTCCTTTCTTTCTCCCTTCCCTTCTCTTCCCTTCTCTCCTTCTCTCTCTCTCTCTTTTTTCCTTTCTTTTTCTCCCTTTCTTCTGATTAGATTTCTCAGTGTTCAGCTGGCTCTGTTTGGCTTGATAGCTTTCCAAATAAATCAGATTGGCATTTTAAAAGTTAGCCAGATATAAGAAGACACATCAGATGTGTTCTGTACCATGACAATTTTATAGTGTTGAAGAATAATTAAGACATTTACTCAATGAAACTGCCAGATAACAAATGATATAGAGAATAAATTGCTGCTTCAGGGAAAAATCACCTTCCATTTCTCAAAGCATCTTCCATTTCTAAGAATACTGAAAGTTTCTCAAAGGGCCCCCATTTCTAAGAACACTAAATCACGTAACTTAATACCTATCTGTATTAGTTTCATGGGACTGCTGTAACAAAGAACCAAAAACTGGGTGATTGAAAACAACAGAAATTTACTGTCTCACAGTTCTGGGAGCTAGAAGTCTGAAATTAAAGTGTTGGCAGGGTTGCTTCCTTCTGGAGGAACTGAGAATCAGTTCCACACCCTCTCCTAGCTTGCGGTGGCTGTGGACAGTCCGTAGTGTTCCTTGGTTTGTAGATGCATCACTTCAATCTCTGCCTTCACTGCACATGGCATTCTCCTCTCTGTGTGTCTGTGTCCAAATTTCCTTTTTCTTACAAGAACAACAGCCATTGGATTAAGGTTCACCTTAATATCATATAATCTCATCTTACCTTGATAACATCTGTAAAGACCCTATTTTCAAATAAGGCCACACTCACATGTACTGGGAGTTAGGACTTCAACATGTCTTTCTGGGGGATACAATTCTACTCTGTATACCATCCAATACAAAACCAACAGAACCATGAAGTCCATTTTCTACAATATAACCAAGCGGCTTTAAAAAAAAAAAAAGGCTCATTGAATTCCAGTTTTTAAATGGCAAATTTTGTCATTGCAAATGCAATGAGCTCTGTCCCACTCCCAAATACCACTAAAACAAACATAAGGGAACTTTTAGAGGCATAAACTCATAGGAAAAAGAGGAGAGAGAAAATGTACTACAAAATTTTGGAAGCTGGGAAGGAGATAAGCAAGTGCTTACTATCTTAGCAGTTCAAGAAATCTGAATCCTAAGGGGAAAAAAAGGAAACTTGAGTACAACGTGTTTTTTATCCCTCTGTCCCCAAGGAACTCAGGAATGGAAGCCACTAGATACCTTTGGAAGGGGGAGAGAAAGCATTTGTGGAAAACTGGCTTCAGAAGCAGTTAGAACCCAAGGACCTCTCCCCAAAATACCAAATCTGAATGAGTGCCCCTCCTTCACCCTGAAAGAAGTTGTTGTTTTGTTTTCTAATAAAAAACTTCCTGGTGAAACTTTCTGGACAGAGGATCACTTAGAACAATTGAGGTCGGGGCTATTGTGCTGAAAATATGAAGCACTGGGACTCCAGGCTTCTTCCCCTACTCAGTCAGGCATGTGCCCTCCAGGTAGGAAATTGGGAGAGTCTGCTCAGTGGAATCTGATCACTCCCTTTCCCTCAAAAAGGCCTGAAAATACAGACATCAAAAGTTCCTGAAAGGAATGATCCAGCCAGATACTCTATAGTGAAGATGACAGACCTTAAGCCCCAACGTCATAAATGGAGCTTCCAACCAACATCGGAGTGCCCTCTCCTTAAATACAAGCCAACAGTTCAGGACCAGCAGACATTAGAGGAAAGCCACGAAACAAGAGAAAGACCAACAAAATAGACGGGGTGGGGGACATAAACTTGAATAAACAAACTCTATAAGGGGAGAAAACCTAATTAATGTTATAATCAGAAAGATATTGCGTCTAAAAAACTAAGAATGAGATGCTATGAAAAGGAACATTCAGAGAACCAAAAGAGAGTTCTTAAAAATTAAAACTAAGGTAGAGGGAATGAAAAATTCAAAAGAAAAATTGGAAGACAATATGGAAGAAATCTCCAAAAAAGTAGGATGGAAGATAGGAGAGGAAAGATAAGAAAATTAGAGGACCAGGCTAGGGAGAAATATAATAATAATAATAACTTGAGAAAATGTTTTCATAATTGAAGGCTATGAGATTTTTTTAAAAGACACAGGGAGATGGGGGCAGGAGGAACGGACAAATCTCATACTAAGGATTGAGAATCAGAATGACTTCAGACTTGTCAACAACACCTTGAAAACCTTAAGGAAATGAGATTTTATACCCCGCCAAACTATCGATTAAATGTAGAAGGCATAAAAAATTTTTTGAAAAGTAAAGTTTCAAAAAAATGTCACCTCTTACATAGAAAGCTACTTGAGGATGTTCTTGGCCAAACAAGAGAACAAACCAAGGAAGAGAAAGACACAGAATACAGGAACTATGAGATCAATTCAACACAGGAGAGAGGCTAAGGAAATCCTCAGGTTAATGTCAAAGAAAGAGTCAAGGCCAAGAGGTATGCAGCCAGCCTGGACAGCAACCAGCCCAGACTGGAGCAGTTCAGAAAACTCCAAGGGCAATTAAAAGAAAAAATTGTGATAGAATTCCTAATTTACTTAAACATATTGAAAGGAGATTTACACAACCAGAGGAGGGTTTGATGTGAATTAGTGATGCATTCACATTAAAAAAAAAAAAACAAACACATATTTTTAATGCAGCAAACATAAAATATTGTCTGTGAAAGGAAAAGTAATCCTAATCTGGTTTAGCTGCGAAAAGTGTCAACAAAACACCAACAAAGAACACTGATCTAACCGAGTTATGCTACAATGTATTGGCAGTGGTGGGATGGAGGTGAAAGAGTGAAAACCTCACCTTTCATGAGGGTAATCAATAGATCAGGCCTTAGACCGAAACATCAAGAAAGAGTATGACTTGCCAATTATTTAGAGACAAGGAAATGAAACAAGAGAACGAGCTTAAATAGTTGACAGTAGTTACTCCAAGAGAACTGATAAAGTGGGATGCATAACAGGGTTGATTTTCATAGCAAGCCTTTTAGAACTATTTGTCTAAATTTTATTCATGTGGTATATAGCCCGGTAGAGCTGGTGGTTACCACATTGGACAACACAGGTAGAAGGAGAAATAAATAAAAAACTAGTTTACACAACTAGTTAATTATAAATGTAAGTGCTCTGAAAGAGAAGTCAGGAACTATGAAAAAATAAAACTGGGAAATGTCACCTAATCTAAGGGTCAGCTAAGACTTATCTGAGATATTGGCATCTGTGCTAAAAACAGAAGCTATATTTGATGAATATCTTTAAAAAAACTTTAATGTAATTGGATCAAGGGACTTTCCTGCTCAAAACCCATCCAAGGCTTCTCATTGCTGTTAGGATGAAGTCCAAGCTCCTCATTGTGGCCTACATGCTCCCATGTGATCCAGCCTTTCCTGCTCCCAGCACTGCCTCCCCTCACTCATGGCTTGCATGATGCTCCAATAACATTGCTGTCCTCCAATAGCTGGAAAATGCCAAACTCTTCCTGCCTCAAGGCCTTTGCACATGCTGTTCCTTTTGCTAGAAATGTTCCCCATACCAACTTTTCATCATATCTGACTTCTCTTTTGTAGCACTTGCAACAATAATAATTAATTGTATGAGTTCGTATGCTATCTACCTCTTCTGCCTGTGCTGTCCAATATGGTAGCCGCCAGCTCTACTGGGCTATGCTAATTTAAATTAACATTAAATCATGTGAAAAATTCAGTTCTTCAGCAGCACTAGCTCCATTTCCAGTGATCCATAGTCATAAGGCTGTATTGGACAATGCAAAGAACATTGAGTCTCTGGACAGCGCTGCTCTAGACTGCAAACTCCACAAGGACTCCTCCTAGATCTAGCCTGAGTGCCTAGGACTATGTCTAGCACTTTGAAAGCGCACCCTACATAATTGTTGAATAAATAAATTCATTCATTCATTTAGGGTAAGGCCACTGCCCTGTCTGAAAGGACATTTATATTTGGTCTATCTTAGTATCTGAAGCCTTTCAATAATGTCTATTTCTATATAATCCCAATGGCAAAATCCACATCAAAGAAAATTAAAATTTAGGTAGCAAAATAAATAAATACTCATGGGACCATTTAGGTCATAATAGTGGACTTAAGAGACTCATGAAGGCAAAGCGTTCCATTTCACCCCAGGTATCATTCTTAGAAATAGGTTCCCCATTTGTGTTACAAACCAATCATTAGAATTAACCTGGAAGATGTGTATTTTCAGAGTCCATTTAGATTTAAAGCATCTTAAAGTATCCTTTGACTGTGCCAAGTGAAGTCACTTTGGGCATTGTGGATTATAAATCCAGTTTAGATGCTGTATTTAGCATTATACACAAAGAAAGATATTAAATAGGTACAATTTTCTTTTAAGAGGATTATTACCAGGCTTTCAAAGGAGCACAAGCACCTCATTAATAGTGAATGTGTTCATTGGGTTTGAACAAATTCAACAACCCAGAGATGCATTCAAATATATTTATTTAAGCATTCTGGAGGTTTTCAAAAAAATAAAATCAGATCTTTCAAGACAACAGTAAAATCACTATCTTTCTTTCCCCAGCATGCTGACTGTGGGACAATCTCCTTGCCAGTGTCACTGTCCATTCCAAAAACAAAAAAACAAAACGGTTTCTGCCCTCAGGCCCGTTGTCTCCCATACCCTCCCACACATCTGCTCCACTTCAAGCCTGGATTCAAGGAGGTCCCTGGAAACAAAGAAAATATTCCTGAGGCTTAAAAAAAAGTGTGAGGAAACAGGGCTCTTTGGCTCTTTTTCAATGATGGAAATTTAGCTTCTCCTTCTCTTTATCTGTCTCTCTTCCCTCTTGGTTCTCTCTCTAGAACAAAACAATCAGCAGGCGGGTCTGCGGCATTCTAAGAACAGACACTGGCAGGAACAAAGGTTACAGAAGTGAATGACTCTAAGAATCAAGCAAGACATGGAGTGGCAGAAAATTAAATTCTGAATCCCTAAAAGACATGATGCAAAGATGACCTCCTCTCCCAAGGACATGTCCTCATCCTGCGCTGACCGTGTGTGGTCATTTCAGAAAAAGCGAACAATGGAGAACCTGCTTGAATGATACTTAGACCTGGGACAACTGAAAGGAGTTGCACTTATACAATTCGGTGCAGTGGAGTCCCCTGGGAGGAGCCCCAGTCACACGGGAAGAGACAGTCACAGCTGTAATAAATGATGGCTAGCATGTATCAAGCACTGGCCGAGTCCTCAGCATACATTACATTACAGAATTCAGTGTGCACCTCAACACTCTGGGGGTGTATTTTATAGGAGAACTGTGGCACAAAGAGGGTAAGTGTCTTACTAACAGTGTGGCTCATCTGCCAAGCAGGGGTAATCTGACCCCATGAGGTTGCCACAAGTATTCAATTAGTTTTATTTTACAGTTAGAACAGTGGCTGGCTGAAGAAGTAAAATATACAAGTATTTGTTATGCAAAAACAAATAAGTCATAAATCTCCATCTTATAGGTAAGAAAATGCATTCTGGTTTTTGTTCTGTTGCTGACAAACTATGGGACTTCAGGCAAGGCTGTGAAACTCTTGGGTCTTGATTGCCTCCTAAAAACCTCAGCGTTTGTACTCAATGATTATTTGGATCCTTTTTCAGCTCCAAGCTTCTTCCAATGAATGGAACATAATTTCTTTGTAGCTTTTCCTTCACCTTACTCCCCTTGTGCTCATAATCTAGGGATTTTAACAGAAGGGGAGTTTGTAAAGGAACAGGGGCATTTTGGGTTGTCTTGATGACAAGGGGACCATACTGCATTTGGTAGGAGCGTGAAGGGATGCTTAGTGTTTAGCAACGCTTGCTGCAGTCCCACCCAAGATGCCAATGGCTCTCCTGTAGAAAATACAGTCAGCTTCAGAACGCTGGTAGAAATCATGATGTAACACAGAAATGCAAAGGGAAGGTTTTCTGTCAAAGTTGTGGAGCCACCCAGCCATGAAACCATGCAAACTGTGGCCAGACTGCTATGCTTCCATATTATCATGCAGCTAAACAGTCACACAATTATGCAGCTATGCAACCACACAGCTGGATGTCCATGGAGCCATGCCCCAAATCCCACAGTTTTGAAACCAAGCAATAGCCTATCACATTCTTCAAATGCAAGACAGATACCAAAGTTAGTGTGTTCCTACTTGTCAGTCTCAGACAACAGTAATGGCAAGCCTTTTTAGGGGACAGGTAATGAGCAAGACCCAATTCCTGACTCCAAGAAACACTCATCTGGGGAAGGGCAGACCTGTGCACATGTGCACAAGGCTGACCATACAGCAGTGGAAATAGCAATGAGAAGAAAAGGCGTATGGGGAAAACAGAGATTCGTTCCACTTGGGGAGGGCCTAGGGAGGCTTTGCAGAGGGGTGGCTTTTGGGTTAGATTTGTACAATGAGTAAGGGTGAAGGTAAAATGTTCCATCGGAGGAAGTTGCAAGACTAAATACATAGAGAAGGAAGGAAAGGGCAGGCCTAGTGAGGACTCAATAGTGTGGTATTGGTAGGAATAGAAGACTCAGACCTGATGGCTGAAGGCCTGGAATGCCATGCCAAGAATTTCATCATTTGTCTAGTAGGAAATAGTGGTCATGAAATATTATTGGGCACAAGAGTGACACGATCACATCCATCCTCCAGAAAGACTCTTTGGCAGGAATGTGAGAAATGAACTGAAGAAAAGTCAGAAGTAAACGAGAGGTTTAGAGGTTCCAGTGCAGACACACAATCCTATCCCTGCTTCCGTTGACACTGGAATAAAGCCCAAACTCCTGCTCATCACTCACAAGGTCCTAAATAGTCTACCTCCTTACAGACATCCTCTCCTACCCCACATCCCTCTCCCAGTTTCCCCCAGTTACTTTCACCTCACTCTGTGCCTCAATCACATTAAGCCCATTCCTGTCTCAGGGCCTTTGCACTACTGGGGGCCCCTCCTGGAGCACTCTATCCCCTAATGCTCACAAAGCAGCTCCTGCTCTTCACTCACAAGTTAGCTCCTTCCTCAAAGACCCCTCGCCTTACCACCCAATCTGCTAGGCTTCCCCATCTCCAGTCACTCTCTATTTTATTATCTTGGTTTTCTTCACGGTGCTTACCAATGTCTGAAATTGCCTTGGTTATTTCTTTCTCTACCCATCACCATTAGCTCAAACCCAAATGTAAGCTCTGAGAGAAGAATCTTGGTCTTGTCCACTGCTCCAGCCCCAGCATCTAAAACAGCACTCACTCTAGGGTGGGTGCTGAAGAATATTTGTGGGAAGGAAGGAAGGAAGGATTTTCTGTGTGATAAATACACAAAATTCAACTGAGCTTGTGATTTTGTAAGAGACACACATGGAGCAATAGGGGAGGAAGGGAATGACTGCCTAGCCACCAAGATGCCCCCACATTCAGGAAGGGCAGTGGTAGGTGATTTGAAGGGGAGCATTAATGAGGGCCTGAACTAGGGCAGCAGTTGGGCCTGGAAAGAAAGGAACAATTCACTGCAACCATTCATTTCAGAGACAGACTGTAGAAGTTGGTGCCTGATTAGATGTGCAGAGAAAGATAGGAATAAGACAAAAATAACCCCAAAGTCTTACACCTGAACAACCAGAGATGATTCTGATGAACAGAGAGGGATGGCACCATAGGGTGGGCAGGTGTGAGGGACAAGAGGTTAATTTGGTTTGGGGCAAGTTGAATTTGAGGAACTTGGCTGACAGTATTTGGATGCCTTGTGATGGTTGGAAATGTGGTCTGGAATCAAGAGCAGATATGGCGGGGAGCAGCCACTGGGAGGATAACGTCAGCAGCAGGTGAGTCTTCTGGGAGAGCCTGCTGGATAAGAGAAGAGAACTGGGCAAGGGCGTGAAGAGACGTGGGTAGAGCATGGGACAAATCATGAAAGAGGAACTAAAAAAGAGGACGAGGCAGAGAAGACATAATCAGAGGTGGAAGGGAAATGGTGGTGTAGGGAAACTGAGGGAGAAGGTCCATTTCCAAAATGTGGAGTAAGGGTAGGCAGAGGAGATTGGCCAGGTCAGTGGTGCTGAAAGCTGCAGAAAGGGACATGGGCGCTGACTCTCCATTTACAAGGTAATTGGTACTCTTTGTGATAAGAGTTTCAGTAGATTAATAGGAATGGAAATTCCCTGTAACATGTGCAGGAATCTATCTGGACCCATTTGCTTCTCCCCAGTGAGACTTGGGGGAACAGGGACTGATGCAAATATGCTAATGCTCAAAAGGTTTGCTATGCTACAGTTGTAACGTCCTTTGTTTCTGACCCTGGAGTCTCGTGTCTTACCAGTATTCAAGAAACTGTGACGGGCTAACTTGTAGGGTAAAATCTCAGGTCCTTTATAGTTATTATTAAAACTACCATGCTTTTCTAGAAACTTGCCATTCCTCCATTAAGAAGTGGAGTCTGATTCCCCTCCTTTTAAATCTGGGCAGGCTTGTGACTCATTTATAACCAATAGAATACAGGAGAAATAAACTGTATAATTTCCGAGACTAGGACATAAAAGGCAATGCAGCTTCTACCTTGCTAACTGGGGCTTGCACTGGAGTTCTGAGCAGTTATGCAAACATGCTGACTGCCCTGGGCCACCATGCTGTGAGGAAGCCCAAACTAGCCCTTGCAGAAAGAGCATATGGAGAAGTGCTGGGACTGTACCGAGAGAGATGCCCAACCAGTCCCAGCTGTTCCATCTGACAGCAAAACCCCAGCAATTTTATTCAACAAATAACTTCAGGTTTTTGCTTTTCAACTTTTTGCTTTTAGACTTTTTGCTTTTCAAAATATCTCAGTCACCTTCAAAGGATGAAGATTTACAACTAGTGAATATGGTCAAAAGAACAGGCCCAAGCTGGGCATGGTGGCTCATTCCTGTAATCCCAACACTTCCGGAGGCCAAGGTGGGAGAATTGCTTCAGCCCAGGAGTTGGAGACCAGCATGGGCAACATGGCAAAACCCCATCTCTATGAAAAAAATGTTTTTAATTAGCTGGGCATGGTGGCTCACCTGTGGTCCCAGCTACTTGGGAGGCTGAGGTAGAAAAACTGCTTGAGACTAGGAGATCAAGGCTGCAGTGAACCTTGATCGTATCACTGTGCTTCAGCCTGGGTGACAGAGCAAAACCCTGTTTCAAAAAAACAAAAACAAAAAACAAACAAAGAACAGGCCCAGAGATGTGAACAGATTGTATATAGGGCAGAAATGGCAGTTTTTCCAGAATTGTATAAAAAGATGGCAACTTCATTCTTAGAGGGCACACTAAAACTAAGTGAGCTACAATTCCTTACCTACTAAAGTGATAAAAATCCCTAAGTTTGATAATCTACCCTACTGGCAGGGCTATGGGGAAACAGGCACTTTCATATGCTGCTGATGGGAATGCAAAATGGCACAAGGCCTCTGGGGGAAAATTTGGCAATATCTAGCAAAATTACATTTGCATTCAGCATTTGGCCCAGCTGTACCACTTTTTAGGGATCTACCTAAATCTACACTGGAAAAAAATGAAAAGACACATGGACAAGACTATTTGTTACAGTAAAAGATTGGGAACAGCCCTAATGGCCATCAGTAGGAGACTGGTTTAATAAACCAGGACACATCCACACAATCGAGCGCTATGCAGCTATAAAAAGGAATGAGGAATTTATGTAGTGCTTTGAAGTGATATCTGGGATATAGTCTTCAGTGAAAGTCAAGGGACAGAACAGTAGGTATAGTATGCTGCCTTTTATCTTAAAAATGAAAAGCATCTAAATATATAGATACAGATATGGATATAGAGATTTCTGTGTATGTGTGCATATGTTTGCTTATTTGAAAAAAAAAAGATAAACCAAAAACTAATAAAATGGTTATCTATAGGATGACAAAGGAATCAGAGGAAAGGGGGCAGAGATAATGAAAGCCAAACTTCTTATATGTAGCTTATTTTATAGATTTGTCTTTAGAACCATGTAAATGTTTGACCAATATAAAACAAAATTAAACTGAAATGAAAGAAACAGCAATTTTTCCTGAAATGCAAAAGTAAAATGAAACAAATGAACCTACCTGTCTAGCAAGTTGATGGCTTAACCACTGTGATGGTTAATACTGAGTGTCAACTTGATTGGATTGAAGGATGCAAAGTATTGATCCTGGGTGTGTCTGTGAGGGTGTTGCCAAAGGAGATTAACATTTGAGTCAGTGGGCTGGGGAAGGCAGACCCACCCTTAATCTGGGTGGGCACCATCTAATCAGCTGCCAGTGAATATAAATCAGGCAGAAAAACGTGAAAAGGCAAGACTGGCCTAGCCTCCCAGCCTACATCTTTCTCCCGTGCTGGGTGCTTCCTGCTGTCAAACATCAGACTCCAAATTCTTTGTTTTGGGACTCAAACGGGCTCTCCTTGCTCCTCAGCTTGCAGACAGCCTATTGTGGGACCTTGTGATCATGTAAGTTAATACTTAATAAACTCCCCTTTATATATATATGTATAGACTATTAGTTCTGTTCCTCTGGAGAACCCTCATACAGCCACCCAGCAATAAATTATTTCAATTTACTTTAAAACACAGTAATCTAACTGTATGTCCCTATTGGGATATACCCTAAAGACAAAAAACTCCCAAAAAATCTTTAAAAACATTTTCAGTAATCACACTGAGGCAGGAAAATAGAGTCTGGAGGCAGGGAACATAATGCCTATCCACACTTCAGCTATAACAGGAAACATCCTCTCCATAGGGCATAGGTGGTAAATGACTTTGTAACTTTACTTCATCCTCTCCATTTACATAGGGCATACCCAAAGTAACCAATGGAATCCTCTAAGGGATATTTAAACTCCCCAAAATTCTGTAATGCGGCCTTTGAGCCCCTATGCTTGGGCCTGCTCTTACACTGTGGAGTGTACTTTCATTCTCAATAAATCCCTTCATTCTTTCCTTGCTTTGTTTGTGCATTTTGTCCAATTATGTGTTCAAGATGCCAAGAACCTGGACACCCTCCACTGTTAACAATACTGTTACATATATAAGACAAAGCAACCTTAGTTTCTTACTTATAATGTTGTTAGGAACCAAGATATTTAGCATCTAAAAAAAAAGAATAAAGTTTTAAAAGGATGAAAAATCTGAATTGATAATATCAATACAAACACATAGTCTCTTTAAAAATAGTTTCTAGCTCTGTCCAGTGAAAAGAGATATAAACAACAGCCAACCCAGTAGCAACAAGCAGCCTAGGTGCCCAGGCTGTAGGCTCTAAGTATAGTACTTCAGTTAGAGGAACCAGGGCTCCTTAGAGAAATCGGTAATTCCAAGTCCTAGCCCAGAAAAATAAAAGAATGAGCCTATAAAAACATAATAAGCCTAGAAATAATAATAAGCCTAGAAAAACATACCATACCAGAAAGCCAGGACTATCAAAGACTACTAGAAGTGTGTGAAAAGGAGTCAAGAGTCAAACGGGGGATCCCACTAGCCAAAGATGGGAAACCCTGAGTATACACATACAAGATAATAAGTGCAATGAGTTAAAACCCATCCAATATGCTAATGAGCCATGAATCCATCATGACGCTTTAAGAAACACTCCTTGGGCCACCTTTGGAGGATACTAGGGGAGAAACTGAGAACTGATCATTAAAGGGAAAACATTTGGCATTTACTCAGACTTTTCAGGAAAGCCAAAAAGGATGTGGGGAAAAGTTATTCTTTATAAAAGAATTCCAAGTAATAAATGTTGAAGAAATGTTAGACTATCACCATTTTGTAATTCCTAATGAAATAATTGATGTAGGCAATGATTATCAATAACTGCTAAAAGCATTAGGTAGAAAGCTGATGAGAAACTTTATAAAGGATAGATCAGGTGGCCTAAGCCAATCTTAACATCACAAAAAACAAGATATAACCTGATGTGTGGTTCCTGATGTAGAACCACACGATGGAAAGAATACCTCATCACCTATGAAGTTTCCTACTGAAAAAGCAAACCAGAATTCCGTCAAGCCTATTGTTCTATCAGTTTACAGAGAATACAGAAACTTTTTTCAATTAATTAATTAATTTTTAAATTGACAAAATTTTGTATGTGGTGTACAACATGATATTTTGATATATGTATATATTCTTGAATGGCTAAATCAAGCTAATTAACATATTCATGATCTCAGATATCTTTCTTCGTGGTGAGATCATTTAAAATCTACTTTTTAAACATTCAAATACAATTGTCCCTCCCTCCCTGCAGGTTCCATTTTTGCAGTCTCAGTTACCTGTGGTCAACCAAAGTCCAAAAATATTAAATGGAAAATTCCAGAAATAAACAATTCTTAAGTTTTAAATTGTGTGCCATTCTGAGTAGCATGATGAAATATCTTGCTGTCCTGCTTTGTCTCGCCTGGGATGTGTATGTATGTATGTATGTATGTATGTATTGTATGTATTGTATATATGTATTGTCCTATGTATCCGTGCTGTAGACACCATTGGCCTGTTAGTTACTTTGTAGCCCTCTTGGTGTTCAGATCAATTGTCCAGGTATCATGGTGCTTACATTCAAGTCACCCTTCTTTTACTTAATAATGGCACCAAAGCAAGAGTAGTGATGCTGGCAATTCTGATATGCCAAAGAAAAGCCCTAAAGTGCTTCTTTAAAATAAAGTATGAAAGTTCTCTATTTAATAAAGAAAGGAAGAACAATATATATAGGGTTTTGTACTAATTGTGGCTTCAGGCATCCCCTGGAAGTATTGGAACTTATTCTCCATGGATAAGGAGGAACTACTCTATACAATACATTGTTATTAACGCTAGTCACCATGTTGCGCAATAGCTTTCCTGAAGGTTTTCCTCCTGTCTAACTGAATATAGCAACATTTTAAACAACACCACAGGGAGGCAATCAGCAAAATCCAAAAAATTAGAAACTCTACAAGACAAAACAACCAGTTTCTTCAACAAATAAATTGAAGGGGAAAGGGAGGAAATGGGAAACCTATAAACTGAAAGAAACAAGAAAAATATAAACCAAATACAACATGCAGATGTTGTTTGTATCTCAATTCAAACAAACCAATGAGAGAAAAACATTTATGAGACCATTGGGAAAATTTGGGCACTGGCTGAATTTTTATTACATTAGAGAATTAAGAATTAAGGAATTTTCATTAATTTTAGATGTGATAATGGTATTGTGGTTATATATTAGGTTGAAGCATACGGAATTGCTGATATTATACCATTTCAACCTATAAAAAATGACAATTTAATATAGTCCAATCCAATATCTTTTTACTTTTTAAAAATTTTCTTTTGAAACAGGGTCTTGCTCTGTTGCCCTGGCTGGAGTGCAGTGGTGTAATTTCAACTCACTGTAACCTCTGCCTCCCAGGCTCAAGCAGGCTTAGCCTCCAGAATAGCTGGGACTACAGGCATGCACCACCATGCTTGGCTAATTTTTTAAAAATAATTTTTTTATAGAGATGAGGCCTCACTATATTGCCCAGGACGGTCTCATACTCATAGGCTCAGGTGATCCTCCTGCCTCAGCCTCCCAATGTGCTGGGATTACTGGTGTGAGCCACCATGACAGCCCCAATATCTTTTTAAAAGAGTCCTAATTTCTTAGAGATTCATACTAAAGTATTCATGGATGAAGTTACATGACTTCCGGAATTTGCTTCAAAATTACCCAATTGATGAAGGGGAATGGAGGCAGAGATGAAACAAGATTTGCAATGCGTTGAAGCTGTGATGGATACGTGGGGGTTTATTATATAATATTATCCAAATATATATATATATAGCTTGAAATATGTGCGTATAAAGTTTCAAATTTTCATATATGTTTGAAATGTTATATTAAAAAATGTCTAAGGCTACAATTAAGGGGTTCTAGAATTGTTTTGAGCAATTGCAACCAGATGGTGTTTGATGCTCAATTGAAGATATAATCTCCATTTGTGTGTGGTGTGTGTGTGTGTGTGTGTGTGTGTACCTACACACATATTCAGATCACCTTTTCATATAACTTTTTTGTATATCATATACATTCCACACTAATTTTTTGCTTACTGCTACAGGGTTTTGCAATCCCAAGAAGAGTCAGCGTTTGAATTTTGAATTTATGTGCAAAAGAGACAAATATGGCTAAAGGGCATGGGCACACTCTCTCTGGGTCCCCGTGTTAACGATTTTAGTAGCTTCTATTTAAATGGTGCTCTTTCTCTAAGAAGATCATTGGGTATTTTCTGAAAGCTTACATAATGGCTGGAAGCCCCCTGCCTCTGCAAAGGAACACCTGATTCAGAAAAGTAAACACCATAACAGCAACCCATTCATCAGCTGCCCAGACTCACAACCAAGCAGACATGCAGCGACTTTCCAAAAACCCTCATTTCTGGCATTACAGCCTGTGGCAATAACAGAGTTAAGGAAAGGTAAGTGAAACTCAGAGAGACACAGTGAGATAATTATTCCTCACGCCTGTTAGAAGAACATTCCACCGTCTCAGAAGAAGCCCTGTCTGAATCTGATTCAGCTGAGAAAACAACTCAGGCCATGGTAGCTGCACCCAACTCTCTAAATCAACAGTGACCTGTGCTGAAGGGATTAAGGCATCCCAACATTCCTCAGAGCCCAAGGCAAGGAGAATCCCTTATGAAGATGAAATTGATCTTCAAGCACCCTCTACCTTACTCTGCGTGATGCCATATTCTTCCTGAATCCCACCCAACTCAAGAGCATGATTTGCATAATAAAATCTCTAATACTTTGATGAACAAATGTTATCCAAGATACTTTAAAAACTGCCTTCACGGTGAGAAATGAACTTAATTCCATTAATTCATTGTCTGTTCGTTATTCTAGAAACATTATTTGAGTGTTCAGCATGTGCTGAGCTATTTAGAGATGTTTCTGAGGGCTAGGACTAGTAACTGCAAATCCTATGCTTTTTTTTCTCTCTTCCACACTGCCTTGGGGATTAAAGACAGTGGCTCTTAAATCTGGCTGTGCTTCAAAATCATCTAGGACAGGAGTGGGCATTGGAACACAGACACGCTCATTCATTTATATATTGTCTATAGCTGCTTTGGCATTAAAAACAGAGAAGTTGAGTAGTTGCAAAAGAAATCACGTGGCCCACAAAGCCTGAAATATTTACCCTCTGTCCCTTTACAGAAAAAGTTTGCTAACCTCTGATCTAGGACCTCTGGACCAGCAGCATCAGCATCACTTGGAAGCCTGTCAAACATGCAGAATCTCAGGTCCACCCCAGACCCACGAAATTTCACTCTCCACTGACCTAGAGAACATGGAGACACTGCAGGTTTTCTAGCTGCACTCCCACTACCAAATCAGAAGTGCCTGGGGTGGGACGTTTGTTTGAGATTCCCCAGGTGAATCTGATATGCAGCCACTAGGGAAGCAGAAAGATGAGTAAGGTGATTACTGCCAGGTCTTCCTATGGGACGGCAGCACCAGATTCTCCAGCTGCTAGGAGAGTTAGCCGCTAAAGGATCACAGCTGAGTGCCTCTCCAGGCACTGCTCCTGTGGAAGGAAATGACCTTACCCAAGGTCACACCTACTTGCTAGGGGAAGACTGCATCCAGCGCCTGGCCGATACAGGGTAAAAAGGCCCAGTCTTCTCAATTGCTGAATGGCCATCCCAGCTCCAGAGCTCCCCAGGGCATCAGCTGAAGCCCCTATTACAACAGCCATTCCACTCCTCCCTCTGCCCTGGACTGTGCCCCTCACCCTATTAGAGAAACTGGGATGCTGACTGAATTATTATTACATTAGAGAATTAAGAAGTTTTCATTAATTTTTAGGTGTGATGATGGTATCATGGTTATATATTAGTTTGAAGTATATGAAATTGCTAATATTACACTATTTCAACCTACAAAAATAACAAAATGGTCCAATCTAATATCTTTTTGGTCCAATCTAATAGATATGGTCCAATCTAATATCTTTTTTAAAGAGTCCCAGTTTATTAGAGATTCATACTGAAGTATTCATGGATGAAGTTACATGACTTGTGGAATTTGCTTCAAAAATGTTTAATTGGCGAAGTGGAATGGAGGCAGAGATGAAACAAGCTTTGCAATATGTTGATAATTGTTGAAGCTGATGATGGGTACATGGAGGTTTATTATACTATTCTCCATATATATTATATATATATATATATATAGCTTGAGATAGGTAAGAGGCCCACATCACAGGTGGTGTTACTAGAGCTCTCTCCAGTAAGGGTTTACCTCAGAGTCTGTTTCTTGGCTCTGTCTTTAAGAGTATACAGTATAATAGCAGAGATAAGTCACAATCATAAATAAGAAAACTCAAAAGGGAGTAAGTGTCCTAAATGGTGTGTGCTATCAGGGAACACATAACTGAAGCAGAAGGGCAGGAGCAGCAGGCTTTTGGGGTGACAGGTGGGCTGTGGGATCAGGTGGGATGCCCTTTGAGGCACCTGATCCCATTGCCCCACCCATCACCCCAAAGGTTGTATGGAGAGGCTGGAGAGAAAGCCTTGAATTCCATACTAAGACATTTGTATTCAGTAGATAGTGGGAAATCATGAAAGGCTTTGAGTGGAAGAATAACACAATAATGATCCCAGCTGTACTTGGGAGTATTTACCTGGCAATAATGTGAAGGGGATTGGAGTGGGAGTGACTGGGGGTGTGAAGACTAGTCCAAAAGTTGTTGCAAATGTCTAGGTGAAAGGCGGTGAGGACAGAAGCTAGCAATCCATGAAGGGGCTGGTGTACAGGAAAGACCACAGGGCTCAGAATGAGACAGACCTGAGTTCCAAACCCCACCCCACTGCTCACAGCCCGTGTACATTTAGACAAGCCATCCCACCGCTCTGACTACCCCCTTCTGTAAAATGGAAATAACAGAGTTAGCTAATAAATCTGCAAAGCCCGGCACATGCTGAGCACCCAATTAATGGAAGCCACACCATGAGGTCGTAGCTGTGTTCGTTTGTGCTTGTACATCATCACTTATCACCCCAGCAAGAAAGTGTGAGCCTGACTGCTATGAAGACTGCCCTTGAAAAGTGATTCTTGGAGGTAATCGTTTAATGAGGCCTCGGTTTCAAACATGCCAGTTGTTTATTGAGGTGCTTAAGCCTGAATCATTCCTCTTAGGAAGGGTGCACAGGCGGTCTCTGCTTCCATTGTAACCGCTGCCATGCCCTGTTGTCATGGTGACCAGTTTCCCAAACTGCCCTGCTATTTTCTGCAAGCCTTTCCAGTTTCTTAACGCCCTAAAGTCCACAAGCCCTAGAGACAGCAGCAGGTTGGGTTTTTTGAACTTCCACAGAAAACACTGTCAACTCTTTAAATTTGCCAGTTGGCTGCGAGCTGCTTCTCCAACAGAAGCTCCCAGCCTGAGCAGCAGTGTGACCCTGCACAGCAGACACCCACAAATGTTCCCACTAACTGGAAATTGGTGCCATGGAATATTAGCTGGCACATCAGTCTCTGGCTGGCATTAATCTTGCAGGAAAATAAGGCAGAAGACAAGGGAATGTCCACCATGCATTTCACGTACACAGCACAGTCTGAAGTTAAAAGACCATTCTAAAAGATTAAAGTTTAAGGTATTGCATTATTTTTAAAAATTATTTCAATATTAGCATATGTGGTTTTTCCAGAGAATGTTCACCTTATGAACTTACTTGAAACATGAAAATATTAAAAACAATATTATTATTGTTGTTACGGCAAAATTGTAACACTAGCAATCATGTCACCTTGGTTTCTGGCAGAACTTCTCTCCCTCCTCACTTACCTAATTCCTTTCCCCCTTCTTGTTCCTGGAAATCTTCTCTCCTCTCTGACCACAGCTATAGGATGAAAGAAGTGACCACTCTGCTGGCAGCCTGCCCAGTATCTGTTCTCCCCATTTTTCCTTTGCCAAGAGGACCCTGATACTTTTAGGGTAGCTTGAAAGTTCCCTGTGTGGAAGGAAATGACCTCACACAACATCACATCCCCTTGCTGGGGAAGCCCACATCCAATGCCTGGTCAATATAGGGTAAAAAGCTAAAAGTTTTGAGTTCCTAGACACCCTTGTAGCCCAGAACACCTACATCATACACTTCTGACCAATAAGACCCAAGCAAAGTTTACTGGGTTTGAGGAAAACTGTCATTTTACAGATAAGGAACAGATCAGGCAGAATGCCCCTTTCTGCCCGTCTCCTTCTTCCCATTTGAAATAAGATGGTGCAGCATCTCGCAGCCATGAGGATGAAATCCACACACTAAGGATGGCAGAGCAATAAAGCCAAAGGAGCCCAGCTCCTCCACAGTGTCCGTGACTGGGTGTGGCCGCCGACCTCCAGACCTCTGTGCAGACCTTCCATGGGCTAAATCCCATTCCTGGAGTTGGTTTCTGTTCAGGCAGCCAGATGCAATCCCTAACTGGTACAAAAGGTGTGGAGGGTTCCCTTCATTCAACAAACATCCACCGAGTGCCTACTCTGTGCTGGGCACTGTTCTAAGCACTTGGACTGTAACAGTGGGTGAGTCCATCAGATCCTTGACCTCTTGAAGCGAGAGAGTCAAGAAATAAACAGTAAACGAACAAGACAATGACAGGCAGTGGTGTTAGGAAGGAAATGACCAGATGGCCACTGGGGAAGGCTGGTCTCTCTGAGGAGGTGACATCTGAACTGAGAGCCAAAGGGTGAAGAGGAGTTAACCACACAGAGGGGGCGGGTGTGGGGAGGAAGCACATTGCAGCAAGTGTGAAGGCCTGTGACAGGAAGGGGCTCCATGTATTCAGAGAACAGAGGGGAATCAAGCGTGGCCGGAACACGCTGAGCAAAAAACAGAGCAGAGTAAACAATGAAATCATGCTGGAAAATCAGCAGGGACCTCGTCATGCAGGCCCCTGGAGGCCAAGGAAGGGACTGGGATTTTATTCTACACATAGTAGAACAGGAAGCTATCAGAAGGCATTAAACAAGAGAGTGACAGGACCTGACATATGTTTTTAAAAGATCGTTCTGCCTATGACATGAAGAATGAATTGTCAAGGGTATGAATGGAAGCAGGCTATGGCAGATGTTCAAGTGGAAGACGGATGTGGCTTGGGCTTGGGGAGGGCCCATGGAGATGCAGAGTAGACCTTCATCCAAATGGAGCTGCCTGTGAGGTTCCCGTATATGGTTACAACAAGGGGCAACCTTGTCAGTGCACTTAGAATTCAAATGGACAGACTAGGAGGAAAGGATCGCTAAAGATGTTTAGAAATGCTCAGATGGCAAGAAGGATGTATGCTGGGTCACTGGAAGGAAAAATGGGAGAATTCACGGCAAGTCTGTGATTTTTTTTTTTATATTCAGAGGGAAAGTATAGGATAGCATCAGGGGCTATTATATGGGGTCTGTCACCGCATATTAATGAGGAATGAATAGAATTGCTGAGAGGTGGTGAGATCATTGTTCTAGAGCATGAATTGCTTATAGGGGCAATCATAACATGCATGACTTTTTCCAGAAATGCTGGGCAGCTCCAAAACAAGAGTGTAAGGAACAGAGGGGAAGGGTGACCCAAGGTTTGAGATTGGCATGACAAGCCTGGTGCAAGCGTGAGGATGTGAGGGGATCCTGGCTGCTAGAATGCACAACACTGAAACACTAAGCCCTTTGTACTTGTGAATGCATTAATTCTTCGATAAGTCCCATCCTACAATGTGGAAACTGAAACCCAGAGAGGCTAAGAAACTTGCTGAGGGTCACACAGCTGATAAATGCCTGTTGTTAAAATCAAATTCCTAGGCCGGGTGAGGTGGCTCACACCTGTAATTGCAGCACTTTGGGAGGCCAAAGCAGGCAGATCACGAAGTCAGGAGATTAAGACCACCCTGGCTAACACTGTGAAACCTCATCTCTACTAAAAATACAAAAAATTAGCCGGGCGTGGTGGCAGGTGCCTGAAGTCCCAGCTACTCGGGAGGCTGAGGGAGGAGAATCGCTTGAACCCAGGAGGCAGAGGTTGCAGTGAGCTAAGATTGAGCCACTGCACTCCAGCCTGGGCAACAGAGCGAGACTCCATCTCAAAAAAAAAAAAAAAATCAAATTCTTTAACATTGCAACTATTATATTATCTCCAAACAAAGTAGCAGGGAGGGTGATGGATGAAGAGAGCAGGTTGAGGCCCAGGGACCCGAGGTCATGATCCTTGTTAAAAGCTGGCTCACTAGTTGGGGAGGAAGTGTATGAAATTGTAAACAGAGACCGGATCTGGCCGGGTGATCCTGTGGGTGTGGCTGTATCAGAATTCAGGATAATGGCTTAGAGAAGAAGGTCAAGAATCCCTGGGTTGGATATCCAGGCCAAAGGGCATCAGCTTTGCCTAACTGCCCACTAAAATGCCTGTGAAGACATAGAAAAAGACCAAGACTCACAACATCACCACAAGTGAAGACTGGTAGGCAACCTAATCCCAGAATCTAGGAGAAGCTGGCATCATTTGTAAAGCAGATTGTGTTAGATTAAGAAAAACCTACCCAGACTTTTGGTTTTGCTTCATTACACAGAAGCCACATGGTGAGATGTAGGCAGACATTAGGTACCTATCCCATCTGACACAAAGACCTAGAGCTGGAAGCCTATGGAGTGGTACCAGCCATAGCTCTGGGCAGCCAACCTGTCTGACCTCAAGGGCATTTGAGACTCAGAAAGCTGGTCCCTGCACACACACACACACAGACACACCCAGCCATACACACAGACACACAGACACACACACACACACACAGCCATGTTTCTATATCCATGATATGGTTTGGCTGTGTCCCCACCCAAATCTTATCTTGAATTGTATCTCCCACAATTCCCACGTGTTGTGGGAGGGGCCAGGTGGGAGGTAATTGAATCATGGGGGTGAGTCTTTCCCATGCTGTTCTCATAATAGTGAATAAGTCTCATGAGATCCGATGGTTTTATAAAGGGGAGTTTCCCTGCACAAGCTCTCTTCTCTTGTCTGCTGCCATGTGAGATGTGCCTTTCACCTTCCATCATAATTGTGAGGCCTCCCCAGCCACATGGAACTGTGAGTCCATTAAACCTCTTCTTCCTTATAAATTACCCAGTCTCAGGTGTGTCTTCGTCGGCAGCATGAAAACAGACTAATACAACCCATAAAGAGACTAAATCCCAGAAAACAGCTAGGAAAAATATAGAACAGCATACTCAGCCTGAGCCTGTTGTGGGGGCTTGAGGGGGAGGTAAGAGGGAAACATGGAGGAATCACCTACAGTAATTACCTGGTATGTAATTTGCCTGAATTCAAGTATATTTGCCCAGTATTGAAAGAAAAAAAGAAAAATCCCTTTACTTCTCCATGACCTTTCCCCCTTTCTCTTCCTCCATTCAAACTAGACTTGGGCTCCCACTACCTCCATATAGTTTCCTAAATACAAAAATGAACAAATATAATTTTTCTTGGTTTTTGAGCTTCCAAGCAGTTTGAGGAATTTTTCCCATCCCCCCATCCGGAACTTTAAACATCACCTTCACGTATAAGATGCAAATACAGCATCGTCTTCATGGGACCTGAAAGATGAAACCTAAATGCTGAGAGAGGCATTATTTTCCTCTGTGTGCTTTTTCTATGCTTTTTAAATGTTTAATTAGGAGCATGCACTGCATTTGAAACCAGAAAAAAATATATGATTCTGCCTAAAGACTGTTCCTGTTTAATGGGCCTGTCAGGTGACTGGGATGCAGGTGACACCTGGGGCACCTCCTGCAACCCTTTCTATGGAGATGGAGATTGGAGCAGCACGGGCACTCAGCACAGGGAGAGGGCAGTGTAAGCACCGCAGAGCTGCAGGACTCAGCCTTGTAAATGCTAGCAGGAGGCTCCCACGCTAAATGGTTAATATTTTCAGAAAAGCCCAAGGCAGATGGGGTGGGGGGAGGGTACTACATTCGTGCTTAGCAGCACAGCACAATGGACCCTGCCCTGAATTCAGAAACAAGAGACCTGAATTCTGATCCTAGCTCTCCCACTTCCAAGCTGGTGGCCTGGCTCAGTCTCTTCATCTCACTGAATCCCAGCTCCTCATCTGGCAAGTGATGAGAACAATGGTTTATGAGGTTATTTCGGAGGGTGATATAAACTAGTGTCAAAAAGAAAAATTCTCACATATAGTAAATGCAAATAGTAGATACAAATAAATGCTATTTGAATCTAAACAGCCAGGAAATAGATCCAATCTCAGAAAAAAGTGTGAGGAAGTAACAGTGGAAATCCGTCTCTCTTATTATTTCCAAATGTTCACAGTGTTAGTGCTCATAAACACACTTGCATTAGTTTGCTAGGGCTGCCATAACAAAGTGCCACAAACCGCATGGCTTAAACAACGGAAACCTGCTGTTTCCCAGTTCTGGAGGCCAGAAGTCCAGGACCAAGATATCAGCAGGCCGGTTACAAAAAACAAACAAACAAAAAAAGGCAGAAAGAATGAATGAGACCTACTATTTGACAGCACAATAAGGTGACTATAGTCAATAATAACTTAATCATACATTTTGAAATAACAAAGTATAACTAGATTGTTTGCAACTCAAAAGATAAATGCTTGAGGTGATGGATACCCCATTCTCCATGATGTGCTTATTTCACATTGCATGCCTGTATCAAAACATCTCATGTGCTCCATGCATACATACACCTACTATGTACCCACAGAAATCAAAAATGAAAAAAGATATCAGCAGGGTTGGTTCCTTCTGGAGGCCCTGAGGGAGAATCTGTCCCCTGCCTCTCTCTGAGCTTCCAGTGGTTTTCAGTGGACTTTCCTTGATGCTCCTTGGCTGGTGGCAGCATCACCGGTCTCTGCCTTCATCTCCACATGGAGTTCTCCCTGTGTGTCTCTCTATCTCCAAATTTCCCCTTTTCATAAGGACACCAGTCATTCTGGATTAGGGCCCACCCTAATGAACTCATTTCAACTTGATTACCTCTTTAAAGATTCTCTTTCCAAATAAGGTCACATTCTGAGGTACCGGGGTAGAGAGGGGGTTAGGGCTTCAACATGTGAATTGGGGGAGACACAAATCAGCACATAACAACATTCTAAAAGAACAACATTCTCAAGAGAGATGGCTGTGGTTGGGCATGAGACAGAGTGGGAGTCAGGCATGTGAGGAAGCAAGCGTTCCTGGTAGCCAAGCTAGCAGGAGCTATATCATGATTGGGCTCAGGGTAAACCCCTCGAGTCTGCTCTGCAGAGGAGAGTAAATGTGGCATATAGACTGGCCAGAGAGGCTCTGAAGGAGTCTTTATAGGGATAGGATTTTGCAGCGGAGGCCAAAGGTCTGCTGAGAGTGTCTCGAGGCTGTAGGCCTGACATGGGAGGGCTCCTGGGATGAATGGCACAGCACCATTGTCCGAGAACAGGTTTAGACACCCAACTTCACAAGGGCAGAATGGCCTTATCAGCAGGAAGATGCTATGGATCACAGGTGCACAGATCCCAGGGTGAAGGTTGGACCTCCAGGAGTCCAAACCTGAGGGATTGCTGAGTGCAGAATGAGCCAGGAAAAGACCCCTTTCTGACTCAGAGAAGACTAGGTTCTTCCCACCAGGGCCTATTAACCGAAGAAAAAAAAATCTGCAATGTTTTTTGCAGAAAAAAAAATCTGCATTTATCCTTTGAGTTACATACAATCCAATTACACTCTTTAAATTATTTAAAAATATACAGTTGAGTTATTATTGACTATCGTCATCCCATTGTGCTATCAAATAGTAGGTCTTATTCATTCTTTCTACATATTCTGGAGGAAATTCTGGAATGCACTTAGGATACTACTACACCCTGCAGTGGAGTCACCTTAAATTCATCTTTGGCTAGGGTTGGAATTGTTTTATCTAATGTCCAATGAAGACAAGGTTCAATGGACTGATATCTAAGACAAAAGCATCTAAGATGAGACTCAGGAAAGAGGTTATAAGAATGACAGACTAAGCTTCATTTGCACAGCTAGATCATTCATTCATTTATTCATTTTCACAGTCATTCAACAAATGTGTGGAAGATGCCAGGCATGCAAATATCAATCATGTGATCCCCAACCTGGAAGAGCTCACAGACTAACTAGAGAGACAGAGGAATGACCAAGCCCTGGCAATGCAGTGTGACAGGTACCATCACTAGACTCTCAAAGTGTCTGGAGAGCCAATGGCACAACATGATACTCTGCCCAGGAGACAAGGGCCATGGGAACATGAGGCTGCCTAAACCTTTACAAACTGCCTAGGTTTGTTACCACTTGTCTCTTGCAGTGATTTTAAGAAACAGCTTATAACAAAAAGGCTTGTGTTTGGCAAAAGGGGTGTAAGGAAGGTGGGGATGTTTTCTTACTGTGCAGCCCATCAGACAGACAACAAAAAGTTGAGCAGAGAGAACTGATGAGGAAAGAGAACATCATCTCTGGGGTCTACAAGAAGAAATTGACAAACAGAAGTTTTAGATTTATTCATTTATGAGAAGTTACTCAGGGTCCTGATGTAGCCAGAACAGCGTTAGGTACAGGGATAGGACTGTGTGTGAAATGAAACCTTATCTAACCCAACAGAACCCTTGCCTTACCAAACCTAACAGTCATCCTTGACGGAAGCAGACATTAATCACTAGTTATTCAAAGATAGAACCACAAGCGGTAACAGGTAAGTCAAGGCAGCTGGGGTGTGGGTGGAGGGGGTTTATCCACCAGGAAGCCCTGGCTGTCCTCTCCACAGGTGCTCTCACTCTCGGGGATGGAGTCAGGCCAGCTGGGCTGCACTCCTGTTCCTCTCCAGGGTGGGAGGGTTGGCTCGGACAGTCCCCCTTCCTCTGCTGGGCTCCTGCAGGGGTCTGTATACACACTGACCCCTCCCCAGGCAGAAAAAAACTGCTTAGTTCCTGAATGCCTCTAATGCTTTTCTACATGCCCTTCTAGTATGGACCATGGACAATGCTGACCTGAACGGTGTCCACTTTTATGTTTTTCTTCCCTATAATAGTAACTTCTTCAGGTCATCTTTGTGCCAAATGTCTATTCAGTGAACAAAAGAGCAAAAAAAGATGTCTTTTATCTTATTCTGTCAACACAGAGAAACAAAGACCTAGAATATTGTTTTCATAGCTCTATCAAAATGAATCAAGGTCAGCAAATTTAAACGTTAAACTGAAACCAATAAGATGAAATTTAACAGAAATAAATGCAAAAATTCCTTATTTGGGTTACTGAAGTCAATTATACCAATTCAGGATTCATAAGGAAAGAAATTCATTCATTCAACAAACGTTTATTGAGCGCCACCTACGTTCTAGTCACTGTACCAGGTGCTGGGTACATAGCAGAGAAAATACAATGTCCTTGATGTCATAAAACTTAAATTTGATTATAAAGAAAGATCTAAGGATTTTAACTAATCATAAGCTTAATGTGAGTCTTCAAGGTAATATGGCAACAACAACAGCAGGAAAACAAACAAATCCTAACCTGATTTTACATGCACCAAGAGAGGTTTGTTCAATGACCATATCATAGCACACCTTGTATTGCCCTATGCCGTTCAGCTGACATCAGTAGCTTGGAGTTAGCCATAGGTCCCTTGTATCAAGAGGGACTTTGACAAACCGAGTAGTGTATTTAGAGAATGTGGTCAGGCCTACCTGAGGTGTGAGAAGTGATTGAAGGAACTGCATGTATTTGACCTGGAAGACCAATGGTAAGAGATGTGACAGCCATCTTCAAATATTGAAAGAGTTGTCTGTGCAAGACTTGATCACATGGGTCTGGAGTTCACCGGGTAGAAATTACAAGGAAGCAGGAAGAGTCTCACAGGAGAACTGCTTCATAAAGTTATGGGAAAGCCTCCTTCCTTAGGGAAAAGATATTCCATCCTTAGAGATGATGCAGAAGACAATTGTGCTGTCTGAGATCAGAGTAGAATCAAGAGATCAGACTTGACTTTGAGTTTAGTGAACTGTAAAATCAAGAATTTCATAGCATATCCCCTATTAATCAGGAAGGCAGTATTTAGGAGTAGAGGCTTTGGAAATGGATAGAACTAGATTCCAGGCTGGAACTGGGAAAAGTTACTTGCAGACTTCCAGCCTCATTTCCTCACTTGTAAAAGGAGGGTGGCTATAGTTCCTGCCTCGTTCCTGAAGTGAGGATTCAATGAGAAAATTCAAAGTGCCCAATAAAGCACCAGGCCCCAGTAAGTCATTAATAAATGATGGGTAATGGTGATATTAAATGCTGTCCATTTTATTTGACTATCTTTCAGTTTATTTAGGTAAATCATTTTGCTGTCTGTAATTCTGCAAACCTCTATTATACTAAGACAATGATTTAGCAATTTAAAAATGTAAAGTACAAGTCCTTTAGAAAGTTTTGAAATGTTTTCTCTGGAGAAATTAGAAAAAAAGTGTGCTTAAGGATGCAATTTTTGGGGCTTGTGATTACACTGAGATGAAGCTAGGAAGTTATTAATGAATGGAATGACTGAGCTAGGTTGGGTCATGGCAACCTCAGAGACTTCCTTTCTCCTTGGAGACCCCCACCAGGCAACAGAATTAAAAATCAATCCAGCAGACTGATTTTATGAGGATTAAATTATGTCAGACCAATTTAATTTCCTTCTGTAACAGAGGGACAGACTTTGGTGACACAGGAAAGCAATGGATATCACATACCTTGGCTTCAGCTAGCTTTTAAATTCTAGCCTACGTAACAGTCAAATCTAAAAAATTAATTCAATTCCATTGAGTAGTGGAGATGATCTCCAAAAACAGGAACCACAGGCTCAGGATCATTTTTTGAGTAAGAAGATGCAAGAAACCTTCTTCTTTGTGGAACTGGGAGAAAAACATGCCCCCTCCCTGCAGTGAAATTCAGAATTCATTCAACAAATATTTGCTGAACACCTGTCATGTGACACACCCTCAATCTGGATTGGGCTAAGAGAAACACAAGTGAGATTTAAAAGCAGATATGATTAAATGGGACTTTTCTTGGGCAGACATGTTTGTGGAGTTGAGGTTGTGGGTTCAGGGAGGCTACAGAAGAAATGGAATCGTTGGGTTGGGCCAGGTGTTTGAATGGAGTAGGGTAAAGTTGGGGAGAACTTTTTAAAGAGAAGTTGTGCGATCAGAAAGGCCGTTGGAAGAATTCAGGCTAAATTGATTCAAGTGGGAAAACCTCAGTAGCAAGTACTGCAAAGAAGAGGCAGAAGGGGCTCTAGGAAGAGCTGACAGGACGGAGGACAGGTTCAGACAGAGCATCCATTCATTCTGAAAACTTTTACAAGTCCCAGATGTGTTCAGCACAGAAGATGCAAAGATGAATTAGCTTCTCCCCTAGCCCTCAAAAGTCCTGAAGTAGCCAGGAGAAAAGGTGGCTTCAGTTTGACACCAAAGGAGAATCACTAAGGTCCCAGAAAGAAGGGATTCTTGGGAGCTGAGGGTAAAGTCTGTGAGTGGTTGAAGGAGTGTTCAGATGGGGATGATTCCCCTGAGAGTCTCATTTGACTCACGTGGCTGACTTCCAGAGACCTTCTCCAGCTCTAGAATTCTAGTAGTGAAGCCATTTTTGTTGATTTCACAGTCTGGACTCTCCTGAATCTACTGGCTCTTTCATTTACTCCTACCCACCTCTCCCATCAGAAAACAACTTCTGTAAACAGGAAAAAGTGGCATTCTGGCCTCCTATCACAACGCAGCCACTGGGGGCTGTTAGGTGTCCCCCAGCAGCTTGGGAGTAAAATCATGAGTAAAGCACTGGCAGGGGGTGGGTGAGGTGGAAGTGAGGGGGCAGAGAAGATGAAAGGAATACAGAATCCTGGCCAGTCTCCCAGGGTGGCTGAAACCCAGGAGATCTGTAGCTTTCACGGATGACCCATTCTGACTAAAGATGACCAGCTCCCAGTCTGAAAAACCCACAGAAGTCAAGCCATTCCCAAAGGCCCTAGGGAATGCCAGTACACCCCCAAAGAAGGCCTTGATTTAATCTTGGTCTTCAGAAATATCCCTCTCCCCTGAGGCTAACAGAAATTCCCAGGGAATTAAAATGACCCTGCCCATACAAGCGTCTTGCCAATTTCAGGGTGCTGTCCTGGGGCTGAAGTGGAGCTTCTCCTCTGGAGGATGCAGGCCTTCAGGACCACCTCTCTGGCAGGGCTGGCCCATGTTTGGCAGGGTACCATGAATGAGTGTGTCTGTCCCAGGCCCCACCTGTTGCAGTGACCAGATCTCATGATGGATGGGATATGAATTAGTATGGCAGAGTAATAAATCAAGGAGTGTCAGGAAAGTTGTGAGGAACATGTATGTACATATAGAGCCATCCCATAATAACTCTTTCATACCCATACATATGCATATACGCACATACACACACACACCATATACTCCCAGTCACCACGGCAACCATTTCTTAAAGCTGTACTTACGGGGTTTTGGTTGTTTTTTATTATTATTTTTTTCATGCTAGATCTTTTCACCCTTATTTCTTCGGAGTACATCTCTGGCCTTTGACTCTCTGCTGAGAAGTACCATACCTCCTTGGGAAACCCTGTCACATCTAACATTTACCAGGTCCCTCTAAAAGGCTCATATCTATCCTCATGCTGACACTGAATTCAGCCAACACACCATTTGGTGACTTGCTAAAAGCATTGGCAATACAAAATAACCATTCTGATTGCCACTGTGAGTCAGAAAAACTGGAGACAAATATAGTGTAATGTATTGTACAGCTTTCACAGACAGTCCTCAATTTTAAAATAAAACCAAGTCACAAAGTTAATGTGGAAAAGGAGCCAGCTTTGGTCCTTAAAAATGGAGAAACCTATTCTTGATTAAAGTGACAGCTCTATTTAGTAGGCATGGATTTAAGATTCTTAACCTTGTAAAAGTAATTCGCATTTCCTTCCTCTTCCATATGTTATACATTATGCTTCAAATTAACCCTATTTTCCATTTTAGATTTCATTATTCAAAAATGCCAATAATATCAGTGGGTGAAGAAACACTTAAAACATTTTTATCCAAATATTGACCTTGCTTTGGACAACATCCATGTAATAAGTAGTGAGATTTTTTCCTTTTAATGTCACCAATATGTTTATGATTAAAGGTCAGTCTGTGGCAACAGTTTGCATCTCTGCGCTATAATTACTTGTTCTGCTAAAAAATAAAAAAATAAAATAAAATAAAATCCTGACTTATGACCTGACCAGACAATTCTTTGCATCTCCTTTTATCAGATTTCTGCTGGATGAGGAATGACCTAGGCAAGAGTATTTAATTTATAGTCAAAATCCACATGTGTGCCCTGCCTCCTGCAAAGCATTGGGACACCATAGGGTAGGGAGAGAAGTCCTTTGCTATGGAACAACTGCTCCAAAAGTAACCTAAAGTGCAGAACTAGCGATGGGGCGGGGTGCATTTATTTTGACCTAAACTGGGATTCTGGTCTTTGAAGCCCGCGAGTGGGCTCATTTCCTAGAGGGAGAAAAGGGGAAGCGACAAGAAAGACTCCACCCAGGCGATCCCAGGCAGGCGCCTTGTGTATAAATCCAGGGAGAGAGGGGCACCAGGTGGCCAATGGATGAGAAGTCACCCGGCTGGGTACGCAGGTGGCCAGGGGATGGCAGATGGGCCAAAGCGGGGCGGAGGCGGCCCTGGGCGGATCAGGGGGTGGGTGGCTGAGGGATATGTGTGCGGAGGAGGTGGGCTGTCCTCCCACCCACCGGTCTCCCGACCAGCGAGCAAGCTTTGGACAAGGCCAAAGAGCATTGGGCTGCTGGAAGCTGGGGCATCGGCGCAGCCTTCGGTAAGGGGCTCTGGTCGACCCCACTCCCTGGGCTTGCATCTGTCCACTGATCAGTGGGCAGGTCCTGCCTCTGCTTCCTCCCAGCCACCCCCGCCGCGCCATCAATTCCTCAGGGAACCGGCTCCTCTCTCAGTGCCCGGGCCAAGGCGCCCGGGGTAGCGGGCGGGCGAGGGTCTGCAGGGGCCCGGCCACTTACCCGAGTGCAGGCCGCCCGCTTCGGGGCCGCTGTCCGGGGCGGCGGCGCTGGGCGGCGCGTCCGAGTCGGTGTAGGTGAGCCAGGTGGATTCTGTCTCCCGGGTCCAGCTCTCGTAGTAGCGGGGCTCGATGGCATCCGCCCGGCTCCCGCCGCAGCCCATCCTCCTGCGCCGCGGGAGCGCCCAGCGGCTGCTCGGCTGTCGGCTCTGGCGGCGGCTCAGCCCCGGAGGCGCAGCCCCGGCCCGCAAGGAGGCGGCGGCGGCGACATCGCGTCCCCGCTCCCGCCCGCGCTGCAGCCGCGCGGAGCTCCTGCGGTGCCCGCCGCCCCTAGTCCGGGCCCTCTCCCAGCCCGTCCCTCCTCTCCGCCTCCAAGGCCCTCCCTCCCCTCCGGTCCCCACCGCCCAGTCCTCCCTCCCAGCGCCCTGGCCGCCCCAAGGCCCCCGCTCGCCCGCCCCCTCCCTCAGGGCTCCGTGACGGCCCGGGAGCAGGAGCAGCGGCCCCGCAGCCGGAGGAGGGCTGGGGCTCCCGAGGCGCTCGGACCCGTCTGGCCGGCATTACCGTTCCCAGTCTCTGGCCCATCTATCCATCCATCCATCCATCCATCCATCCATCCGCTCACCCGCTCATTCATTCATCCATCCATCCATCCTTCCTTCCTTCTTTCCATCCATCCTGGAAAGAACTGAAACTCTTATCACGGGACCCCAGGCTTTCTGGCCACCTGTTACAAAAGCAATGGAACTGGGAGCAACCCCGCAAAACTGGTCAGGGAGTATTGCCACTAAGACTTAAGGAACAGTCAGAGCCTATGCCTGTCGTATCTGATTTGGGGAGGCAGGAGTAGGGCTATGATTTTTAAGAGAGTTAGGCTAGGCAGTGTCACTTACACCCCTTCCAGCTGTGGTACTTCATGATCCTCTGAACTTTAAACTCGAGAAAGCAATAGATCACCTGGAACCACGCAGCATCCTGAACCCCCTCTCTGGGCAAGGCTTGGAGGCATGGCCGGTCCCTTCAAGCCCAGGGTGGCCTTGACATTCCCGGGATCCAGTTGTCAGCCTTTCTTTTCTCGGTGCACCCTCAGGTCCATGCGGGTTCAGACCTAGAGCTCAGACTTGCGTAGGCCAATGAATTTACCTGTTCCAAGAATCCAGAACAGGTGGTGAAAGATGAAAATCTTCTTAGCCTTCAAGAGGGGGGTAGGAAAGGGAAGGGTTTGGAAGAATAACTCTTCAATGACCAAGCTCTGCTAGAATATGGTATTAAGTATCATATTCATTCATTCATTCATTCAATGTATATTTACTAAATTCCTATTGTGGCAAAAGACTGTTCTAGTAGACATAATACATATATAATATATTTTGTATATTATCCATTGTATGTAGACTATAGGGTGTGATGTTTAATATAGCATGTAAAGCATAGAGAATATAGTACTCATTATATCCTATATAATTTATAGAATGTACGAGAGTACATTGTCTATAACATTTAGCACGTAGCATCCAATAGGTAGGGCAAGTTCAGAGCATTGCCTGGCACAGAGTAGGCCCTCAGTAAATGTCCAGTGAATTAATAATGAAGTATCTTTTTATAGTAATTTGATTCACTTAAATTATTGTAATTTGGGCTAAAGATGATCCAGTTGAGGGTAGAGCTGTCAGACATTCCTCTGGCAGGCACTCACCAGAATCCATAATGTGGAAGGGAGCAAAGATTCATGGAACTGTGGCCAGGGTCTCCTCCTCCTCATGCTGAGCGCAGCACCCGTTCGCACCCCAGGACTCAGGCTGGCCTCCTCTGCAGGCTTTGCTTCTCCTTTTGAGATGGCCTTGACAGGACTCTTCAACCTTGTTTTAGGTGTAAGGTGGAGGGAGTGCAGTTATCCGGGAAGTGGTGGCTTCCCTAGTCCTTTGGAATTCAGATGCCCTGTGCCTCTTTTCCTTCCCCCCTGAATATTTTGATTTCAGAAGAACCAGCTTTCAGGGAGAGAGAATACTTAACATCTCTAGCAGAGCCTGTGCTTTCCTCAGTTCTACGGCACAGTGCTCCTTTCATAACCAGCCACTTCGTGATGTCACCACCCAAAGAGCAGACAGACCAGAAAGAGTGTCTGAGTTAGACCGTCCTGGGGGAGTTCTAGAAAACGAAAGAAACTGAAAGAGCTAGAGCTTGGTGAGCACAGGAAACAGAGTAAACGTGAGGTGAAGTGGAGGGGTATCCTGGGGCCAAATAGAAACCCACATGCCCATATGTCTAAATTGTAAAAGCTATAAACCAAGTGAGCAAGTTTAATTGAAACATGGGCTGTCCTCATACCTTGACAAGTTATCTTCATAAAAACTTAAAAGGCCAGGTTCTAATGTAGAGTTCTCTCAGTCTTTGGAGTTCTGCACTGAACATGGCAGTGGGATTGTGGGTGGAATTGACCCACCCACTCCTCTTTCTATCCTCAGTTCAGTCCTGCTACACACGGGTCCTTGTGGGCCCATGGGTCTAAGGTCTGTCCATACTCCCCTCCCACAAATAGCTGCCCTTGGCCATCCCTCTGGCTGAGGAGCATGTGCCTGGGGGATGTGGTCTGCCCTCATGGGGTTTGCTTCCAGTACAAGCCCTGGAAGTAGGCTCAGTGGGTTTGGAGAAGAGAGTTGCAAGGTCTCAACTACCCAACAGGGAGGTTAGAAGGGGCTGAGACTCAGGCTCCAGGTACGTGCATTCTGTGATCCCTGGATTCCTTGGCCATAGAGAGGACCAGGGCTGGAGAACCAGAGTGGGACCTCTGGGGCAGGAGCCCAGAGCAGGGACCCCTCTTGCCAGGCCCTGTCTACTTACTTGAATGGAATTATGAACATTTCCAGAATACAGGAGATGGTTATCAAGTACTGCCTGGCTAAGGTTGAGTGTGGTCACTCATTTCACACACATTTCTGATCATCTATTGTGTATAGTTTAAGCTTCTTAAAGACAAAGATATGGTGACATGCTTGGAATCTTCAAAAGGGATTAACTTAATGCCTTCATAGAGTCAGTGCTCATCAAATGTTTGCCTAATGAATGAATAGCAAAAGACAAGGTGGGGATACAGTTAACAGTGCAATTTCAAGAGCCTGACTCTCTGAGTTTAAAGTTTGGCTCTGCTACTTAAGTGGATGGTCTTGGGCAAGCTACTTAACCTCTTTATGCCTCAACTGCATCGTCTGTAAATTGGAATAATAAATTGTGTCAGTATGTGTAAAGGGCCTCAAAGAGTGCCTGGCACATAGAAACACTCCATGAATGTTGCTATCACAACACTTTTGGGGCAACAAGCAACAATGTCATCTCTCTTCCTTAAGAGGGAAATCCCTGAAATTATTATGTCTTTTCACATGAGATAATGTTTGTGAATTTGCTTAGCACACTGCAGAAGTTTGGTAAATAGGTAGGTTTTTTTCTTTTCTTTCCTTTCTTTTTCCTTCCGTTATGATGTTACTGCTAACAACCTTCCTGCAAATAAATTTTTTTACCCCCATTTCTAAGTAATCATCATCGACAGAGCAGTTAGATTTTTTCATGGAATCTCTTTCTTGGCATTACGTAACACCATTGATTCAGAGAAATTCAGAAGCCAGAAAAAGTTAAAGAGCAGCCAATCCAGTCCTTTTATTTTACCAACTAGGAAATCGTAGCTCAGAAAGCTGTAAAATTGCCCAAGGTCACACAGGAAATGTTATCTCTGGCAGAGCTGAAGTTTCAGCCAGAGCTGGGGGCCTGTGGCTGCTGGCTCCGTGCTCTTTTAATTACAGCTCTTTAGTTGGGATTGAATTTTCTCCTAAACCTTCAGGAATAAATGTCATAAATTAAATGTAAATATGTAAAATGTAATACATTATCTTAAACCCTCTGTTCAGAATCTGTAGCTTGACTGGCATGAATTGGTTATCTTTTTCCATCAAGTTTGAAAGCAACAAAAAAAGAATTCTCCTAAGGAGAAATGCTGCAACAGGGCATTGGAAAGCCTGAGCCAAAGCCATCCAGAGCAATGAAATAAATTACACCTGTAAAAACTACTGCAGAGTGGTATTTGCTATATGATGGGATTCTCAAAATAAATTCTCTCTGGCTTTAAGAACCCCTGTGACTGGTACCACCTCTGGCTCATTTCTATGGAAACTGAAGCAAAGGCCTGTAGTGCTTCTCCCTCCAAGGTCTCATTTCTGTGGCTTGGCATCACTGGACTCTACCCGACTATTGTGAGCTGTAGAAAACAGACCTTCAGTAAGGCGGACAATCAGGACAGAACAGAAGGGTTAGCAGGAACCTAAACCTGCCTTTAGAATCAGCCATCTGAAAAGGAGTAAAGATAGATTCACTGCCTTACAAGTTTCCATCTCTTTCCAAGTGAAAAAGTAGCATAATTGAAGAACAACAGTAGCAATAATTCTGGCCAACAGGGTACAGATCCTAGGTAAATCTCTTTGGTCTTGAATGCCAAATCTCAGCAAGTTTCCCCACTGCTACAGATTCAGTGAACATACCAGAACCAGAGCTCCGTGCCCACCCTCTGAAGGATTTTAAAGCAGTTTCCACAGAGCACCCCTCCAGGTCCTCGATCTTGGCTAGTTGACACATCCTCATTGATCCACAAATTGTCATTTAGATGTAAAGGAAGAGGGCTCAAAGTTAGCACCCAAAAGCACAAGATCCAATTTCGTTCCCCACATCTGGAGAAAAAAATCAGAAAATATCATTTGACATGAGCTCATTCTTGCATCTGTTGCCTTGAAGAATGACTGCTTTCCCCAGGGCATGAATGGTACACCTGGAATCCAGGTGATGTGGACAGATCGGGTAAACATCATTACAGAGTATAAACAAGAAAGGAAAGCAAATATTACAACAGCAAGAAGATAAGTGAGTTTTTTATTTGGTTTAAGAGGTTAGAAAAGGTGAAAAAGGGAATGTTGCAGAAAAACAACAAAAGGAAGTAATTGAATATGTTACAACAAAACATTTATATAGAAAATGAAGTTTATATGTGGAATTAAACACTGTAGAATTAATTCACCACTAACCCTAAAATAAATTGTTCTCATGAGAAAAGAGGCTGGCTCCTTTAGGTTAATTCTAGAGAGATTCAGCAAGTTCTTTCACTGATTGCCAAACTTAAGAGTCTATCTCAGTCCCTGGATTAATGTCCTGTGGCACTTTATCATACCCCAAATTAAAACACAGGACAAAGCAAATTTTTTCGGGTGTTTCCCAGTTTCTGGTTTTACTACACTTCCTTATGGTGTAGTACTAGCTCATTGATCAGATGTAATGAATAACTGATTTGTTCTCTCACATGAGAATATGACCAACATTCTACTGGAAATGGCCTGGAGAGGAAAACCCGGTGATGATGAGGTCATGGACCTAATTTTTAAATGACAGAATAACTTCAAATTGTAGATTGTAATGCAAGAAAAGGGGGACTGAATAAGAGGTGAGAATAGATCCCAAAAGGCATATTCCCACAGGACTAATTCCAAAGAGAATTCTGAAAACCCAGGGAAGGTTTCAATAAAAACATCCACATAGCATTACACCTTCTTAAAGGCCTTTGGAACCATCGTTATCAACCTCTAATGTTGCTCAGGCCTCTTAGTAATACTGTCCTGTGCACTTTATTTTCACCAGAACAAAGAAAGCTTGAGTAATTTGCCAAAGATTACTATACATGTCAGAAAGAGAAAGACTGGGGTGTAGACCTCTTAGTCCAGAAACATAGAATTTTACTTCCCTTCAGAAAAAAAGGAAAAGCAGATTGTAGCTTCTTTCTGAACTTGAAGAGAGAGCATTTTCTGTAGATTTGAATAGTGCATTTTTACAGTGTTTACTAAGACCTATGGTTCCAATTCCATGCACCAGTTCTGATTGTACCTTCACCTTTAACTCATGAAGATTTTGACAATGTGTGTCTTAGTCCATTCCTGCTACTGTAACAGCATACCTTAGACTAGGTAATTTATAAACAACAGAAATTCATTTCTCACAGTCCTGGAGGCTGGGAAGTCCAAGATCAAGGTGCCAGCAGACTTGGTGTCTGGTGAGGGCTGCTCTTTGCTTCCAAGATGGCACCTTCTTTCTGCATCTTCAAATGGTGGGAAGACAAAAGGGATGAACACTGTGTCCTCACAAGGCAGAAGAGATGGAAGGGCTAGGTAGCTCCCTTCAATCTCTTTTATAAGAGCTCTAATCCCACTCACGAGGGCTCCACCTTCACTTTCCAAAAGGCCGCAGCTGTTGATACTATCACATTGAGGATTAAGTTTTAAACTTGAATTTTGAGAAAACACACACATTCAGACCACAGCTGTACATGAATCTGAAGAGCAGTGTGAGAATCAGCAATCACCTGTAAAAATACAATCCGATGAAAAGAGAGGAACTGAAATAGATAGAATAGATTTTGGCTGATGCTTTTGGCAGAAAATTGCTGGTGCTGGTGTACGATGCCAGGAGCCTTGGAGTGCAGGGCTTGGGTTTCTAAGGCAGAGCTGGAGGAGTGGAACAAAATGTTCTCTTTAACCACTGACCATGGCATACAGCATGGAGGAGAACTGTTTTTGGGCTCTTGAAGGTTCTCAGAGATTTTCATATAGCACAAAGCAGTCCAGATGACTGAGATTCTTTCTCTGAGAGAAAAGAAAACACATTCAGAACATTTGTTTGCTCTTTGCTTAATTCTACCACAGTTAACCTGGATCTTCAATCATTAAAGAGACATGATATGTCTTATTCCTTTCCCTTGGCAAAGAGTTGCTTGTCTACCCAGGCAGAGCAGAAAAAAAAGTCTTTTTCATATTATTCTACTGCTTCTTAGGATGGGGCAGGTCATTCGTTGTACTTGCGTGTAAAGTTAGGTCGCACCACAGCAAGGCTCAGGGGAGCAGATGGTGACTTTTATTCATCATTTCCCAAGATGAGGGAAAGGGACTACAATAGTTTACTCTCTCAATGCTATCTTGGTTGTTGCTATTACGACAGATGCTTCCATCAGAGGAGATACAGATATAGAAGAGAGAGGCTGAGACACCAGGAAATCAGGCTGCCTCTCCATCCTGCCCCCATTGCATTAATGTGGAAATGAGATTCAGTTTGCTTTTTGCTGGACTTCAGTCAACAGAAGAGTAATTGCCTTATCCTAAATGAAAAACATGACTTCCTGATTATAGTAAATAGGGAGACGGGGGTAACATGAGCAGGACAATCCGGTCTTTCACTGTAACTACCCAGCAAAACACTGCCTCTTGAGACAGCTGGGAGCCCAGGGGCTGGTGGAAAAGAAGCTGAGGCAGCCCGCAGGGCATTTTGAAGGTGAAAGTTGTCCCTACACACGAAGCTCCTGGTACACTGCCCATTAGGGTGGGCTGATCTGCTTCTGCCTGAATTTGAGGTAATTAAATCAAGGATTAGAATGATATTTACATTTGTTTTCTTAAATGAACCTATGTTCAATTAAGCACAATACCTACTTCACAGTATTGTGAGGAAGCAGAGAGACTGTGTGAACATGTTTCACACAAGTCCTAACACATAGCAACTGCTCAACAGATGGCAGCTATTATTTTAATCTTTAAAAATGTTTTATTCTTGTGATTGTTTTTCCTTGACTAACTGGGACCTTTGGGTCTTCTTTCTGTCCTGCCTTTGACCTTGCAGGGGTGAACTTACGTGCTCGCTGACAATGTCCTTAAAGTCCTGGCATCCTCAGAGCAAGACAAAAAGAGTGGGGGCAAGCGAAGGTAACCCCCAGTGGGGCTCTGGAAGTATGGAGGCCCCTCTCCTTTCCTCCTTCCTTCCACCTCTGGCCAGCGAGGCAGAACTCACAGGCAACACCTGGTTTCTGCACAGATGCAGCTGCATTTTGAACCTAGAGGAAAGCATGGACAGCGACTGGGGGGCTTGGTGGGGGGTGTCGCTCCCTAGAAGGGCACCTTTTCTGATATATGGGTCAGATGGGCCTTGGTGCACACAGGCAGGCTTCCCAGGATGGGGACATTGACAAGGAGGCAACAGTCCTCTCTCCTCCACTCCAGTGACTAATAAAAGCTAACATTTATGTAGCACTTACATGTCCCCGTCTCTGTATAATAAGCACTTTGAACATAGATGATCTCAACCCTCACAACCACACTAGGGGGTAGGTACTATTAAGAGCTCCATTTCCGTAATGAGAACTCTGAGACTTAAGGAGGTTAAATGACTTGTCCAACGTCATCCATAAACACTGAAGCCAGGATTTAAATCCAGGTCTATATGACAGCGAAGTCCACACTTCATCACAATGCCAGTCTCCTATTTTAAAGCTGTTCTCATGGGGCTGGCTATCCAGAAACATCCAAGGCTGCTGCAGCTGCTTACGTCACAGTCCGGGTGGAGAGCCTGTGAGGTCCTCTTGAAGGACGATCCCATTGCAGGAAAGCCACATGTGCTGTCCTACAGTTCACGGGAGGAAAATCAGAAATGATTAAAGCCTTGAGAAAAAAATTCCAATTCCAAGAAGCATCTATGCTATGAGTAATCCTATTCAGAATCGAGAAAAATAGAACAGTTACTGAAAACAGGGTAAAAAAATACTCCCTCCACAGTTGAGAACTCCCTCATAAACAGTCATATGACCAAATTCAGGAACAGGCCATGAATAGAAAAATGATGATTTGAATTTGTTTATTATCTATGTTGCACAGAGTTTTAGCCTGGCAGCTCTGAGGAGAAATAAGTTAGGAAAAATGATGTGTGGGCTGGTAGAATGTTTGAATTATCTGCATTGTTGATTTTGTCTCCTGATACATTCTTTCACAAGGTTGAATTAACTGATGTGCATTTCAAGTTCTCAGCTACCAGCAAGCAACTTAATGAATCTCAGAGAACTGCTGCTATCACAGAGGCCAGAAAGCAGGTAGTTTTACTCTTATCAAAGCATCTCAAAAAAGAACAGAATTTTAGGATTTTTAAAAATATATTTAAAAAGCACCCTACTGAATAAGCCCTACATTAGAAAGGACAATGTACCTCAAGAATGCATGCAGATATTCTAGGGGGGAATAGTGGTGATTAGAGAATTAAAGAAAAGTAGGTGGTAGTGGTGGTGGGGAATAGGTTAAAGCTAAATTATTCAAATATTTCTAAACATATCTTGACAAAGGTTTGGGTGGCCTCTATTTTCTTAACAGACTGAGAATCCTTCCGGGAGGAAGGTTTTAGGACAGCAAGCTTGCTCACAAAGCAAGGCCTTAGCCATCAAACAGAGGGAAGGTTCTTAGTGCAGCCTGGTGCAGGACGTTCGTATGTGCTTCCTGCCCCGCTCATTCCTCGGCTCCCCAAATTCCCTTCCTCCGTGAACCTGTGGCCAAATCCTATAGAAAGGAGGAGGCTATAAGTGAAACTTGGAAAATAATTTCACTCAAAGCTCTTTGATGTTCAGGGATAGATTCCACTCATTTGGCACTCTTCTGACCAGAAGCAACATGTACAAAAGTGGGAGAGAGATGTGCTTTGGCACCTCTAGAGCTCCATGTCCTAGCAGGAGACTAGTACCCAGAAGTGGTAGCATCCAGGGAATTAACAAGGGGCCCTAGTGGGAAAAGCAAGTCTGGTGCAGAAAACATGGTAACAAGTTTGGATTTTGTTTTAGGGGCAATGAAAAGTATTTTCATTAAAAGAGAGAATAATTTGATTTTCTGTTTTTGAAATATCACTTGTGGCTGGGAGCGATGACTCATGCCTATAATCCCAGCACTTTGGGAGACTGAGGTGGGTGGATCACTTGAGGTCAGGAGTTCAAGACCAATCTAGCTAACATGGTGAAACCCTGTCTGTACTAAAAATACAAAAACAAAAACAAAAAATTGCTGGGCATGGTGACATGCACCTGTAATCCCAGTTGCCCGGGAGGCTGAGGCAGGAGAATCACTTGAACCCAGGAGGTGGAAGCTGCAGTGAGCTGAGATCACAACACTGCACTGCAGCCTGGGTGACAAAGTGAGACTGTCTCAAAAAAAAAAAAAAAAGAGATAGAGAAGAAAAGAAATAAAAGATCACTCGTATGGAGAACTGATTTGGGGAGCCCAGAGAAAAAGCAGGGAAATCAGTTTGGAGATTGTTACAATAGTCAAGGCAAGAGATAATAGTGATTCATACACTAAGGCAGTGGCAGTGATGATGGAGAAAATGGATAGATTCAAGACACATTCTGGAGGTAGAGTAAGAAGCCTTGCTGATATTTTAAATGTCAGAAGTAAGGAAGAGGGAGAAAACAAGAATGACTTTCCAGTTTCTGCTTGTATATCTAGGTAGGTGAGGAAGACTTAATGAGGAATAAATTTGGAGAAAAAAAAATCAGGATGTCTGTTTTGGATATTTTGAGTTAAACATGCCTGGGAGACAAGTAGGCAATTAGATAGAGAAGATGAAGAATCAAAAGAAGATCAGTGTTGGAGCCATGAACAAAGTGTGCAATTTCCTAAGGAGAAAGTGGTAGACATAGAGAGAGAGAAAGAGGATGGCCTGAGATCACGCTTTGAGGAAACCCCTCTTTAGAGGACTGGCAGAGGAAAATGAACTTGAGAAGTAAGCTGGGGAGGAGAAATCAAAGAAGCAGAAAACAAACCCAAAAAGGTATAGTGTCACAAAAGCCCAGAGAAGAGCACCTGTCAGGAAGAAAGCATTCAATTTTGACTAAGGCTCCTGAGTGTTTGTGTGAGTCAAGGATGAAAAACAGCCCATTGTTGGGAACATGAACATCACTGGTGAATTTGGTAAAAGTGGCAGTGGAGGGGTAGCTTCACAGCCAGAGCAAGTGGGTTAATGAGTAGATGGGAACACATGCATGTAATTTTACTTGTTTCTCAAGCCAAACACGCACACACACAAACACTAAAGTGATTATCTTTAACATAAACCCATGAGGATGGTAAGACGGGGAGAGGACAAAAATGCCACAGTATTTTGAAAGCTGGAAACCATTTGGAGAAGTTTTAGCTAATTTAGTGGGCTGAAGAAGGTGGAATCCTATGTCAGTAGTGAGGAAACTTAAAACCAACACCATTTGCACCTCAAATTTTTCAAAGTCTCAGGAGTTAGTGGCACCGGAAACTTTAAAAATAGAGGTAGGGCAAGTGGGTGGGAATTGGCATTAAAATAAGGAGAATTAGTTGAAAGCAATTTAAAAAGGAATTATATTTGCAGACCCCTACCATACTCTTAATAGATGCCCTTCCCCATCCTGGCAGAAGACTGGATTCATTCTCTGGAAAAGATCAAACAATGAGTCTCTTGACTGGAATATCAAATAGGACAATTAAGAGACTGTATGCTTACCTGTGCTGAGACTTTCAGGCTTCTTTCCCTCCTCACCTGCCAGAGCACACGTAGGAAAGATTCTCTTGGAAAACCAACCAATCCAGAGAAAACACCTAACGATACATCAGGGCTGCCCAAGGAAATAGTCAAGCCAGATTGCCCTACTGTGAAGCTCATAGTGGGTAAGTTCCACTCAGGTGAACAAAGCTTCAAATCAGCTTTTTTGGTTTCCACAGTCAAGGATAAGCAGACAGCAGGTATTAAAAGATATCTGAAGAAAGACTCTAATGCAAAAGAGCTACTTGGAAAAAAATGGGAACTATATAAGAGGAAGAAAACGTCAAGAAAACTGTATTTAATGTCCTCAGAGAGATCAGAGGAGATGTTACAACCCTAAAAAAAGAAAAGAATACAAATAAAATAGAACCTTTAGAGAACAATCAACAACCACAAAAAGCCCTTGGTAATTAAATATATGATGGAAGAAGTGAAAAACTTAGTAGAGAGCTAGAAAAACGAAACTGAGGCATGAAAAGGCCAAAAAAAAAAAAAAAAACAGAATATAGAAAAGAAAATTAGAGGATCAGTCTAGGAGATCCAGCACCCAAATAATAGGGATTCCAGAAAGAGATAAGAGAGCACAGAAGGGAAGAAATCACCAATGAAATAATTCAAGAAATTTTTCTAGAATTAAACTGTCAAAACGGATTAAACGTACCCCAAAGAATGCCATCATAAATTTTCAGAAACCTGGGGACAAAGAGAAGATCCTACAAGCTTCCAAGAGAAAAATGTGTCACATACATAAGATTAAGAATCAGAATGCCAGATAGGAATGGTGACAAGTGTCTATCATCCCAGCTACTTGGAAAGCTACGGTGGGAGGATCCCTTGAGCCTAGGAGTTCAAATCCAACCTGGGTAGCATAGCAAGACCCTGTATCTAAAAATAAAAAACAGAAGTTTTAAAAGAATCAGAATGTCTTTGGAATTCTCAATCACAAGACTAGAGGCTAGAATACAGTGGACTGTAGCCTTCAAAATTCTGAATAAATTATTTTAAGCCTAGATTTTTTATTCCTAGCCATCAATTAAGTGAAAAGTCAAAATAAAGGCATTTATATTTGCAAGGTCTCAAAAATTTTACCTCACATGCACTTCTGAAGAAGTAACTAGAAGACGCATTCCACCAAAACAGGAAAGAAAAGTTTGGAGCCAGGACCCAGGCAAAAGATGAAGGGAATCCCTAGACTGATGAAAAGACCTCCAAAGAAACTGTTCTATTCATAATAACAAAGACATAGGATCAACCTAAATGCCCATCAACGGCAGCTCGAATACAGAAAATGTGGTACATACACACCATTAAATGCAGCCATTTTAAAGAGTGAGATCATGTCCTTTGCAGTAACATGGATGGGGCTGGAGGCCACTATCCTTTGCAAACTAACACAGGAACAGAAAACCAAATATCATATGTTCTCACTTATAAGTATGAGCTAAATGATAAGAATTCATGGACACAAAGAGGGTAGCAACAGACACGGGGGTCTACCTGAGGGTGGAGAGTGGGAGGAGGGAGAGGAGCAGAAAAAATAACTATCAGGTACTAGGCTTAGTATTTGGGTGACTAAATAATCTGTACACCAGACTTCCATGACACAAGTTTACCCATATAACAAATCTGCACATGTACCCCTGAACCTAAAATAAAAGTTAAAAGAAAAAGAAAACACAACAAAACAAAACAGTGCTACACCAGGTCTTGAGGGTGGTTTGGAGACAATCCAAATTGGAGAAAGTCAGAGGTTTTGGAAGGGATTCTTCAAGAGGACAAAACTAATAGCATAAATCTAGACGTTTTGAGCAGAAAGATAAATTATGGCAGTTTGAAGTTGGACTGGTAATAAGTAGAAAACTAAGCAAATAAAAAATTATTCCCAAGGAAAATTAAAAGTTGTGTAAGGAAGAAAAAGTAGTCTAAGCTTACTAGATGACTCTGCTCTCGATATCACTATATAATCAAAATAAAGTAAACATGGATTACTGAACCAAGGAAAGTTAAGATGTAACCATGCAGGAATGGTAGGAGGTGGAAAGAATGTATGTGCATGCTGTGGGAAGGGGAAAGAATGAGAGCTAAATCCTCCTCCTCTGTAGGGGCAGTCAATAGCTACTGCTCACAATTGAGGGATCATTAAGTAGCCCAATACTAGCATTTTATTCAGAAACACAGAGCTAAATGCCAAAAAGAAAAAGCAGCTACAAGAGTTGTAAGTAGTTGTCTCTGATGGGGAAAGCAGAGGACTGTTGGTTTTCATAACAAGTCTTATAGAACTCTTGAGTCTTTAAAATATGTGCAAATAACCTTGCTAAAAATAGAAACCAAGTAAAAGCAAAGGCAAATGGAGAGTGAAAAAGGGAAAGTGGCAGCTATAGACATATATTTTGAGAGATCTGGTTCCTAAGAGGAATAGAAAAGTGAATTAGGGTAGGTGGGGTCAAGGGTGGGTTTTGTTTTGTTTTGTTTTGTTTTGTTTTGTTTTGTTTTAAGACAGGGTCTTGCTCTGTCAGCCAGGCTGGAGTGCAGTAGTATGATCATGGCTCACTATAGCTTTGACCACCTGGGCTGAAGTGATCCTCCCACCTCAGCCTCCCAAGCACCTGGAAGCAGTAAGCAAGCAGAGAGGAGCAGAACTACCCTAAGAGTAAATTATGGTAGATGTGCCACGATCGAGATCCTCACTCTTGGGCCAGCAGCGAGGGGGAGAGGCCGAAACTAAGACCTTCATTAAACCAGAACTCATTAGGAGCTCTAAATGGTTCCAAGCTGGCAGTGACCCCTGGCTCTCTGGGTGCCACCATGCCCAGCTAATTTTTTATTTTTTGTAAAGATGGGGTTTCACCATGTTGCCCAGGTTGGTCTTGAACTCCTGGGCTCAAGTGATCCTCCTGTCTCAGCCTCCCAAAGTCTTGGGATTACAGGTGTGAACCACCAAACCTGGCCAAGGGTGGGTTTTTTAAAGATGGGAAAATGTGGGATGGGAACTGTCTCCCTGCGAGGGAGTTGATGGTGCAGCAGAGGGAGGATTCCAATGGAGCAGGGTCCTTGAGAAGATGAAGGGGACGGGATCTAGAACCCACTGTGTGGGGTGGGCTTTGATGCAACAGAGACACCTCCTTTACTGGACAAAAGGGAAGAAAAAGGTAGGTGGAGACACGAGTGGAATTATAGAATTTCTCATGGCCATGCTTGTCTTATCAGGCCTCAAGACACCCAGAATAGAACATAATATAATACACCAGTAATTCTGTGAGAAGTAACACACAAACTACACCCAGACACGTGTTCCTTCAACCTTCCTACAGTGCAGAATGATAAAACTGCATATGTTTGATGAATAATTCCCTCACAATAGATGTATTACCATTTTGTCTCATAGAAATAAGAACATCTGCATTAAAAAAAAAAAGACTTCCACTGATAACATCTCAGACCAAATATTCTCATAGGCCCTTGATATGGTTTGGCTGTGTCCCCACCTAAATCTCATCTTGAATTGTAATCCCATAATCCCCACATATGAGACCCGGTGGGAGGTAATTGAATCATGGAGGCGGTTACCCTCATGCTGTTCTCCTGACAGTGAGTGAGTTCTCACAAGATCTGATGGTTTTATAAGGAACTTTTCCCCCTTTTGCTCGGCACTTCTCCTTGCTGCCGCCATGTGAAGAAGGATGTGCTTGTTTCCCCTTCCACCAGGATTATAAGTTTCCTGAGGCTTCCTCAGCCCTGTGGAGCTATGAGTCAATTACACTTCTCTCCTTTATACATTACCCAGTCTCAGGTATGTCCTTATTAGTAGCATGAGAACGGACTAATACAGCTCTCCTTCTGCAAAACAATTACATCCTAGATAAAACATAGATGAGATGGGCTTGTAGGAGATAGAGGATGTTGCCAAGGGACTCCTCCACATGAAATGGAGCAAACTATAAGTAGAAATTAGAGCTGGAAGCAGTGAGCAAGCAGGGAGGAGCAGAACTACCCTAAGAGCAAATGATCCAGATCCTCACTCTTGGGCCAGCAATGAGGAGGGGAGGCCAAACCTAAGACCTTCATTAAACCAGAACTCACGAGGAGCTCTAAATGGTTCCAAGCTGGCAGTGACCCATGGCTCTCAGAAGAAGCAGATGCAAATCTTCCCTAAAGAGAGCACCCCCAACCTAAGCCGAGAAGACTCCCACAGATGAAGATCTAATAAATACACAGTCAGAGATCAGCAGGCCCAGGAGGGGCAATACCACCATGAGTGAGAGTCGGCAGACACATTTTAAAGAAAAGATGGGAAAAGCAAATCACGAATGAAATAAAAGACCCATCTGTGGCTTTGAATATCACCTGAATAGTTACTAGAATGCACATATCTCGGTCCCATTCCAGACCTACTGAGCCTGGGAATGTCTTAATGCTCATTCCCCACAGAGAGGAAGCCAGACAGCTCGTTGCACAGACCCTATTTTCCTTTCCACAATCATCTTCCTATAGCTTTTGCTATCCTTGCAGGGAGATGTAAGTGCAGCAGGCACATCTATTCAAAGGCAAAAATAAAACTAAGAAAATAGCTAAACAAGACAGCACCCCCTAGTGCCGGGAAGGTAGGAACCAACTTGGCTTGGGTGCTCCCTGTCTCCTGCAGAGCAGAGCACGACCCTAGACTGTCCAGTCCACGAGCCCTGGAGGCATCACTATGCGGGAATGAAATGTTGGTCACACTTCAGTGACTACAATGCACAAAATACTGTGATTGAAGATAATGGGAAATGGGCACCGTAATAATAACGAATGTTTTAATTAATAGCTTAAGGTAAACTGTGTTCACCGGGAATCTAGAAGTGCTTATGTAATCCATAGAAAACTTTGCAGTGGGGACCAAGAAGGGGCTAGGAAAAGAACTCTTTTTAAAGAAAGAGAGCGTCAGGCATGGGCTGGGTCCAAAGACAATGAGCCCATTCCAAATAGAAGAGATAATTTTGAGTACAGTAGAGGCTGGTTTTAATTTACCTGGCCCAACCTCAATGGCCCTTATCTTATGGAGAGCACCCAACAGAAAAAGGAAAACTGCAAACAAAGGATAGCACTGCTTTGCAGTTTTGTAGCTTAAGGAGCATGCTATTAGGCTAAGAGGAAAATGGGAAATGGAAAATGCCTTGTGTGAAAACCAGTAACAACAGCCAAGTGTGGTGGCACACAGCTGTAATCTGAGCACTTTGGGAGGCTGAGGCAGGCGGATTACTTGAGGTCTGGAGTTCAAGACCAGCCTGGCCAACACGGTGAAACCCCGTCTCTACTAAAAAATACAAAAATCAGCTGGGCGCGGTGGCACACGCCTGTAGTCCCAGCTACTCTGGAGGCTGAGGCAACAGAATCGCTTGAACCCGAGAGGCGGAGTCTGCAGTGAGCCAAGATTGTGCCACTGCACTCCAGCCTGGGCAACAGAGTGAGACTCCGTCTCAAAAAAAAAAAAAAAATGAAAAAAAGAAAGAAAGAAAACAAAACAACAACAATAACCAATCAGCCCTATCAGGCAGGTATTATTCCTGTGATTATGTTACAGATGAGCAAAATGACTTCAGAGAGGTTGAGTAACTTGCTCAACTTTACCCAGCAATAAATTGTGGAGGCAAGCCTGTGATTATGTTACAGATGAGCAAAATGAGTTCAGAGAGGTTGAGTAACTTGCTCAACTTTACCCAGCAATAAATTGTGGGGGCAAGCCCAAGCATAGGACTTGCTCAACTTTATAGGTCATGTTCTTAATAGATGTTTTTCTGATTTGATTGTTTAAAGAGGTGACTGAATTTCATGATTCAAGATTTAGGAAAATTATTACACAATGCTTAGTGAAAATTTCTTCTCCTATCACTGCCCCCAGGCCCCCAGCTTCCCTCCTCATAGGCAACCAGCGTCATTAGATGAGGTGTAATATTCTAGAGATATTTTCTGAGTTTCATTTTGCTACACCATTCTGAAGCTCACATTTTTCACCTAGGAAAATATCTTGCAGATCACTCCTTATCAGTACACAAAGAGCTTCCTTGTTCTGTTTTCCAGCTGCAGGATTTCATCGTGTGCGGAGGTGCCATGATCTTGCTCACCAGTCCCCAGTCAATAGACATTAGCCCCATTTCCATTCTTCACTGTAGCTGATGCTCTTTATTCTGAGAAAACTCCACTCCCTCCTGAGAGATCGTGAGAGTCTCCCGTGACAATTAGCCTCCTCTAAGCCACAAGACATGGCCACGTTCTCAAGTTACTTTAACAAATGGAGTGCATTGTGAGACACACAAGAACACAGACCAAAAAAAAGAAACTGGGAAGCAGCCTGACAAAGGCAGGTGGAGAGTAGCCCCACCCTGGGCACCAGGCACCTCTGCCCATTTCCTGCCACCACCCATGGCTGTGAGGGGCTCCATGAGCCACCCAGACACTGTCACCATGTCTCCCATCCTGCCAGTTGCTGGGCTTTGGCAACTAATCAGCCTGCATCTAAAAGCAAGGTCATTTTAAGAGGGTCTCTGTGACTCTGGCCTCGCTTGCTGAGTCCAAATGTCCATACAGGAGAGGGGCAGGATCTCTATCACATGGCCCCCTTGCTACCAGTGGAGGGTGTCCAGGTTCTTGGGGTCTTGAACAAAGAACTGGACAAAGTTACAAACAAAGGAAGGAAAGAATGAAGCAACAAAAGCAGAGATTTATTGAAAATGAGGTGGGAGTGGCCCCGAGCATAGGGGCTCAAGAGCCCTGTTACAGAATTTTCTGGGGTTTAAATACCCTCTAGAGGTTTCCATTGGTTACTTGGTGTACGCCCTGTGTAAATGAAGAGGATCAAGTAAAGTTACAAAGACATTTACTGGGTTTACGCCTTGTGTCAATGGTGAGGATATTTCCTGTAATAGCTGAAGTATTTCCATTTGATTTAGTTCTAGGAAGTCAGCATGAATCAGTCTTATGTTCCCTGCCTCCAGACCGTATTCTCCTGTCTCACCCCGGGCAGACGTGGGGAGCTGCTGGCTGGTCGGCTGGTCAGCTGGTCAGCTCCCCTGGGAACAGGGCCCATCCCAATTCCCACCAGGTGTAGCCAGGGTGGTGAAGTCAAGTGGGACAACGTGAGGGCCTGTGCTTAAGGCCCCGTTTCCTCGGAAGGGGTTTGGGGCACTCAGGCATCAGGTACTGTACCTCCTGCCCAGGGATCCCAGAGCTGCCTAGAGGAATTTGAGCAGGCTGGAATTCCTGCTGAGCAAGCAAGGCCAGAGTCACAGAGACCCTCTTAAAGTGACCTTGCTTTTAGATGTAAGCCGATTCAGTCTAGGGGGAAAAAATGACCACATGGAACCACTTATAAGGCTCTCTAGCTTAAAAAAAAAAATTATACACCTTAGCTCACCAAAGTCTCCAGGAAGTAGACATTATCAGCAGCATTCCCATTTGACGAATGAGAAGACAAGCTTACAGAGGTTACCTGAATTGCGAGGATCACACAGCTAGTCAGCAAGGGAGCTGAGACTCAAACCTGCGTCTTCAGATTCTGGTTTGCGCCTCCTTCTGACTGCACAGCCCTGCAGGCTCCAGAACATCTCCCTTGCCGGCTCTGCTTCCTTTCCTCAGCTGTTGAATGGTGATGCTCCCAAGGCCGTCCGTTAGGGCCTGCATTTCTCTCCCTCTCCACACTCTCTCTGGTTGTTCTCATTTACCTCCTTGCCTTGGCCTAATATCAAAAAGTCAGTGGCCCCTAGAACTCTCTCCAGCCCAGATCTTTCTCCTGAGTTCCATACCTATATATCTAATGCCTTACTGGACACCTCCACATGGCTGTCCAAGCCACCTCAAGTGCAGTGTTTCTGAAATGAAACTCATCTTTCTCTGTAAACTGCTTCTCCTTCTGTGTTCTCTGAGTAGCAGTGACTTCACTTCTGAAGCACAGACTATGTGTTAGTTATTTCACACATGCAAGAGCGGGGTATCATCGTCCCATTTTACAAAAGATAAAAGTAAGGCTTGGAGACGTTAACTTGCTTGCACAAGGCCATAGTACCAAGTCGTTGACAGAGCCAGAGTTCAAATCAAACTCTATTCTGCATTTCTCTCACTGGCACAGGCTGCCTGGAAACCATGGGGCCTCAGCTCTTCACTCTGTTGCACGAACCAGAAGTCATGGTTCATTCTTGACTCCTCCAACCCTCCCCACCCTCTTCCCACCCTCACCCACCCCAGCTTCTCACCCCCACAGCTGCCTCAGAGCTGAGTCAATCAGTTCTACCACCTAAATGCTTCGCAAGCTGTGCCTTCTCTCCATTCCTATTGTCACTTCCTTGGTTTAGCCCCTAAATTATGTCTCCCTCATTACCTGAAATAACTTCCTAACTAGTTTCTTTGTCTCTAGTAACAACCCCGCTTCAAGTCCTCTCTCCCTGTGAATGAGCTTTCTAAAATATACCCAATCATTGCATTCACCTGGTTAAGACCTCCAAAAGCTTCCACTACCTCCAGGATAAATCCCAAATTCCTGTTTCTGCTGATGCCTGTATATGCAGGTGATCCCTTGCTGGGTCTCTGAAATGGGTTCATCTCTTCAAGGTTTTTACTGAGACGATATAGTCCTCTTGTTGCACATTGCACTGATCCAGGCCATCTGTACTGTATTCCAATGAGCTACAGAAAAATGCTTGCGTGAGAGCCTTTCATATGCAAAAATAAAGACTGAATTATGCCATAACTATTGATAAGTCTACAGTAATCCATCATGCAATTGTTTACCCAATAGATTGTGTTTATATTGTCTTTGGTACCATGTAATTTGTAAATTTTCATGACAGTGTAACCAGTTAGGCCTAGGGTGGCAGGACTTAAGTGTTGCTGAATCATTTATTACTCCACACCTCATTGAAAAGTGCTTCATAAACTTTCTGAAACTGTTCAACAGACAGAGGGTAATTTGTGCTCTGCCAACAAAGGATTCTGTTGTTGAGTGCCTATCAGCATATTAAAGGTTCAGAGAAAACCAGCAATGCAGAAACTAGAGCAATTTTGTTCTCAGAAGATAGTTTTCTTCTGCACATCCATTCGTTAACATATTCTAAAAGAGTCTGCCCTCAACAGGAGTTTGGGGAAGCACTGGGATAGAGTGCAGAGGCCCTGAGGCTTCTGGAGTTTATCTGACTCTGACATCAGGATGCAAGCACAGACCTGCCACTCTCTCAGGAACATCTTTCGTTAACTCCCGTTTGTCTTTCAAGATTCAGTTCAGATGGCATTTCCTCCTAGTGCTCTTCCTCCCTCTCTGTCTGTCACACACTCACAGGTGCATATGCACCCACACATTTGTGACATGTATAATAATTGCATGGGATTTCCTAACACCCTCTTTCATAATACCTGTCTGTATTTTCTATTGGTTGATAGAAAATTCAGCCCAGACGGATGAGAGCCAACAGGAAATTTATAGGCATTGGAGGCACGCTGCTGCAGCAGCTCCAGCCTCACCCATCCCCACCCTGTCCCAGGTCCAAGTTCAGCAGGAAAGCAGGATTGTCTCATAGGTTTTGTGCCCTGCCTGAGGAAATTCCCCAGATTGTGAATCCCCAAAGGTAGACCAGGGTCTCTTATCCCATATCCAGCCCTTAGCACCTTCCTTGGCATGCCTTGTTTTCAACAAATAACAAATGGGGACACAAAATGTTCAAAGCAAGACTTCTACCTCGAAGGAGTTTATAGTCTAGTTCAAGAGTCACTATGTATAAACAGAATAGAAATACAATAGACCATACAAGGTAACATAAATGCCAAATGAGTGACTTGGGTATTAAGTATCAAAGGAATTCAAAGAAGGGACAGTTTTGGGAGTTGATAAATAAGACATAGATCCTGAACTAGAGAAACTGTTTCTAGTAGGAAAGAAAGGTATGTTACACAGAAAATGCCAATACAGACTGATAAGTATGGGGGCAGAGTGTTCATTACCATGTTCTGTTGGTTCTAGAAAGCTTTTCTTTTTCACTAAATGATTCAAATAATAGCAGCCTTATTTTTCTTGGTCTTATTTACTTTATTTTACTAATAAATTTTTCAAGATGAGAATAGGGGATTTCCTGTTTTGGTGTGTGACTCAGGACACAGGGCCCCACATCGCAGCCTGACACATAGCAGCCTGATTTCATTTCACTGCAGCATCACAGTTTTCCATAACTTCTCTTTTTTTTTTTTTTGACAGAATCCTGCACTGTCACCCGGGCTGGAGTGCAATGGCATGATCTCGGCTCACTACAATCTCCGCCTCCTGGGTTCAAGCGATTCTCCTGCCTCAGCCTCCCGAGTAGCTGGAATTACAGGTGCCCGCCACCATGCCTAGCTAATTTTTTGTATTTTTAGTAAAGATGGGGTTTCACTATGTTGGCCAGGCTGGTCTCGAACTCCTGACCTCATTACCCGCCCACCTCGGCCTCCCAAAGTGCTGGGATTACAGGCGTGAGCCACTGCACCCAGCCCATAACTTCTCTTTTTAGCTGAGCATTTAGCTGCTGTTAAATTCAATTAAGTCCTGCCCCTAGAAGCATGCTGTGGATGACTGCAATAACACTTCTGCCAGAAGACCATGCAGCTGGGCATGTTGACCTCACGGATTAAGGGCTGCAGACATGGTGGGAAATATTTCCTCTCTCTGATAGAACATTTTCCTCTCTGATTTTGCCACTGGAATTTGAACAAATTTCATTTTAAGGGTTGGTCTTCAATGTGCAGGATTTAGACACCAAATCCTCCTGGGCAGAGTTTGGCAGAAGAAAGAGGAAGACCTGGTGATGTATGGTCTCTCACAGTCCCCTGAAGACCCTTCAGTGGCTCCGCATCACTCACAAGACAAAACTCCAACTCTGACAATGACCACCAAGGCCCTCGCTGCCACCTCTAAGCCAGGCTCATCTCTCAGTGCTTCCTAACTTGCATTTTACCTCCAACAGCTCAAAAGTGCTCCTGCTCCCATGCGCCGTATCCCATGCCCTTGCTCGTGCTGTTTCCTGGCCTGACACTCACCACCTGTGGCCTGGTTAACTGTGTTATCCTTTAAGCCTCAGCTCAGCTGTCGCCTCTTCTAGGAATCCTTTTCTGATCCATCTGCCTGTTGAGGAATAAGTGCTCCCATGATACATTGTGTGCACCTCTATTTGTACGAATGAACTAGGGTAGGACTTACCTTTTGCTAGAGGGTAGATCCATCATTAGCATTCCACGCAGGGCACAGCATACAGTGGACATTCAACACAATGTTTGAATGACGATGAATGAATGAATGAATGAATGAATGAATCTTACACAAATGAATGCTTGCCTCTGGCACCTCGACCTCCTCCAAACCCTTTCCCTTCTGGGTGTCTGTTCCATGTTTTCACTATTTTCCTTCCTTCCTTCCTTCCTTCCTTCCTTCCTTCCTTCCTCCCTCCTTCCCTCCCTCCCTCCTTCCCTCCCTCTCTTTTTTCTTCTTTCTTTCTTTTTCTTTCCCTCTCCTGTCCCCAGATGTCATTAAAACCTTCCAATAGGAAGACATCCTACAAACTCATCAAGTGCAAACGGGCAATATGACATAGCATGTCTCCATCCACCACTGTCACCACCAGTTAAAAAACACAACACATAGTCTTAAAGCCAAAGGAATAAAATGATAATATTGCGGTTCAGCATTGGCTGGATCCATATGGCCTTGCTGGCACCTGTCTGCTCACCCACCATGCTTCTGTGCTGCTGGAGGACAGAGCAATGGGTGTGCCAGGGTCAGAGGGGATGCTGTTACCCAGCAGAAAAGCAGTGAATATGGGGAGCGCTACATGTGGTAGGGCTTAGTATTTGCATGCTCGGAGCTCTAGAGTCTGACTGTCTGGATTGAAATATCAGATTGACTGTTGTGTGACATTGGACAGATCACTTAACTTCTCTCAGGGTGGATAAAAATGCTTATCTCTGGGATAATCAGAATTAAATGAGGTAATCCCTGCAAAGCATTTAGCATAGTAAGTGACTCATCATCAATACCTGCCAAACATTAAATATTGTATCCATTAGCCAGTGCTGCATAACAAATCAGCCCAAAACTTCATGGCTTCAAACAATAACAATAATTTATTATTACCTCATGAGTCTAGGGGTTCTGTCTCTCATGCAGGTACGGTCAGATGGTGACTGGGGCTAGAATTCTCTGAAGGGTCACTGGTGTGTCTGCACCTAGGATGAGAAGCCTCAAATAGCTGATGGCTGGAACCACCGGTTCCTCCAGCAACCCTCTCTATCTCTATGTCATTTTGCAATGAAGACTGTCCAGCGCGAAGGCAGGCACAATATCACCTTCGATGCCCTAGCATCAGAAGTCTCAGATATCACTTTCTTCCTGCTCTACCAGGGAAGACAGTCACAAAAGCCCATCCAGTTTCAAGGGGAGGGGACATAGATTCCCCTTCTTGATGGAGATGTGGCAAGGTTTCAAAAGAATATGTGGGGAGGAAAAGATTGTTAAGACCATTTTTGGAAAATACAATAGGACACAGTGTTATTATAGTTACCATTTACTGAGCCATATGCCTTGTGACTTGCTTGTATTATCTCGAAGTATCTTAAAGCATTGGATTTGTTGGTTAAATTGCAGGGTTAGGAGGATATTTCTGAGCATGGAAATATACATAAGGCATGTGATCTGAAAGTCACAGAAAATAAAATCCTTTCTTTTCTACAGAAAGAAGTGGGGATAGTTGTTGATTATCAAACATACAAGAGTTACACACAACCCCTAATTCAAATTACATTCAATTACTCAAAGCAAAGTTTAGAACATTTTATTTCAACTGACTACTTGAGAAAATTAAACTAATTTATCTGTAACCAGCTAAAAATAATTTGCTGTATTTCTAACAAATAGTGTCTGTGAAACTCTAGGGTTTGTTTTTGTTGTTGTTGTTTTGTTTTGTTTTGTTTCTTTTTTCATGGCTGAGCTCCTTTAACTTTCCCAGTGGCCCAGATAAAAAGGTGTCAAAAGAAGAAGGAATATCCAAGCACTCATGTTTCTACACGTGAACAGAGGAGATGGCTATTTCTATGTCTACTGCATGAAAACCATGGGTTAGCTACTACATCTGAGATTTCCTCCATTTTTGACATTCCATTAAGGCCTTTCTAAGAAGTATGTTTATCTAAGCCAAGGAAGTAGGTTATATGGGAGGGAAACACTTTAGCTTGCATATTAGGGAACTAGTTTATCTCACCAAAATCCATGATCACTTATTGCTACCTATCAGAATGCAGTCCCTAGGGGTATGAGTGATGGAATGGAAGGGGTCTAGGGCTGGCAGGAGCCTGGGACATTGCATAATTGTGGTGGATATCTGGGCATCAGAGCTCTGAAAGGAGGTATCTTGGATCCAAGAACAAACTTCGTTCTTCACAATTTTTTCCACTGCCAGCCCTACATATGGTAATCAGAGATCTACATCAGTCAATAAAAAGGGATATAGATCAGTTGGGGGTAAGTCAGGAAAATAGAAACCCCAGGAGTTGTTTTAACAGAAAATTTAAAATAAGAATTAGAGGACTGAAAATTTCAAAAGAAAAACTGAGATTACACAGAGATCGTAAATGCAGGAAGCAGCTATCATTTCTAAGGTTGCGGGAACAAAGAAAAGAGTTTGAAGTTGTCAGAAATTAAATGCTTAAAAAACGGACCCATACAAATGGCACAACAGACCTCTAAGAAGAAGACACTGCACTGCCCAGCAGGTGCTGGTACCTCTGGAGGGAGCGTGTTGGAACAAACCGGAGACCAGACCACTTACAGCTGTAGGGAAGGGGGCTACAGGGGAAATGCAAACAGAGTGACAAACAAATAGAAAGGAGGTCCCTTCTCTGTCCTTCAGTCTTCCAGTTTCCCTCTATTGCCCAAGTGCCAGAACCTAACAAAGAATTAGCTGGCAAAAAAGAAATGCAGTTTGCAGAATATCCACCCCAGCATCACAGAGCAGAGAATAGGAGGGTGTTGGAGTGGAGGGAAAAGAGATTAGTAATTGGCCCAAGGTGTGTCTCAGGATATGCGAGTGCTGGCTGTTAGAGCCCCTTAAACATAATGTCACAACTCTTCAGGTGAGCAACTCAGTTGACAACCCACCTGGTTTCCCTCTGTGCTTTGGTGGACAGTAAACTTAGGGCTACACTTTGCTAAGTGAAAGTACCTACCTTCAGATAGGATAACTTTTACTAGACTATCTTTAAATTCAGACTTTTCCCTCTTTTCATCTCCATTTTGCTATGAAGCCCATTAATGACTTAATTTATTTCAAGTATATATTTGTTTCAGTTCTATAATTTTCATTTGGTTCTTTTTATTGTTCTATTTCTCTGCTGAGATTTCCTCTTTTGTAAGTCATCACAACATATTTTCTTTTGTATCATTTAGCGCAATTATAATACCTGCTTTGAAAATTATTTTAAGCTTTTATGAGTCTGCTCATTCCAACATCTGGGTCACATCCAAATCAATCTCCACTAATTATCTTTTTTTCTTGAGAATGTGGCACATTTTCCTATTTCTTAGTGTGTTGACTTATTTGGGATGGTATCATGGACATTGTGAATGCTGGGCTGTGCAGAGTCTGGATTCTGCCATACTCCTCCAGTGAAGGTTGATTTTCTTTTAGCAGGGAATTAACTTGGTTGGATTCCAACTGCAAACTCTGCCTCTCAGGGTGCGGCTCAAATCTCAGTTCACTGGGTTGCTTGAAATTTGCACTATGTATGCATGATTTAATGGTCAGTCAGAGAGTCGGCCAAAATATAAGGAATTTGGGGCTCTCTGGCTCTTTCCATGTCTGGATTTCCCCTCTTTCACTTTCCAGTTGTGGTTGCCCTGAATGTTATCATCTGATTCTTCAGGCCAGAAGGATTGTAGCTTTTGGATTGGCATTTTAGCTATCTGCCATGTGGTACAATGAGGCCTGCCTTTAGCTGAGAAGCCATGAAAACAAAAAAAAAAAACAACTCACCCCATGCTATTTCCATCTTCCAAGTATTGATTGTCCAGAGTTTATAGGTACAATTTGTGGGAGGGTTGGTCTAACGAGAGCTTCTTTTGCCAGTATCAAAAGCAGAACTGCAAGTTGCCATGTTTAGCTCAGACTCTTTTAGACAATCATCTCCCTGATGCCCTTCTTACTTGGTATTTGCTGTTTTTAGCCCTCATCTTACTGATTATATCATATTTGTGCTGTTATAAGATGCCTTGAATCCTCTCCAAATGCAAATGTATGCACATAATTAATAAACAAATGGATAGATGGGTTAAAAAATAAAACCCTGGTGCTTTGGGGAGAAAACTACACATACTCGAAGTAGTTTCTTTCTCTAGGCCAGTAGTTGCATGATTTGGTCTCAGACAGGCAGACTAACTCAGTGGATGGGAAGAATAGTGGCTCACAGTGAAGGGATGCCATTTCAATTCCAATTCCAGGCAAGAAAGTGCCAATTCTGTGAATAAAGGGAAAAATGGGCTTGTATTGGCTGAGGTAGCACTCTATTCCATCCCCTTCTGCTGGTTCCCCTTAGGGATCTTTGCCCATTCTGTGAGGTCCTAATAGGACTGTAGATCATTGTGCACCAGCTTCCCACTGCAGAGATGGCCACATCACCCAAGCTGGCCAATAAGGGCTTCCCATCTCTTGGCCAAAGAGGTTGGTTCAGGGGTGGAATTGCCTCTGGGATTTATAGCTCTGTGGACTCTGCTGAAACAAGCCTCCCTTCTACTGTGTTTGCTGAGCTGGGAAGAAGGGAACATGGGAGTCAGAAAGGACCAAGAGACATCTTGCCCACCTAAGAGGAAAGTTTGTTGAAATGAAGGGAAACATAAATAGCAGAGCTGAGACACAGAGAGGCAGCCCTATATTCAGCCATCTCTGAAAGCAAATTCACCCCTAGACACTTCCCAATTATATGAACCAATGTATTCTTTTTCAGCTCAAGCTAATTTAAATTGGGTTCCTTTTACTCTTAGCCAAAGAATTTCTGACAAATGCCAACAGCAGTATGTATGAGACTCAAGCACCAGAATTTGTGGTACTCAGTATGCATCAGATTGTTTGTAAACTATACAGCTGTTCTAATAATATTTTATGACTTAATGCATTCCTATTCATTTCAAAGTGCCTACAAACCTATATGACATATGACACTGATATCTTAATCATAATCTCTTCCAATCATCTCAATTCAACAACATCATAGCAAAGCACAATTTAAGAAAGTCTCATTTCCTTCTTTGAAGGCAAATAGCATTTCTTAAGTGGAGACGTGCATTTTTATTGCTAAATCAGGATTCAATCTAAATAAAATTAATGAAAGAGAACAATGGCTTCTAATACTCCATATTTGATAACTGTTTAAAACATTTCCCTTAAGTAAATACTCACTGGGCTAGTTCCCTTAAGTAAATATTCACTGGGCTATACAATAAGGAGAGTGGGCCCTGTTGATCCTTTTATTTCTGGGAAAGAAGGTTCCAAGGCTAACATTTACCTAACCACACTTCTTTGTTGAGAGAGTAATATTCCAAATGGTACCAACAGAAAAAGTCTTGACTCTTTCTGACCTCTACCTCTTTGAGCAACTTCTCTCATATTATTTTTCCCTGCGCCTGGATGAATTCTCAGAAAGGTCCCATAGCTTTTCCAGTCATCCCTTTTATTAATGAAGGGTCTTCTTTTTCAGATACTGGAAAGTCCAGAATAGGGCAGAATGAGGCCCCATAAAACTGTGGGATAGTTCAGTCTACTCTGAGATAGTTTGGTCGACTACCAAAGCTATAATCCCACATCCACTTTAAAACTCAGAACCGATATGGGCTCAAAAACTCAACACAGGGAAGGAGAAGACTGGGGACTTCTCTCCATTTCCTTATCTTGCTCAAATACTTTCCTGGCACCTCCAACTTTGGGGATGTGGATAAGGAGCAGAAAGCTCCAGTGCAGTTTTTGATGACTGCAGGAGTTTTCTGGAATCAGTGCCCTGGGCGTGACACACCCCATGCTCACTCTCTCCCATGTGGACTCCTGTAGGTTCCTTGGAGGTCCCCGATGATGTTCCTCAAGCTTTGTCATGTATGACTTCCCCAGCCCCTGGCTTCTGAAGTCCACTCCCCCCTGAGTTACTCTGCTGGGATCACCTTGCCTTGCAGATGGTCCTTTGGGGCAGAGTCCCATTCAAGTTAACTCAGTGCCTGCTCTCTTCTGTGGGGTCCTCATCCAGCCGTGGGAAGCACCCTCCTGCATCCTGGGCTATGAGTGCAGCTCACTGCATGCCCCCTCTCTTCATCCTGCCACCATAGGCCACTCTAACCAGGCTCGGCCTTTAGGGTTTGAAATGTGGCTCAAGTATGAGTCCCTTTGTCCCTGCAACTCCCCAGTGCACCTGTCAAGCTCTCTACGGGGTGTTTTGAAGCCTCAAAATCTCACGAGGCTTGTTGTGGGGTGGTGGTGGGGACAGGAAGAGGGCACAGGGAGATGCTCCTGCCTTATCCCTCCAACAGCTCTCATTCTAAAGAACTCCCCTCTGCCCGTCCCTTGCTCTGTCCCCCCAGCCTCTTCTTGTGTAGTCGCCCGGTAGGTAAGGACCAAGACCTAAAAGTCTCAAAATGGATTTTATAATCGTTTAATGAGTCCTGCATAGATAAGCAGCTATTTTTCTTTCCCTCTGGGTCTCTGCTGAAACTGTGGAGTAACAGGAGAAATTGCACCTAACATCCTGGTAGAAATGATTCACAATAAGCATCCAAACACAGTTTCCCCTGCTCCCCACTCACACCCTGAGAGATGGATGGGCCAAATGTCATAATCATCCTCCTATGTGACAGAGGAGCAAAGTGGCAATGCGAGTTACCTAACTAGAAATAGATTGAGGGGTAGGCTCAACCCAGCTCTCTTAACTCAATCTGAACGTTCTTTCTTTGGCCCAAGGCCAGTGTGCAGCTCGGAGTATCCCACGGTGGCCACCAGGGGGCAGTGACAGGCACGCTGGCCACAGCGGCCCACAGCCCAGCCAGAGGGGTCATGGAGGCCCTCCCATCTTCTCACTCAGCACCGCCAGCCATGCCAGCCTTCTGATCTTTCTTCAGACACACCAAGCCCTTTCTCATGCTAGCGTTTATGATTAGCATCCTAGGGCCACAAACTGGGCACTTAAAACAGAAATCGATCCCTCCTAGTTCTGGAGGTATCTGAAATCAAGGTGTCAGCAGGGTTGGTTCCTTCTGAGGGAGAATCTGTTCCATGCCTCTCTCCTAGCATCTGGCAACAACAGGCAATGCTGGGTGTCCCTTGGCTTGTCGTTGCATCACTCCAGTCTGCTTTCATTCTCACGCGGTCATCTTCTCTCCGTGGGTCTTTCTCCTCTTTTTAGGAGGACACCAGCTATATTGGATTAAAAGCCTCACTTACTCCAGTATGACCTAAAGTCATCTGCAACAATCTTATTTTTAAATAAGGTCTTATCCTGCAGGGAGTCAGGCGGTTAGAATTTCAGCTTATCTTTTGGGGAGGACACAATTCAAGCCCAAAACCACTGCCTTTGTCCACAAATCTCTCACTCCCACCCCCACCTCCCTGACAGCTCCGTTTCATTACTCAGGTCTCAACCTCTGTCTCTGCTTTCCCTCTCCCTGGGCCATCTCAAAGCTCAACACCAGACCAAATAGCTAGAGCAGGATCAGCTGAACTTCACGGCCAAGCACAGCTAGAAACGAACCATGCTGGCTGTCAGCCATAGGTGGTGTTGGTGAAAGGACAGTCCTTCCTGAAGGGTTGCCTGTTACCCCCAGGGCCACCAGAGTAGAGTGGGCTCTGCCATCAAGGTGACCCTGAAGATGATGATACTGCTTCCTCTAAAGAGTTGCTGGAAGGAAAAGGGAAGATATGCCATAAAAACCTACCACAATGTCTGGTACACAGTAAGCATTTAATAAATGTAAACTATTATTATTGTCATCATCAGGATGTCTGGAACCATGGATGCTGTCTCTGTTTTCTCAACACAACTCCACCCCACCAGCCTGTTATCACTGTTACTGTTTCTAAAACACTGAATGATGAGATCGGGTTTCTGTAGCAGCTTCCCCTACTGAGCCGGGAACTCTTTGAGAGTAAGGACTAGGTCTCAGTTTTCCTAGTGTCTTACATGACATCAGCTTCAGAAGAGATGCGCACATTAATTACTTAACAATTTTTAATACAGATGAGAATAAATTGAGGCTGCCATTAATTCCAGGAAAGGGGAAGCTTTTGAGCTGACTCTTGTCTTTATTCTATTTCCTTCCTTTTTTTTCTTCAATCACCTTGGCCTCTGTCTTAAGCTCCCTGGGGACAGGGCGATGGGTTTGGTTGTTAAAGTAAACCCAACCACTCTGAGGTGGTTCAGGAGGCTTCATCGGCTTCATAGACTTGAGGTTTCCAAAACCAAGAGGGACTTGAGGATGGCAGGGTAGAGGGTAACCTTGGTGTGCCTCAAGTTGTCCCCAGTAGCAGCTCCTCAGGCTGTTGATATCCATATTAGTCCCCTCTGCCTCAGGCCCTCCAATCCTCTTCTCAGCTCCCTTGCTCCTGGAGTTACTGGAGAGAATTTAGATCATTTGCCAGCCCGTGATTTCTGGACTGAAAAATGCTAGTCTGGTTCATTTTCTTTCCTTAAGACTTCAAGGAAGCCCATACTTAAGGTGAATAGAAATCTGATTTGTGTACAAAGGCCTCTTTTAAAATCTCTCTCAGATCCCATTCTGATATCTGCTGACTTCGTGATGTCTATTTTATATTTTTCATTTTTTAAATGATACATGGTATTTGTACATATTTACAGGGTACATAAGGTATTTGGAAACATATACACAATGTGTAATGATCAAGTCAGGACATTTGGGAAATCCATCACCTTGAGTATTTATCATTTCTTTGTGTTGGGAGCATTTCAAGTCTTCTCTACTAGCTATTTTGAAATGCATAATACATTGTTGTTAACTACAGTCACCTATTGTGCTATCAAACATTAGAACGTATTCCTCCTATCTAACTGCATATTTGCACCCATTCACCAATCCTTCTTCATCCTTCCTTCCCAGCCTCTAGTAACTGTGCTATCTGTTTCAAAACACTGAATTACAATTCAGGCCCATGGCCCCTACCTGAACCCTTGTTGTGGGTGGGAAACCCAGTCACCCCTCAGCTGATGGCACGATGCCAGCAGGAGCGATGGGTCACATGACAAAGAGAGAAGCAGGTTTTCTCTCCACATCTGATAAACACTGACAAGAGTTAGGTGATTTTCCTACACACAGCACTATCTTGTTCTGAGAAAGGATTTGCCTTAACCAAATACGGGGCCTGACAGCTTTTTCTCTCAAATGAATCAGTGGGGAGGAGCTGAAGTGACTTTTTGTTTTGAAAGAAATGCAATATTTAAAGAGAGAGGTTTCTATTTTTCCCCCAGGAGAAGGGAGCCCTTAATATTCCCATCAACGATGACACATGTGAATCACAGCCCTTTCTTTCCTATAAAAGCATCATGATTCAACACAAAGCCCGCCAGCTGTGGGCTGCATGTGATTCTCCTGACAATGCCGGCTTTCCCGGGAGAAGAACTCTGGGAGCACATCACTCCCAGCTGCAGGTTATTATGACCAGCTCTCTGTCTGCATCTTTTCAGAGATTGGGGATGGGCTAGGGGCAACCCTTGTGATGCACGCAGAGGGCTCTGCAGAAAGGTCGCTCTCCTGTCATCTGTGAACTAGGTCACCTTGGCTGAGAAAGCAAACTGCATTTTGTTATTGTTTTTCTTTTTTATTTCAAATTTTGTGCACAGACAAAAATGTATAATTATTTGTTGAATAAGCTTTACAGAAGTATAACTTATATACAATCAACTATGCCCTTTTCTGTGGACTACTTTTGTTCCCCCCAAAATTCGTATGTTGAAACCTAAGCCCCAGTGTGATGGTATTAGCAGGTGAGGGCTTTGGGAGGCTATTAGATCATGAAGGTGGAGCTTTCGTAAGTGGGATTAATGCCCTTGTTAAAAAGACCCCAGAGAGCTCCTCTATCTATTCCACCATGAGAGGACTTAGCAAGAAGTTGTCAAGAGGGCCCTCACCAGAACCTGATCGTGCTGGCACCCTGATCTTGGACTTCCAGCCTCTAGAACTGTGAGAAGTCAATTTCTGTAGTTAATAAGCCACCCAATTTGTGATATTTTGGGGGAGCAGCCTGAACAGACTAAGACACCCAATTTATATGCACATTTTGAGATTTGACGAATGATACATGTGTGCATCCTCCACCCTAACCAAGAGATAGAACATTTCTTCCATCCCATAGTGTTCTTGTGTCCATTTGCAGTCAGTCTCTCTCACTCCCACCCTGGCCAACAACTGAGCTGCTTCCCATCACTATAGTTTAGTTTGCCTGTTACAGAATTTTACATAAATGGGCACATATGTAGTCTTTTACGTACATGGACTCCGGTAATCTTTTACATACATTTACATAAATGGATTCATGTGCAATCTTTTGTATCTGGCTTTTTTTAAGCTCAGCATGACACTTTTGAAATTCACTAATGTTATTGAATGTATGTATAGGTAGTTTATTTGAGTGGCTGAGTAGTATTCCATTGTATGGATACGACACAACTGGTTTAGCCACTGGCCTGTTGATAGGCGTTTGGGTTGCTTCCAGGTTGGGGCGATCGTGAATAGAACTGCTGTGAACATTAATGAACAGGTCTTTCTGTGGACATGTGTCCCCCTTTGTCTTGCACACATATTATACTTAGGAGTGGATCAAATATGCTGATACAGAGCAGAAGCAGAGATTTGAGGGAAAAGTGAATATTCCAGATGACAGAAAAGAAAACTGTAATATTATAATAGAGTGGAAATCCACGTAGCATGGGTTCCTGCAGGGTGGGAGATATGGCAGCAGGCATGCAGTGTCTTGCAGTACAAATATTTAACAATTCCTTGCTTTTCTCCAGATTACATGAGCTTGGACAGGCCCCTTACCTTCTGGGACCACCACAAAATGAAAATAATAATATCTGATTCTTACTTCACCAAGCTTTAAGATAATCTCTTGGGAAATGTTCGAGTCCTTTAAGAGAACTTTAGCTATAAAAAGCCAAGGTGACATACATCGTACTTACCAAATATGGATTGAGTCCAGGAGGCCAGGCACAGACCAGACATATGGTAAGATATGTTGGGGAAATATAACCAAAAACTATATCTTCTCCTAACCCAGAAATCCTCCCCACAAAAGTAATAGAAAACAAAAACACTTTGAGAATTGAATAAGCATTAAACCAGAATGTAGCGCACATTGCAGGCAATCTGCTGAGAGATTGCAAAGACAGAAAGAAATCTCATCCCTTTATATAGTCAAGTAGGTATAACCCATACATACGTTTTCAAGATCAACAATAACTAGTTGTCAAGTAAGAGGACTAGACAGAATTATTTGCCTGTGTTAGCTAATTGGCTTTACTCAGAAGAAGAACAAACGTCCACTTTTTTGTTTTTGTTTTTGTTTGTTTGTTTGTTTGTGTTTTGAGACGGAGTCTTGCTCTGTCGCCCAGGCTGGAGTGCAGTGGCTCGATCTCAGCTCACTGCTACCTCTGCCTCCCAGGTCCTGGTTCAAGCAATTCTCCCACCTCAGCCTCCCGAGTAGCTGGGATTACAGGCACATGCCATCATTCCCAGCTAATTTTTGTATTTTCAGTAGAGACGGAGTTTTACCATGTTGGCCAGGCTGGTCTTGAATTCCTGACCTCATGATCCACCCACCTCGGCCTCCTGAAGTGCTGGGATTACAGACGTGAGCCACCGCGCCTGGCCAACGTCCCCTATCTTTATGAGAGAAGGTGGTTTTGCAACTTGGAGCAAGGTGCCCACTGAGGTTAGGCCCCTCACTTCCCTCGGAAACTGGGACCTAGGTTTACTACCTCCCTTAATGCTTACATTGCAAAGAGATGGCCTCCTGATCCTTGAGAAAGACATTCCTAGGTTATAAAGCTGGGAAATGCCAATCTAGACTTCGAAAGGGTTTATATACATTTCAAAGAGAGAAGAAAGTATTTACAATGACAAGGTTTCTGAAGTAAATGCTCCAAGAAAAAGGAGGGGAGAGAAATCTCCTATTTTTAACAAGGAGACTTAAGCCTCTTATTTTTTAATTCATGTTTGGCCTTAAAGTACACAATAACTGCTTCTTAAGATGATGCATACAAAATAAATCACGTCTGGTTCCAGCTCTCGATCTGGAGACTTAGGCTCTGGGATGAGCAAAGGTGAGGATGAAACTGAAGGCTCCAACCCTGCCCCCCTCCCCGCCACCTCTGGCTCCCACAGTGGATGCCACTCAGCATTTCTTTTCCTTTCCGATCCAACCTTTTCTGTCTCCGACTCATTTTTATTCACAAGGAGGCAGCTCCTAGGAAACCACTCTTGTTTCCCCCACTGCTAGCTCCAGGGCTTTAATTTTTGTTGGGGTCACTGCACTCCTTCAGAAGCCCCAGCAACGTCCTTAACTGACCCTTTCCCTCTGGAGGCCCCCGGGTTCCGGGAGGACACAAGACTCCCCACTGTGCCGGGCATTGTTTTGGTTCCAGGAGCCACCCCGTGCACTGGTCACTTATTAGATCCAAACCCGGTCATGGCCTGCACCCTCTTTCCTGGGCTGATTCCCCTATTGTTCTGTCGAAAAGAGGCATCTGTAAGCTGCCTGGTCCAATTACTGCGGTTTTTTTTTTCTAAAATGCTACCAATTTCTAAATATTTTTAACCGAAATTGGGTGGCTTCCCTTTCTAATTAATTCAAGTGGCTTCTTCCCTGATGGTGGTGGCTATAATTATAATCACTTAACTCCCAGAGGACTGTTTAAAACTTGAGGATGTGCAAGGTGACTTTTTAAAAATCACCCTTTGTTTACCTGGATTTGGTTTCCGGGGAAGAGAAAGCATTTGCACAAAAAACGTATTATTTTACACTGTTGCTCAGAGAACCACATGTGTTGGCTCCATTCATTTCAGCCCTGTGGAGAGCTGGGGCCGGTGAGTGTGTGTTTGGTGGTGTGTGACACCGTAGGAGGAGGGAGATGATGATACTGTCATTATTTAAAATCACTTCCACCCACTGGGCTGAGTCACTGGAACGTCACTGCATGGAATTTTGTATCAGTCCCAAAAATATACCTCTGCGAAGCTTTCTGCTCTCTCTAGCGTGCCTATTCCCTCACTCAGGCCCTCCTTAAAAGGAAGTCTGCGTGCATCTTCTATACTGAGTGCCTAGATTCTTTGCCTGCATCGTCCTGACCACGGTGATGCAGCACGTCTGTGCAACACTCGGCATTGCCAACCTGAGCTCTGAAAGGGGCAGTGTGAGTATCCCCACGTTACATGCAAACAAAACCCCTGAACATCCTAGGAGGCTAAGGATTTGACCCAAGCTAAGGAGAGAAGCCTGGGCTAGAAGCCAGTTTCCTGCCTCCTGGCCTAATCCCGAAGCAACAGGAGAGGAAAAAGGACTTTGGGTCTGAAAATATGGACCTCTGGGAAAATACCCCAGCAGGAGACAAAAACCCACTTTGGCTGAAAAGATTCTACCTTCCATTCAATTTCAGATTTCAGAACAAATCAGACCATTTCCCTTTTTTCCCCCTTGTATTTCAGATCATGATACATATTCTCTCCCTGCTCCTCAAAATCTAAAACAAGAGTCTTCCTATAAGGGCTTGGCTGGTTTCCAGAACTCAAATAACCGTTCGTAAGGAAAAGAGTGGCTTTCCAGGCATTAGGCAGTATGGCCTGGCCTAGTGGTTCTAAGAACACAGCTTTGGGGCCAGACAGGGCTGAGGAAGGTGACTTCGGGCAGGCCACAGTGATACTGCATCTAGTTTCTTCTGTGATGTGTTACCATCACAGCATTGTTACGACAATTAAATGATGACTGTAAAGCGCTTCTTAGCATGGAGCCTGCCACTTAGCAAACCTTCTAGAAATGTGGGTGATAGCGATATTATGAATTTTTAATAATTATCATGCCACATATCTGGTAGATACTGGATACTGTAAGTAATTACTCTTGTCTCACTTTTTAGGCAGCTTCTATAATGGCAGTCTTAAGATTTCCTCTGTAAAAGAATTTTAAGCATGTATCTTAAACTCAACGTCTAACCAAGCTACCAAAACAAATCTGTAATGGAAATGTTTGCTTTACATTTATCATGTGGGTGACTGGAGCCCCCTGCTGTCAGGGAAGCCCTAATTACCTGTTTTGGGGAGGTTTTGTTTTGTTATTTTGTTTTTTAAATCCAGTTTCCAGATAAATTCTTGAGCACCTTCTAGGAAGAGTCCTGGCGAGGTTCGGGAGGATTGGTTAACCCACCAGGACATAACCCAACAGGTCTCACACCACCAAGGACATGAGAAAACCTGCCCACTCCATAGTTACAGGGCATCCTCTCCAACAGCAGGGTATGTTGGGATTTCTTGACACTTTTTGAGTATTCTAGAGTCCCCCTTCCCAAATAAGAACCTCCATCCTCCTCACAAAGTGATTGGAATCCTCTTGCTGCCCTCTGTACAAAATGCGTCCTGGGGTTCTTTGCTATGTGGAAAGAACCAGAATGACCATGGCAGTCATCTCATTGTAACCCTCTGTTCTGCTCTAAGGAGGGTGGGGCCTGCAAGCCTCCCCCAGCTCCTATCCTTCCCAGGTAAGTACTAATCGCAGGCTGCAGAGGGATCTAGTCACATGCTACCAGCAAGGGTTGCAGCAGAGATGTGCCATCTGTGAAAAGGTGGCCTGCGTAGGGTTCAGCCCAGCAACACCACTGCTGATGAGCCACTCAGATGAAAAGCCTGGTTAGATCATTGGGACCAGTTATCATCATAGCATAACAACAATAAACAGACATTTACATAGCACTTACTCTGTGCCAGGTGTGGTTCTAAGCACATTACATTGATTAACTCTTGAGTTCTGTCCTCAGGCCCCAGAATGGAGAGCATCTGAACTCCTTCCAGATCCTGGGGTGAGGAAGCATGCCAGGTAAGAGGAGGAAGGAAAGGAGAGAGCTTTCTCTGTTCTGGAACATCTGCAGGCTTCAAGCCCTCCCCACCTCCTTGGAGACGTTCCTGCATCACAGCAATTAAGCTTTTCTCCTACTTCCAAATTCAGGCGTCTCCAAAATATTTTTTAGTGCAATGACTGGGATCCCTCCCCAACATCTTCACCAGACCACCAGGTGACCCTGGGGTGGCATTTGCCTTCTGTGAGCCTCACCGCTTTCTAGATCATCATCAGCATCTCTAACTGGAGCTGCCTTCCCAGCCTCTGGCCCCAGTAGGACATAAAGATCCTCAATCTGGCCGGGCACAGTGGCTCAAGCCTGTAATCCCAGCACTTTGGGAGGCTGAGGTGGGCGTATCACCTGAGATTGGGAGTTTGAGACCAGCCTGACCAACATAAAGAAACCCTATCTCTACCAAAAATACAAAATTAGCCGGGCGTGGTGGTGCATGCCTGTAATCTCAGCTACTTGGGAGGCTGAGGCAGGAGAATCGCTTCAACCTGGGAGGTGGAGTTTGCAGTGAGCCGAGATCACGCCATTGCACTCCGGCCTGGGCAACAAGAGCAAAACTCCACCAAAAAAAAAAAAAAAATCCTCAATCCACAAGGAAAGGATCAAAATGGACCTTGGGGCTGAAGGATGAACCATCTTTTGAGTCCTTTCAATACTGCTAGGAAAACACCCATGAGCTTCTCCAGAGTTAAAATATTTTCTTTTCTCTGTAACTCCTACAGCTAACAATGACCCCCACACAGCAGGCGCTCAGTAGATGTCTATTGAGGAATGACTGACATGATCATCCCACTCAGCACACTCAGATCTCCCTTCGAGAACACCAAGGTTTGGTATGTAGTTGATGAGCAGCTGGTGGGCATTTCTAACTAGAACACGGTACAAATAATTAAGTAAATGTTAACTGAGCAGAGAGATTGTGAAAAACAAATACATTAACATGGTGGAATTATTCAATCCTTTGCCCATCTGCTAAGAACAGTTTGAGTCCATGTATGGATGATAAAGGCAGAAATGGGCTGTCCTTCAGAATCCCTGTTCATTCAAAGATTTTATACCAGGTCAAAATTTCAGAGGCACTACAGGTGGAGTCAATATTAGACAACAGGAGAAGAAATTCAGTTCTATCCGTTGTTCCCGTCAAACCTGCAGAATTCCCCAGTGTGGCCTCCTCCCAGCCTTCAACCCACCTTCTGCAGCCAGACGCCCTGCTGCACCACCATACCAACCAGGGGAAAGACCCAACGTGACAAAATGCAAAGGGAGAGATGGACCAACGTAGAGAGCAGCAGGATTTCCTGCTAAATCTGTTCCTCCACAAGAGAAGAACAAAAATTACCCACAGCCACATCCGCATAGATAACAGAGATGCCATATCAACACACAGCAAGGAGAAGGGGCTACAGAAGCCAACCGAAGTGGTACACTTTTTAAAGGATTGATGATAAATATATACTTTTGATGACATACTCTTTTACCAAGATTTTAAAATGCAAACTTTGGTTTCCTTTTATCTTCAACAGCAAATATATACATATACATATATACATGGCAGATATTCAATGTTGCTGTTGCCTCTGGAAGGAGAAATATCACGAACGGAAATGTGCCAGAAGGACGGGGAGTGGTGGCTGCAACCCCAGCATTTTGGGAGGCTGAGGTAGGAGGATTGCTTGAGCCCAGAAGTTCAAGACCAGACTGGGGAACATAGTGAGACCCTGTCTCTATTAAAAACTAGCCTGATGTGGTGGTGTGTGCTTGTGGTTCCAGCTACTCGGGAGGCTGAGGTAGGAGTATCGCTTGAGCTCCGGAGGTCCAGGCTGCAGTAAGCCAAGATCGGGCCACTACACTGGCACCTTGGTGACAGAGAGAGACTGTCTCAAAAGAGAGAGACAGAGAGAGAGAAATGTGCCAGAGATGGAGTACAAAAGAAGTAAAACAAAATTCGATTGCCTAGTGCCTGAGGGAATGGCGTCTGAATTTTCAGGCTTCTCCAGAAATTCCTACACATCAGCTGCATGATATGCAGGTGACTTTAAAGTTGTCTACTACAGCATAGAATAAACCCAGAGGCAAGTTGGGACCTCTGACAACCAACAGTATAGGATGTGGCATCAGTTAGCCAGCCATTCAGAGGGAAGTCAACCAAGAGGCATTTTTCTAAGCTTCCCTTGCCCAAAGCAGGGCCCTCCTCAGTCTGGCTGCCCATCAGCTCTGGAAACCTGGTCTCCTCCTAATTTCCCCTTGCCCGCTCCATTCCAGCCACACCAATATAAACTGTTTTCATCCATGCCCGGAGGTCTCCTGCCTTTAGTATTTGTACTTGCTCTTCCCTCTGCCCCAGAGCTCCTATCCCAGGTATCTTCGTGGCTTCCTCCTTATCTCCTTTGCTCAGATCTCTCACTTTCTCAGGAACCCTGACATCCTATTCAAAATGACAGTCCCTCCCCCAGCGTCTTCCAGGGCTTCGTGATTCTCTCTCTCTCTCTTTCTTTTGCTTTATTTGTTTGTTAGTTGCCTTGCCCCTCTAGACTATAGACTCCTTGATGGCAGGATTTCTTTCTGTTTCATACACTGCTATATCCCTAGCACCTAGACCCTAGCACACAGAAGCTCTGAAACTATTTTCTTAATGACTGGAGAAAATGAAAGTTATTTATCGGATTTGAAAATGGCTTTGCCTTTTTGACAGATCACAAAGGGGCAAAATTTAAAAGTTTTAAAATGTTATTTGTGATTTTACTCATGTCCTCCTCTAAATATTAAGACTGTGAATGTTCATGACAAGCATCTCTAAAAAGGCTAGAGTTTCACTATGGGAGGCCAACGCCGGTGGATCACTTGAGTTCAGGAGTTCAAGACCAGCCTGGCCCAACACGGTGAAACCCCGTCTCTACTAAAAATACAAAAATTAGCTGGGCGTGGTGGCGGGTGCCTGTAATCCCAGCTACTTGGGAAGCTGAGGCAGGAGAATCTCTTGAACCAGGGTGGTGGAGGTTGCAGTGAGCCGAGATCACCCCACTGCACTCCAGCCTGGGCAACGGAGTGAGACTCTGTCTCAAAAATATATATAATAACATAAAATAAAAATAAATAAAAAGGCTAGAGTTTGAAACCGGATACAAGGATTAAAATATTCCTCAACACCGTTTTCTTTCTGTTTTTCTTCTTCTATCTGCCACATCCTCTGTCACCACCACCATAGCCTTCCCCCACCCCACCCCTGTTCTCCACTACAACGTATACACACACATCCTCTTAGCTTTCTTCCCATTTAAGCATCTAGAATATTCTGCAAATTGAAAGACGTTATGGTAGAGAAAAAAAAAAAGAGGTGTCTATTGGCCGGACGCAGTGGCTCATGCCTATAATCCCAGCACTTTGGGAAGCCGAGGTGGGCAGATCACCTGAGGTCAAGAGTTTGAGACCAGCTTGGCCAACATGGTGAAACTCTATATCTACTAAAACTACAAAAATTAGCCGGGCATGGTGGCAGGCACCTGTAATCCCAGCTACTTGGGAGTCTGAGGCAGGAGAACTGCTTGAAACCGGGAGGCAGAGGTTTCAGTGAGCCAAGATCGTGCCACTGCACTCCATCCTGGGCAACAGAGTGAGACTCCACCTCAAAACAAAAACAAAAACAAAACCCTCAAAAATAGGTCAATTTTTAGTTTCAAAAGCTTAGGCCCAGAGAAAATTCAGAGCACAGAAAAATTATGATGAGTATGAGTCAGATTTCTATACTCTCAGACAACAAAGAGATTTCCCAGGCTGTTGGAAGTAGAGACTGGGAGGGCAGCAGGGATGAAGGGAGAAAGGGAGAGGTTAATGGAGCCCAAGACAAGGAGACCTTATTCCTGAAAGATCCATGGGTTCAGGAGCTAACTCAGCAGCCTCATTCTCCATCCTGGTGGGCACCAAACACCACCAGAGCAGAGGAGCTTTCTGAAGGTCGTTCCCACTGACTTCTTGTTACAATGCTTTTGGCTGCAAGTAACACTTCTGTCTAAAGACAGCTTAACAGAGACACTTATCTCATAAGAAGTTGTGAAAAAGAGGTCTTAAGGTTGGTTCAGCAGCTTACTGCCATCAAGAACCCAGGCTCTAGCTCCTGCTGTCTCAGAGGGATGAGCTTTCTCCTAGGCTGTTACCTCATGGATGCAAGTGGCTGCCACAGCTCCAAGCATCACACCCTCATGTAACTTCATCCACAGACAGAACCCCAGAAGGCAGAGAAGGAGTGCTATTCTTGTGCATCTTTCCTTTTAGCAAGGAGGAAAATCTTTCCTAGAAACTCTCAACTGATTTCCCCTTACATCTCATTGGTTAGAACTGGGTCACATGTGCCCTCCCCTAGCTGCAATAGAGCCTAGGAATATCTGGCATATTCTATCTCTATAGGGGAAAGTGATGAATGGAAAAGGAATATGGAGTTACTCTGTAGCTCATCCACAGGGATGAATGGAAAAGGAATATGGAGCTACTCTGTTAAGGAGAAAACCATCAGTATATGCCACGACCTCTCTGATAGGTTGTCTGTCATCCACTAGCCGTCCTCCAAGAGTGGCACCTGCCTGCGCCCAAGACTTGGTCCCTTTCTACTTACTTTTAATGTTGCAGGACATGCATAAAGCCTCTCTGAGGAGAAGAGGTCCCTAGAACCCATCAGGGCGATAGCATGGGGAAGGGAAACATCTCACACTTGCCCTTGGACACGATTAGCTGGAGGATTTGCTCTGGATTCAACTCTTTGCTACTCCTCAAGCCAAGACAGTGGGGCACTCTACAGCCCCCATCATACAAGCAAACAATCATACTAGAATATCAAAGGCTCATAGCCACTTCAGGCCCTGCCACCAGAATGATCACTAGCAAAATACCATATAAAGTGTGAATTTAGAACTGATTTCCCCATCGCAAGTCTACGTAGAATAGCCCAAGAAACACTGCAGATTGGAAATAGAACTTGATTCTGAGAATGCTGGTAGGTGGAATTTAGTTCAGTAGTAAATAAGGCAAAGCTGGTTGTTGCTTTTCTATTTAAGACTTGCTGTTTCTTAGAGCTAAGTCAGCAGGCACCCTGCTTCTATAGATAAATATAGATTTAAATAACAGGATCATCTATAACTTGTTCCATTTCCTTTTCTATTAAAAGGAAATAGCCTGAACACTTGCATTAAAATTAAGAGTGGGTAATCAGACACACTAAATAAGAATGTGCTAGATAAGTGAAAACAGATTACCAAATAGGACATTTTAAAAAAATCACAACTATTATATATATATATATACACACACACACACACACACTATATATATATTTACACACACACACATACTACATACATACATAATGTAATGCATTATAAAAATAACATAATTATGTGGGATTATGGATTATTTGAATTGTTCTCTTTTGCGGGAAATAGAAATGACAGAGAACTAAATTAATTAGGCATTAGCCATATTGAAGCGAGATTGTCTCAGTGCCTCATTCACTCCGTCACACTGAGACTTCTCCAGGCTCTGATTAAGAGCCCTGTACTGCAGCACATGCTTCAACTGCTAATGTGGTCCAGCTTCAAGGGCGGATGGGTAAGGTGAGGTGCTTGGAATCAGGGAAAGAAGAGAAGAGACAGTTACGTTTCCATGTTTAAAGGTATGTGGTGTGTTCAGCTCAGAAACTTCTCTTATTGAACATATTCCATGTGATTAATACAATTCACTAGGTTTACATGGATAAATATAACTGCATCATTGCACAGCAAAGACAATATATGCCTTATCCTAGAAAACATGACTTCAGAAAATCCACCTTCTAAATTCCTCCATCTAGATTAACATGACTTCTAAGGGTGAGGGGGTGGGAGGGGCATGGATGATGAGAAGGTACTTAATGGGTATGATGTGCATTATTTGGGTAATGGATACCCTAAAAGCCCTGATGGCACCACTACACAATTTATGCTTGTAACAAAATTGCATTTGTAACCCATACATTTATACAAATAATAAAATAAAAGGGGGGAATCATGCATAAATAAAAATAAAGGATCCATTTGGAAGTAACAGTTTGAATATAAAAGTAAATTTTATTTATTTATTTTTTATTTGAGACAGAGTCTCACTGTGTTGCCCGGGCTGGAGTACAGTGGCATGATCTTGGCTCACTGCAACCTCCACCTCCTGGGTTCAAGCAATTCTCATGCCTCAGCCTCCCCAGTAGCTGGGATTACAGGTGCACACCACCATGCCCGGCTAATTTTTTCTATTTTTAATAGAGACGGGGTTTCACTGTGTTGGCCAGGCTGGCCTCGAACTCCTGGCCTTAAGTTACCCACCAGCCTGGACCTCCCAAAGTGTTGGGATTACAGGCATGAGCCACCGCGCCCAGCCTAAAAGTAAATTTTAAAAAGGTAAATGGAAGGCAAAAGAAGGCATCCGTTCTTTAAGAAATGATAATAGTATGACTTCTGGGTTCTTTATTGGCAAATCTGAAATACTCATGATTCTAAATGCATCTCTTTGATATTTTGCAATAGGAAATCTAGGCCAAAAGAAATTCTTGACTGATCATCTAGTTGCTGGCTAGTTTCCTCATTAAGTTAAAAAGAATGTAAAAAAAAAAAAAATGGTGCACTTTGGAACCCAGAAGAAGTCTCTTAAATGCCTCACTTTGAGAGATTCTTTGACTGTGCTAATGAGCCCAGGTAAGGAGCAGAAAAGTTCATCCATCAACATCTACAGTCTCTCCTAGTTCTGCTTTTCGAAGGGGAACTTAATGAGAAAATGGCAAGAATGAACAAGAATAAAACTGCAGTGCTTGTTTTTTTTTCAGTGTTTGATTATTCAGGATAATGTACACTACAACTACACGAAAGAACAGATTCAGTCTTGTTTAGCCACCTCGCAAAGTCAAGCAGAAAGTGGTTTGTCTGTGAGTTTCAAAATTTCGTGGCCACAGCCCACAGCAAGAAATACATTTTACATTGCAAGGTTTTGCAAAACAATATTTCCTCTTACGGCTTGCATAGCACAATAATGCTTTTTATTTTATCCTATTCTGTTCTACTCTGGGTCTTACTCCCTCCTTCCCTCCTTCACTTGCTTTTGTTTTGTTTTGTTTTGTTTTGTTTTTCATGAAATGCAGTGGCTCGATCCTAGCTCACTGCGGCCTCGAACTCCTGGGCTCAAACAATCCTCCCATCTCACCCTCTGAGTAACTCAGACCACAGGGACACACCACTATGCCAGCCTACATTTTTATTTTTAATTTTGCAGAAACAGAGTCTCCCTGTATTTCCCAGGCTGGTCTCAGACTCCTGGCCTCAAGTGATCCTCCCGCCTTGGCCTCCATGAGGTGGTGAGCCACCATGCCTGGTCTCTTTCTTTTTTTTCTTTTCTTTTTCGTTAAGAAAGTACTGACGGAAACTCCATATGCTGGTTTCACAAACTCCTAATAAATCTTAGTCTTCAACTTAAAAAACACTGGATTAAATGGTAATTATAAATTAATAAGGATTAATACAAAGGATATTTTTAAGTCAGTTATAATAATTGAATTGTGCTAAGGAGAATAAAACAAATTTCCATGTTATAGAGTATATTATAATAGCAGGCTTTGTAATATTTTATTCCTTCTTTCTTTACTTAAGAAAAAAAGTTTTGATTAAGAAAATAATACTACACTCAAATAGAGTCTCACTATAAAAAATGCCCACCATAGAGGTCAAGTAGAAGTCCTTGTGGCCCACTCTTCACTCCCACCCTGGGTCCCTTCCCAGCAGAGAGTGCTTTCTAGGCCTTTCCTAGGCATTTACATACACATAGGTCTATTTAGAAAGATGAAGTTTTGCTCTATGTTTTAATAAATAGCTGATGAGAATCAGGATACGCTACCCTGAATTATGGCATCTTGGCACTTGAGAAAACAGCAGGAGCAGGAAGGTCACTCTCACCTTCCTCCACCCTTCTCCCATGAAGCAGGCCATAAAACCTAGGAAGGATTTTCTGACCTCCCCCTGAAGTAGGACACAAAAGAGATGCCCTCCCTATACCCAGAGGAAAGGAACGTTCTCATCCCTGAAGACAAGGGGACACAGAAATGAATCTGAACAGGGCTTGCTGGATTTCCCCCAGTTCATTACCATTAGGTCTGTTGCAGGAATTATGTAAGAATCAAAGTTCAATTCCTTACACTCTATATGTTAATAACTTCAACATCATTGGTGGCCTATGGCTGTTGCAGTTGGAAGTTATTAATTTGATCTCTTATGTATAAACATACCCCATTTTATTGTACTTCATTTTATTGTGCTGTGCAAATATTGTGATTTTAATAAATTGGGGGTGTGTGAAAACCCTGCATTGATCAAGTCCATTTTCCAACAGCACGTGCTTACTTCACGTCTCTGTGTCACATTTTGGTAATTCTCACAATATTTCAAACTTTTTCATATAATTATATCTATCATGGTGATCTGTGATCAGTGATCTTTGATGTTGTTGTTGTAATTGTTTTGGGGTGCCACAAACTGCACCCTATAAGATGGCAAACTTAATTGATCAACGTTGTATGTTCTGACTACTCCACCAACCAGCTGTTTCCCCATCCCTCTTCCCCTGCTCCGGCCTCCCTATTCCCTGAGGCACAATATTAAAATTACATCAGTTAGTAACCCTACAATAAGGGTTACTAACTTATAAGCCTACAAGTGTTCAAGTGAAAGGAAAAGTTGCACATCTCTCACTTTAAATCAAAAGCCAGAAATGATTGAGCTTAGTGACAAAGGTATGTTGAAGCTGAAAGCAAGGCCTCTTGCATCAGTTAGCCAAGTTGGGAATGCAAAAGAAGTTTTTTAAAAAATTTAAGGTGCTACTCCAGTGAATACATGAATAATAAGAAAGGAAACCAGGCTGATCTAAGTATGCTCATGCTTATAACTAATTACTTAAAACCAGTTATTCTTTGTTCCTTCTCCACTCCCACTGCTTCACTTCACATAAGAGAAATGTGGGGGTCGGGAAGGGAGGGAGGGAGAAAAGAAGGAAGGAGTGAAGGAAGGAAGGGAGGGAGGGAGGGAGGGGGAAGGGAGGGAAGGTGGGAGGGAAGGAAGGGAGCCTTATTGCTCATATGGAGAAAGTTTGAGGGGTCTGGATAAAGATCAAACCAGCCACAACATTCCCTTAAGCCAAAGCCTGATCCAGGGCAAAGTCCTAACTCTCTTCAATTCTATGAAGTTGAGAGAGGTAAGGAAACTGCAGAAGAAAAGTTGGAAGCCAGCAAAGGTTGGTTCATGGGGTATAAGGAAAGAAGCCATCTTCATAATGTAAAAGTGCAAGGTGAAGTAGCAAGTGCTGATAGAGAAACTGCAGCAAGTTATCCAGAAAATCTAGCTAAGATCATTGATGAGGGTGGCTACACTAAACAACAGATTTTTCAGTGTAGACAACATGGCCTTCTATTGGAAGAGGATGCCATCTAGAACTTTCATAGCTAGACAGAAGAAGACAATGTCTGGCTTCAAAGCTTCAAAGGACAGGCTGACCTACTTGTTAGGGGCTAATGCAGCTGTTGACTTTAAGATGAAGTCAATGCTCATTTATTATTCCAAAAATCCTAGAGTCCTTAAGAACTATGCTAAATCAAAGAGCCAGGCACAGTGGTGCATGCCTGTAATTCTAGCTACTGTAATTGCAACTACCTGAGAGGCTGAGGTGGGAGGATTGCTTGAGCCCAAGAGTTCAAGACCAACCTAGGCAACATAGCAAGACTACATGTCAAAAAAAAATACACACACACACACACACACACACACACACACATATATATATATACACACACACACATATATGTATTATATAGGCTGGGCACAGTGGCTTATACCTGTAATCTCAGCACTTTGGGATGCTGAGGCAGGAGGATCACTTGAGGCCAGATATTTAAGACCAGCCTGGGCAACATAACAAGACCCTATGTCTGCAAAAATTTTTTTAAAAAAACAATTAGCTTGGCATGGTGGCACACACCTGTAGTCCTAGCTACTTAGGAGGCTGAGGAGGGAGGCTTCCTTGAGACTAGGAGTTTGAGGTTGCAGTGAGCTTTGATCACACCACTGCACCCCAGCCTGGGCGACACAGTGAGATCTTGTCTCAAAAATAAATAAATAATTTAAAAAATTATGCTAAATTATTTCTGCCTGTGCTCCACAAATGGAACAAAAATTGGATGACAGCACATCTGTTTACACCATTGTTTACTGAATATTTTAAGCCCCCTGTTGAGACCTACTGCTCAGAAAAAAAAATTCCTTTCAAAATATTACTGTTTATTGACAATGCATCTGGTCACCCAAGAGCTCTGATGGGCATGTACAAGGAGATTAAATGTTGTTTTTGTGCCTACTAATACAATATCCATTCTGCAGCCCATGGATCAAGGAGTAATTTCAACTTTCTAGTCTTATTATTTAAGAAATACATTTTGTAAGACTACAGCTGCCATAGAGAGTGATGCATCTGATGGATCTGGGCCAAGTAAATTGAAAACTTTCTGGAAAGGATTTACCATGCTAGATGCCATTAAGAACATTTGTGATTCATGGAAGGAGTTCAAAATACCAAGTCCAGGTGTGGTGGCTCATGCCTGTAATCCCAGCACATTGGGAGGCCAAGGCGGGGGGATCACTTGAGCCAGGAGCTCAAGACTAGCCTGGCCAACATGGTGAAACCCCATCTTTACAAAAAAACACAAAAATTAGCTGGGCATGATGGCGTGAGCCTGTAGTCCCAGCTATTTGTGGGGCTGAGGTGGGAGGATTGCTTGAGCCTGGGAGGTGGAGGTTGCAGTGAGCTGAAATCACACCACTGCACTCCAGCCTGGGTGACAGAGTGAGACCCTGTCTCAAAAAAGAAAAAAGAATATCAACATTAACAGGAGTTTGAAAGAAATTGATTCTAACCCTCATGGGTGACTTTGAGGGGTTCAAGACTTCAGTGGAGGAAGTAACTATAGATGTAGTAGAAATTGCAAGAGAACTAGCATTAGATAGAAGTAAAGCCTGAAGATGTGACTGAATTGCTGCAATCTTATGACCAAACTTGAACGGATGAGGAGTTGCTTCTTATGGTTGAGTAGAGAAAGTGTTTCTTATGATGGAATCTACTCCTGGTGAAGATGCTGTGAACAATGTTGAAATGACAACAAAGGATTTAGAATATTACATAACTTAGTTGATAAAACAGCAGCAGGCTTTGACTCCAATTTTGAAAGACTGTCTACTATGGATATAATGCTATCAAATAGCATCACATGCTACGGAAATCTTTTGTGAAGGAAAGAGTCAATGTGGCCAATTTCATTGTTCTCTTATTTTAATAAATTGCCACAGCCACCCCAGCCTTCAGCAACTACCATCCTGATTGGTCAGTAGCCACCAACACTTCAACACTGAGCCAAGACCCTCCATCAGCAAAAAGATTATGACTCACTGAAGGCTCGGATGATGGTTAGTATTTTTTAGCAATAAAGTATTTTTAAATTAAGGTGCGTACTTTTTAAAGACATAATGCTATTGCAGACTTTAAGTCTTTTAAAGACTATGTAAACATAACTTTTTTTTTTTTTTTTTTTTTTTTGAGACGGAGTCTCGCTCTGTCGCCCAGGCTGGAGTGCAGTGGCGGGATCTCGGCTCACTGCAAGCTCCGCCTCCCGGGTTCACGCCATTCTCCTGCCTCAGCCTCCCAAGTAGCTGGGACTACAGGCGCCCGCCACTACGCCCGGCTAATTTTTTGTATTTTTAGTAGAGACGGGGTTTCACCGTTTTAGCCGGGATGGTCTCGATCTCCTGACCTCGTGATCCGCCCGCCTCGGCCTCCCAAAGTGCTGGGATTACAGGCGTGAGCCACCGCGCCCGGCCAACATAACTTTTATATGCACTGGGGAACCAAAAAATTCATGTGACTCACTTTATTGCAGTGGTCTGGAACCAAACCCATAATATTTCTGAGGTATGCCTATATAGGATTTGTAAAGGTGGTAAAGCAGTTAGGATTAAAATATCAGTAGGGTAGTTCATGCAGTTTTTACTTCTTGAGTATCTACAGTACTCATGTGGGCTAGTTTAGTTGTTACTATTAATGAAATGATACAAAGGACTGAAGAGCTAATTAAGAAAATGATGATTAAAGTGTAATCATGGAAGTGTAGAAGTTCTATCACAGGTGATGTTGCATCTTGAAAGCCTAATTGGAATGGGTATGCCATAAAGATATAAAGAATTTTAACCTATAAATTAACTTTGCCAAAGTTATGTAATTATTTTTCCTAATGTCTTACTTGTTGAAAAAGTCATAATTGTGATGAAATCGGCTTGAAACCAGTTAAGAAGTACGTTTCCTTCCTTCTTTCCTTCCTTCCTTCCTTCCTTTTTCTTTCGTTTCTTTTTTTTTTTTTTTTTGAGTTTTACTCTTGTTGCCCAAGCTGGAGTGCAATGGCGCCATCTCCACTCACTGCAACCTCTGCCTCCCAGATTCAAGCGATTCTCCTGCCTCAGCCTCCAGAGTAGCTGGGATTACAGGCATGCGCCACCATTCCTGGCTAATTTTGTGTATTTTTAGTAGAAACAGGGTTTCACCATGTTAGCCAGTCTGGTCTCAAACTCCTGACCTCAGGTGATCCGCCCGCCTCGGCCTCCCAAAGTGCTGAGATTACAGGCGTGAGCCACTGTGCCAGGCCCCTTTGTTTCTTATTTTAAGCTCTTGCATAAGCAGGCTCTTCAAATGTCTGATATGCTAATGGGCAGCCAGGAGGCCATTCAAGTTGTAGTTGAAAGTTCCACTACTGATAATTCTCGGTACTTTCTTGGCAGTTCTTGGCTTCCTTCCACTACCATGAAAGTCTCTCAGATTGTGAAGATTATTAATATTACTGTCATTGATGAAATATATAAGCCTATCAATGAGATGGAATTGCATGTTTTATATGCATCAGGGTAATTGGAGTAACTCAGAGAATTCTTGATAAATTAAGGAATTATTGTGGAAAGCAAGCTAAATTAATACCTACAAATAAAATGCTAAAATAAATTTTGGCTTGGGTTGAATTGAGTGTGTAACCTGAAAATAGTGGGAATCAGTGAACAAATCCTCTTATAATGGCAAAGGCTGCTCCTATTGATAGAACATAGTGGAAATGTGCTGCCACATAATATGTTTTGTGAAGAGCAATGTCTAGCAATGAGTCAGCTGATGCCATTTCTATGAGGCCTCCAACTGTAAATAAGAAGATAAAGCCTAAAGCTCATAATATAGCTGGAGATCATTTAATGTTACTTCTGCACGGGGTTGCCAGTTGGCTGAACCCTAACTCCTATGGGAATAGCAGTGATTATAGTGGCCGGTGTAAAATATGCTTGAATGTCAATGTCTATCCCTATTGTAAATATACGATGAGCCCATATGATAAAGCCTAGAAAACCAATTAATATCACGGCTCACACCATTCCTATATAACCAAATGGTTCTTTTTCCCCAGGATTATAGGTTATAATATGTGAGATTATTTCAAAGCCAGGGAAGATAAGAATATACACTTCCAGGTGGCAAAAAAATAAGAATAAATGTTGATATAAAATTAGATCTCTTGCAGCTAGATTTTTTTAAAAAGTGATATTAGGGTTTCAGTCTTTTAAGAATATGGCTGTTAGAACAGAGTGGGAGAGAAGAGATAATACAGCTGTGATTAGCATTTATCAGACAAATAGTGGTGCCTGAGATTGGGACACGGCTGGTGGTTTAATGTTAATAATTGTAATAAATTAATAGCTTCTAAGGTTGATGAGACACCTACTAGGTGTAATGAGAAAATGGCAAAATCTACAGAGGCTCCTGCGTGCTCAAGATTTCTGCCTAAAGGTGGCTTATCCTGTGCCAGTGCTGGTTTCCACTGTTGAGGAAGCAGGAGTAGAAATGATGGTGGGAGAAGTCAGAATCATATGTTATTTATTCAGGGAGATGCTACATCAGGGTCTCTGATTAATAAGGGGACTAATCAGTTGCCAAGTCCTCTCACTAAAATAGGCATAACTATTAAAACGATTATTATGGACACAAGAACTGATTAAAGTGTAATCATGGAAGTGTAGAAGTTCTTCTATCATAGGTGATATTACATATTGAAAGCCTAATTGGAATAGGTATGCCATAAAGATATAGTGCTGATGACATTATAAATTTGATTGTCACTTGGCCAGGTGCGGTGGCTCACACCTATAATCCCAGCACTTTGTGAGGCCAAGGCGGGTGGATCATCTGAGGTCAGGAGTTCAAGACCAGCCTACCCAACACGGCAAAACCCTGTCTCAACTAAAACTACAAAAATTAGCCAGATGTGGTGGTGGCGCACACCTGTAGTCCCACCTACTCAGAAGGCTGAGGCAGGAGAATCGCTTGAGCCCAGGGGGCGGAGGTTGCAGTGAGCTGAGATTGCACTACTGCACTCCAGCCTGGGCAACAGAGCGAGGCTCTGTCTATAAATAAATAAATAAATAAATAAATAAATAAATAAATAAATAAATTTGATTGTCACTGAATAGGACTCCTGGTTGACCTAACTCTGCTCAGATTACAAGATTTAGGGCAGTCCCTACTATTCTGGCTCAAACACCACGTAGAAAATTATAGTGTCACTATCCTGTGTTGTTTGTTGAGACTGATGAAGGGTTAACGAGCACAGGTAGAGGATAAAGTAGCTGAATAAGCATTGGATTGTAAATTTAAAGACAGAGGTTGAACCCTCTTTCGACCCTGTCTTGAGGTGAATGTTCACACTGAATTGCCAATTCAAAGGAGCAGCTTCAATTCTGCCCGGGCTTCTTCTGCCTTTTTTCTCTCGACAGCGGGAGAAGTAGATGGAAGCTAACTGATTAGAATGCTTTAGCTGTTAACTAAGTTTTTGTGACGTTGGAGCTCACCAATCTAGTACGGATTTCACTTAATTAAAGTTTTTTTTTTTCATTCAATTGATGTAAGAGTCTTGGAATCCTTATGTTTCAAGAATTAAGTATAGGGTACTTGCTTAGAGCTTTGAAGTCTCTTAGTCTATCTAACCTAAATCGCTAGTTTGATGTTGGAAATATTGGTGAAAGTGGGAGGAAAAGAGCTGATAGTAAAACAAGTGATGGGAGAAAGAATATTTGTTTTATACATATATATTTTAATTTTTTTATTGAGACAGGGTCTCCCTCTGTCACCCAGGCTGGAGTGCAGTGGCATGATCACAGCTCACTGCAGCCTTGATCTCCCAGGATCAAGTGATCCTCCCGCCTCAGTCTCCTTGTAGCTGGGATTACAGGTGCATGCCACCATGCCCAGCTACTTTTTTTTTTTTAATTTTTAGTAGAGATGAAGTCTCACTATGTTACCCAAGCCATTTTATATTTTTCAATTGTCATTTTGTTTTTGTTATTGGTTGTTGAAAATATAGTTAATAATAAAGAATAGTCATACATAAAAATATAAGTTGAGAAATACTATAATAGTTACGAATGGGGGGCAAGAAAAAAAGAAAATAATTATGAATGTTGGCATAATAACATTTTTGAATGTTAATTTACTTGGGTAGAAATCCTGTAAGTAGGGGTAGGCCTCCTAAGAATAATAGTTATAAGGATTATAGAAGTTATTATTGGTAGTTCATTTCATGTGTGCAATAGTGATAGTGTTGTGGTATTTATGTTTTAACTAAATATTATGAATATGGTAATCATTGGAATGATATAACTTAGAAGGTTTATGATTATTGTGGGGGATTATAAATAAGGATAGTTATTATTCAGCCTATATGTGCAACTGGTGAATAAATAGGCTAAGAGTTTTCATGGTTGCGTTTGATTAAATTCTCCTCATCGTCTTATTAGAATAGATAATATGGCAATTATTTGTATTATATTTAGATTAATTGATGGATTAATCGATGATATGATACTGAAAATATAATTGAACTTGGTCCCAGTTTTTGTCATGTTAATAGGATTATGCTCGATATTAGTGAAATTCTTTGTGTTACTTCTGGGACTCAGAAATGGAATGGGGAGAGTCCAAGTTTTATCATTAGTGCTATCTATGGTAACTACCGGGGATGCTGTTTGTTTGGGAATTTTTATGACTGTTAATTGCCCAGAATACAATATGTTAATGATGCTGTCTATCATTAGGGGTATAAATATGGTTGCTTGTGTTAAGAAATATTTGGTAGCTGCTTCTGTGGATCATGGATTTGCTTTTTTCATTAAAATGGGAATCATGGCTAATACATTTATTTCTAATCCCATTTAGATTATTAGTCAATGTGAGCTAAATATTGTGATTGTTTTCCTATGAAGACAGTAAATAGAATGGTAGAAAAAATAGGGGATTAATTAGTATGGAAAGAATATAAACCAATGTTTTTGGGGATATGGGCCTGGTAGCTTATTTAGCTGACCTTACTATAGAATATGGTATATTAGGCAGCACAGAGATTTTTGAATGTTTTTTGTTTTTTTTGAGATGGAGTCTCTCTCTGTCTCCCAGGCTGGAGTGCAGTGGCCAGATCTCGGCCTACTGCAACCTTTGCCTCCCAGGTTCAAGCGATTCTCCTATCTTAGCCTCCAGAGTAGCTGGGATTATAGGCATGTGCCACCACACCCAGCTAATTTTTGTATTGTTGGTAGAGACGGGGTTTCACCATGTTGGCCAGGCTGGTCTCGAACTCCTGACTTCAGGTGATCCACCCGCCTTGGCCTCCCAAAGTGCTGAGATTGCAGGTGGGAGCCACCATGCCCAGCTGATTTTTGAATTCTTTAGAGTAGGTTCAATTCGTAACATTCTGGAAATAAGAGGACTTAAATCTCTATCATTTACTCTCTTTAACTATTTTATCAGACAAATTTCTTATGTGTGTGGTGGAATATGCAGTAGTAAAATAGGTACTGAGATGTGTCATATGCATAAGGCTAATTTGAGTGGTTAGAAATTTTTTCATAGAAGGTACATGAGTTCATCATACTGGAATCATGGGTATAATGCTCAAAGTCAAGAACTGTAAGATAGGAAAATGGTGTTCATGATGAAGTTGAGTATATAAATTTCTGGTATGTGAATATCATGGAGTTCTTCTAGGCAATGGATAATGGTTAGGGCATTTATTATAATGATGTTGGTGTACTCTGCTATATAAAAAAAATAGGACAAATTGGCCTGCAGCATATTGGATGTTAAAGCCTGACACAAGTTTCAACACCTTGTGTCAAGTTGAATGAGGCTCCATTAGTTTTTGCTACTGTTGAAGTAAATCATATTATGGCTAAGGATCATGATGAAAAAAATAGTCGTACATATTCTCAGGTATCAATTAAAGTTGTTAATGTAAATGATTTGCTTATTGAGAGAACTAATAATGGTGGCTGGGATAACTTCATATAAATTTGTTTGTGCTACTGCTCATAGTGCACCAATTAACACACATTTTAAAACTGATGTTCATCCTGATTGAAGGATGGAATATATGGGTAGGCTTCATGTGGTTAAAATGAATAGTGTTCCTATATTCATGTTAATTAGTGGGTACAGTAAGATTAGTAGAATTCACATAGTAAGTGCAAGGGCCAGGGCCAGTGTGGGTGCAATGGCATATGATAGTATAGAAGATGTTGGTGGTCGTAATGGTTCTTTAGTGAATAGTTTTATGGCATTAGTGAAGAAGTGAAGTGGGCCATAGGGGCCTACAGTATTAGGTCCTTTATGAAACTGTATATAATCTAATACTTTTTATTCAGCTGTTAGCAATGCTATTGCAAGGAGAGGGGGGCTAATAGGTAGAAGATTAACTATAAACATGCTGTTAAGAAGGAGTTGAGCTGATTGTAAAGTTTTAAGTTTTATGCAATAACTGGGCTCTGCCATCTTAATAAGCCCTTGTTCTTGGCAGGACATTTAATAGTATATTAGGTTGAGATTATATATAACCTATTAAAATTGAGGAAGTTTTTTGAAATGGGCTCTATTTCTCTTATTCTTTTGTACTAAGAGAAATACTGAATAGGTAGAAATAGATCTGGATTGCTCCGGTCTGAACTCAGACCACATAGGACTTTAATTATTGAACAAACGAACCATTCATTAATAGTAGTTACACCTTTGGAATGTCCTGATCCAACATTGAGGTTGCAAACCCTGTTGTTGATAACAAACTCTAAAATAGGGTTGTGTTGTTATCCCTAGGGTAATTTGTTCCATTGATTAAATTGCTTAGGTTAATAAGCGATTATGTTACTTTGACTGGTCTAGTCTAGATTTTAATCATTTGGATGTTGTGTTGTACTCTGAAGTCACCTCAACCAAAATTTTTAGTCTGGTAGATTAGGTGTTATTCCTTTGAATAGTTAGGTTAAAGTTGTGTTATGTAGACTAATTCATTTACGTTCCATAGGGTCTTCTTGTTTTATTTTAATATCCCTGCCTTTCCGCAGGGGCAGGAAGGTCAATTTCACTAATTGGAAGTAAGAGAAACTTGAACCCTCTTGTGGTCATTCATACAAGTCCCTATTTAGGGAACAAATGATTATGCTACCTTTGCACTGGTCACAATACTGCAGCTGTTAAACATGTGTCACAAGGCAGGTGACATACTAGTCTGATACTAGTTATATGAGAGGTAATGTTTTTGGTAAATAGGCAGGGTTTGTATTTGCTGAGCTCCTTTTAGTTTCTTTAATCTTTCCTTAAGTAGTGCAGTAGTGGATGCCTGTGTAGGATTAACAATTGGTCTTTTTTGTTTTTTAGAGAAAAGGTCCCACTCTGTCACCCAGAATGGAGTGCAAGTGGCATGATCATGGCTCACTGCAACCTCCAACTCTGGGCCCAAGGGATCCTCCTACCTCAGTTTCCCAAGTAGTGAAGACTACAGGCACATGCCACCACACCTGGCTATTTGGCTTATTTTTTGTAAAGATGGGGTCTGGAACTCCTGGCCTCAAACAATCCTCCCACCTTGGACTCCTAAAACATTGGAATTATAGGTGTGAGCCACTGAACCCTGCAATATTTGTTTGGATAAACAGTCAATTGATCGGTTTAATTTATTGAGTTGGTAACTATCAGCTAACATTAGGAATGCTATTGTATCCAATATAAGCTTATGCAACGATACATTTTTTCTTGTTACTTATATAAACAGAATCACCTCTATTTATACATAGGTTAGTCCAGTAAAATATTAGGAGTTTATATAAATAGTTGGAATTAAGATATTGATTGTTGAGCTTGAACCCTTTCTTAATTGGTGGCTGCTTTTAGGCCAATTATGAGAATTTAATAGTTTACATTCTATAAAAGGTTGTTTCCTGTTTCTAAAGTGTTGTCCCTCTTTAGATTAACGTTTAAATTTACATTAAGGTTAAATATTTCTTTAGGTAAATTTAAGGTTGAATTGAAATTCAGCGCTCACCCAGCTCGACTGGCATTTTACCTCTACTCAAGGATATTCTCACAATTTCACCACATGAACAAGTTTGTTCTTGTAACTGTCCATGAGTAGCTCATCTGGTTTTGGGGTTTTTAGCTAAAGTTTTCTTTGTAAAATTGTTCTAGTTAATTCATTATGCAAAAGGCATAAGGGGTAAGCTTTGTTTTTTTTTTTTTTTTCAGTTTATTCTTTCATCTTTCCCTTACAGTACTTTTTCTATAGCATCTAAATAAATTTCTATCATCTCCTATCCTCCCTGTTGTAAATAATGTTTTGGTTAAAATGTGTATGTAGTTGTTAAATTTTGTTAGTTTTAGTTCAAAGTGGTCAGATTAATATGAAATCTTCCAGGCATAAGCCAGGTGCCTTGAGTTAAACTACACTTTGGTTTGTCCAAGCACACCTTCCAGTATTCTTTGTTCTGACATCTCCTCTTATAGATGGGTCTGTGTTAATTATAAACTTGAGTTTATTGAAGCATTTGAGGAAGGTAATGGGCGGTCTATGTGTGCTTCACAACCTTATTCAATTAAGCTCTCTATTCTTAATTTACTACTAAATCCTCCTTTGGCCTGTAGTTTCATAAGGCTTATCATGGGTTGGGTGTACTTTAATCAGACAATGTAAGTCATTTCTTTCCATCTCATAAGCTACATGTTGACCTAATGTTTCCATGTAAGTACTTGTGCTTACTTTATGACCTTTTTAGGGCTTGCTGAAGATGGTAGTATACAGGCTGAATTGACAAGAAATAGTGAGGTTTATCATTGCTTATTAATTATGAACCAGGCTCCTCTAGGGGGGATGGAAACACCATACCACCAAGTCCTTTGAGTTTTAAGCTGTTGCTGATAGTACTCTAGTGAATAACTTTAAGTTTATGGCTAAACATAGTGGGGTATTTAATCCCAGTTTAGGTCTTAGCTATTGTGTATTCAGATCATATTAAAGTCATTTTTGTAGTTTATTTGTATTATCCTAAACACAAACGTGCTTTTCAGATTTTATTAATTTGGGTTTATGACTGTGGTGGCTGACACAAAATTTACTGACCCTAAGGAAAATTAGCATAGTTTAGTCAAACTTTTTGTTTATTGCTTTTTATTATTGCTATTTCCTGTAGGAGTGTGGCTGAGCAAGACGTTAGTTGCTACCAATTAGTGTGCTTGACGCCTGCTCCTTTTGCTCTTTTGCTGATTACACATGCAATGCAGATACTTGCACATGTAATCTTACTAAGAATTAATAGAAGGGCCAGAACCAAACCTGTGTGTTTATGCAGTTACATGAACTCATCTAGGCATTTTCAGTGCCTTACTTTAGTGGACTGAGCTACATCGACTTATATCTAGAAAATTCTGTCCTGGGGAAAAAAACTGCTAAATTATGTGCTATGTTAGCATTGGGGGCTCTTTTGGTAATCTTAGTAAGAAAAAAACTTTTAGCCTAGAAAGCCTAATTTTTAATTGATGTTTGGATTTTTGAAAAATGCTTTAATTAGGAGTTGGGTTAATGCTAGATGAACTTATAACTAAATTTAATAGCATGTGAGTATATATAGGAGCCTTAGTTAGCAGTCAATAGATACAAGGTTTCTTATTTGGGCAGGGTTGGCAAGAATAAAAGACTTACTCAGATACTATAAGAGCTTAAGGAGGGTAGAGGGGTTTACAAAGTTAATCATACATGGCAGGAAGAACTGCTTGTATGTGTCTGTGTCTATATCTTGTTTTTATTACGTCCATTGAGATGAATCAATTAGCACCAAATGATTTTATGTGAGTAAAGAATATTCCATTTAAGCGCAGCTACGATCTAGCTGACTGTGTCAAGGCATTGACAGCCATGTTGGATCACAGCACCCTCCAAAATTAAAAAATACCAAATGCATGACCCCACAGTTCCATGTCATCTTGTGCTAGTTAGTCATTAGTCACTGAGATGTCTTATTTAGGGGGAACAAATGAGTGGTTTCAAATCTATGGCCCTGAAGTAAGAACCAGATGCTAGGTATAGTTTCAAGTCTAGAAGCCCCTAGGTTTTATGGGCCCAAAGCAAGAAGGACATTTCCTGAGTAGGTTGCTGGTTTCTCAAAGCTTGGTGGTAAAGAAATCCTATTGGAAGTGATAAGCATGTTGTTAAGGATTGATGTGACTTGATGTGACTTAATGTGCCATGCACAATCAATGATATTATGTCCTATGTAAAAGAAAGGAATTAATGTACTGGACAATATCCAAGTGTTGAATCTATTTTATGTAATCTTGCAATATAACATGCTGTGCACTCTAATTAGTGCAATTTATGTGCGCATATGCATGGGGAATGGACCTTAATGCACAATAAAACATTTATGTAAAATCAAGCATACATAGCACTAGTACATTATTAATGGGGCAAGGCACGTAATGCAGGTGGAGGGCCTCTTTGGAGGTTAAAAAGAATAAAGAATGTGGAGGAAAATGAAAAGATAGATAGTTCCTCAAATGAGAGGGACATAGGGGTCAGAGAAAAGGGCTGTCTTTTTTTTTTTTTTTGAGACAGGGTCTGGTTCTGTCACCCAGGCTGGAGTGCAGTGATGTGATCCTGGCTCACTGCAGCCTCAACCTCCTGGGCTCAAACCATCCTCCTGTCTCAGCCTCTTGAGTAGCTGAGACTACAGGTGTGCACCACTACGCCTGGCTAATTTTTTTTTTTAATAGAGATGGGGTCTCACTATGTTACTCAGACTGGTCTTGAACTCCTGGGCTCAAGCAATCCTCCCACCTCAGCCTCCCAAAGTGCTAAGATTATAGATGTGAGCCACTGTGCCTGTGAGAGGTGTTTTCTTAATGAAAGAAACAGAACTGTTTATATAATGCAAATAAAAAGGAGAGAATTAAACAGAAAATAGCAGAAAATCATAGGAGCAAACAAAGCGCCAAAGGCCTGTGTGCAGAGGGACGGGTGCTGGGCTGAAGATCAGAGCAGAGTGTGGCATGCAGAAGGGGCAGGGCATGCTGGCTGGAAGAGTACACACCCTCCCAGCACGAGGAGGACCCAGCATGGGGAAGTCTGGGGCATTTAGCACGTGGCACAGTGCCCAGCACCCAGCACCCAGTGGGCTCCCATGACTACCAAGACCAACTGCTTCAAATTAAATCCCAGTCTTACCATACAGTAGCTGTGTGACCTTAGCAAGGTAAACAACCTCTCCTATCTGGGAAGAGGCCAGATCTTAAGCAAAGCACAAAAGAGCTGGAGTTTTGGAAAGGGACCCTGTGAAAAGGGGAGAAGATTTGGAACAATTCTTGTGAAGAATGGGAGACAGATGACCAGAGACCAGTAAAAAGAATGCACACAAAATGTGGTAAACAGGCATCAGAATGGTATAAATGTAAAAATAATGCCATGGTTAGGAATTGAGATTTCAGTCCCTTTTTTTTTAAATTTGGGTTTAATTTCTGTATATATCAAACAACAAATAACCCAAAGGCCAGGATCGGGGCCTGTTGTAACTGAGAAAGCAAGAGCTGCCTGAGATGTTCATTTTATGCATCAAGTTGACAGGGCCTCAAGGTGCCCAGATGGTCAGTCAAACATTATTCTGGGTGTTTTTGTGAGGGTGTGTTAGTCCGTTTTCAGGCTGCTGATAAAGACATACCCAAGACTAAGCAATTTACAAAAGAAAGAGATTTAATGAACTCACAGTTCCATGTGGCTGGAGAGGCCTCACAATCATGGTGGAGGGTGAAAGGTACATCTCATATGGCAGCAGACAAGAAGAATGAGAGCCAAGTGAAAGGGGTTTCCCCTTATAAAGCCATCAGACCTTGTGAGACTTATTCACTACCATGAGAACAGTATGGTGGAAACCACCTCCATGATTCAATTATCTCCCACTGAGTCCCTCCCACAGCACGAAGGAATTATGGAAGCTACAATTCAAGATGAGATTTGGGTGGGGTCACAGCCCAGCCATATCAGTGTTTTACATGAAATTAACATTTAAATTAGTAGTTGTCTTGAGTAAAGCAGACATAATGTGGGTGGGCCTCACCCAATCAGTTGAAGGGCTGAATAGAATAAAAGACTGACCCTGGTAAGACTGAACTCTCCTGCCTGATGCCTTTGCACTGGGACATCAGCTCTTCTGGGTTCTACAGCAGCTTCCAGCTTTCAGACTCAAACCAGGACATCTACTCAGCAGATTTTGGAGTTGCCAGCCTCTGTAATCATGTGAGCCAGTTTCTTATAATAAACCTCTTCATATACTAGTTCTTGTCTTTGGAGAACTCAGAACTCTGAACTCTTGTCTTTAGAGAACTAACACACTGCCTGACTGCGTGATTTTATCATTTATTGCCCTCAACCTCAGAAAGAATTTGAAATAGCTGCTTAGCTACATAAAGTTTCAGGCCAGTGGGCTTTCTTTTAAACTACAATCTTTGCAGGAAAAAATGGCAGGTTCATTGGAAAGGAGTCCTGAAATGAAGCAAGGAAAAGGCAAGAAAGAATAGAAACAGAAGAATTCCCAAGGTTGAAGAGGAAACAAAATGTTAAAAGAAAGATTTTGACCAACCAAAATTAAGAAGCAAAGAACAGGGGGGAAACTAGGCAACAAAAAAGACAAAAGAAAAATAAGTAAATAAAATAAAAAATCAATGGATAAACAATGGCAGCCCGGGCAACATAGTCTCTACAAAAATTTTTTAAAATATCTGAGTGTGCCTGTGGTCCCACCTACTCAGGAGGCTGAGGCAGGAGGACCACTTGGGCCTGGGAGGTTGAGGCTGTAGTGAGCCCTGATGGTACCACTGCACTATAGCCTGGGCAACAGAGCGAGATCCGCTCTCAGAGAAAAAAAAAAAAAATGAGGCACCTAATAAATGTTACTATCTCCTTGCAGCTCTAATGTGGGATTTAATGAGTGTTCAAGGGCTGCTGAGCAGGGACAACATTGTGTACCACCATGTAGCTGAAGAGTTAACTTTCCTAGTTAGGAGGAAATGAAGCTGTGTGCCTGGTTGTAAAGATAAGAGCCATCCAAAACATTTATTTTAGAAAAGAAAGTGACACGAGGGCAAGCAGCCAATTAAAATCTGGAAAGCTGCGACTATGGAAAATTCTACATTTCCTTTCAACGTAAGCACCTAATGACACAGGACTTCATTCCAGAACTAACACTAACACTTCTCAAGCAATCAATTCATATATTCCCATGTTCACGTCTCTCCAAAGTTGCTGTATTTCCCCTGGAAAAACGGAAGAAATCCAATATAGCTACCCAAACAAATACCGTAAATGACTTAAGAGGCAGGGACAGAGAGAAGTTAGAGCGGCAATAATTTATATGATAGACTTAAACCCTTCTTCTACTGAGTGGGGCTCATAGCCTCTTGTCTCTCAGTAAAAGCCTATAATAGTTTGAAGCAAAAAGACAACCCTCCCCTCTAAGAAAAGTGGAAGTGAGAAATATGACATATTGGAAAAATGAAAAGGAAACCAGAATGCTCCCCACCTCGTGCAAAAAATCCCTGTTGTCACATGTTGGCTATTATCAAAAGACTACCGTGTGACTAATTTGGAGCTGTGGAGTCAGCCAGTTATGTGTCAAATATTATTTAAAATGCCCATTTGATAAACAGATGATGACTATGTTTGTGAAGAAATCAAGACAGTTGCAAAAGAATTTAAGAATAAATTTTACAAATTTCTATTACTAAATTCTGCCTGGATCTTCACAGGAAGATCCAGGCAAAGCATTCAGTGTGTTTGCAGAACACTCTTAAAGTTGGAGAAGCTGCAGAGAACTTTCGGGTGCAGAGTCTGGCACACTTCCGGGTTTAGTACATTCTCCATGCATTCATCCACTTCAGTTCTGAACCAGAACCCAGTGCCTGCTATGAATGCGCCAAGCACGACGTAAGAAATAGGGGCTACAAACACACAAGTATGACCACTGCTGCAGTGATCCTTGAAACATGCACATGAGTCCCTAAAATGGGTTCCCTTTGCTAGAAGAAAAAAGTCTGAGTTCTTCACCATGTTCTGAAGACCCCACCTAGGTGCATCTGCTGCACATACCACACCCTTCACTCACTCACTCAGCTATTGCCACGCTGATCCTCTATTACCCAACCTCTATGAGACACTTCCTTCCCCTAGGTCTTCACATGGCTGGCATCCTCTGGGGTATATCTAGACACCCCTCTGAAGCAGCTCTTCCTACCCATTCCCAGCCAGGTTAGTCCTCAATGGCCTTACAGGTGCAGAGGGCGAAAAGTCTTACCTTGTTCGCTATGTTTATTGTGTATCGTCCACCAGCAGGTAGGCTCCATGTGGACAGAGTCCTTTTTCTCATTTGGCTGCTCCTGCCCTAGTACCCAGGTATTCAACAATTACTAAGTATTCACTAAGTGAATGAGGATTCTGCCCTCAGTAAATGGTTGTTGAACAAATGAAGGAACTATGGGCACTTTTACCTAAGCAAGTTGTCAGTGACACATGTACTGAAACAACAGAAAGATATCATCAGACCAGCAAAGTTTCAGATGCTTTATCCCCAGCCAACCAGCTATCTTTTCTTCGGGGACTGCTGACATGAGTGACTGCTAATGTGATAACCAGTGAGATGAGCTACTCTGGGACAGATGTGCAACCTAACCCCCAAGTGGAGGAGGCGGCTGCAGACGGCTGCAGCTAAGGCCAACTGAGATGCTGAGTGGACAAACGAAAACAACAAAAAAGGCAAACAGACAGAATCGACAGCAAGAGCACTGGACGGAGTGAAACCCCAAAGGGCAAATCTCCTTACCATTCGTAAAAGGAAATTCAAATTAATTTTTAAAAATTCTATCGATATAAACAGATAAGCAAAGAATTAAGAGAATTTGTAGAAAATCTGAGCTAATTCCCGGTAGGTTTTTTAAATTGAGAAACAATTCATATACCACAAAATTCACCTTCTAAAGTATACAATTCGGTGATTTTTAATATATTCATAAAGTTGCGTGATCATCAGCACTATCTTAACTCCAGAACGTGATTGCCCCTAAAGAAACCCTGTACCCATTAGCAGCCACTACTAAATCCCTTCCCATCCTGGTTCCTGGCAACCACGAATCTTCTTTCTATACCGATTTATTTGACTATGCATGACATTTCCCATAAATGAAGTCATCTGTGACCTTTTGTGTCTGGCTTCTTGCACTTGGCACGATGTCTTCTAGGTTCATCCATGTTGTGGCGTGGGTCAGTACTTCCATTTCTTTTTATGGCTAATATTCCACTGTGTGGATAAACCGGATTTTGTTCATCCATTCATTCATCAGTTGATGCACACTTGGGTTGTTTCCAATTTTAGCTATTATGAATAATGCAGTTATCAACTTTCATGTACAGGTTTTTGTGTGAATATATGGTTTCAGTTTTCTTGGGTTTACACGTTGGTGTGAACTTGCTGGTCATGTGATGCCAGCAGGTTTTTAATGGGAAATCTGCCTTCTAAACAGATGCAGTTAAAGAGGAACTAATTTCATCTCACATAAGATATGAGGCAGTAGGCAAAAAAGAAACACAAATCATGCAGCATGGAAAAGGGTAGTACACAATAACAACAGCAGTTAATATGTTGAGCCCCTCCTCTGCACCATGTACCATGCTAGAAAATTTGGACCTGCGGTTTAATCCTCATTCTCACAATAGTCCTGTAGTGTTATCCTCATTATCCTTCTTCTACAGAGGAAGGAATGATTCAGACCCTGGGATGCTAGTCTGCCCACGATTTTACATCCTGAGAGAGCACAGATGTGAAGTTGGCTCATGTGGCCTGCTTGGAGGAGGTAGGAAAGGAGAGGAGACTGCTGGAGCATCCCTAGGAACCATCTATGGTCTAAATTCCTCCTCCAAAGCGGCCCCCATCAAATCAACAACAGTAAACGATATTCTTCTTTCAGAGAACACATAGAGAAGCCAATTCTAAAAGGGAAGAAAGTCCAGTTTGAATAGAGCCTCTATCCCGAGGGCAAGTGAGCAGCAATTCGGAATTTGTGAGAAGTGACTTGCCAGTCCTCTGGTCCCAGAACTGGGGTGAGCTGAAGGTGACCAGAGACTGGGGACAAGTGGCCAGTTAGGAGGCTGTCAGAACAGACTAGGAAAGAAATATGGCCAGTGGGGATGCCAAAGGAAGAGCCGGGAGTGGAGGATGGGGCGGGGGGGCCTCCAGAATGCTTCACAAGCCTGAATGCAGAGGGTGGCCAGCTAACGGTAGGAGGTAAAATCCATGCCACATGTCACCGATGGAAAACAAGTCTGACAGAGGGCTCTCCCCTTCCTATTTGCCTCTTTCCAAGGGCAACTGTGAGTTGCTAGACTTCTCAAATAAGGCCTTAATGGCTTCAATGTTTTATGAACCTCTTACATTTCTTAGAGTCAATAAAGACAAATAATATCATTCAAAAGCACGTGGTGAGCATCTCCCTGATGTCTCCCTGCAGAGGCTGGAATAGTGAATGCTCTGCACACAATGGATACTAAGTGAGCACTGATTGACAGAAGAAATTATATTCCCATTAGAACCACACAGCTGTGTTTTCAATTCTGCTGATTCAATATTTCCCATCAGAAACAGCTTCTGGTCTTTCAGTATGACAACCAGTTTACTCTCGTGCACATCAATGCACAAAGTATATGTAGTTGTCTTTTGTGATCAAAGAGAATGCTGTCCTGCGTAGCAATCTGAGGCACACCAACAATGATTCCAAGAGCAATCCTTTCCTCTCTTTTTCTCAGGCTTGTGGGGATGTTAAATCTAGCAATCAAAGTAAACAGAAGCAAGGCTGGCTCTTCCAGTCATAAAAAAACAAACAAAAAAAGCCAAAGGATATGGGATATATTGGAAACTCAAGGTCAAAAAGGCTCATTAGCCAGGTGTGACCAACTAGACCTCTATGTCCAGCGCAGTAGCCACCAGCCACATGTAGCTATTTAATTAGTTAAATAAGATTGGTCAGGTGCAGTGGCTTTCACCTGTAATCCCAGCACTTTGGGAGGCCAAGTCAGGCCAATTGCTTGAGCTCAGGAACTTGAGATCAGCCTAAACAACATGGTGAGCAGTCTCTACCGGGAAAAAAAAATAGCCGGATGTGGTGGCATGTGCCTGTGGTCCCAGTTACTTGGGAGGCTGAGAAGGGAGGATGGCTTGAGCCCAGAAGGCAGCCTGGGCGACAATGCCAGACCTTGTCTCAAAAAAAAATTAGATAAAAAAATTCAGTTCCTCAGTCACACTAGCCACATTTCAAGTGATCTTCAGTCACATGTGACTAGGGGCACCACATTGGGTAGCACAGGTATAGAATGTCCATCATCATAAGAAATTCTTTTGGACACTGCTAAGCCAGGCCGACTAGGTGGTCAAACGTGATAAAATGATGTGTCTATTCTTTACCCACTGACTGATAACATAGGTTGACTTTTCTGGACAGATACCCTTAAATCAGTTTGTTTTCAGACTGTGGGTTTCACAGATCAGTAAAATCCTTTTCCTAACTTAGGGCTGCCGGGTTTGTGTTTTGTCCAGTAAGATTGCCACCAGATCACCAGGCTGCACGCCCCATCAAGGTAGGTAGGCACTGTGCCCATCTGACTGCTTGCATTAAATCCCCAGCGCCTAACACGCCTGGTTCATAGCGCATGCTCAGCAACTGAGTCAGTGATTATATATGCACACGCACATGCACACACATACATATATCCTTACCTTTTTAATTTGATCTTCAGTGAAAACTGTCACTGGCTGGCACTGGTCTGCTCAAAGATGTGTGGGTTTTATGCACACACACACACAGAGGCTAGAGTGTCACAAAATAAGTCATCTAACATTTTTTGAGAACTTTATATTAATAAACGCTTGTAACAAAATATACCAAACCAGAATGCAGAGTGTAGGTTTCTCTAAACTGACTGTACAAGTCAGAACCAAAAATGCAGGGAGGAGAAACTACCTGTTTGCTTTTCAATGGCACCAGAGTGCCCTCTTGTGGTAAAACATGGTATCTGCATAATCACAATTTCTATTTAAAAAACAAGCGTCTTTATGCTTCTAACAATGCATAAAACCTGTACTCAACTATAAAGCACTCTTGAGAAACAGTCTAAATATGTATCTAAGTAGTTTATATAAAATATGGCAAGTTGTGTTGGTGAAAAAAATAATTAAGATTTGTCACAGGACTATGCGGTGAGGCCACCCACATACCTAGGAAACAGCAAAATACATGAAAGCTGCTCTTGGGATTTGATATTCTAAATAGTTCCTGTTCATCTTCTGGTTAAAAAACAAATGACTTTCAAGTTCAAGGTGGTGTCATACAGTTTATTCCTTCCTTTGTCCAACATCAACAATAACCTTTGCTGCCTCCAACTCCTTCTTTCACTTTCATCTTAATAGCCCTTTTCTGGGGGGGAGGAGGGCTTCCTCATATAAACCATTCTTTCAAAGTCTGTTTTGGTTGTTTCTTTTTACACTTTACAAGCAGTGACAAATTATGTCCACAATGAGTTCTCAATTAAAAGATGAAAATGTGACCTTGATCATTTTAGAGTTTTTGCAAATTTCAACTTGATATTCTATGGCCTTCCAAGGGCAAAAGACATCTTTATTGATCAATTTCTGCTGAGACAGAACTCTCCAGTTCTACTGATTTAACGACGTGGAATATTTCTTCAAGTGACAGTAGAAAAAGCTGATTTACCCATGATGATTCTATTAAGTGTGGTCTCTGTCAATAGAGAAGAATCACTATTTGAATGAGACCTCAAGATGCTTACAAATTCTAAATCAACACCCCAATCTGAGGGTTCAGAGGAAGAATCATTAAAAGGTAGTATCCGATTACAACTAACCCCTAGCCTCTGATTCTCCTGGGTATTTGTTTAAAATGTAGGTTATTCCTTGGATCTACTTAAGACTTTAAACCACATCTCTCTGGAGCTTGGTAATGAGCATTTTTATTAAATTCCCCAAGTACAAGCCCCGGTGTACACAATAAGCAATTTCAGTTTTGAGTAACTGCCAGGGAAGGAATGTCCCCCTTTCTGTTTGTTGACTGCCTTCTGATTTGTTTGAAAGCTTTTTTCTTCTTGCATTATCTTGACCATTCCTGGTATGAAGGATGTTGTCTTGTTTCTCCTCAGTTTCATCTTCTGCAGAAGAAGAAACCATGCCAGGCGGCAGTCTCTTACTGTTCATGGCTTCCATGGCTTTACTCTGTTCCCTTTTTCTCTCACAAGTCATCAGCTCAGATCTAAAAATACTCTAAGGGTAAATCCACTGGTGAATAAAATGGTTCCAATGTGCCATATTCCTTTCTTTAGAAAGCAAGAATTACCTCCATATATGAATCTAAAGAATCAATTGTTATCTATGCTAGAAAAATAAAGACCATTAATAAGTGCAATATTGAAATGGGTGAACATCAATTTAGAGACAAGTACTAAACTAGCAAAGTTTTTGCTAGGTTTCCTCCAGAACATAATACCATTTATAGACCTTCTAGGACAAACCATCTTTTATTGACATTAACAGAAGAAGATAATCACATTTTTTATAAAGGCAGGCAAGGTTTTCATTATAAGCTGTTCTATAGTATTTGTATATGTGGTTTTTAACCTTGTGCATATGCTACTTTGATTTCTTCGACAGCTGAGAATGAAGGAGAAAAACCTCATATCTAGATCAATGTCTTATATTTTATTTCCAACATTTTGGACTAATTTTGAAGTAAGAGCAAATAAAGTTTCACATTTGCTGAGTATTTGTTATGTACAAAGTGTTACTTTAAAGGTACTACTGGATATGCACTCATTCAAAAAGCTGGAATATGTTCCACAAAGATTGGTTCCACAAATATCTTTTGTTCCACGAAGATTTCAAAGTGTGGAATGTGTTCCACAAAGATTTTCTGCTGAAGAGCAACTTCAGCAGGGTAGTAAAGAGGTAGAAAAATCTCCTAGGTTGAATAACTGAGGCTACTGAAATTGGCATGCAAACAACTAGACACATTATCTAACCCATCATAGATGAAATGTTCTGGACTCTGGGTTCCTGCCAAATATAATAGCAACACAGGCCAGGCGTGGTGGCTTATGCCTGTAACACCAGCACTTTGGGAGGCTGAGGCGGGAGGATCCCTTGAGCTCAGGAGTTCGAGACCAGCCCGGGCAACATAGTGAGACCTCATCTGTGCTAAAATTTAAAAAATTGGCCAGGCGTGGTAGCACGCACCTGTAGGCCCAGCTACTTGGGGGCTGAGGTGGGAGGATTGCTTGAGCCCAGGAAATCGAGGGTGAGGCTGCAGTAAGCCCTGATCATGCCACTGCACTCTAGCCTGGGTGACAGAGCAAGACCTTGTCTCAAAAACAAAACAAAACAAAACAAAACAAAAATAGCAACACAAGTTAACATCTGATTCTCCATACCGAATATCTTTCCTATACCATTGTCCATCTCGGACTCAGGTTAAGCAATGTGTCTGGCTCATTCACACAACAGTTGAGTGTGGGGCGGGAAGTGTGACAACCAGCAGTCAAAAATCTTAGGTTCAAATTCTGACTGGCTCAAGATTTGTGACTCAACAAAGAATTCACTTAACTTCTTTCACCTGAAGTCTCCATACATGAAAATGGGGACCGCCAGTACTCCCTCCATGAACAACACGGGGAGGGGCCGGGAGGATGATGTGGATGTGAATGATCCCTGACAGACACTCAGTAAATGTTTAATGAGTCTGTTATCTAAGCACTATCCTCAAGGAGAACCAGCAGACTCCTCGGGAAGGTAAGTGGCTTGGGACAGTCCCTTTCCAGGAATGGTGACCGCCACCAACAATATCAATAATCCAGCACAGACTGGAGCTCAGTGACACAAACTGCTCTGTTGTTATGTTAGACACAATGACTTCCTTCTAACCCTCAGACTCTACAATGATGTGGATCTGGATTTTCCCAAATTAAACACAGTGAAAAGGAACTACCTGTGTTCCCCAAGGGCTAAGTACCTGCATCAACCTCTCACCATGCACCACTCGCAGCACTTTCTGTGCACGTGGGGTCACACTGACTCACCCCAACATCCCTAATGCGGTGGGCACTCTAATCATGCCCATTTTACAGAGGAGGGACTGGAACTCGGAGACCACTCTGCCCAGGACCACACAGCTCGTCAGCAGCAGAGCTGGGGCCTGGCCTCAGAGCACATGCTCAGCCACTCTGCTATAATTTCTCTGGTGGAAATCACAGTGAAAGTCCCGTCGTTTCAGACATATGCTGGGATTCTAAACCTTATGCAGTCTGTACCTACTCTCATGAGAACAACAGTAAAGTCTAAATAAAACCTTAAAAGTCACTGTGTGGCTGAGCTTCAGGTTAGTGACATGTTTTTCTTAAAAGTCAATTTAATGTCAAAACATGCCCCCCCATGATAGAGAGAGTAGCGCCACGTTACAGATACTAAGACTCAAAGAACATGTGCAAAAGACAAAGAACCAAAATTTTCTGATAGCAAAATCTTTCACAGCTTCCTCTTGTCCAAAGAAAAACTGAAGATAAATCCACACTCCAAACATGTCTTTAGTTTAGAATTCTGACAGATGACTTGGCAGTGAGTGTCAAAAACTTAAGTGTACATAACCTATGACCCTACAAATTCCACTTCTCAGATCTTACAGAAATACTAATACAAGTATACAAAGAAATCTGTGCAAGGATGCTGACTGCAGCAGTGTTTGTTAAGAGCAAAAACTAAAAACAAGCAGACTATCCATCCACTCGGCTAAACACATGATGACAGACACTCAATGGAACGCCACGCAGCCAGTTAAAAGAATGAGGTAGCTCCAGCTTCACTGACACAAAGGATTCTCTTAGATATACTCTTAAGCAAAAAAGCAAGTGACAGGATGTGTGTGGTATAATCCTATTTTATTAAAAATAAACTGTGTGTGTGTATACGTGTGTGTGTGTGAGACAGAGATGTAAAGACATAGAAAAGGGCCTAGAAAAATACATAAACTTCCCTTGGGAGGTGGAAATTGAGGGAGGGGGTCTCTCATGTTCTACATTGTGGATGTCTGTATTTGCTTGAAATTATTTATGAAATAATATAATATTTTGAAACAAAAGATTTTGGAGGCTAATTTTCTAAAGGGAATAGCATAGCTTAGATATGCCCCTAAACTGAAATGTAAACTTTTTTCCCATTTGCAAACCTGTGAGTACGTAGTAAGAGAAACATTGCCACAAAATCCTCTTTTAAAAGCTCTTTCAGGACACTAAATTAAGTCATTCATTTCTGAGATTTTAAAGGCCAACAATGTCTCTATTTTCAGACTATGTCACAAATGACATAAATGCCAAAATTATAGATCTTAAGAAGACAACACATAAAATACAGACTTAGACAAAACAAATGACTAAAGCTGCATAGTTCTGCTAGACTTTATTCAAAACTGGCTCTATTCTTAATTATTTGAGAGACCTAAAATTCTAGTGTTCAAATGTAAATACCCATCATATACTGAAAAGTCATCTTCAAATTTGTGTTCTGACCCAAATTTGGCTCAATTAAATCATACGAAAGTCAGACAACACAAATGGTTACACCTCAGCATATAACAAAATCCTGGAAGCAGCATAGCAAGTGAGCTATGACATCATTTAACTCTCAAACAGAACTGTAATCTTAAGTTACACACACCACAATACACCTTTGCACAGGTAATTTTATTCTCTCCTGTGGGTGTTGACAGTGCTCATTGATTGAAATTTGAAACGTTCAGAAATCCCATACCTGAAGATGGTCACATATTCTTTACATCATGATTCAGTAACTATTCAACAGTTATGTCTACTAAATACAGTGAACAAAACAGTATAAATGTTTACACCATTCCCCTGTGAACAGGGCTTTTGTGCACAATAGTAACAAATGGAATTAATGCATACCATGATATCAATAAGGAAGAGACCTTCTCTTTAAATAAACTATTTTGTTTATAAATAAACTCTGATTTTTTTAGTACACATTTACAGACCTGATCAATAAAAAGAAACTATATATATATATTTTTTCCTTTAAAAAGAAAATGTTGAGATACAGACCACTGTGGGAGAATTCACCTAGGAAAGGGCGTAAGAAGCAAGCAAAGGATACTAGAGTTAAAAGTACGACCATACTGCAACTTATTTCTGTTAGCACACACAAACACAAGGACAGGATTGTCGGGGGAGGAGCCCATTTTCACTTGAATTCCAGCAAGTTGCAATCAATCTTGTAGTACACATAGGGGTAGTATTCTTGTTGACTCAGGTTTAAACCTGGAATATCCATAGGAGCCTATGGAAAAAACAGACAATTATTCAATTTTGTATTTACAGAACTCAAAAAAAGAAAGCAAGTATTAACATTTACCTTTTTATTGAACATCTACTCTGGGCTAAATGTATGCACTTAAGGCTAATTTATCTGAGTTAGACATTATTCCCATTTTGCAAATGAGAAAACAATCTCTGAAAGACTGACTTCTCCTAGGAAACACAGACAGTGAGTGGTAAAGCCAGGTTCAAGCATTCTGACTGCATATGTATTTAGCATGATCCCACCAACCTTTTTTATGTATACTGTAAAAATTAACTTTTTAAATCTTGGACTTAGAATACTGAGTTGATGGGATACAAGACTTACAAAATATGGAGTAAAAATAAAGCAAGTATGATTTATAAGTAATACTTATTCTGTAATATCAGCACTTTGAGAGGCCAAGGCCTTGAGCCCAGGAGTTCAAGACCAGTCTGGGCAACATAGTGAGACTCTATCGCTACAAAAAATAAAAATAAAAACATTAACCAGCAGTGGTACTGCGTGCCTATAGTCCCAACTACTTGGAAGGCTGAGGTGGGAGGATCACTTGAGCATAGAGGTTGAGGCTGCAGTGAGCCAAAACCATGCCACTGCATTCTAGCCTGAGCAACAGAGCCAAAAAACAAGCAAGGATAACACTTATTATAAATGCATGTTATAAGAATTTACTGCTAGAACATTTATGTATCAAATAATTATACCTCTCATTTTATCCACAATTGCATGAAAGTGGAGCAAGTTGGCCGGGGGCAAGGTGGCTCACGCCTGTAATCTTAGCACTTTGGGAGGCCGAGGTGGGCGGATCACCTGAGGTCAGGAGTTCAAGACCAGCCTGGCCAACATGGTGAAACCGCAGCTCTACTAAAAATACAAAAATTAGCCAGGCATAATCCCAGCTACTCAGGAGGCTGAGGCAGGAGAACTGCCTGAACCCAGGAGGCAGAGACTGCAGTGAGCCAAGATCACGCCACTTCACTCCAGCCTGGGCAAAAGAGCGAAACTCCATCTCGAAAAAAAAAAAAAAAAAAAGAAAAAGAAAAAAAGTGTAGCAAGTCATTTCCCGCATTTCCTTCTATCAAGAAAAACTGATTTTTCATAGTTCTAATTAATGCCTATGTGAGATGCTACCATCTACCCTAAACTTTTAAAGAGAAAAAAAAAAATCAGCAAGATATTTAAAACCAGAAATATAAAGTAAAAGCCCACTACAATTTTTTTTTTTTTTTTTTTTGGGACGGAGTCTCCCTCTGTCACCCAGGCTGGAGTGCAGTGGCGCAATCTTGGCTCACTGCAACCACCCCCCGAGGTTCAAGCGATTCTCCTGCCTCAGGCTCCCGAGTAGCTGGGATTATAGGTGACCGCTGCCACGCCCAGCTAATTATTGTATTTCTAGTAGAGACGGGGTTTCACCATGTTGGCCAGGCCGGTCTCAAACTCCTGACTTAAGGTGATCCCCCCGCCTCGGCCTCCCAAAGTGCTGGGATTACAGGCGTGAGCCACCACGCCCAGCGGCCCACTACAATTTTAAACAGCAACAACAAAAAAACACAAGTAACTCTGTTTATATCTTCTTTTGTTTAAAAAATAACAGTTTTGTTTAAAAGAAGATATAAACACATAATACATTTTTTGGTCTGTTTTTTTTTTTCTTTTTTCAGATGGGATCTTACTATGTTACCCAGGTTGGTCTCGAAGGCCTGGGCTCAAGTGATCCTCCCGCCTCAGCCTCCTCAGTTGCTGGGACTACCAACATGTCCCACCACGCCCAGCTACGCCATTTTAGAAAAATGAACCTACCTTGAAAATACTCATCTATTGACTCTATCGCTTCTACCAAATAAAATTAAAATAACTGCTTATTTTCTTCCTCTCTGCAATTTATAGTTTTTGTAAATAACTAGTATCACTGGTTTCTGTATTTCTGCAGCTATAAACATCTGATACACAGCAAGATAATTACTAGCTTGTAGAAATGCCAAGAAGCAAAACACAGATATAATTAGTATAAAACAGGGTAAACAATGTAAATTACTATGTTTACATAACAAATTGAGAACCTCAAAGTAATAAAAAATGATTAAGTTTCATACTTACCCTCCCTTTTCTGTCTATCTTCTTTCAATCATTTTTTTTCTGAAATTCACTTCAATTCTTACTCTACTGGGCTAATAAGTACTTACATCAATAATAGCTGCTGCACTGCTGTCTAGATGTTTATACAATTCATGTAATACTTCTCTCAGTTTCTTCAAAGTTTTCTTATTGGGCTGAAGTAGCATTGCTTGGAAGTTCACTGGCAAGCCATACCTTACAAAAAAGCAGAAATACAGTACGCAATACAAGCAAACATGTAAAGAGATTTTCTTTTCAAAGCAAATATTCTCATACTCTTTAATCATGGTTAACGGGGAGAGAATATCTCCCTTTACCTTTACAAGTTCAACTAATATATATAGAAACTGAAACTAATATACACAAAAAACTTCAATATAAACAGAAACGCAAACCTTTGGTCCCCACTGTCCACTAGAAATCTCTACGCCAATTACTAGGAATTACTTCAATTACCATTCATTTTTTTTTTCTTTTGAGACGGATTCTTACTGTTGCCAGGCTGGAGTGCAGTGGTGCAATCCTGGCTCACTGCAATCTCCGCCTCCTGGGTTCAAGCCATTCTCCTGCCTCAGCCTCCTGAGTAGCTGGGATTACAGGCACATACCACCATGCCCAGCTGATTTTTCTATTTTTAGTAGAGACGGGGTTTCACCATGTTGGCCAGCATGGTCTCAATCTCTTGACCTCATGATCTGCCCGCCTTGGCCTCCCAAAGTGCTGGGACTACAGGCATGAGCCACCACGCCTGGCTTACCATTCAATTTTTAAGGTAATATATGAATATCCTCAGGAAATAAGAAGAAGTAAGGTCAGCAGATACTTTTATGGTAATAGCATGAGGTTACCCACATATAGTTTGAAAATTTGAAAAAATTTAAAAATAGTGAGCATGGTTACATGTAAGTTTTGGGGTGTTTTTTTGTTTGTTTTGTGTTTTGTTTTTTCAGGCGGAGTCTCGCTCTGTTGCCCAGGCTGGAGTGCAGTGGTGCAATAGTGCAGTGGCACAATCTCGGCTCACTGCAACCTCCACCTCCTGGGTTCAAGTGATTCTCTGCCTCAGTCTCCCAAGTAGCCAGCACTACAGGCGCGTGCCACCACACTTGGCTAATTTTTTTATATTTTTAGTAGAGACAGGATTTCACCCTGTTAGCCAGGATGGTCTCAATCGGACCTCGTGATCTGCCTGCCTCAGCCTCCCAAAGTGCTGGGATTACAGGCGTGAGCCACTGCACCCGGCCAAGTTTTGGGTTTTTTAAAACTATTTCTAATATGAGCAACCCATACATTGGACCAGAATATGATTTTTTAAATATCTCAAAATATTAAAATACTTTAGGTTAATATGAAATGATTTCAATAAGTCATTAGCATACTATGTATCCAATGACATATAAAACACCTGAAGGATCTTCCTTTTAAACAAATATTGGTTAATATTTAATCTACTTTTAAGTACCTACACAAGAAAAAGAACCTGAGGGTATGGCAGCATAAATCTCTTTTTCTAAACCTGGTGCTAAAGAACAAGACTAATATGCATTTTATAAGCTGTATGATGATACTGATAATCTCTGTCTCATGATTGGCCCTTTGATTTCTCCAAATCAATTTCCTATTGCTGGACTGTGTTATAATAAAGAGGTCCAATGTAAGGAATCTATGAACTCTTCAGTTCCAAGTTTGGCAATTAACTTGCTTTACCTTAAAACAGACTCAACGAAAACCCGTAATGCTTTCACGTGAATCCATGCAATAAATGCTTCACTAAAATTCACTTTCAGCCACCGTACAAGTGGTCCCTATAAAAAGAAAAAAAATTACCACAAATTTGGTCTTAGAAATAGCAATTAGATAGACCAAATATTTTTTTAAGTGACTACCTATTAGGAATCTATAGAAGAATTAAGTCGCATAATTCACTTTCTACATGTTTCACTATTATTCTCATTATCTCAGATACCTTATCTTAAATTAGATTAAAAGGTTCGCCACTACAGAGAGATCTCAACAGACACTAAAATGCATTGAACCAATTCACTAACACAGAAAAAGGTATATATTTTAATAAAAGTAGTTAAAATGGTACAAAATATAGAAATGCCTTAGGTTGGAAAATCAAAATATAAAGATCTGAATTTACTACACAACACTCTAAAACATTTAATACATGTAAAATGAAATTCAACTTACAAACAACTTCTTAGTAACAAAGATAAACAGTTATGTAGGCAAGTCATTTAACAGCACTAGCTCTTAGTTTTCCCATCTGTAAAAAAGGGAGTTGGTCTAGACATCTAAAACCTCTTTACATTCTAAATTGTATAGCGTTAAGTTCTTTTTAAACTTCAAATATTTAGTAGGATTAAGCGGATTTCAAATACCTCCTCTCTCCATACTTAAAAGATTCAGCTAACACTTCCTTGGATAACATTATTAGGCTCATTTGGATGTACCAAACAATTAATTTAAGCAAAAGGATAGCAAAACAAGTGAAAATCTTGTCAAAATATCTATTTTTTAAAAGGATTTTGGGTTTGCCCTAAAAAGCTGGTTATTTTGACATTACTTGGTTAGAATGAGTTTCCTCCTAGTTGAGATGATATGGCTTATAAAGTACTTGGAAATAATTTTCAATATTTCCCTTAATTTCCTCTTACATTATTAAGAGAAACACATTTTCACTCATTATGTTTCCCTTTCCAAACAAGCTTTTAGTCTTCACAGTAATCCCACACTTGAAGATGGCAAGAAAGTTAACACCATCTTTGATTTTCACAATTCCACTCGTTTCCCATTACACCTAGAACACACCAATTCTCCAATAGCTTAAATACAAATTGCTTCAATAAAAGATTGAGGCATTGAAAAAATCTGCCTCAAGAAAGTGAAAAGTCTTACTGAAAAGAACTTCGTTACTTAACTAAAATCACCCTTCACCTACAAGGATGTTAACCAGAATACTGCATTTAAAATTAATGTCTGATATGGATTTAGGTGGAGTAATTTCTTTTTAAGTATGTATTTTAGGATAACTATTCTATCTACTCTATTCTATCTCAGATAGACATAAGCTTTAGAAGAAAGCTTTCTTAGAAATAGAATAGTTATCTCTAGAACAGTTAAGCTTTAGAGGAAATTCATTCTGATTATTCAATTAAAAAAAAAAACTAAAATCAAATGTCTTAAAACCAAAGCAGATTTTTACTTTCTTTTAAATCAAAGGAAAGCAATACCACTTTTTCTTCTGCTTAGTACTGATAATACTAAATATTAAAAACACATACAAATTGTTTTTTCTTATCAGTAGAAAGCCTGTTCATTTCTTCTTTATCTGCTTTCATCTCCTCTTCATTATACTGGAAGTCACGAACAATGAATCTAAATTTGGGGGAAAAAAAACAAAATTGTTCACATTGTATACAGCTGATCTAACAAAGTAAATAAACAAAAAAACAATAATCTTACTTGTTTTCTCTGGCTTTGTGTCTGAAGTCATCAACTGCCTTCCTAAACAAGGTGACATTACACAGGTAACTGTCTTGGTCCTCTGAAAGAACACTATGGAAAAAAAAAAAGTCCATTTAAAGATTTATACGTATTGCTGTCTTTCATATTAAGGGCAAAATTCAGAAACAGGTGGAAGAGAAAAGTAGGGTATAATAGCCCTTCCCAAATCACCTCAATGCTTTTCAATCTGGATTGCCTCAAACACCGAAGATACTGAATGTTTATGATTTATTTTGCTTATGATACCTTAACACTCTACATTTATTTCTTACTAACCAACAAAATTAGACATTAACTCCAGTAAAGCATCCAAACGCTAAGAACCACACTTTTCAATCAACATCAGCGCCAAGCTGCTTTGTTTCCAGTGTCTCCTTGATAAGCACACTCTTCTTTTCTGGAAGCCTAATTCTTTCTTCCTTTCTCCAGGCCAACTCAGCCCCACTGATGCCCAGCCTAGCCTCTCTGCATTGCCAGTACCTTAAACCTTGGATCTTTCCTTTGCTCCCATGACATCTCTCAATCAAAAACTGACAGGCTGGGTGCAGTGGCTTATGTCTGTAATCCCAACACTTTGGCAGGCTGAGGTGGGTGATTGCTTGAGTTCAGGACTTTGAGACCAGCCTGGGCAACATGGCAAGACTGTGTCTGTACAAAAAATACAAAAACTAGCCAGGCGTGATGGTGCATGCCTGTAGTCCTAGCTACTCGGGAGGCTGAGGTGGGAGGATCACTGGAGCTGGGGAGGTTGAGGCTACAGTGAGCTGAGATTGCACCACTGCACTCCAGCCTGGGTGACAGAGTGAGTCCCTGTCAAAAAAAAAAAAAAAAAAAAAAAAAAAAACCCTGATGAACACAACTGTCTAAATAATCTCTGAATAAAAGTGCCTGTATGCATCTCATGGCTCCATTTTAGGCTTTAGAAGGTCCCAGTGAGGTCAGAACTTCCATTCAGTCACAGCTCCATGGACATCACTAGAAAGACCTTTCCAGACACAACTGCCAGGTAATTTTAATGGTCATTTAAATCTGTAATACCTTGGGTGAAAGTCCACTGTTTGAAAGGTGAATGGTATCGCTTGTGATAGTATGGTCCAAATTTGGCTTTCAGAATTTACCTATAGTGCCTCCTGTATAGAAGTCCTTATGTGAGGTCCACAAGGCTGCACAGGCAGCTGTTCCACAGCGATAACCTTGGGGCAGGGGAATGTTACTGAGGGGAATCTCTTCTCCTTTCTGTCTTTCACATACTGGAGTTCTTCTAATGTTTAGTGTTTTTTAAACAGCTTTACTGAGATATAATCGTTATACAGAAAACTGTACGCATTTAATGTCTATAATCTGAAGTGTGGACATACGCATATACCCATGAAACCATCACCACAATCTAGACAATAAACATACCCCTCACTACCAAAAGGGTCCTTGTGCCCTTTTGTTGGTTGTTTTCTTTGTTTTTTAATGTTCAGTTTTACAATGTGGTACTTCTGAAATCAGAAAAAGGAAATTTTACAAAATGGAGGAATGCTGGGGAATTTAAAGATACTATATTAAAAAAATGTTTAAAGCAAGTGTAGTTTTTCCTGAAGCCTAAGAACCACCTGTTTAGCCAAGTAAATTCAGGAGGCAATTACAGTGTTAATCACAGAATGGCTTTAAGTACTGAATCTACCCTACTCCTCGTCAGCCAGCCAGCAGGGGCACCTCCCTAGTGTATGACCAGCAGACACCTCCAGGAGTACTGATCACTGTAATCGCTGACATGCAGAGAAAACTCAAGTACTCTGGATTTAGAACCTCCTGTTAAACTGTATCTTCTCAAAATGATTACCCTTAATTCTTGCTCCTGGTGTCCATCAAACCCAATGAAGGGCAGCTACCAAGTGGACAGAGCTCGATTTAAAAAACCGTTTAAGGATCTTCTGCTTTGCCAAGATTTACTCAGTGATGTGTGAACTGCTTGAGATCAAAACAAATCCAAATCTAACTTGACAGGCTATTTCAGGGCCACAAATAATGTTTTACTGTTATCATAGTAATCTTTTAAACTTATCCAACACTTTGCTGTTTTGAAGACCCTTCCAAAAGCATTTGGTGCTTGACATGGCCCTGTGTCAATGAACAGGTTACCTATTAAGCAGGTTCCTAGCTATTGTGCAGAGATCTGGGACACAGCAAATTCCTATGGCTTACTCAAAATCCTGATGGTGAAAAAAGCCAAGATAAAACCTCCATCTTATCTTATAACTAAATCCTACTATGCCACCTTATTATGAAAAACAAATAAAAGCCACTTGCTTTCCCTCTTTCCCCTAAGGAAAGGTATTTCTTAAAACTGTTTAAAAAATAAACCACGAGTCCTTACTATAACAGACTTGTAGTCATTTAACATGTACTGAGACTCTGTAATGCAAGCACTTGCTAGATATTAGTATAAAACTAAGACAGCATTTCCTGATCTCCAGGTATGGGTTTAGTAAAGGAAACAGGCATACACAAGTAACTGCAATATAGAGTTGTAAGTGCTGCAATAGAAAATATACATGATACACTGGGGAATTAGTAACTTTATCTGAGGGGATTCAAAGGAGTTTCACCAAAGTGGTGATACCAGGTGGAAGTTTGAAAGAAAGACAAAAAAGAGAAGAACGTTCCAGACAGAACCCCATATGCAAATGAATATAGATGTGGAATAACATGGTGCATCTGAGGAATTGCCAGAAATAAGTATAACCGGGGCTCAGCATGGTAGCTCATGCCTGTAATCCCAGCACTTTGGGAGGCCAAGGTAGGCAGATCACTTAGAGGTCAGGAGCTCGAGACCAGTCTGGCCGACATAGTGAAACCTCACCTCTACTAAAAATACAAAAATCAGCTGAGTGTGGTGGCACATGCCTGTAATCCCAGCTACTTGGGAAGCTGGGGAAGGAGACTCACTTGAACCCGGGAGGCAGAGGTTGCGGTGAGCCAAGATCACACCTCTGCACTCCAGCCTGGGTGAGAGAGACTGTGTCTCAAAAAAAAAAAAAAAGAAAGAAAGAAAAACAATATATATATACATATATGGCTGGGACATAGGGTACAAGAAGAGGGTGTGTGGGTGTGTGGGTGTGTGTGTGTGTGTGTGCGTGCTGGGGGCAGGCAGTCAAAATGGGGAGGGACAAGCAGGGTTTTAGACGGGAAAGCAACACATTTGTATGTCACAAAGATGAAAACAGCAGCAATGTGGAGGACTGATGAGAGGAGAAAAGGAGACCAGCTAGGGTCAATTACCATGGTCCAGGCAAGGGATGAGGGAGTCAGAGCTGGAGCAGTGGCAGTGGGTCTTGGGGGAGTGGGGAGAGTAGATTTAACCCTATGAAATTGTAGATATTTGACCATTTTCTGACCTACAAAACATCAATTTTTAACGGTTCAACCAAATACTATGGAAGGTGGAAATGACATAACTGATTAGACTATTTCAGGTGGGGGGCCGGTGGGGGGAGGGGGGTGCAAGGGCAAAGGAAGATTCCAAAATCACTGACTACCACACTTGCGGTTTGGATCACTGGGCAGATGTTGCTGCCATATACTACAGGGCAACTAGAGAGTTTGAGTCTGAGATTGGGGTGATAGTGTCAGTTACCTAGGAAATACCACATGGAGTGGTCCAGTAGGAACCAGGTATGTGGTTGGGGGGAAGGCTGGCTACAGACGAAGATTTAGCAGTCCGAAAACTGCAGGTGAGGCTAGAGCCATGGGTGTGGTTGAAGTGGTACTGACAGGAGAACAGACCATCTCCCTCAGAAACTCTGAAACATAGAGAAACTTCTGGACAGTGGCCAGTATCATTCTTCCTGCACTTCTTAGCTAGGCTCCTCTGCTTCACTGGGGACTCCAGATCCCTAAAGAAAAACCTCTGTGAAGCATCCATGAGTTTGTGATGTTGCTTCCAATGACAGAGAAAAGGCAAAAGTTAACCAGTGATCTGACTCAATCAGACTATTTTAACAAGCAAAAGCAGACAAAAAAAAAAAAAATAGGAAAGTGGTAATTCTGAAAGGACAAGTGAAAAGCACCTCTTTCTGAACAGTGTTTCAACAAAAAAAAGCAGAACAGCAGCACAGCCTCCACTTCTTTGGCCACAGCCTTGGCATGGCATTTATACACATTGCTGCATTTAGCCTCACAGCAATGGTAGTATTTCAAAACCGTCCAATCTTTGTAGAATATTTTATAAATAGTTATATTTTGTGAACTTTAAAATTCTTTCAGGTTTGAGGACAGTTAGAAGAATAGATTGAAAAATATTAGATTGAATATTAAAGTGAATATTTTTCAATCTACCTCAAAATTCCACTTTCATCTTCACTGCTCCCAACAATAATCACTCAAGTTATCATACCAAAAAGTAATGTGTTACTACCTATAATTAATTAACTTGTGTAAAGCACATAGAACAAAGACTAGCTCACAGTAATTACTCAAAAATGCTGGTTGTGATGATAAGCCAAAAATTCAGCATCAGGTCATAGAGATCTTTCCTAAATGGCAGACAATATTCCAGGCTCACTCAAAAAAGCCTATTTGCCCCTACATGAACTGCACATACTCTTGATGGTGCTATTTGAGCTAGTGCTATGTTCTCTCTGACTAAATTTAAACAGGTAAGTTTTTGAGTCAGTGATTCCAAATGTACTTTGAACTGAGAAATAGGTAGAAAAGATGTTTTCACTGAGCAAGGAAAGGCTGGAAGCTCTCGGAAGATTAGTGTGCACTTACAAGTCACTTGCAAACAAGTCTTGACTGCATTAAACTGTTCCCTTCCTGAAATTTGCCCTTTAAACTACTAAAGTGACTGTCCAAAGATCTAAATCTCTGATGGAATATTTTTAAAGTCTTTCTATCAGAGTAAATCTGAGCTTACTTAATGAGCCTACAGACCATCCCCCTGGACATCTGGGTTGGCGTATGTCCATCTCTGGAGGACATTCTGGGTGCACCACGTCCTCACTCTCCTCCTCTACCTGCCTCCTAGACACAGAGTCAACCTCTACGGCTCTAATGCCCTAAAGATCTGTCAGTATCAACAGCCTAAGTGAGCCATCAATATCAAGACACAACTGTAGTCTTCAGTTTACCATGTGAAGAGCTGGTATGAAGGAAAGATATTCCTCCAAATGAAAAAAAAAACATTCATGATGAGCACAAGTTTGTTGTTAAGTTCCTAAAAGATCAACATTTGTGAAAATACAGTAACATTATCTTGTATTTTGAATACTCCATTAAGTCTTAAAATAACTTCATAATATATACAAGGAAGGTGCTATGCTCCATTTACAGACAAAGAAAATGAGGCCCAGAGAAGTTAAAAGACTTACCCCAGGTCACACAGCAAGTTGGTAGCAGAACTGAGGCAGGAAATAGGGTCTGGAGGCAGGGAACCTAAGGTTGTTTCACCCCGGTTTCCTAGAACTAAATTGAAAGGAAAACCCTAACTTTCCACGCCTAAGTAACAAAAGGACCAGAGGCTACTCCTTTTGACCTTTCCTGCATGGCAGATGGGAAATTGGCTGTCTGCAACAAATCAGACTGATTGGGAGGCCGAGTCTTCATTCGCATAGAAGTATAACTTTGTAACTTCACCCTAGCCTCTGATTAGTTGCCTTCTGCAACCAATCAGATATTTGCACAGGAGTGTGACCTTTGTAACTTCACTTCAGCCTCTGGTTGGCTGCTTTCTGCAACCAATGAGGCTCACTGCAGGCTACCACGTCATTTACATGAGGTGAGCATGAAGTGGCCAATGGGAAACTTGTAGGAGTTATTTGGACCCAAGAAGATTCTGTATCCAGGCCCTTGAGCCACTGCTCAGGTCTGCTCCTACACTGTGGAGTGTACTTTCTTTCATTTTTAATAAATCCCTGCTTTCGTTCTTTTGTTGCTTCATTCTTATTTTGCTTTGCTGGGCATTTTGTCCAATTTTTTGTTCAAAACACCAAGAACCTGGACAACTCGAAGTCACAACCCTACCAGTGACGGACCCTACCAGTGACAGACTCTACTGGTGACAGAACCAGCAATAGAACTCAGATCCCTGAGTCCAGGACTCTTTCCATCATACTAAGCTACTTCCCACATGACACAATGAAACTGGAAAAGAAAATATTTCATGGGCCTGACCTTACTAATTCCACTTCTTTACTGCCTCCTATATCTTCCACCCTGCTGCCTCCCCTTGAAGCACATATATATCTATAAGAATCCTTTGGGGTGGAGATACACTGTATTTATATTTTCTCAAAGAATATCTGGTGTGGCAATGGCAGAACACAGAAAAATGACATGGAATAGTGTTAAAAGGGTACAGGACCTGGAGCTAAAAGATGTGAGTTCTAGCCCTAACTCTGCCATTGGACACTTTACACAGCCATATGCCTCAGGCAACTATTTAAGCATTTTAACTTCTTCTTCCTTGAGAATAAGAATGATAACTGTCCATACTTCTTCACAGACTTGTTGTAAATTTCAAATTAGACAATGCATGTTAAATCTATAAATTTAAAAAGTGCTTAATAAAAACAGGTTTGTTTTTTAAATAAAAGGAACACACAAATTAGGTAAAATCTAAGCTCAAAGTGATGGTGAACATCTGGAGATCAACACGGCAGTCCAGTAGCCATTCTGGTACACTTCCTTTGCCAAGTAAAATGAGGAATTATAGACACATAGTAGGTATGCAATAATGAATAAAGAATTTTCAAAAGGCAGCACAGTGAGGCAGAAAAAGTACCACACCAAAGACCTAGGTTCTAGTTCTAGCCCTGCCACAAATGAGATGTGTGATCCTGGGCAAACTATTAATACCTCACTGGCCTCAAACTTCTAAGTCTATAAACAGGAGGTTGTCAAACAGACTGTGCCAAGTCCCTTCTAGGTCTAAAATTATTACAACTAGAGTTCATAGAACTCACTCATGAGGTTAATTTATCACAAAGGCAAGACAGCAAACATATTTCCTAAGCCAACATCCAAACTCTAAAAGGAATTCTAGGAAACAAATGGTTTTACAAAGACTTCTACTTACTTGCTAGACCTTGGAACTACCATTTCGGCTAGTGTTTCATACTGCTTAATCCAGTCGTTGTGGTTTAACCTGCAGAAAAGGTACAATACACATTGGAAAAGAAAAACAAGTCCTATTTCCTGCCATATCCAGGAAGAGAAAAAATTATGAGACAAATAGGAAATCTGGCTATAGTAAGTATACTTCAACTCTATTTAACAAAAAAAATTCGGGTTTCCTACTGAGAATGAATTTCAAATACACTGAGTAATGCAGGAAAAACAGATCACCACCCTACCTCCAGTAACCATTGCAAAAGAGGCACATCCTAGAACTATGTTCGGAAAGGAAGTAAAGCACAGTATAGATTCTAAATTGTTTTCAAGCTGCATAGTTCATATGTATTGTGCCTCATTTTTTAAAAATGGTCATGCTAAAATCACTATCATTCCTGCTCAGTGGCCATTATGAAGGACTGAAAAAAAACTATATTTATGGAAAGCACAGAGTACCATGAGGTAGTAAGTAAATGAAGTGACAGTAAACTATGTTGCCACAAAACATTGTGCAACAACCTTCTCTAGAGGCCACTGGCTTCCAGGGGTGTGGGGAGAGACAACTACGTTTGAGATTGAAAACAAAGAATTATAGTGTGTATAGGCCAGAATAGAGAATAATTCATCATGTAAGATGTCCTAGGTCCTATGTTTCAATTACAAGGTACAGAAAACTGTAAAAATTTCTGGTTTTGAACCCAAGTTTTAAATAAAGGTTGAGTGAGTCAAATATTTCATCTGGGCAAAAGTTATTTTCCTACATAGTATAAAAGCACAGATACACAGAATTTGTTATAAATAATCAGTGTTTCAGTGTAGCAGACGGGAGTTATGTAACTAGAACACAAAATAAAATTTCTGGAGTGAAATCCTTAGATTTAAGGCCTTCTCCCTGTGCAAAGAAAAATCCAAAATTTTTTCTAGCATACTGCAATAAAGGGGAAAAAAATGCAGAATTGAGATACTACTGTAGCCACTGTAAATTCCATGGAGGCATCATTTTCTAGTACTCCAAATCTCTGAACCAGATAAAAATGCAGAGCACAGCAAGGAAGTCTTCACACAATGATACTCTGAAAAAGACCCAAATCTCCCACCTGAGTTTGGATCCCCCAAACATTCCCTGATAGCAAGACTCAGTGTAAGTCAAAAGTGAAACCATTAATAGTGCTACACAGACACACACAAAGTCCAGGTCTTCCTACAAGTACCCAAAGGTTTCATTTCATTTAAGATTAACTATGATCAAATATTAAATAACATAGAAGGCCTAATCCTAAGGAGATTTCAAAGGTTATCTAGTCCAGGGGTTAGCAAACTATGCCCATAGCCAAGCCTGTTTTGTAAATAAAGTTTTATTGAAACAGCCACATTCATTCGTTCACATATCATCTATGGCTACTTCAGCTATAACCACAAAGTTGCCACAGTGGAGTAGTTGTGACAAAGATCACATTGTTTACAAAGCCTACAATACTTACTATCTAGCCCTTTATAGAAAAAAATTGCTAATCTCTGATCTAATCCATTCTTTGCTTCTTACAGTGCTTAATTAAACCTAACCAGTCATAAAGATTTTTTCAGGAAAAAAACGCAAAGACCTTCCTATTTTGAGAAATCTAAAATCTGTATTTTTTAAACAATCAATAATTTAGCATTACTTATGTTTGAATGAGCCAATTCTACCAAGCTGCTAAATTTGATTTGGAAACTCAATTTATAACTGAAGTCTCCATTGCCAGGTTATGATCTAATTTCTACTTTATGTGCCACATGAGCAAATGTTGATGACAGAATGAATGGCAAGGTTATATTCCTTTTACGCTTGGATTTTATGGAAAACTTCAAACTACAATACTAGATACTAACATTTTTCTTGTATTTTAACAAGTAAAACCTTTTATAATAGAAAGACTTACTTGGGAACTACTACCAGTAATGTGACGAGATACTCTGAATCAAGAACAAAGTCATCCTTCTTCACAATTTCTGCTAGACTTCTAGTTAGCAAACTTCCTCTGAGGAATTAAAACAAATCATTAGGCTGATAATTATGTGCTTCTGTAACACAAGTAAAGAAACAGCAGGCTAATCATTTTCACATATACTATATATACATTGAGAGGGATTAGTCTTAGTCAACATTTTTACTTTGTAAGAAGTCACCATTTAGCTGAATATATCCTACCCTTGCAACCAACGAAATATCTTCTACCAAAATTTGCCTCTAGTGTTTTGTGTTTGCTTTAATTATTATAACTCAGCTCTTCTCTTGCCTACATATATAATATCTTGACTGGAAAACTATCTACTCATTAGATATCAATTAAAGTCTATTCCATCATATAATTATGAAACTATGTCATCTAAGCACAATACCTTTAGTGTTCTTCCCTCCCTTGGGTATCATTTGATACTAGGCAATTTTGGTAGCTAACCCAATAATTAACTCTTTCAAATCAGTCCTCATTTGTCTTCCAGTAATCACTTTCCCATAATAAATATGTCTTGCCCTGTTTGTATCACTCACAGTATCCAACCAACTTTCCCTCTAGGATATGAAGGCACAACTTGAATACTTTCATGCTTAAAGTTGCACTTGAAGTAGTCATAGTACAAGGGGATCAACCAAAAAAATTCAGTCCTATTTTAAAAAACCTAACAAGTGAAAAACCTAAATTCTGAAAACAGATAAGAGAATAACTATTACATCATAAAAGGATTATTCTATAGTTAAGTGATAGGTAATTACTATGCAGTTAAACTATGATTTCATTTAAAACAATTAATTTTAGACTATTTTTCAGTGAAATATCAAATGGATAAAGGAATAAGCCAGGACCCAGTTCACAAGTATTATTTATAAAACAAGTATAATAAATCAGCCTCACATCTGTTTGGACTAGTCTGAATTCTATAAACTTACCTTAGTGAGCTTTTCTCCATGAAGTAAAAGAAATACCATTTTGATTACAGAACAACATAAACTGAAACTAACTAAATCCCAACAATATCTCCTTCGGTGCATGCTAGTATGCTTCCCCAGTTCTTAGTACTCAAATATACTTGATCTGCTTACGCATTCTTTCGTTCCAAATTCTGAAGATTTCCTTTCAGGTTATTGTATGCAGATGCTCGAGATTTCAGGTCATTATCAATCTGAGTTACTCCCTTTGAAAAAGAAAAAGAAGAAAAATAGATAAAATTTTCCTAAATCTGCCTCTACTAATACTATCAAAGTAGCTAAACTTTAACTTCTACAAAAAAACCCACTAGTTTCTAGTGTAAGAATATTCTATTATTTTAAAAGCACGACTTTAGGAGGTCATTTAAAAAACAGCCGACTTCATTTTAAATATAATTTCCACATAAATCTTTTCAACTAAAAATAATGTTTTAGTCCACATGTATTTTAATTATATTACTTCTTAAACCATGGAAATGGAATCTAGGCCACTGGGTTTGGAGATTACTATTTACAAGGCTTCAATTCACAAGACTGAAGGATATTTTCCAAAGTAAACTAAATTACATGAAGAGTTTTGACTACTGCAAACATCACTATTACACAGAGTATTTTTCTATGAAATTAAAATTATAGTTGAATTTATTCATAAATGTTACAAAAGCTGTTTTTCTCAGAAGAATACTAAACTAACTACATGGGGAGAAAATGTGAAGTAAACAACATTCGAAGAACTGACTTTAACATAGCTCTAGCATTATTAGCTGTGTAGCACGAGGGTAAGTCACTTCACCTCTCTAAGCCTGCTTTCCTATCTACAACAGCATCAGGAAGCAGATGATCAAATCCTTAAGGATACAGAAAAAAAGGCTCAGTCATAGTAAGAACACCACTTTATATTATCAAGTAATGTAAATAATAGTTTCTTAAACTATAGTCATCAAATTACATGATGACTTTAGTTAAAATCTTTGATAGTCTATTTATTTACATTTAACTATACAGCACACCGCATAACTAAAGTTACTGGGAGCCAAGGAAAGTCTGTCCAATAATTTAAACTACACTTCTTGCCCCAGCCAGGTCAAATGCTGGCAAACAATTAACAGGTCCTTGTCTATTTGTCTCATTATAGTTACTGTTAAGACTTTTATTCCACAAACAGATCTTGGGGGGAAAAAGACTTTTTTTTCCTCTCAAGTTCTAGGATTTCCTTTCAAGTTCAAGGATTTCTCAATATAAAAGGAGCTCTTAACTTGGTGGGTTCATGCATCGGCTTCAAGGTCCATGTACTCCCTGAAACTACATAAAATTATGTGGCACACGAATACGGGAATTTTTCCAGGCAGAGGATCAAAACTAAATAGTCCGAAGGGGTCAGAGAATCCATAGAGTTTAATGTTTGAACAAGTATTGTATGCACATAAACATACTTCAGTGACTACTATCACCTACCTGAATGACTAAGAAATCTTAATAGACTCCAATTTCCTATTCTACACAATCTTGGGTACCCTTAAAATTTGTATAAATACAGAATTTTCACACTTTCTTAAACACTGTTGATGTAATATTTAAGTTAATTACATAACTAAGTATTCAACTTAGATAATCTACACATTAAAGTGTTATACTTTTTAACATCTTTTAATGTCTAAGTTGTAAGGATTTCTTCTGTGAAATATAATTAAGTTGCCTTATCAAAACCTAAAAAGTATTTCATAGTGAAATTATAAAATAAGCAAAGCCACTACAAATCAATGTGTCCTACTTGTCTCAAGTATTATCTTACCTTGGCAATTATTTCAGAAATATTTTTCAGGGACTGCTTGATTGGATATTTGGCCATGTCCCACTGGAACCTTGTTATATAAGTAACCAAGTCCACTGAAATAAGGGAATAAATTAATTACTGAAGAAAAACAATAGAATTGTTCAGTTTTTTACACAGCGATATATTTTAATGCTGAAATTGGCATTGAGGAAATCAGCAAAGATGTCATTTCTGAAGAATCCTGATTAAATGTGAACTATATTAAGTAACATGGATTAATCAAAATTTCTACCTTGTAATCTCTTCTCCTTACTCAAACTTTAATACATATTAAGATGCTCCTTCTAATTTGATTACTTTAAAAATGAAATATGTACATATTCCTAATATGCCTCATATGTAGGAGACATAAAGATTAAGAAACTACTTCAAATTATCTCCTCAATAAGTAGAATTTCATAAAAGTATGTTCTTTCTTTGATAACTTACCCAAACAAACTGAAAATAAACTTGTCTGTTAAAACCATGTGATGATTGTTTCCAGGAGTCCACATTTTAACAATTTTCAAAACATGGACCCTTTCACTTTCAAATGGAAAGAATAAAACATGTAGAGCTAAAAAAATACTCAACAACTTATTCCTTGGAAGTTTAGTAGTCAAAGTGACTTCACCCCTAAAGGGATCAAGAACGGTGAAACCAAATGGTAATTATGGCAGCGCCAACTGACGGAAGTAATTCATATAAAAATATCTTTCTCTTCTCAATATCTCCTTACATAATACCAGTCAGTCAACAACACGGATGGTATTTCCAAAAGCAACTCTATCTAGATGCACTGCCCCTCTTGGTCAACCACCATTCCACCTACTAGACTGACTGCCCTAGTTCATAAAATACGTAGAAGATCAGTAAAGGCAACACAAATTAACTTATTAATATCTAACATACCTTCGTTGTTTCTCAAAACACAAATTAACAGACACAGCAAACAATGAGATCAGAATTACTTGATAACAAAGAGCAAGAATAAGTTACTACATTTTTAACTGATTAAAAATTTATTGAGCAGCTATTATTTGCAAGAAGAAATGAGATTTCAGGAACACTGGATTTAAAATATAGTAACCTTATTAGAGTAGGTGATCCTGTAGAGAATGAAAGGAAAAGGTTATAAAGGGTTATATCCTTCTTCCTTTTTTTTTTGAGACAGGGTCTTGCTCTGTCACCCAGACTAGAGTACAGTGGTACAATCGTAGCTCACTGCAGCCTTGAACTCCTGGGCTCAAGCAATCCCCCCTCCTCAGCCTCCTGACTAGCTGAGACTACAGGCATATGCCACTACTTCCAGGTAACTTTTTTCTTTTTCTTTATTTTTGTTTGGGTTTTTTAGAGACAGGGTCTCCCTGTGTTGTCCAGGCTTGTCTTGAACTCCTGCACTCAAGAGATCCTCCTGCCACAGCCTCCCAATGTGCTGGGATTACAGGCATGAGCCACCATGCCCAGCTCATTATTTCCTGTTATAAAAACGTATCACTAGAGATGGGCTGATTTTAAATGAAGCAAAATGCTAAAATGACATTTCATAAGAAAACAAGAAATGCAAGTACAAATGACAACAATGGGGTCAGAATCATCTTTCTAAAGTCATTACTACATAGAGCAAACTCTATGTAAATACTGGCTTCTAGCTACAGAGAAGTCAGTAGGCTATTTTACGGGTATTAAGTAAAGAAATGCCAAAATCATACTGAGGGGGCACTATTCTGCAATAAAATTAATAATTTCTGTTCTAAAGCTTTAACAGTTACATACTATTAAATACAAAAACCTACATAAGACAGCAGGTATTCAACTGGAACAATGCTGAGATATACAACTTGGAAACTTACTTGTAAATGAGTGAATAAATAGAACCTGGAAAGAACTAAGACAAACCTTTACAATACTGCTCTTGCAGGAGACTTGGCATCATATTATAAGCTATATTACATATTATGTAAGACTGTCTTCTATGAGATTATGTTTCAGGGAACAGGATGTACCTGGAAGTATCACCAAATTCAGTAATAATAATTGTATTTTAATGGCTTTCTATTGTATTTAGTGTCCTTTTCTGTAGACTTTTTTACATTACTTTTTGTTTCTGTAGCTTAGTTATTTGCTTTGTATGAGTTAATAATGATCAATCATGAGCATTAGCTTACCTCCATTAGCCAACAGATTCTCTTGAACTTTGTCTTTGCTATCTTCCAATACATCAGCCATGTATTGAGCTACTTTCTTAACCACTCTGGGGAAGAAAAAATATCAACAACCATTCTCAGGAAAAAGATCTAAATTCCATTCTATACAATGAACATATTACATAAAGACATGAATTTGACTATATGTTCCCATTATACCTATCCATATAATACACAATAAATGGATCTTACCTTATAATGTTTTAAGGATAAAATGGACCAAGACTTTGTTACATGCAAAAATCAACAGAGTAACTGTAGGGTTTTAAGGAGACTACATGCAATGTGTCTCCTAGTCTAGAAAGTAAGTCATGGGAAGCTAGTGAGAAAGAGTCTGTAAATAGCCATATATTTATATGCCAAGAAACTAGACAATTTAAGGACTGAGAACAAAGGAGGAGGCTGAGAACTAGCATTCACTATGTTCCTATGACATGCAAGACACTGTGCTTTCCCTTAGGAAGAAAGGGACCTGACAGGCAAGAGAACGTAAGCAATAGTCATGATGAAAAACTAAGTCCTACATTATTAATTCATTAACTGTTTATTGAGCATCTACTATTTACAAGGAGCTATGCTATAGAGGAAGCCATAATGCCAAAACTATTAGGTTGGTGCAAAAGTAACTGTGGTTCTGGCCATTACTTTAGGGGGGAAAAAAATGGCAAAAACTCCATTACTTTTGCACCAACCTAAACCAAGTCACCTACATATGACCTTGTCAGTTCTTTCATTTATAAGACACTGAGGTATAAAAGAATAAGTGGCTTATTCAAAGTCACAAGACCAGTTAACGGCAGAGCTGTGACTAGAAACATGTTGTCCTGACTTTGGAGTCCAGCGTTCTCTTCCTTATTCCATGTCTGCCTCTAGGCCCTGGGTGGGATTCAAAATCATACAAGACAAAATCACTACCTTCACACATTGCTTAAAATCTCATTGGAAAGATCCAAAAATATATAAATTACTAAATACAAAGCAATCTGAGGTCAGTGCCAGCTGAGATTGCCAGGTTGCAGACAGAGAGAGAGAAAGGAAAAAGGGATCACTAGCAGCTACCCAATCAAGAAAGCCCAAAGGCTCATGAGTAGGGCGATGAAGGACAGAAATGGTTTTACAAGGATGATTACATGGGAAGAAAGCATATCGTTGCCATGGGGCATATTATGAGTCATGATAAGAGGTGGAAAAGCAGTAGGCATCCAGAGAATGGTGAGAAGTCCAGACTGATGGAAGCAGCAGGCCGAGAAGTAGGGGAGCTTAGGCTAGGAAAGTGGGATGCCAGATTGCAGATACACAGCCTCTGAAGCCACACTCTAGACAGGGACATAACACAGTCGAAACAGGGCTCAGGACAAGTATTCTGATGACTACATGCTCAACAGCTAGGAGGGGAAACTGGAAGACAAATTAAGAAATTCCTGTAATGGTTTTTTTTCCTTAAAAAAAAAATGTGTGTGTGTGTGTGTGTGTGTGTGTGTGTGTGCGCGCGCATTTTTTTTTTTTTTTTAAGAGAGAGTCTCACTCTACTGCCCATGTTGGAATGCAGTGGTGCAATCACAGTGCATTGCAGCTTTGAACATCTGGGCTCAAGCGATCCTCTTGCCTTGGCCCCTCAAGCAGGAGGGATTACAGGTGTGAGCCACAAGCCTGGCTTGTTAACAGTTTAAACAAGAGCCAATATGAGCCAGGAAAGGTGACAGAAGAGCTAAATTTAAATGACAATCCTATGCTGAGTGGTCTCAAACCTAAAAATCAGAACAATTTCAGAAATAATGATGTAAGTCCTAAATCTTCAACATGTTTAACTTGAGGTTTATACATATACTTGCCTATGTCTCCAAAATTCACCCATTCCTTCAAAAGGGACAAATCATTCTCATAAAATTTGGCAAGCATCTTGTAAACAGAACCATTTGCTACGAACATTCTAAAATGTTGCATGTTTACCCATAGAAGTACTTCAGAGTGTAGAATCACCTGGTGTCAAATTTATAAACGTAATGTTGCATAACCCAGAACTTCAAGATCTCCGTATGCCTATTTACAAGAGGATCTGTGTCAATGTACACAATGTCACCTCAAAAATATCTGCTCTAATGATTACATTTTTAAGAAAGTACAAACTATGATTTACCACATATACCATATTCTACAATATTTGGCCTTTAACACTTGGAGCATTTAAGTCATTAAGCTATCATCTGTCAATACTACCAAAGTCTAACAACGACATGATTTTTAAATTCCTCTTATCATTCAGGAGGACTGAAGAAGATGTGCTTGCCGAACAATGAAGAAAAGAACAGCTGACACACTGCCTAGGTAACTTTAAATTCTACTCACCAAACTAACTACATTTGTCCTTAATACTTTTCAGATTCCTTCCCTAAAAAATCTGAGCTGGCTAGGCACAGTGACTCATGCCTGAAATCTCAGCATTTTGGGAGGCTGAGGTGGGAGGATCGCTTGAGGCCAAGAGTTTGAGACCAGCCTGGGCAACATAGCAAGACTCCATGTCCACAAAAATAAAAATAAAAAAATTAGCTGGGTGTGGTGGTGCAAGCCTATAGTCCTAGCTACTCAGGAAACTGAGGTAAAAGGACTGCTTGAGCCCAGGAGTTCCAGGATGCAATGAGCTATGATTGCACCACTGCACTCTAGCCTGGGTGACACCAAGACCCTGTCTCTGAAAAAAAAATAAATAAAATTTAAAATCTGAGCAAACTTTAAATTATATTCAGGACATCCCATTAACAATTTAAAGATAAAGAACTATAAAGCCATCAAGGTGACTAATAAGGGTATAAATAAATGTTAATAATTATATTCTCAGGGACCTCCTTTCTCAGTGTCTCTTTGGTTGTCATAACTTGTAACTGTAATGAGGTAGATGAGACCTCAGGGAAGACTCACTCCAGGGATGACAACTAAAAAAAAAAGTTCCCTCACATTTTTTTCTTTTCTTTTTTTTTTGAAACGGAGTCACGCTCTGTCACCCAGGCTGGAGTGCAGTGGCGCTACCTCAGCTCACTGCAAGCTCCGCCTCCCGAGTTCACACCATTCTCCTGCCTCAGCCTCCCGAGTAGCTGGGACTACAGGCGCCCGCCACCACACCTGGATAATTTTTTGTATTTTTAGTAGAGACGGGGTTTCATCGTGTTAGCCAGGATGGTCTCGATCTCCTGACCTCATGATCCGCCCACCTTGGCCTCCCAAAGTGCTGGGATTACAGGCGTGAGCCACCATGCCCGGCCCATTTTTTTCTTAATTAAAAATGTATAAGCAAGGAACCAAGAGACTATTCTTTCCATCAGTTAGTGCTTTGAGTGCATCATAATTATTTTCACTATATTTATAATAATTCATAATAATAATTTGCTCTATATGAATATATGGAATTATAATCCTAAAAGTTGCTTTTCCTTTCATCTTCTCTTTCCATTCTAAGAGCCAAGTGTCTGGTCCCAACTGAGCTTTTACTATCTCTTAACTAACCTACTGTGAAACTGCTAAGTGGCCTTCTTGACTCCAATATTAAAGAACATCAATACATCCTTAGATCTGTTTACTTCCTCACTACATGGTGTTATATTAAAAGATCTCTCTCTCTCTCTGTAACCCTGACCTCAGTCTCTATTGCCACAGCATCGCTTTCAGGTGGTTCTATCAATTCAGAAAAGCATTTTAACAGCAGAAATGAGAAAATCTTCTGGATAGATTTCAAGAAAAAATTCCCTTCTATCCAAGCCTATTATTCCCTTAAAGCTTCAATCAAATGTACATTTCTGAGAGTCTCCAAATTCTGTACTTTACAAATTACACCTGTGTATCTAAACTCTAAAATAAAATCTTTGTATCCCCAGAGTTGAAGGAACTGTAGACTGATTCTGCCAACTAATCAAAATGCAGTTATCAAAGAGCCTATAACCATTTTCAGCTCAAATACACATGTACCTGAATTTCAAAAGTAATAAAAACTGCAATTTAGAAAAACTCTTCCAACTGAATTTTGAAGACAAAAGCATAACCATCTTCAAATAAATGGAGTAACATCCGATGTTCATGGATAAAGACAAGAATATTAGGATGATACTACTCCCCAACTGATACATAGATTCAACACTATCCTCATCAAAATTCCAGCTGACTTATTTGCAGAAATTTGACACTGTGATCCTAAAATTCATACAAAAAGACAAAGAACCCAGAATGGCCAATCTTGAAAAAAAAAAAAAAAAAGTTGGAGAATTCACACTTTCTGATTTTAAAACTTACTACAAAGTTACAATAATCAAGACAATGTGGTACTGGCATAGGAGAGAAACATAGATCAGTGAAACAGAACTGAGAGTCCAGAAATAAACCCTCATATTTATGTTCAATTGATTTTCAGTAAGGGTGCCAGGACAATTCAAAGGGGAAAAAACAGTCTTTTCAACAAATGGTGCTGGGACAACCAGATATTCACATCCAAAAGAATCAAGTTGGACCCTTACCTCACAACATACATAAAACTTAACTCAAAATGAATCAAAGACCTCACTGTGAAAGCTAAAACTATAAATCTCTTAGAAGAAAACATAGACATAAAACATTACAACCCTGGATTAGACAATGGTGTCTTAGATATGATGCCAAAAACACAAGCAACAAAAGAAAAAAATAAATTGGACTTCATCAAAATTTAAAACTTTTGTGCTTCACAGATACAATCAAGAAAACGAAGACATGGCCAGGCGCGGTGGCTCACGCCTGTAATCCCAGCACTTTGGGAGGCTGAGGCACGCGCATCATGTCAGGAGTTCGAGACCAGCCTGTCCAACATGGTGAAACCCCATCTCTATTAAAAATACAAAAACTAGCTGCGCATTGTGGCAGGGACCTGTAATCTCAGCTACTCGGGAGGCTGAGGCAGGAGAATCATTTGAACCCAGGAGGCGGAGGCTGCAGTGAGCCAACATCTGGCCACTGCATTCCAGCCTGGGCAACAGAGCGAGACTCTGTCTCAAGAAGAAAAAAAGAAAATGAAGACAACTCACAGAACAGGAGAAAATATTTGCAAGTTATATCTGATAGGGGATTTATCTCTTGCATATTCTGTATAAAGAACTTCTACAATTCAATAATAAAAAGGCTAGCCAATTAAAAATGGGCAAAGGATCTGAATAGACATTTCTCCAAGGAAGAAAAACAAATGGCAAAAAAACACATGAAAAGATACTCAACACATCACATCACATCAGCCAACAGGGAAACACAAATTTTTAAAAATGAGATATTATCAGCCGGGCGCGGTGGCTCACGCCTGTAATCCCAGCACTTTGGGAGGCCAAGGTGGGTGGATCACGAGGTCAGGGGTTTGAGATCAGCCTGACCAACATGGTGAAACCCCGTCTCTACTAAAAATACAAAAAAAAAAAAAAATTAGCTGGGCGTGGTGGTGGGTGCCTGTAATCCCAGCTACTCAGGAGGCTGAGGGAGGAGAATTGCTTGAACCCAGGAGGTGGAGGTTGCAGTGAGACGAGATCATGCCACTGCACTCCAGCCTGGGCGACAGAGCGAGACTCCGTCTCAAAAAAAACAAAAAAAACAAAGATATTATCTCATACCCCCTGGGATGGCTATAATCAAAAAGACAAATAATAAAAATAATAACAAGTGCTGGCAAGGATGTAGAGAAATGAGAATCTTCATACACTGCCGGCGGGAATATTACACGGTACAGCCACTCTGGGAAACAGTTTGTCAGTTCCTCAAAAAGCAAAGCATAGAGTTACCATATGACCCAGAAATTCCACTCTTAGGTACATACCCAAGAAAAATGAAAACATTTAAGAACACAAACTTCTACACAAATATGCACAGCAGCATTATTCTTATAAGCCAAAAAGTGGAAACAAAATAAACGCCCATCAACTGATGAACGGATTAATGTGATATATATGTATACATATATAGTGGAATATTAGTAATAAAAAGAAATGAAATACTGATACATGCAACTGCTGGGATAAACTTCAAAACATTATGCTAAGCAAAAGAAGACAGTCACAAAAGACCACGTATTGTATTCCATTTACAAGAAATGTCCAGACCAAGCAAATCTATAGTGGCAGAACAATTTGTGGGTGGTGGGGACGGTAAGTGACTGCTAATGGGAACAGGAATAGAGGATGATGAAATATTTAAAACTGATTGTGGCAATGGTTACACAAGTCTGAATACACTAAGAATCACTGAATTGTACACCTGAAATAGGTGAAATGCATGGCATGTAAACTATATCCCATTAAAGATAGTAAAAAGAGAATCAGCATTTTCATATTTCAAACAGGTGCATTTTATGTAAATTGTACCTTCATAAAATTGATATACGAAGGGAAAAAAGTCGTTTTCTAAAACCATTCCAATAAGCAGAGTATACATGTGATAATAAACCCAGTGTCCATGAAGCCTGATAATAGTGTCTCCCATTTTGCTCTACTCCATGCATATAAGTACATTACCCTTCTACAAATGCATCCAGTTTAGCCAGTTCATCTGACAAGCCAACCAAGACATCCAACGTGCCAACCTAAAAGGAAAATATATTGTTATTTAGGTGGCATGCTTTTTTAAAAAAAAAAAACAAGATGATTCATCTTGACCTAAAGTTCTCACAAATCTTAAATTCTCCCTATTTTATTTCATAATGTGTAAGTACAGTTAAAAGATGTTTGCCAGACATTTCAAAGCTATTTATATGTACAAGATAATCCTTTAATTCATGGTTATAAGCACCACTTAAGACTTGAAGACTCCTCAAAGACAGGTCTGTGCTTGTACTATTCAATGACACTGGATCATTTGAAGTCTTAGTTTACAACACAGGCTCTTAAGTAGGAGGTCCACGGATGTGCGCTAGAGGGTCTGTAATTAAATTTGCATGCAAAACTGTGCATAAGTGAGTACGTTTTGGAGGAAACATCTTGTCTCAAAGGTATCCGTAACTCCAAAAATATTAAAAATCGGTCATTTTATTGCATTTATTATTTATATTTTTGAGACGGAGTCTCACTCTGTCTCCCAGGCTGGAGTGCAGTGGTATGATCTTGGCTCACTGCAACCTCCACCTCCTAGATTCAAGCGATTCTCTTGCCTCAGCCTCCCAAGTAGCTGGGATTACAGGTGCCCACCAACATGCCTGGCTAATTTTTGTATTTTTAGTAGAGACTGGGTTTCACCATGTTGGCCATGCTGGTCTCAAACTCCTGACCTCAAGTGATCCGCCCACCTCAGCCTCCCAAAGTGCTAGGTTTACAGGTGTGAGCCATGATGCCCCACCAAGAATCAGTCATTTTAAATATTTCTTAAATGAATGCTGCCTACGACTCCCTCATTCAGTTAACCAGCAAAATGTCAGTATCATGATCTTTTCCATTCTTTACAAATGTTCCATCAACTGATTACTGGACACCTGCTTTACTTTGAGGCTGCTAGATGACTGATCTTTGATAAGAGTGAATCTTACATAGATTAACCGGATTAAATAACTGGGTTAGATTTGCCAAGTGTGATTAAGTAGGTGCCATGGTAACACATTTACAATGTAAGAATCAGCATAATATAAATTTACTAACAAAAACTTCACTATGATATTTAAGAATATATATTACTAAGAGTTTTAATTTCTGAAAATCATATTTGTGAATGTAACACATCAAACATTTTCATAAGATTTTTCATTGCAATTTAGAAGAGCACAAAAAGCCTAAGTAGAGAGACATTATTTCAATTTGGTAGTTTACTTCTAAAATTTCAAAGAAGACACATTTTAAATCATGCCAATGGCTGGAGAGGAGGTTTTCTTTGGAAGGAACCTGGGTATCTCATTTCCACTAAAAGAGAGAACTGGCCCTCCCCTGGATGATGAACTCATATATAATTTTGCACAGTGCAGCTTCACCTTTAAGTCAGGAATATTGAACTTGGAAGTGACAGCAAGATTATTGTTCTTTGAAGTTGCCGCATGCAATTTCTCCCATGTTTGCTGACAGGTTTTCTCCCCAGGAGCAGATATAAGCCAGAACTCAGTCATGTTTGTTACTAGGTATTTCCTCAAAAATCAAGAGAGATTCTGAAATGTAAAACAAATAAAAAAAATCACATTTAAAATCATTTGTTTCTAAAGTGTTTCAGAATCATAGGAGAAGTTATAACATATAACCTGTTTCAAAACTAATCTAATGTTGGCATAGGATCTCAAGCAAAGTGAAATTTACCTACCTCGAAATAAATCTACACAAATGGTGAAAAAACGATTTATTTATGATACTAGGAAAGTGAGGTGATAAAAACCTAATATGTGAAGTACCTACTTTTTTTCATTATAAAACATCCTTAACGGGAGTTAGCCAAGAAGTGAGATTACCCAAAATACCAGCCACCAATAGTTTCCTTCAACCAACAAAGCTGGAGAGTTACAAATTTATAGGTTTATCTTAAACTTTTTTTTTTTTTTGAGACAGTGTCTCACTCTGTCGCCCAGGCTGGAGTACAGTGGCATAATCTCAGCTCACTGCAACCTCCGCCTCCCAGGTTCAAGCGATTTTTGTGCCTCAGCCTCCTGAGTAGCTGGGATTACAGCCATGCACCATCACACCCAGCTAATTTTTGTATTTTTAGTAGAGACAGGTTTTTGCCATGTTAGCCAGGCTGGTCTTGAACTCCTGGCCTCAAGTGATCCACCACACCCAACCTATCTCAAACTTTTAAAGCATACAACCAAAATAGGAAATTTAAAAAAAGAAAAAAAAAGCATAACTTTTATCTTGGAGAAAGAATTTAATTGAATCAATGCATTTATAAACAGAAGTCACCAAATAAATTTGTCACATTGGCTTAGCAAATCCTACATGGCTAGTAAATTTGGTGGTTAATTCTAATCCATAGTCAACCTAGAGAAATCTCCTCAAATCTTTGATGCATAGACTTAGTTGCCATCGAACATTTACAAATCTGAAAAAAAAAAAATCTTGCCAATCTGCTTGGCTATTTTAAAATATAGGGAGCTGAGAGGGTGGCGTTAATATAACATTTTTGGATCTGAGAGGCAGGCTGCAGTTCTCCCTTTCCAAAGAGTCCCATTAAGATTCACCTAACCCTCTTCTATAATCTCTTTTCCTCCTCCTCCTCCTTCCCCTTCCCACACACACAGAAGGGGGAAAAAAGTACAGAGACAAATCTATTCAGAATCTAGGTAGGTAAAGCACATAAACACAAATGATAAAAATCAAAGTATTATGGTATCATTATTTCCATTTTAATCTGCCTTCATGAGAACCAACATAAGCTTTCTGCTAACACTGCTTATTTAACCTCTCCTGAAACTAATATTCAATGTCTCTAAATTGAATATAACTATCTTACAAAGTTGTCCTGAGAACAAAATCAGATAATTAATGTGAAAAGAGTTTATAAATGTAAATTTCCTTTAAAATGTAAAGTATTATAGTTAATAATGGACTTTCATAATTACAGTAGTCCTAAAATTTAATTAAAGTACCTACTTAAAGTACCTATGAGTAGGTAATCAATGCTACCTTCTCACTACAATACCATTGAAAGTGAACTTAACATAGATGCCATCCTATATACTTGTTAATTTTTCTAACTACTGTTTATAGAGGATCTACCATATAAAAGGTACTGCTTTAAATGCATTATTATCTCAATTCATCTTCCCAACACCTCTACGAGGTAAATATCATGCTTCCCATTTACAGATAAGAAATGCAGGTTAAACCTGGTACAGATGCAGACAGTGGTATTAAATGAATGTTAAGAAACTATATTCTAGAAAAAAAATTTTAAAAAAGAAACTGTACTGTATATGGACTTTTCTAACATTACTGATGAAGTTAAACCTTTATCAGCTCTACCTACACCTTCTCAAATGAAAGAGCTACACTTTCCCAAATGGCCAACAAGCTAAACACAAGCTTTTTAGTGACAGCCCGTCTGGTCAGAGAACAGCACAGCTTAACTGGCCATCCAAGGATGGAAGCTACTCATAAGCACCATGCTCTAATGAGGCCATCCAAAGATAAGTTTTGATTTCAAAACAGAAGCAAAAGCAAAATCTTCATTAGCCTACCCAAGAAACTTCAAATATTGAACTTTAAGGCTATTATACTATCATATTCTTTTCCAATCTGATTTTTTCATTCAACCTATTTTTAGAATTATCCAGTGATCATTAATTTTAATTGATATATGGTATTCCATTATATGAATAAACTAAAATTTATTATCTGCTTCTTCCTGGAATGACTTAAATTGTTTTTACTTTTTTGCTATTATAAACAATTCTGCTGTGAACAATGTGTACATATCTCTCTATCTGTGAAAGATTTTTTCTGGGATAGATAAAAGTAAAATAGCTGAATTACAGGATATGTCTTCAAAGATGGAGGCGAGATGTCTTTCCATGCTCCTATGCAGTGTGACTTTGCCACTCCTTCCATCAAAAGGTGGAGCTGGCCTTGTGACTTGGTTTGACCAACAAAACGCATGGAAGCCACACTATGCGAGTTCAGGGCTCAGACCTCAAGAGGCCTTGCGTCTTGGACCACTGCCCTCAGACTACCACATAAGGAAGTCTATTGCAAGTGATAAGGCCACATGTAGAGAACCAACAACCAGCATGAACCACCAGACATGTGACTGAGGCCATTTTGAGCCCTCCAGCCCAGCCAATCTCCCAGCTGAATGCGGCTGCATCAATGAGTCCAGGCAAAACAAGCAGAGGGACTACCCCAGCAACTCACAGAATTAGGAGAAATAAGAAATCACTGTTTTAAGCCACTAAGTTTGGGGTAGTTTGTTGTGCAGCATGAGACAACTGACACAGACCACTGCCAACTCTTTTGGGTATTGCCAAATTGTTCTCCAAAGCCCCTACCAACTTAAGTTCCTGCCAGCAGAGTAAGAGTTTCTATTTCCACAACTGAAAAACACATAATAGTATATAGTGTTCAGAGTTATATATACTTACAGAAAATACTAAAATATGCATAGGAGAAAGGAGCTTTAGTTTTGTAGGTAAGATTTCATTTAAAAAATCAGGCAAATAGAGCAAAATATTCATACTTGCTAAATCTGCATGGATGACATAATTGGCAATATTTAACATTTTTCTGTATATCTGAAATACTTCAAAACTAAATATTTTTAAAATTTTTATGAGAATGTATTTAATTTACAAGTTAAAACATAACATTGCATGGCAAATTTATTAAAAATAAAATTTTAGTGAACTTTAAAATGGATATTCAGAGAATAATCTAGATACCAAATTAATCCTCAAAGTACAACCTTTTTGTTTTACACCTAGTAGAAATGCTTACTAGTTTGTTTATATCTTCTTATGACCAAGTATAATACATTGCAGACAATGCTTTTAGAGTTTGGGATTTATTTTAAAAGTATTTTTGGATCCTGAGGCAGGAGGATCACTTGAGCTCTGGAGTTCAAGATCAGCCTGGTCAACATAGCGAGACCCTGTCTCTCTTTTTTTTTAATTATTTTTATTTTTAAAAAATAAATTTAAAAAAGTATTTCGGGGGTCAATATGTCCAACAATCTAACTGCATAATGTTGCAAGTGTGGGAGTTCAGGCTACACCTGTACTAACTCCAGAACCTATCTCAAGAAGTTGCTTTTAAAAATAAATCCCTGCTGAAATCTCGTGGACCTATATCCTGTCTTCTTGTCATCCTGTCTCTGTTCTTCACAACACCTGGATCACATCACCACCTATCGCCGGTTGCTTCCAGTTAATACTCTCGCACTTAGCGAATCTAGCTTTTTTAGCACAAACTGTCTCGAACTTTAACATTTTCAGTTATTAGAAAATCTAATAGCATCTTTAAACCTCTTTTTGTAATCCAGATCTAAGCGATCGTGGTTTCTGGAAAAATTGAGATTTTATTATAATAATTTTATGCAAGTGGTTTTCTGTTAGTATATCAAAGGATACATTTTTATACCTCCTCTCCCCCCAAAATGGCAGGTAATAAAATCAACTGTTAAATTCTTCCTGATGATTGTGCTAAATTATCTAAACTGCAGCTTCCTCAAAGATTGTAATAATACAAGCTATTACAGTAGATGTCACTATCATACTACTTAGAGTTCCAGAAAATCTTTTCTTCTAACAGGCTTCCAAAGGATTTCAAGGAATAGGAAAGAGGACCCCATTTCTCATCTATAAATAATACCTGCCCTATCTACTTCACTGAGCTTTTATTAGGATCAAAGGAAATAATGTCATGATAAATTCTGATCAAAACTACAGTCTAAAAATATGATAGAAGTTCTCTAATTTAGCTTTTAAAAAATTTATTTTTTGTAGAGATGGAGTCTTGATATGTTGTTCAGGTTGGTCTCAAACTCCCAGCCTCAAGCAATCCTCCTGCCTTAGCCTCCCAAAGTGTTGAGATTACAAGTGTGAGCCACTGTGCTCATAATTCTAGCTTTTAACTGAGACCTCCCTAGAGCCTAGGTGTTGGAAGATGAGGAGGAAAGGAAGGAAAAGGTGCCTTCTAAGTCTGATGTTGTGCTTTTCACTTCTCATACATCATTTTATTCCATTCTCACTACAACCCATGAGATAGGCAGTAATACACAGAGAGGTTAGTAGTTTACCCAAGGCTGCACGACTGGCAGATGGGGTTCAAATTTAGTTGTGTTTGACTCTAAAGACCATGTTCTCTCTATTGTGTCACACTAGGAGAAAAGATGTTCTGTGCTCTGGTGCACCTGGGCTCTCCTATTTGAAGAGAAATCCACATGTAAGCTTCAACACCTTCACCCTGTTTGGTTCCAGGCTCAGGGCACCCTGTTGGTCCAGTGAATTCTGATAAAGGGATCCAAGCTTCCTTTCCTTGTTCCCTTCGTCCAGGATCATCACAATTTCTAAAGTAGCATCACCCAGCATCCAAAACTATCCTACCTTCTAGAAGGAACAACGATTCCTCCAAACGAAAGGACACACACACAAAATTCGAGATTCAAAGTATACTTTGAGACTAGAGATCAGATACTAGAGATTCGATGGACCTGCCAGATCATGGAGGAAGGAACACAAACTTTGGAGTCCTGCAACAGTTAAAACTCTGACTCTACCCCCTTACTAGTTTCCTCATCTGTAAAGTGGGAACACGACACATCTTTTCACCCAGCTGTTGGAAAGTATGAATAAAATAATGTACCTAGACCTTCCCCTTTCCATGCGGCCGCCCTTCCTGCGGATGATTGTATTAGCTGCTGCCCCACCCCATCCTACCTCCCAAGACTCTCCCCCGTATCCCAGATGAGAAATATCCTTTGCTTACTTATACTTTATAAATGCCCCTACTACGCACTCATCGTATTCTCCCTCATTTTTATAACATATTTTCCTCTCCACCTTACTGAGAAATCCTGAAGAGCTAGAATCATATCTTCTTCTCTGTGAAACCCTGAGAGCCAGAATACACTAAATTCCTGGCAATAGCAGGGACTTAATAAATGCCTGTTGAATTAATAAATAAAATTCAAATTCAAATACAACAATGATGGAACCAATCAAAACGTCTGATTTAGAGATAAACGCAAAAAAAATCATGTTTTTTAAAAGTGTTTTTTAGTCTTCCAGAAAACCCTTATTTTACAGTAAAAATTAAAAATTGGTAGAGTTGCAGGTTCCTAAGTAAGCCTTTGTCTTTTATGTCAAGGGTGAATAAAGTCAAAAATATAAAAAAGAGGGTTTGATAAAGAACCTATCTGTACTTCAGGCAAAGCCATGGCCTCAGTTCTTCTACCCCTCGTCAAAGCAAACTAACTCTAAGTAAAGAGCCTAACAGGAAAGACAAGCTACTTAAGTACCTAAGGAGGAATGTAACAACTTCCTATGACAGTTAACATCATAAGTATTTTGCAAAATCTGTTTTTTCCATTTTTAAACTATGACCGCTCTCAACTTGTCACTTACACAAGTCAGGTAAAAAAATTTCTCCTTGAGGCCAGGCACAGTGGCTCACACCTGTAATCCCAGCACTTTGGGAGGCTGAGGCAGGCAGATCACCTGAGATCAAGAGTTCAAGACCTGCCTGCCCAACATGACAAAACCATGTCTTTACTAAAAATACAAAAAAATTAGCCAGGCATGGTGGCATGCGCCTGTAATCCCAGCTACTCGGGAGGCTGAGGCAAGAGAATCACTTGAACCCTGGAGGCAAAGGTTGCAGTGAGCCAAGATGGAGCCACTGCACCCTAGCCTGGGTGACAGACCAAGACTTCATCTCAAAAAAAAAAAAAAAAATTATCCTTGAAATTTAAGAACAATTTAAGTTTAGTTTCAAACAAAATTTATCTTTGCAGATGAATATGTATGTCTTTATTCATCGGAAAATGGAATCCATATTGCTAAACATATTTCCCTTTTTCTCTCAGCTGCAAGGAAACAAATTGTCAAAATTAGTGGCCATTTGTTATCAACTTGCCAAGAACCTGACACCACCTTCTCCACTGCTTGTTTTTACTCGTAATTATTTCCCTTTATTTTATCTTGAATACGAAGGAAGTCAGGCCTAAATGTAGCAAAATCATATGCTAAACAGAGGAGATGATGATCAAAAAGGCACCCTGATTAAATCGTAGTTTCTCAAGGCTCAGATCCAGGTCTATGTCCTTCTTCTCTTTCTGCGTGTGTGTGAATGTGTGTGTATAGCACCTTTCTTGATGATGATCTCTACAGTTGAGGCAATTCTAGTCTAGATGCTGGACACTTTCTGAAATGTATGTCTCCAGCCCAGGGCCCTCTGCAGCATCTAGAGTTGTACTCAACCAGTATCCACATCTGACTACAAGACATTTTCCACCTGAATGTCTCAAAAGCAGCTAAAACCCAACACTTCTAGTCAAACTTATCATCTCTTCCCCAATATGTAGTCCTACTCCACTGTTCCCTGAGTTAGTATAGGTGTACCCCTGCAGTATTAGACAATTAGAACTGTCAAATGTTCATAGCAGCCAACACTTACTGGGCACTTCCTATCTACTAGCACAAGTCAAAACACTTCACGTGTATTAACTCACTTAGTAGTTAGAGAAACCCCATTAGAGGGGTAGTAGTTACAAAGAAACCAGGGCACATAAAGCATCTTATATATTATACAAGGTATATTATGTAGTATGTGTCTCATTATATATCATATGACAGCATATATTATATGCTAAGGATGAATGTATTATATGCTCTCATAGAACCTTCTTTGTAGTATTTCTCTGGGGGTGGGGGAGCACTTTTTACTAGTATCTGTCTTTCAAATAAACTGCCCAGGACGGTAAGTGGAAATCATGATAGTTTTTGCTCACCACTTTATCCTCAGTACCTGGCACAGAGACCAGCATGGTAGAATCTCAGAAGATATTTGCTGAATATTCTTCAATAAAAATTACTGTGAGGATTAAATGAGATAACATCAAGCACCTGGATTATAGTTGGTTAGCTTCCCTCACTTCCCGTTTTTTCTATAAAATCAACTTTATTAAAATATAATTTATATAGAATTAAATGCACCCATTGTAAGAGTTTGATGAGTTTTTGACAAATGTATACACCTGTGTGAGCACTGTCAAAACCAAGATTAAGGACACTTCTATCATCCCCAAACCTTCCCTCACACTCAGTCCAGTCAATCCCTATCTCACTGCCAGCCCTGGGCAAATGTTGGTCTGCTTTCTGTTACTATAGATTAGTTTTGCCTGATCTAGAATTTCCTTGTAAATGGAAGCATGCATTAGATACTCTTTTGTACCTGGCTTTTGCTCAGCAAGTCTTTGATATCTGTCCGTGTTGTATGTATTAGTAGTTCAATCTGTTTTATTACTTAGTATTCTACCACATACATCTACTATAGTCTGTTCATACATTCACCAGTTGATGAACATTTGGATTGTTACTACTGGTTTGGGACCACTAAGAATAGAGATTCTATGAACATTCCTCTACAAAGCTTTTTGTGAAGATATATTTTTCTCTTGGATAAAAAATTCTAAAAGTAGAATTTCTAAGTTGAATGATCAATGTATATTTACCTTTATAAGAAATTGGCCAGGTGTGGTGGCTCACACCTGTAATCCCAACACTTTGGGAGGCTGAGGCAGGTGGATCACTTGAGGCCAGGAGTTCGAAACCAGTCTAGCCAACATGCTGAAACCCTGTCTCTACTAAAATTACAAAAATTAGCCAGGTGCGGTGGTGCAGGCCTGTAATCCCAGCTACATATGAGGCTGAGGCACAAGAATTGCTTGAACCCAAAAGGTGGAGGTTGCAGTGAGCCATGCCACTGCACTCCAGCCTGGACAGCAGAGTGAGGAAAGAAAGAAAAGAAAAAGAAAAAGAAAAAAAGGAAGGGGAGGGGAGGAGAGGGGAGACTGACAAACTGTTTTCCAAAGCAGATATATAACATTTTATACTCCTATTAGCAAAGTATTCAGCCTCCAGATGCTCCACCAACACTTAGTGTTCTTGGCCTTTTCATTTTTAGCCATTCCAGTGGGTTGCAGGGTTATGTTGCATTTCCATGATGCATTTCCATGCGGACTAATGAAGTTCAGGAGCTCTTCATGTTATTTGCCATTTGTATATTTTCTATTCAAGTCTTTTGCCCAGTTTTTAAAAAACTGGATTCACTTATTGAGTTGCACAAAATTTTTATATGATCTTGACACAATTTCCTTGTGAAATATATATACATATTTACATATTTTCTCTCATTCTGTGGCTTGACTTAATGATGCTTTTGAAAAGAAGTTTGCAATTCTGCCAATGTCCGATTTATCAGTTTTTGGGTTTTTTTTGTTTTTTGTTTTTTGTTTTTTTTTTACAATATATGCTTTCTGTAGCATGTGAAAAACCTGCCTATCCCAAGGTCACAAGTATTTACTCTGCTTCGAGTTTGTTGAGTTTCTTGGATCCATTCATAGTTTTCATCAAATTTGAAATGTTTTCAGCCATTATTTTTCCTCAATTTTTTTTGCCTTCACTTCCTTCTTTTGAAACAAGATCACATGTATGTTAAACCACTTGATACTGCTCCACAGGTCACTGAGCTTTCATTCATTTTTCTCAGTTGTTTTTCTCACTGTGTTTTACTTTGGATAGTGATATAGTTTGGATGTCTGTCCTCCCCAGATCTCATGTTGAATAAACCCCAATGTTGGAGCTGGGGCCTGGTGGGAGGTGTCTGGGTCATGGGGCAGATCCCTCATAAACGGCTTGGTGCCCTCCCTGTAGTAACGTTACCTTGAAATCTGATTGTTAAAAAGAGAATGCCCTCCCCATAGTAAGAAGTTATCATGAGATCTGACTGTTACCTTCCCCCTGACTCTTGCTCCTTCTCTCACCATGTGACACTCCTGCTCCCCTTCCCCTCTGCCATGACTCAAGAGCTTCCTGAAGCCTCATGAGAAGCTGAGATCCGGATGCCATGCTTGCACAGCCTACAGAACTGTAAGCCAAAAAAACCTCTTTTCTTTATAAATTACCCAGTCTCACAGATTCCTTTATGGCAACAAATAAGACTAACACAGTCTCTTGCTGTATCTTGTAGTTTGCTGACCTTTTCTTTGGAGTATCTAATCTGTTATTCTTCTCACCAGTGAATATTTCACTTCTTATGTATTTTTCTGCTTTAAGTTCCATTTTTAAAATATCTTCCATTTCTTTCCTCATTATGTTCATGTTTTCTGTTAAAACACTGAGCATATTTGTAAAAATGCTGCACTGTGTATCACTGGACTTTGCTGTCTTCCTTTTAAGAGTGTTGTACTTTGTTGTGGTGGGCAGGTAAGTTAGGGGAGGATCAGCTTGATCCACCCAAGGCTTGTTTTCAAACATTGTTAGGATAGATCTAAGGCCTTACTCTAGGGCTAACTTAGTCTCTGATACTAAGGTCTAACCTTTTGGGGATTCTATTGAATGTCCCAGGTATTCAATAAGTTCTCTCTCCCATATCTGGTCAGAATTCAAATGCCTCCCAGCACCATAAGCTCTGGCAATTCTTCAGTTTAAAGCTCTCTGGTCATTCTTTGTTAGATCTCCTGCAGAGACCCCCCCCATAAGTTTCTGGTGTTTATTTCTCTGCCTAGCTCCCTCTCTCTGTCAATCCCACCTGCAAATTCCAGCCAGATAAACCTTCCCCAAGTCCAGTCTCCTCGACTCAGCAAGACCAAGATGCTCTGCACGGGTGTTCCCTTCCTAAAACACGGTGCAGAGAGTGTCTACAGGAAAAAGCAGGAGGAATTACACAGCTCATTTCCTTTCGCTCAGCTCCTGTACTGCCTATTGTCCGATGTCTGGAAGCAGTTTTTTAATATATCTTGTCCAGATTTGTAATTGTTTATGGTGGGAAAGCAAATATGGTACCAGTTACTCCATCGCAGACAAAAACTGAAGTCTCATCTGGTTTTGTTGTATGTATTATTCACGAGTGTTCGGTTTTTCTAATTGTTCTGATTGTTTCTATGCAGGGATTCAGCCACAACCTCACAGCCTCTCTCAGCCCCATGTTTTAACATTTAACAGAAAACAGGACTGACAACAATAAATGCCAAAAATTTACCAAATCTAGGCTAAAAGACTGGAGTACTACTGTGTTTGTGAAAAATGGAACACAATGAACATGTATTGCTTTTGTACTAACAAGGAAAAATGTTCATTTTTGTTTAAAAAAAAAAAACAGCTGCAGCTTGAATAAATGTCTCCAACATTCACTTATGTGCCATTAATTTGCAAATGTATGGCGTGCTATCTTGATAAGTAAAACATGAATTTATTTAAAAGCATTAATAGGCTAGGTGAAGTGGCTTCACACCTTTAATCCCAGCACTTTGGGAGGCCAAGACAGGTGGATCACTTGAGCTCAGGAGTTCAAGACCAGCCACGGCCAACATAGTAAAACCCTGTCTCTACTAAAAATACAAAAATCAGCTGGGCATGGTGGTGCATGCCTATAGTCCCAGCTACTCAGGAAGCTGAGGTGGGAGAATCACTTGAACCCGGGAGGCAGAGGTTGCGGTGAGCCGAGATTGTGCCACTGCACTCCAGCCTGGGCGACAAAGCAAGACTCCATCTCAAAAAAAAAAAATTTTTTTTAAATAAAATAAAGCATGAATACAGCTGTAACAATTTGTCATCATTAATAAAATATCTAAAATATATCTTAGATATACTACATCATCTATTTCTAAAATAATCTAAAATAATTACACATCACATGGGAGCCCAAGAAAATTCTGCAGATGAGAAACAACAGATGGGCTGGGTGCAGTGGCTCATGCCTGTAATCCCAACACTTTGGGAGGCTGAGGCGGGTGGATCACCTGAGGTCAGGAATTCAAGACCAGCCTGGGCAACAGGGTGAAACCCCTTCTCTACTAAATACAAAAATTAGCAAGACACGGTGGCACGCATCTGTAATCTCAGCTACTTGGGAGGCTGAGGCAAGAGAATCGCTTGAACCCAGGAGGCAGAGGTTGCAGTGAGCCAAGATCACGCCTCTCACTCCAGCCTGGGTGACAGAGGGTCTTGAAAAAAAAAAAGAAGAGAGAGAGAGAGAAAAGAAGGAAGGAAGGAAGAAAGAACAAAAGATAGACAATTTCTGGAACACAATTTGGCAATATTTATCAAAACCCACAAAATGTGCATATCCTTTGGCCTAGCTATGCCGATCTTAAGAAAGAAAATAAGGATATGCATAGGTATAAACATTAAATTATAAAAAAAAAAACTGTCAACAATTATCTCTTGGGAGTGATTATGAATGTTTGTTTTCATCCTTTCTGTATATTTTTTTCCTAATTTTTAAATAATAAATTATTACATGTAAACACAAACAAAAAAATGTCCCACCGCATCCTTATTAGGGCAGTATCCTCATATTTGAAAACACTGAAAAGTTTAGAGACCATTAAATGGCATCATAACAAAGAGCCCTGGAGTTCATACAAAAGAGAAGGGCAAAGCTGGTTAATTGTAGCTACTTCTGAAGATGTGATCAAAGTTGGTAAACGGCCCTTTTACCTCACTGGGAATCATAGTCAAAGAAAACCCAAATGTCAATTTCAGGAAGCACAATGTAATCGCCAGAGCACTGCGCTGAGGATATGAAGACTTGGAATCTAATCCCAGTTCTGCATATAATTGTCTGCATAAATGTCTTCACTTGTAAAATGAGAGGATTGGATTACAATATCCAGGATCCTCTTCTGCTCCTATACTCACTACCTGAACCTATACTAGGTGAGGCCCAGGATTCTTTTTTCCTATTTTAAGTCCCTCAGGTAATTCACCCAAATTTCAGAACCACTGTAACAAGACAGGCATTTCTATGATTATACAGTATATTTAATGTTACAAGAAATGGCAATACTCTTGAAGGCTATGGACAGAAGGCTGAACAACTCACCAAAACAGACACCCCTAGTCCTGCTTCTTTCTTGGAAACAAAACTCAAATCTGCCAATCTTCACTGTCATCACTACTAGCATCCCTGTCTGAGTTTTTCTGCCTTATCCTCGCATTCCTCCTGAGCTCTCTTTATCCATCTTGACCTCAGGCCTCCTTCCCTTTCCTACCCTGCCTTTGCTCGTTTCGCACAAAACAAATTTCTCTCTTCCAGTTTAAGCCAACCCAAGCCTCCCTTAACAAAATGATTTTCCCAACTAAGTCCATCCATGCACCAAACCTGTTACTATAATCCCACTACTTCTCCCACATGTCTACTTACACTCATGTCATTAACAGCATTAGGCAGACATCTATTTTATGTTTTGTCACACATCTCATCTGACTGTAACTGTTCTCAATTAAAGCTCTTATTCATCTCACAAAATATTTTGGGTACTTAAGTTCCCAAAACTGTAATAGACTCTGAGAAACAAAACAAACAAAATGTAGACCCTGTCCTCATGGAGCTTACAATTGGGGGTGGGAGAGGGTGGCAGGTCTTACGAGCAGGCAGGTCTGTGTGTGTGCAGGGAGGGTGGGAGGAAGACTTCATGTAGATGTCAAGACAGAAAAAAACACTGAAGAACATAGGGAGGCACAAGGGAAACACTAGTCAATTCTGTAGGCACTTCTATTTTGTCTGACTGCAATAAGTGTGCTGCTTAAAAAAAAAAGTAACAATTATTTTTCAACATGGAAGGGAAAAAAGTGGGAGGAAAGGAGAAAAAAAAAAAACCCTAGATCCAAAGCTATGGGACTGTTAATTTTATTTACTTTATCTCCCACTTCTGAGAGTTTGAAGGCTATGGATTATTTTCCTACCACAATTGATTTGCATATAAAGACAATAAAACAATAACTATTACAACATAAAAGGTGAGGGGGGGTTGGTTATAAGCCTGAACAAGACATCTGCTGGCACTGCTTCTGTGAATGGAAGGTATGGGATTGACCCAAGATAGGGGCAACCACAGAAAACAGTACCGCACTCCACTAAGTGCTCCGACACTTAACTGATTTCAATGCTTTCAAGAAAACCAAACCGTGGTCTCTGAAATGCAATCACCTTTCACAGTAAATTAAATTTCACAATAAATTAAGCCTAGAAGGTGGTCTCCATGCAAAACAACTTCCTTTTCAGTACTTGAAAATACCAAGTTTACTAAAGCAGCTTATTTTAAGAAGCACAAGAAGGCATACCTCAGCTATCAGTGAAATATCACATAGCCTTCCAAATGTGCACATCAACTTTTAACAGAATTGATCTGTGCGAAACATTTACCACAATCCACTCAGTTAAAAAGTTGCCACATCCTACCCTAGAAATCACTAACACCATACATATAAAAAGTAAAAATAACTGCTTCCTCTTTGAATGTAAAAATTCTATCCTTCGAAACAGAAGCATCTTAATTGGGATTGTGGGAGGGGCTTGCTCATAATACAACTTGTTTAAACATTTTCAGTAACTAGAAGGGGGATTTTACCTTTCAAGGAATACGTCCATGATTCATACGAAATGAGATTTTAAAACTGTCAGAAAATATGCCTTTTTATTTTTTTTGGAGACGGAGTCTCACTCTGTTGCCCAGGCTGGAGTGCACTGGCGCGATCTCGGCTCACTGTAACTTCTGCCTCCTGGGTTTAAGCGATTCTTCTGCCTCAGCCTCCTGAGTAGCCGGGATTATAGGCACGAGCCACCATGCCCAGCTATTTTTTGTATTTTCAGTAGAGACAGGGTTTCACCATGTTGGCCAGGCTGGTCTTGAACTCCTGACATCAAGTGATCCGCCCGCCCTTTGCCTCCGCTTCCCAAAGTGCTGGGATTACAGGCGTGAGCCACCACACCCAGCCCCGCCTTTCTTAAATAAATCTTAAATATTCCGTGTTTTGTTTTCAATGGAAACAATACCCATAAATGCTCTATAATCCTATTAAAACTACCATAATTTCTTGCCATAAATATACTTAAATATGAAAGGCAATTTAATCTTTATTAGACTCATTTTATCAACTACAATTTTTTTATTCCACATTTGCCTAGAAAGCAATCTGTAAAAGCAAAGCCTTACTTTCACACAGATACCTATCACAAAAACTGGAAACACACTGTGACATTGTGGAGTGGGGGCTGGGGATGTAATACATAATACAATGTTGGAAAATTTCTAGTAACTTCTGGTAAAGCTACTGAATTGGCAGACATGGCCAGGAGGGCCCTGTCGTACACCCATTACTGCAAGTAATCACCAAAACCTTCTCAGCTTCTAGAGACTCCTCCTCTGCACAGGCAACTCAGCGGTGACCCAGTGGGCAAATAATTCCTTCCATGCCAGGGGATTCCCTGAATCTACACTCATGGCTCCCAAAACATGACTTCCCTTTTCTTCATGGCTGGCAATTTATAATAGTGACTGGACCACGGTACCACATTCTGCTAGAAGGTGCTGATATCTCCAATACAATGTATTTTGGCCTGAAATTCACCAACTTAAAGACTTTAAGATTAGTTTTCTCCAACTCATGACCCTAAGTAAGCTTGAGATTCTGTTTACTGGTAACAACTATCACTGAATATGTACCACATGTTGTGCCCAGTGATAAGCACTTGCATCTACTAAAGCAATTTTGTATTTAATTCCCTCACAAGATGTGTTATCACCACCCCCACTTGCAAATGAGGGAACAGCTGGTGAAATTAGTTGCCCAAAGACATTTAGTGACTACATTTTATTGGGATTAAGGGGACTCTATTTGAGTTATTCATGCAGTTTTACAAAAGACAAGTGCCTCAAAGAAATATTAGGATATAGTTTCAGTAATTTTACACTAAAGGAGTTACATTAAAACATCAAACACTAGATTTTAAATTACTTGAATTCCATTATATGCAGTTTATTAAAATATTACTTTTAACCTCTGTAACCTCAACATCTTAATATTTGTCCAACAAATAAACTGACACCACATGCATGTTTTGCACCAAATGGTGCCTCTCTCCTCCAGGAGGAGTCTGGAAATGTATGGGAGCATTTTGGGTTGTCCCAATGTGGAGATCGCTAATCAGCATTTAGTGGGTAGGGGCGAAACAGACCTCCAAACTGCCAATAGCACCCACATAGAAACACTAAACTATGGGCTGATTCAAAAGGAAAACCTTTCATGGTAAAGTTAAACCACCTGTTAACACGCCTTAATTTACAACTTCCTATTCATTGATAGTCTGTTTAAAATATCTTAGAAGATCCATCGATCCCTTTCTATAAAACATCACTTACCTAGCATTTTATTTTCAAATACACACACATACTCACACAGACACACACACACACACCCCACATTTTAGATATACAGTTAATACTCTTTTATCCCCGATGTAACCAAAGCACTTCTCCTCCACTGCCTACCTGGCTCATTTTTTAACTCAATAAATGCATAGTAACCAAAGCACCTCTCCTCCACTGCCTACCTGGCTCATTTTTTTAACTCAATAAACGCATAGTACATTTGCACATGGTATAATCTTAGAAGTAGATGTCCTGCTGGATAAAAAATTTTGTTTCAGCATCAAGAATATAGTTTGAAATTTCTAGTTCCAAGAATCACTCATGTCAATAGGAAATTTTAGACTGCCTTGGTTCACTGCCTAAGCGTCCCAAGGGCACTATGCTAATGTTTATACTATGTCTGTCTTTAAAAATTGATGAAAAATGGAAATCTAACATGAATTAATTTATAAATGATATATAATTCCACACCCAAAGAGTGAAAAAGATGTAACCTGTAGACAGATTTAAATATGTACAAGAGCAAAATTTTAAGTAGGAGGTACTCAGTCAAAACTGTAGTACTCCTAAGCAGAACCAAGTTCAAAAGAAGACTTGCTGCTTAGGGACGGGTAAACTACATGGAGACCTTTGGCAAAGGTTTACTTTGGCATTCCAGTTGGCCAATGGTATTATCTCGTGAGTTGTGGAAATAATCACAAAATCAGATTTTTGAAGCCCTGAAGTTTCTTTTTAGGTTGAAAAAACTAATGTACATGAGGCTCCTAAGACTAATATACCAAAAAAATAAAAATGAGTATTTTGTGCCAAGTTTTAAAAGCTGAATTACACTATCTAGCTCTCAGCATTTAGTTAGATCCTGAGTACTGTTTCTTTAGATTTTATCTAGTCCCTACAAGGTATACCAAAAGAGAAAAAGATCCAGGACTTCTGAGACAGAACCCTGAGGCTCAGTCTTCAGCATAATTTGAGACTCACTTTTTGCCAAAGAACTGTGATTGACAACCTGAGCACTTTCAGTTCACCTTATTGTTCATTATTTCCTCCAGATGAACTGTAAATTGAACAGCTCTATCCAAGATTATAGATAAGACATAGCCCACCACTGCCAATTCCTTTGAAGCTGTTCTACTAGAAAAAGTTCATCAAAAGTGCTGACTCTTCAGGGAGAAGTTCCCCCCCCCCAAAAAAAAATGCTGAATCAAAGACTACTGTGCACTTCAAAAAACTCGCCCTTTTCTCTAGATGTGACTGTGGTTAGTACTGTGTAGGTAATCAGCAGGAATACATCAGCAGTCAGAAAACTGTGGCAGTTACTCCGGACTCAGCCAAATCACTTTACGTGTTTCTCTAGCTCCAGGTTCCCATCTATACAATGAATAGCATTTTCATCCACTGTCTTTCAAAGAACTGTGAGAACAAAATAAATATGAAAGTGATCCCTCCCTGTAACTATATTTCAATAAAAGATATTCTGAAATAGATGACCTTACAAAAGGATAAATTTGAAAAGCCAAAACAAATTTTTGCAAAAGAGCCTCTGCTATGTACTTCAGGACTGCCTCGAGGGTAGTTACGACTACCCTGTGAAGGGTACAAATAGAATCGAATCATTCTTTCCCTTCCCCAAGTCCTGAACCCTCTAAAAGTGAATACAGTTAAACATTCTGAAGTCCTCAGTGGAGAGAGAAGGTATCTTGTCTTCAAATCCTTCAGTGGATTACAACAATGTTCCCCTGAGCGGGTCTCCCCTCATTCACTTTTGCCACCCTCCACATTATCTCCCCCCCACCAAAAAAAAAAAAAAAAAGCCACAACCTGTCTCAATCCACTGCCTGTAATCTTCACTGGCTTCCCTCTGTTTTTAGAATAAAAGCTCTGCTTGGCGTGACCCCAGCTTTCTCCACCTGCCTCTCTCCCTCCCCGTTTCAGCCATGCTAGCCTTTCAAAAAGGCTGAAAAGCTTTCTTCCTCTTCACATTTCAGGGCCTTGACATACGCTGTTGCTTCAGCCTGAAATGTTCCTTTTTCGTTTTTCAGAGACAGGGTCTAGCTCTGTTTCCCAGGAGGGAGTGCAGTGGCATGATCACAGCTCACTGCAGCCTCGAACTACTGGGCTCAAATGATCCTCTCGCCTCAGCCTCCCGAGCAGCTAGGACTACAAGCACACACCACCACTCCCAGCTAGTTATTTTTTTATTTTTGGTAGAGACGGTGGTCTCACTATGTTGCCCAGGCTGGTCCTGAACTCCTGGCCTCAGGCAATCCTCCCACCTCAGCCTCCCAAAATGTTGGGATTATAGTCACGAGCCACCCTGCCAGGCCTGGAATGTTCTTTTCACTCACACCTTCACATTCCCTTTTCAGTCTCTTTTCAGATCTCAGGTCAAAAGTCATACCCTCTCAGAGCGAGAGGGTATGAAGAATATAAATAAAATTGTTTTAATCTTTAAAAAGTCATATTCTTAGCAATGCCTTTTTAAAATCTTCCATAATACACATGCCCCTACTACACTCTTTCATACCACTGTTATTCCTTCAAAGCACATTTCACGCTTGCTTGATTTTTAAAATCCATCCCCTCTGCTTGCCTGTAAGCTCTATAAAGACAATTTTCTAAACCCTACCATCAGCACTGTACCTGCATACAGCATGTATTCAGTACACATTATTTGCATGAATAAGTAAACGACTACCATTCAAAAGTCCTCGTTACCTGACTCCCAACTTTCTTTCCCACTTCTCCGCAGTGCAATCCACTGTAAAAGCTACTTCTGACTCCACCAGAAGCATTCCCTACCCCCATCTTCAGGCTTTCAAATCCTGTGGCTTTCCCTGCCTGTAAAATTATCCCCATTTCTCTCAACCTGTTCAAATCCTGAGGGCTTGCCAAGACTCAAGTTTTCTTTCCTCCAGAATATCTTCCCATAGTGCCAGTTTACACATGTGTCGTTGCTCCACACTTTCAAAGCACTTCGCATTCTCTTTTTGGTAAGTATACATAAACTGCATCGTATTTTAACGTGTCCTGTGTGTAGACTTTTCTCTCCAACGTTAGTGCTAACTCCTAAGGATAGACTGTTCACATCCCACCCGTTCCATTCCCAGAGCGGCGCTAAGTACTGGGCTCGCACTGAAGCATGTGATTTTTCCCTAACATACCAGAATTTTCCTCTGAAAAGAATACTAGCTTCCCCCTTACTCCTGTTTCTCAAGTGATTCAATATGCCTTATGTGACTCTCACCAAGTTCTTTTCTAGGGGTTTGTTTTGTTTTGTTCTGTTTTGTTTGCCTACCCTCCCCCATTCTACTAAAAAATAGTTGAGTTCTCTGGATTCCTGTTCTTTCTCATTCCTAGAGGGACCTTGTGTACTCTGTGAGGGTTCCTTGCCTGCAGTTAGGGGCTCCTAGGCCTTTAAACTGTCATCCCACCACCCCCGACCCCCGACACCCGCGCCCCCCCCAACACACACCCAGTGAAGGCACTTGCGCTAGCTGTGACCTCACACACACCACTCCATAGCCTCACCTGGACCTATCACTTCATTCCCCTCAATCAATCAGGCGGCGTGCATTCCTACCCAAGAAGAAAGATCCCAGACCGCTGTATCTCTCCTTTCTGCCTGTCATTAACTACCCACGAGAGCTCTTTCTCTTTTTCCCTCCTTCTCTTCCTTAGAGACGGAACCTAGGCCCAAGACGGTGAATTGGCGCCGAGAAACCAGACACAGCCACCCAGCCAGCTCCAGCTCCAACGCCACGGTCTCTGCCCCCGCACCCACCCGCGTCCCTCCCAGGCAGCGACCGGAGCTCATGCTTCGGCCTGACCAGGACTCCCCATCCGGGGAGAGCCATCGCTCACTGACCCAGGAAGGTGTCAAACGAGGAAGTAGCAGCAGTAACAGGTACCGAGGCAGACAGCCTAGCGGACGCTATCGGCTCAGCGATCCATCCCTTCCCGACCTAAGCTCCGGCCTCACGGCTTCCTCTACCCAAGCGAACACAGAACAAGTCACGTGCCAGCCCAGCAGTCAGCTGACCGCGGCGCGCGCTGCTCCGCCTACGCCCGCGCCACTGCGCAGCCGCAGCCGCTGCCACTGCCGGGCCTTGGGAGAGGGGCGGGACTAGGAGGCTACGGGGCGGCAAGGGGACCCTATATTCGGGGCTGATCGCTGTTGTTCCAGAGTGGGTGGGGTTTTCCGCTTCTTCCAGTGTTGCAAGTGGCGTTTTGTCCACCACTTGTAAACGTCAGCGCCACTGCAGGTTTCTGCGGGTCAGAAATTGTCTCCAACCCCCTACAAGGGCTTCTCCACTTGGGGTTTTCTTCGTCAGCTGGGTTTTCTACCTAGTATACTGGCTAGTAGTTCATTTTAGCAGATTCACATTTTCCTGAAGTCCACTTAGACTTAATTTCATAAATGGTCCATGGAGCATTTACTGTGCGCCAAGCACTGCGCTCGTTCTTAGGATTGCCTACTGGAGAGAATCACTCCTTGCCACGAAAGCGCCTCATAGATAGTTGAAACCACATTAGATAGTGGGAAACCAAAGGTTTTAGGACAGAGGCATAGACAGGGGAAAGCATCTCCTTTGGAGAAAAATAGGTAACAAGCTCCTCCCAGGAACCCTGCTTATTTCATTAGCTTGGGGAGATAGATAGTAATGTCCTAATTTAGAACACAGAGTTTTAGAAGTAGTAGAAATTTTGAGATGTTCTAATTTAATCCTTTTAGATCTACAGATGAAGAAAGTGAGGGCACGGAGTTGTTCAGCGCAAGGGAATAGATACCAGGTGTTGAATCCAGGCTCTCCTACTTACTAGTTGTGTGACCTTACTCCTCTGAATTTCAGCCTGTTCACATGCAAAGTGGTGGTAATAATACCTTACACAGGTATTGTGAGGATTAAATGAAGCCTGTGGTTAGCACAGTGCCTGGTACATAGGAAACAACCAGTAAATGGTCGTCATTATTACTATGTATTATAGGACCCAGGTTTTCTGACCTATACTATGCCTTTTCTGCTGTGTCCCCCTACAGAAATTCACCACAGAATTTCTCAGAGCCTCAGTATTAGGTTGGACAGAAAGTAACAACCACCAGACTATCCCCAACCTGACGCTTTCACCAGTTTTGGATGAAGTTCATGCAATTACAATAACCAGTTCTATAACATGGCTTCAGAAACTTATCAGAATTCCAGAGGCTTTTATCTGCCATCACGAAATGAGCCTAAAGGCATTTTTTTTTTGGTTAGGTCCACTAAAACTTTCTGCCATGATGCAAATGTTATCCTGTGCTGTCTGTACAGTACCCACTAGCTACATGGAGCCATTGAGCACTTGAAATATGGTTAGTGTGACTTAGTAACTGAATTTTAAAATTTATTTCACTTTAATTAAAATTTAAATAGCCACATGAGACCAGTGACAACAGCCTTAGACAGTGCAGTTTTAAGGTCCATGCTTGAACTATCTTGGTTTCTTCGTGCTTGTGTGTGGTCCTGAGGCAGACTTTTTGTCTTGGATTCTTAATTTCTAAACTGAATTATACCTCGCGCAACTTTCCAACATTTGGGGTTTTTTTTTTAGTTTTGGGGTTTTTTTTGAGATGGAGTCTCGCCCTGTCGCCCAGGTTGGAGAGCAGTGGTGCGATCTCAGCTCACTGCAAACTCCACCTCCCGGGTTCAAGCGATTCTTGTGCCTTGCCCTCCTAAGTAGCTGGGACTACAGGCGTGCACCATCACACCCAACTAATTTTTGTATTTTTAGTAGAGACGGGTTTTCCTCATGTTGGCCAAGCTGGTCTCCAAGTCCTGAGGTCAAGTGATCTGCCCACTTGGCCCTCCCAAAGTGCTGGGATTACAGGGGTGAGCCATCGTGCCTGGCCTCCAGTGTTTTAATTACCATGTTATACTTGGGAGGCAGTACAACAGAGTGTTCAATAAATGTTAGCTCTAATTTTTATGAGGTTTAATGTATCTCACTTAAAAATTTAGGAAACATAGCTGGGCATGGTGGTGCATGCCTATAGTCCCAGCTACTCGGGAGGCTGAGGTGGGAGGACCCCTTGAGCCCAGGAGTTCGAGGCTGCAGTGAGCTAAAATTGCACCATACACTCCAGCCTGGGCAACAGAGCAAGACCCCATCTCAAAAAATCAAATAAAAATCTAGCAAAGATGTTTAATATAAGCAGGGCATGATTGCTCTCCAGTGGTTTCTAATAGTAAAGTAATATGTTTTTACAGAGAAGCAACTCACTTTTTAAAAACTGTACTATGCATAGAAGCATACTAGGTAGCCATGGGCATGTCACACCTTTTCCTCCATTTCCACCTATCTAAAGACTACTCATCTCCAAACATCTAAGTTTAAAGCACTCCTAAGATGCATGGGAGAAGATTTATTTTTTTCTTACAACTTTTTCCGGGGAAAAAATTTATTTTTTCCTTTATTAAAATATTGAGCTTATTTCAGTTACATATTTTTGTCTTCCCACCATTTCCATTTGTCTGACCACAGCTACTACTATGTCCTATCATAATATTCCATACATACATATATACTGAAAACCAAGCAAAGAGCCAGGCGTGGTGGCTCACACCTGTAATCCCAGCACTTTGGGAGGCTGAGGTGGGCAGATCACTTGAGGCCAGGAGTTTGACACCTTCCTGACCAACATGGCAAAATGCCATCTCTACTAAAAATACAAAAATTAGCTGGGTGTGGTGGTGCATGCCTGTAATCCCAGCTGCTTGGGAGGCTGAGGCAGGAGAATTGCTTGAGCCTGGGAGCCAGAGGCTGCAGTGAGCCAAGATAGTGCCACTGCCCTCCAGCCTGAGTGACAGAGCAAGACTCTGTCTCAAAAAAAAAAACAAGCAAACGATGGAGTTTCATCTTTAAAAACTACAGGGGCATTTTGGACAACACATTTTTGGCAATGGAACCTGGACAATATTTATCCAACGTGCTAGGGAACTTCTCACTCTGAATTGTAAAAAGGACAGTTAGATATCAACTGTTACAGAAATGAAATGACAGATAATTTTTTTCTCTAAAAGAACTATTAACGAAATGACAGGTAATTTTTTTCTCTAAAAGAACTATTGGGTTAAAAGATTTAAAAAAAAAAAGAAGAAAGAAAATTTTAACAAGCTGTTTAAACTATTTTTTTTTTTTTTTGAGACAGAGTCTCACTCTGTTGCCCATGCTGGAATGCAATGGCGTGATCTCTGCTCACTGCAACCTCTGCCTCCCAGGTTCAAGCGATTCTCCTGTCTCAGCCTCCCAAGTAGCTGGGAATACAGGCATCCACCACCACGCCTGGCAAATTTTTTGTATTTTTATTTATTTATTTATTTATTTTTGGAGAGACAAGGTTTCACCATGTTGGCCAGGCTGGTTTTGAACTCCTGACCTCAAGTGATCTGCCCACCTTGGCCTCCCAAAGTGCTAGGGTTACAGGCATGAGCCACCACGCTTGGCCTAAACTGTGTTCTTAAAGAGACTTCTTCCACTGCCAGAGATGGTGAATAGCCTCCTAGTTGGTCATCCAGAAGTAATTCTTCACATAATTGATGCACTTAGCTTTGGGAAGAGAACCAACTTTTTCTATACTTGCTTGCATTTTTGCTTTTAATATATTCTACAAAACTAGGTCCTTTTGGTGTTTTAAGAGGTTTTTTCCCCCTGTTTTTGAAGGATTCTTGACCTTTTGGTCTTAATCTTGATAGTTCTGAGTCTTTTTTATTTTGGTTTGATCTTTGTGCATTTTTTGGATGGAGTATCCTGTATAAATTTCATCACTAGAGCTTTTTCTTCAGTTTTCCCTTCATCAAAATGTTCTTCCTCTTCATCATCATCATGATTTTCATCAGCAAGAAGTTTTATTTTTTTCTTGTAGAAATGTACCCACTTCCAGGGGCAGATCACTTTCCAGATATACTGAAAAGTCTCACATCTCCCTCCTCTTCATGTCCTGCTTTGTATCTTCCTTCATACCTGTTAAGTGCTGTGTACTCATATGCCCAGGCCCTGAAACACACTGAGTGTAAGGCCACAGGCAATGTTATTTCAAAGCCCCCAAGATAAACCATTGACTGTACATACCTTTTTAAAGTTGCTAGTATTACTTTAATTGGACTGCCTTCATAGTTCATTACTTCTGCTTCAACAATATAAAATCCATCCTTTCTACCAGCCCCTAAACTGACCATTCTTAAAGATAACTTGTGCTCATTTTCATCATTATCCACCTTAAAGTGATAATCTTTGTTGGCCTCTAGTCACAACCAAAAAGATAGTTCTGGGGCCTCAGGAGGCTGATGTCCATGTCCGTCAAATCTTCCATGGGTGGCGGCAAGCACTTAGGTAGGAGAGAAGCCAGGCAGAGGTAAACAACCACGCTCCAGAGAACAGCTGTGCAGGATGGAATCATACCAGCAACCAATTATTTTGTTTTTTGATTACTGTTTTCTTTTTTTAATTTTTTAAATATTTTTTAACTTTTATTTTAAGTTCAGGGGTACGTGCGCAGGTTTGTTACATAGGTAAACTTGTGTCAAGGAGGTTTGTTGTACAGATTATTTCATCACCCAGGTATTAAGCCTAGTATCCATTAGTTAAACAAAGTGGAGAAAGTATTTGAAGCAAATAGGGCAACAGGATTCAGAACTCTTTTTCACTCTGGTATAATAGTCAAGATATCTTGAAAGTTGTTACTGGCATTTCCCTTAGGAAACTAAGTGTCCTTGTTTAAGAAAATACCTTGATAAACTAATATCTTCCACTAGGGTGGAAGAAAAACTGAGAGTATGGTTAAATGGAGGCAAAGACCAAAGAAATAACTTGAGCTAGTTTCCACTGAAAAGCAACAGAAATTGGAGAATGAAGAGATGGGAGAGAGGCATAGGGAAGAGAAGGAAAGAAAGAGAAAAGAGAAAGACAAATGACAAGGGACTTATAAAAAGAGGAATATTTAGAACTCAATTTGAGCTTACTTCAGTTGCTGTGATTTAAATCCTTTGCCATCTTCCCAGAGCTTTAATAAAGTCTACGCTCAAATGCCTTTATGCAAAATTCTTTTGTAGACATATATGCTATCCAGGTTATAATATACAGAGAGCTTGAACAAATTGATAAAAGCAATACTAAGGGCTGAGCACGGTGGCTCATGCCTGTAATCCCAGCACTTTGGGAGGCCAAGGAAGACGGATCACTTGAGGCCGGGAGTTTAAGACCAGCCAGGCCAACATTGCAAAACCTTGTCTCTACTAAAAAATACAAAAATTATTAAGGTGTGGTGGTGTATGCCTGTCATCCCAGCTACTCAGGAGGCTGAGGGATGAGAATTGCTTGAACCTGGGAGGCAGAGGTTGCAATGAGCCAAGATAGCGACACTGCACTCCAGCCTGGGTGACAGAGCAAGACTCTGTCTCAAAAAAAAAGGAACAATACTAAGACCATCCAAAAGACAAATGAGCAAAAAGCACAAAACAGTTAAGAAAAAAAGAAGTGCTATTGGCTATAACATACGGGGAATATTCACTCTTACTAGTGCTCAAAAATATAAATAAGAACAATACAAAATTTTATAAACACAAATATTAAAATAAATAGAAATAACTCATATTAGCAAAGATAGAAATATACACATAATAGCCAATGCTGGTGAGGGTGTGGTAAGATAGACTCTTACACTACTAGTAGAAATGTAAATTGGTACAACTCTTTGGTCAGCAATTAACAGTATGAATGAGAGGCCTTTAAAATGTTTGTTCCATTTGACTGTCATTAGAATGTTAATCATGCAAAAGATAGAAAAGTATTTATGCAAAATATGTTTATTACATCATTATTTATGTTTGTTTTCATCATCAACACCATTTATTAAAGATTTCATTAAGAACTAAGCCCCTGTGAAGGTGAAGTGTTGAAAATGGTATTGAGGTTTATATCTTGAATTTTCGGAGTTCATTGCTCAAGGGTAATGAATAGAATATACTAGACCCATGATTCTCAACCTGAGGACATTTGGCAATGTCTGAGACATTTTTGGTTGTCACAGCCTAAGGGTAGGGATGCCACTAGTACCTGGTGGGTAAAGGCCAGGAATGATGCTAAACGTCTTAAAATGCACAGGACAGACCCCAAACAGAATTATCTGATCCAAAATGTCAACCGTGCTCATGCTGAGAAACCTGGTACTTGACTTATAACACTCTCAGATTCCCAAATTCATGACTTACTGCATAATGTATAATACCCTCAGTTTTTTAATCTGTAAGGTGAGACAATAATATCTACCTCTATTGTTATGAGAATAAAATTGAATCATATAATAAATTGTAGTCACATCGCCACTTTGAGATGTCAGCTAGGTTTGATGCAGGGCAGGCAAGCTCCAAAGTGGAGCTTAGCCCATGAGGATTCTTGGCTTTTCCCAGGAAAGAATTCAAGGGCAAGCCAGAGGTAGAAGAAAACAGCTTTATTGAAGAGGCATTGTTACAGTTTGGTGACTACTCCTGCAGAGTGAGGCTACCCAGTAGACAGAGTAGGGCAGTTTGGGTCATATTTATACCCACTTTTAATGGCATTCAGATTAAGGAACAGTTTTTGAGGAAATTTCTAGGGAAAGGGTAGTAACTGTTAGGTCATTAGGTCATTGCCGTGGAAAGAGGTGGTAACTCCCGGCTGTTCCCATGGCAGTGGTAAATTGACATGGCACACTGGTAGGTGTGTCTGACTGAAAGCTGCTTTTGCCCCTGCCCTGGTTTAGGTAGTCCTCCATCCGATTCGGAGCCCTGCCTCTGGAGTCGAGTCCCGCCTCCCACCTCAGGTTCACTCACTAGCTAGGAGATCCGCTCCTATATGCCAGCCTCATAGTGAATTTCTGACTTGACATGGTCACACGTTTCTACAGATTGAGTCCCTTGCCGAGAAGACTAGAAACAGAAATTGTTATATCAATAAATGTCAAGTATTTAGTGAATACCAGCTTTTTTTGTTTTGTCTTGTTTTGTGTTGTTTTGTTTTGGAAATGGAGTCTCGCTCTGTCTCCCAGGCTGGAGTGTGGTGGCGAGATCTTGGCTCACTGCGACTTCCGCCTGCCTGGTTCAAGCAGTGAATACCAGCTTTTTAAGCAATGTTTTTCTTTATTCTTGTTTTAACAATTAATACTTATTAACTGGTTAATAATTGGAAAGTATAGACAAGCAAAAAGAAGATATAAACATCACTCATTATTCCACCACTCAGGAAAAATCACTTGGGCACATCCTTCTAGAATTTTTTTTTTTTTTTTTTTTGGGACAGAGTCTCGTTCTGTGGCCCAGACTGGAGTGCAGTGGCACGATCTCAGCTCACTACAACCTCCACCTGCCTGGTTCAAGCAGTGAATACCAGCTTTTTAAACAATGTTTTTCTTTATTCTTGTTTTAACAATTAATACTTATTAACTGTTTAATAATTGGAAAGTATAGACAAGCAAAAAGAAGATATAAACATCACTCATTATTCTACCACTCAGGAAAAATCACTTGGGCACATCCTTCTAGAATTTTTTTTTTTTTTTTGGGACGGAGTCTCGTTCTTTGGCCCAGAGTGGAGTGCAGTGGCACGATCTCAGCTCACTACAACCTCCACCTCCCGGGTTCAAGCAGTTCTCCTGTCTCAACCTCCCGAGTAGCTCAGATTATAGGCACACGCCACCACACCCGGTCTTAATTTTTGCATTTTTAGTAGAGACAGGGTTTCACCATATTGGTCAGGCTGGTCTCAAACTCCTGACCTCAGGTGATCCACCCACCTCGGCCTCCCAAGGTGCTGGGATTACAGGTGTGAGCCACCGCGCCCGGCCTCTTCTAGAATATTTCTATTCATGTTCATGCACTTATGCAACCTGTGCTATGGGCTCAGTAAGTTAGTAAGTGGCAGGTATGAATTCTAAACCAAGGCTGTCTGGGTCCCTTGGGCCATGCTTTAGCATGACCCCATGTCCTCTGTGATGTAAAGCCTCTTCTCACTTCTTTCTTTTTTTTTTTTTTTTTTTTTTGTATTTTTAGTAGATACGGGGTTTCACCATGTTGGCCAGGCTGGTCTCAAGCTCCTGGCCTCAAGTGATTCACCCACCTTGGCCTCCAAAAGTGCTGGGATTACAGGCATGAGCCACCGTGCCCGGCCTCCTTTTTTTTCTTTTTCTTTTTCTTATTTATTCATTTATTTATTTTATTGTCTCTCAGACATACTCCTTTTATACTCTGAATTTTCATGGCATGTTTTGGCATTTAGCTAATTCCACTTGCATTATATTTTATCAGCCTCATCAAGACCACCCTGTACCAGAGAGTCCTGAATATGCATTGTACCTGGTAAGCATTCAGTAAGGGTAGCTGAATAGATTTCACAACCAAATGAAAGACCAGATTTCAAACATTTTATGACAGAGGATGAGGAAGGGAAGAGGTACTGTGTTGTCTGAGTGGTTAAACCTGTCAGTTCCTTTCCTCTGGTCCTCATAGTGTCGGTCCTTGAACTAATAGAAATCATCATTTTTGTCATTGCATCCTTAGAAATGGTATGAAATCTTAGGAGCAGCAAATGTTCATAGAAATAGGAAGTTATTTTCTTAAAAAATTAGTTCTGCTCTCCCGCCTTCATTTCAGGATTTTGTTCCCTTTATTACTACTTTTTACTTTGCTTAAATGACACAGTGAGAAAGATTTTGAACAATTCTTAGTACTGTGCTATACTAAGAAGTAGTCGCCTCTGGACTAAATCTAATTTTCATCTTATTTACACCAAATAGTCTAAAAGTGACAGAACTGGAAGTTAGTATTTAGTAGTTATAATGTACCAATCTGATTAGAAAAAAGAAATGAAAAGAAAAAAACTGACAGGGCAAGATGGTTCACGCCTGTAATCCCAGCACTTTGGGAGAACAAAATGGGAAGATTGAGCCCAGGAGTTTGAGACCAGTCTGGGAAACATAGCAAGACCTTGTCTCTACTAAAAATTAAAAAATTAGCCAGACATAGTGGTGCACACCTATAGTTTCAGCTATTACAGAGGCTGAGGCAGGAGGATCACTTGAGCCCAGGAGGTGGGGGTGGCAGTGAGCTATGACTGTATCACTGCACTCCACCCTGGGTGACAGAGTGAGAACTTGTCTCTAGAAAAAAAAACACAAAACACTGATGCACTGTATTTAATGATTATAAGCAGCATCCCTTTAGTCCCCCATGTGTTGTTACACCTAATTCCTGAATGTACAAACATATGTCTTTCAAAATAGTTAACGATACATAGGGCAACTGATTTACTAAAGGGGAGGGTGTGGTTAAAAAATTATCAACAGGAGGCCAGGCTTGATGGCTCATGCCTGTAATCCCAGCACTTTGGGAGGCTGAGGCAGGCTGATCACTTGAGCTCAGGAGTTCAAGATCAGCCTGGGCAACATGGTGAAACAATGTGTCTACAAAAAAATATAAAAATTAACCTTTAGCTGGCGCGGTGGCTCACGCCTGTAATCCCAGCACTTTGGGAGGCTGAGGTGGGCGGATCACGAGGTCAGAAGATGGAGACCATCCTGGCTAACATGGTGAAACCCCGTCTCTACTAAAAAAAAAAAAATACAAAAAATTAGCCGGGCACGGTGGCGGGTGCCTGTAGTCCCAGCTACTCGAGAGGCTGAGGCAGGAGAATGATGTGAACCTGGGAGGTGGAGCTTGCAGTGAGCCGAGATTGCGCCACTGCACTCCAGCCTGGGTGACTGAGTGAGACTCCATCTCAAAAAACCAAACTAAACTAAACTAAATAAAATAAAATAAACCTTGTGTGGTGGTAGGCACCTATAGTCCCAGCAACTTGGGGACTGAGGTGGGAGCATCACTGGAGCCCAGGAGGTTGAGGCTGCAGTGAGCCGTGTTCCTGGCAGTGCACTCCAGCCTGGGTGACAAAGTGAGAGCCTATCTTGAAAAAAAAAAAATTACCAACAGAAATAATGAATACTCATCTTAAGCACAGTTTGAGAACAACAACCCCAGCATCTGGAAAACAACACCTTAGACCTCAGCCAGGACTGGGGAGGGAGACCTTAATGATCATTGTCTTTTGAAATCATCACCAGAGCTTTCTTCAGGAAGGAAAACATCTTAGTGTGATTCTCCTAAACTTGCACCTTAGGAGAAGCACCTTAAATTTAACTCACTGCTGGGTCAGCCATCTCTTGCCAGATGGCTGTGACCACAGTTTGATCATCACTCCTCTTAATCTTACCAAGAAGCCTATCCAAAACAGCAGGGGATAGCCCCAGCTCCTGCACCTCCCATGCAAATCCCTGTCAATACCTCCAGATGTCTTCCTCAGCCTTATTCCTATCGCTATTGCTCAGTCATTCCATGGGGTTGACAATGTCACCCTGCTGGTGACATGAACAAACAGGAGAGTCTGGGCTGACTGCCCTCAGGCAGTTCCTCCATAAATAAGGATTAGATTCAGTTATTTAAAGTGACCTTAGAACTTTTGATTTAACAGCTGACCCAGAGGTCATGTTGGTGTTACTGTCGATCTGTGCCCACCGAATGGTATAAGTCTCATTTGGGGGATGCTAAGAATTGTAAACAACATTTTCTTTTTTTTAATTTTAATTTTAAATTGTTTTAGAGATGGGGTCTCACTCTGTCAGCCAGGCTGGAGTGCACTGGTGCCATCATAGCTCACTGTAGCCTCAAACTCCTGTGCTCATGGGGTCCTCTCCCCTGAGCCACCTGAGGAGCTATAACATGCACCACCACACCCGGCTGATTTTTATTTTTATTTTTTTGGTAGAGATGGAGTCTCACTATGTTGCCCAGGCTGGTCTCAAACTCCTGACCTCAAGCAATCCTCCCACCTTGGCTTCCCAAAATGCTGGAATTACAGGCACAAGCCACCGTGCCCGGACCTTTAAACAACACTTTGTTCCCAGAGCTGCCCTGTGCATCCCAGGACAGTATGGAAGGCAGGCATTATCTTGACTCTCTCCCCAAAATATAGTGACTTATACCTTGTAAGTCATCATAAAAAACCTTCAAGTGTACACCACTAGTAGCTCACATAGCCCTCAGATGATTGTGGAGATTTCTCCAAAATGAAGCTTCCTTTGATTACCTGGAGGAACTCCCCAAAGTGATAACAGGCTTGTTATTTATCCACTATCAGTGGCCACTTGTTGCTGCAGTGGAAGTCATCCCATTAGAAGAAGCAGAACAAAATTTGCCCCTGACTTTAGCTGAAGTGATCAGTGATACCAGCTTTGCCCTTGAAGTATTCGCATTTGCCTCAACTGAGTAGCCAGGTGTGTTATACGTAATACAATTGCTTTAAACTTCTTCCTTGTGGGTCAAGGCGGAGGGGTCTGTACAATTATTAATACATTCTGTCATGCCTACATTAATGTCTTGGACTGAGGGAAAAGGTCAGTACAGAAACTTAAGGAAAGATCCCACTCCCTGACTCTTCTTAAATGAAGCCTTGGTGGCTTCTTGAATTTGTTCAAGGAGTTGATTCTGAGACTCTGACAGGCATATTTGAGGTCAGTGCCACAAATAGCTTCCTCCTGCTTTGTGGATTCTTGTTTATAGTCACCTTAATAAGGCCATATTTGACAAATTAAACAGACTTGGTCCCAGTCTTTGTCAGCTGGGTTAATTGGAGAATGCCAGTGGCATATCTATGGGAAACTTCACCAGAAGCAAGACAGTGTAAAAAGGAGGGTGAGCCACTGTGCCTGGCCAGTTTTCTGTCAATAAACAAAAATTTGGCAATCCAGGAGGAAAGAATAGTCTCTCTCTACAGCTATAAGGTTGCTGGGTACTATAAACTATGAAGAAATCCAATGGAATAAATTGGTGTTAGGGAACAATAAATATGAGAAAATGTTTTCCATTTGTTATCAAAGAGCAACTTGATAATTTTAAGGGATTGTATTCTAAAATAAAGCAAATACCTTCAAACCTGAAAATATTGTTTCATTATTCAGATATAATTCACCTTTTCATCAGTCAATAACTATTTAGGCCCAGAAGGGAAAAGTTGTACAATCCTTTGTACATATGGTTCTTTGATAAGAACTACTAAATACAGGCTGGACGTGGTGGCTCACCTATGTAATCCCAACACTTTGGGAGGCCAAGGCAGGTGGATCACCTGAAGTCAGGAGTTCAAGACCAGCCTGGCCAACACAGTGAAATCTCGTCTCTACTAAAAATACAACAATTAGCTGGGCATGGTAGCGGGCACCAGTAATCCCAGCTACTCAAGAGGCTGAGGTGGGAGAATCACTTGAACCCAGGAGACGGAGGTTGCAGTGAGCCGAGATTGAGCCACTGAACTCCAGCTTGGGCGACAGAGTGAGACTCCATCTCAAAAAAGAAAAAAAAAAAAGAACTATTAAACACTTTTTTTTTTTTTTTTTGAGATAGAGTCTCTCTGTGTCACCCAGGCTGGAGTGCAGTGGCATGATCTCAGCTCACTGCAACCTCCCCCTCCCGGGTTCAAGCGATTCTCCTACTTCAGCCTCCTGAGTAGCTGGGATTACAGGTGCGCACCACCACGCCCAGCTAATTTTTATATTTTTAGTAGAGACGGGGTTTCACCATGTTGGTCAGGCTGGTCTCGAGCTCCTGACCTTGTGATCTGCCCGCCTCAGCCTTCCAAAGTGCTGGGATTACAGGCGTGAGCCACCGCACCCAGCCAAACACTATTTTTTGGATCTTAGCAATCACTTTACAAATATCAGAAGGTAAACTCGTAGGTCTTTAATTTGATGATTTATTAAATGATTTTGGGAGTGGGGAAACAATACCTATTTACCCTAACCACACGCTGCAGCTACCTTCCCTAACACTAATGGAGGTTGTACTGAAATTCTTGTTAAATCTGCAGTCCATGAAAACACTGAATCCAAGTTTTGGAGGTTGTGGCCTGGGTATCTGCATTGTCACAAGACCTCGTGAAATTTGATGAATCATTGCACTAGAACTTCTTGAGCAGTCATTCTTCTGAGCCTCTGTGGCATAGCTGTGTTATTCACTTAGCACCCAAGGTGTAATATTAGTATGTGTTCATTCATTCAGTGAATATTTTTAGGTGCCTACTGTGTGTTTAGAACCTTACTAAACATTCTTTTGTCATTTTTTGGTGTGTCTACCCACAACTAGATTAAAAGCCTCTTTCAAATAGGGATCCTAAGTAAACATGTCTTTGTAGTCCTAGAAACTGATAAGCAATGTACCCTCCACCCAGGGTCCCACCCAGAGTCCAATTCCCTCTTTTTGCTTCCTAACAGAACCACAGTTTTGTTCAGGGACCCATCTGTTTAGCCAAGTATGTTGGAGGAAACTGTCAGGAATGGTTCTAAATGATTGCTTCAGGTATTTGCATGTGACCTAATTCTGGCAGATGAGGCATGAGGGGAAATGTGCTGGAAAGCTTCCATGAAGTTCTCTTGCTCTTAGGAGAGACCTACAGGACGAGGTGGTCTCTCTTTTTCCTCAAAATAGTCATGCTTCTGTTGCGATCTGGAAGTGCTACAGCCATCTTGCTACCTCCCTGAGAATGAAGCTTCCACTGGGGATGGCTTCCACTGGAGAAATGGAAAAAAAAGTGAGTCCTTAATTACCCCCCTCCTTTTTTTTTTTTTTTTTTTGAGACAGGGTCTCGCTCTGTTGCTCAGGCTGGAGTGCAGTGGCATGATCTCAGCTCACTGCAACCTCCTCCCCCAAGACTCAAGTGATCCTCCCACCTCAGCCTCCTGAGTAGCTGGGACTACAGGTGCTCACCACTATGCCCAGTTAATTTGTAAATTTGTTGTAGAGATGAGATCTCACTATATTGCCCAGGCTGGTCTTGAACTCCTGCGCTCAAGTAATCTTCTTGCCTTGGCCTCCCAAAGTGCTAAGATTACAGAAATGAGCCACAGCACCTGGCCAAGACTGTGTTTCTGTATTTGCACCCAACTGAGGGTCAGTAAATATCGGTTCCAGATGATGCTGACAATGATGTGAAAAATAAAATGATAGAATTGCCATCTTCAAGGATGTTGCTACTGACCATGATTAAGATTTATTTGTGAGGTTTTGAGTAAAGTTATCAATCCAAGACCTACAATCTTGACTCCACAGAGCTACCCTCTTTCTCTAAGACCCTAGAACACTTTGTGATATGATGATACACTAAGAAATACATATTTGGTCTTCATCTCTGGTTCCTGGCATTGAGCTCTTAAAACCCTTGTAAATTCCTGAAGGATAGGTATAAGAAGAGCATCTTCATCATTCATAATAAGCTCCTTTTAATCATACCTGAGTTTATGCCAATGAGATGACTGGTGGCTGGGGCTCTTAGATAACTTCAGGTTGGGGGTGAGTCAGCAGAAAGACCAAGTGATTAGAGGGTTGCAACTTTCAGCACCACCCCTAGTCCCAACCTATGGGGAGGCAGAGGGGCTAGAGATTAAGTTTATCTCCAATGTCCAATGCTTTAATCAATCATGCCCCAATAAACCTCCATAAAAACCATAAGTGGGGTTTGTGGATCCAGAAAGCTTCTGGGTTGGTAAATATATCCATGTGCTGGGAGGGTGGCACACCCCAAACTCCACAGGGACAGAAGCATCTATGCTCAGAACCCTTCCCAACCTTACCCTATGTACCTCTTCATCTGGTTGTTCATGTGTATCTTTTATAATATCCTTTATAACAAACCAGTAGTAGTAATGTGTCTTCCTGAGTTCTGTGAGACTTTCTAGCAAATTATACAATCCAAAGGGGAATTGTGGGAACCCCCTGACTTTATAAGTGGTTGGTTATGCAAACCAAAAATAAAATTCAAAGCCCCTCAACCATCTGAATGGACCCTTCCTCTCAGCCAAGGGCATTACCCAAAGTTAACCTGAAAAACTAGTTCAGGCCATGATGCGAAGAGGGAGTTGGACTTGCCTCATTATACCATCCTCCCTTTTGGAATTCAGGCACAGCTGACCAGCATTAACATTAAAACAGATCTTAAGACAGACAAGCCAGACAAAACAGACTCTTTGTAGCAATAAGACACCAAATTTCAGCCTGACTGTAGTATAGCATCACATGACAAATAGCAGCCTGAAAGAAATTGAAGTATTTTACCCCCAAAATTATATTTTTTGACGTATTTTGAAATGGCCCTGTAAAGCTGTCTCTTGTGAGGAAAAAATCTACATTTTGTAGAGAATCCCCATTCCTTCTTTTTCCTGATCCAGGAGAGAATCAACTCTGATAAGAAACATTTATGATCTATTCTCTCTGAAGCCTGCTACCTAGAGGCTTCCTCTGCATAGTAGAAATATCAGTCTCCATAACCCCTATCCTAACCCAGACATTCCCTTCTATTGATTCTAGGTGTTTAGACAATAATTTAACTCTTTCAGCCAATTGCCAATCAGGAAATCTTTGAATCTACCTATAAGCTGGAATCCCCTCCCCACTTCCCCCCGACTTCAAGTAGCCCCGCCTTTCCAGACTGAACCAATGTACATCTTGCATGTACTGAGGGATGTCTTACATCTCCCTAAAATGTATAAAACCAAGCTGTAGCCTGATCACCTTGGGCACATGTTCTCAAGGTCTCCTGGGGCTGTGTCACAGGCCATTGGTCACTCACATTTGGCTCAGAATAAATCTCTTCCAATATTTTACAGAGTTTGACTCTTTTCATTGACAGAAGTACAGGTTACCCAGGCTTTTGACTGGAATCTAAAGTGAGGGCAGTCTTTTGGGAATGAGTCCTTAACCTGTGGGGCCTGTACTAACTCCTGGTAATTAGTATCAGAATTGAATTAAATGGTAGGACATCCAGTTTGCATCTGGAGAGTTGAAGAATTGGTTGGTGTTTGGGGAATAAACCACAAACACATTTGGTGTCAGAATTAGTGTGGTGTTATAAAAACGTATCATAGAATCATAGAAGTAGTACCTTCTGATATATCATCCAGAAGCAGGGAGGTCAGGAGAGCAGGAGTGCCCCCCACAGATATCTACTGCCTCAAGCTTTTCTCCTCATTTTTGACCACTTCCCATCCCCTGGCTTGAATCTATCTCCTCTCTTGACTTATGTGATGCTACTTTCTATGTCACTTCTCTTCCCACATATCAAACCTCTCCTCCTTCTCCTTCAATGGCTCCCTTCCTCCTTTACCCACAAAAGATGAGTCTTTCCACACAAAAGATTCTGCATTCTTCTGTTCCCCTAGAGTTTACACTATTTACCCATCCTCCACTTGCAACTGCTTAGTAGACAGTTTCACTGAGATGGTCCACTCTAATTGAAATCAATGTGTTCAAAGTCAGGTTACCAATTTATATCTAAAAATCATCTCCCTTTTCTGGAAATGATACTACCATACTTTCCAGATTAAGACCTTTATACCCTCTTTAATTTTTCCATCTTCCTCATAATTTTCACCTGATGTTAAGTCCTAACAAGTTCTCTGTCATGCGTGTCCATGTGAAGAGACCACCAGACAGGCTTTATGTGAGCAATAAAGCTTTTGAATCACCTGGGTGCAGGTGGGCTGAATCCGAAAAGAGAGTCAGTGAAGGGAGATAGGGATGGGGCTATTTTATAGGATTTGGGTAAGTAAAGAAAAATTACAGTCAAAGGGGGTCGTTCTCTGGCGGGCAGTGGTGGGGCTCACAAGGTGCTCAGTGGGGGAACTTCTGAGCCAGGAGAAGGAATTTCACAAGGTAATGTTATCAGTTAAGGCAGAAACCAGCCATTTTCACTTCTTTCGTGATTCTTCAGTTGCTTCAGGCCATCTGGATGTATACATGCAGGTCACAGGGGATATGATGGCTTGGCTTGGGCTCAGAGGCCTGACATTCCTGTCTTCTTATATTAATAAGAAAAATAAAACAAAATAGTGTTGAAGTGTTGGGGTGGTGAAAATTTTGGGGGGTGGTATGGAGAGATAATGGGCGATGTTTCTCAGGGCTGCTTCGAGCGGGATTAGGGGCAGTGTGGGAACCTAGAGTGGGAGAGATTTAGCTGAAGGAAGATTTTGTGGTAAGGGGCAATATTGTGGGGTTGTTAAAAGGAGCATTTGTCATATAGAATGATTGGTGATGGCCTGGATGCCGTTTTGTATGAATTAAGAAACTAAACAGAAGACACAAGGTCTGAATAAGAGAAGGAGAAAAACAGGTATTAAAGGACTAAGAATTGGGAGAACCCAGAACATCCAATTAGAGAGTGCCCAAGGGGGTTCAGCATAATTACTTCCTTGATTGGTGAGTTTTTGGTCTCTATCCTTGACAGAGTCCTCGTTTTTAAGTTGGAGGCTGAGCTTGGTGAGGTGTGTTTTTAAAAGACCATTGGTCCATTCTACCTTTCCTGAAGATTGAGGACAGTAAGGGGTATGAAGGTTCCACTGAATACCAAGAGCCTGAGAAACTGCTTGGGTGATTTGACTAATAAAGGCTGGTCCGTTATTGTATACAGCTGGGACTGTATAGAGGTGGGAAGGCCAAACCGAGGGATTATGTCTTACAGAAGGGAAGAAATGACCACGGTGGCATTTTCAGACCCTGTGGGAAAGGCCTCTACCCAGCCAGTGAAAATGTCTACCTAGACCATGAGGTATTTTAGTTTCCTGACTTGGGGCATGTGAGTAAGCCAATTTGCCAGTCCTGGGTGGGGGCAAATCCCCGAGCTTGATGTGTAGGGAAGGGAGGGGGCCTGAACAATCCCTGAGGAGTAGTAGAATAGCAGATGGAACACTGAGAAGTGATTTTCTTGAGGATAGATTTCCACAATGGAAAGGAATTGAGAGGTTCTAAGAGGCAGGCTAGCGGCTTGTAACCTACATGGAAGAGGTTATGAAATGACGATGGAATAGAATGGGCCTGTGAGGCTGGAAGAAGATATTTTCCTTGGTCCAAGAACCATTTGCCTTGTGTGGGAAGAGATTGATAGGTGGAAGTTTCAGTGGGGAAGTAAGTGGGAGTGACTGATGAGAAGGAGAAAAACTGCCATGAGGGATAGAAGTTGGAACACTAGCTGCTTTTTTAGCTACCTTATCAGCATAAGTGCTGCCCTGAGCAATGGGATCTGATGCCTTTTGATGGCCCTTGCAGTGAATGACTCTAGTTTTTTTTGGAAGTAAAGCGACCTTGAGAAGAGTTTTTATTGAAGAGGCATTAACGATGGAGGACCCTTGTGTAGTGAGGAAACTTCTTTTCGCCCATATAACAGCATGGTGGTGCAGGATATGGAAGGCATATTTAAAGTCAGTATAAATATTGACGCGTAGTCCTTTTACAAGAGTGAGGGCTCAAGTTAAGGAAATGAGTTTGGCTTGTTGAGCAGTAGTGAAGGGGGGCAGAGCAGTAACCTCAATGATAGGTGTCGAAGATACTATAGCATAGCCTGCCTTTGCTGGTGAATGGTGATTAGGCATGGTGGAACTGCCATCAATAAACCAAGTATGATCAGGGTGAGGAACAGGAAAGAAGGAAATATGGGGAAATCGAGTGAATGCCAGGTGGATTAGAGATATACAGTCATAGGGGTCAGGTGTGGTATCAGGGATAATCCTGGGTTTTGGCACCAAATGTCACGCGTGTCCATGTGAAGAGACCACCAAACAGGCTTTATGTGAGCAATAAAAATTTTTAATCATCTGGGTGCAGGTGGGCTGAGTCTGAAAAGAGAGTCAGCAAAGGGAAATAGGGATAAGGCCATTTTATAGGATTTGGGTAGGTAGTGGAAAATTACAGTCAAAGGGGGTTGTTCTCTGGCAGGCAGGGGTGGGGTGTCACAAGGTGCTCAGTAGGGGAGCTTCTGAGCCAGGAGAAGGAATTTCACAAGGTAATGTCATCAGTTAAGGCAGGAATCAGCCATTTTCACTTCTTTTGTGATTCTTCAGTTGCTTCAGGCCATCTGGATGTATACGTGCAGGTCACAGGGGATATGATGGCTTAGCTTGGGCTCAGAGGCCTGACATCTTCTTTCTTAATTTCTTTCACACATACCCCTTCCTTTCTGCTTCTATGGCCGATATCCTGGTTCAGCCCCTGACTCTATCACTTTTAACCTGAAATAACTGCAATATCGCTAAAACGTATTCCTCTTCTTGTTCTCCTCCCACCCCAATCCTTCCTGCATACTCCAGAACAGCTCCCCATTCAGAAACTTTTTTTTCTTCGAGATGGAGTTTTGCTCTTGTTACCCAGACTGGAGTGCAATGGCATAATCTCGGCTCACTGTAACCTCTGCCTCCTGGGTTCAAGCAATTCTCCCACCTCAGCCTCCCGAGTAGCTGGGATTACAGGTGTAGCAGGACAAGCTACTGACAAAACCCCTCAGACACCGAGTTAAAGAAGGAAGGGCTTTATTTGGCCAGGAGCTTCGGCAAGACTCATGTCTCCAACAACCGAGCTCCCTGAATAAGCAATTCCTGTCCCTTTTAAGGGCTCACAACTCTAACGGGGTCCACGTGAGAGGGTCGTGATCGATTGAGCAAGCAGGGGGTACATGACTGGGGGCTGCATGTACCGGTAATTAGAATGGAACAGAACAGGACAGGGATCTTCACAGTGCTTTTTCTTATGCAAATAACCAATTAGGTCAGGGGTTGATCTTTAACTACCAGACCCAGAGTGTGGCGCCAGGCTGTCTGCTTGTGAATTCCATTTCTGACTTTTAGTTTTTACTTCTTCTTTCTTTGGAGGCAGAAATTGGGCATAAGACAATATAAGGGGTGGTCTCCTCCCTTGCAGGCATGCACCACCATACCCGGCTAATTTTGTATTTTTTTTTTCTTTTAAGTAGAGATGGGGTTTCTCCATGTTGGTTAGACTGGTCTCAAACTCCTGATCTCAGGTGATCCACCTGCCTCAGCCTCCCGAAGTGCTGGGATTACAGGCATGAGCCACCACGCCTGGCTGTTTCAGAAACTTAAATGTGAGTTCCCATTGTCTTTAAATTCATGTCCAAGCTCCCTGGAGTACCAAGCTTCCAAAATTAGACCCAAAGTAATCTTGTTAGGCATGACTCCAAATAAGCATGCTGTATAGAAACTCTTCATTTCAGACAAGATACTTTACTCCTAATCACCCACACACCCCTTAGAGCCTCCTTCCTTCAGCCTTGGATTTACGTAAGGTCGCTCTTTGCCTCCTTTTACCTCCATCTACTGAAACTGAACCTGTTTTCCAAGGCCCAAATCAAAGTCTGAAATTTTCCCATCACCTGATATGGAAGTTATTTATAAAATTAATAATGATGATTAAAAACAATAGCTACCATTCTTTGGGCATTTACTCTGTGCCAGCCAGGGTAAAATCACATTCTAGAAAACATGGAAGAATCAATGAGCCCACGTACGTAAAGGGCTGAGCCCAGACCCTGGGGCATGTGGAGGGTGCCCAACAAAAATTGGCTGAATTGTCACCAATTGTGCCATTGAAATGTCACAGTGACATTTGCTAGCAGTCAAAATGCCATATCTTGTCCACCTGAAAGAGGATGAGCACTGAGGAAGTGGTTTGGGAGAGGAAGCCAACCAATTCCTTCCAGCATTGCCTGGCACGACTTTCTGAGCCTTAGGCAAATAAAAATATCTTTGTTCCAAATTACATCTATCGTCTGGTGGTATTGCTTGTCTTTTACATTTCTATTATGTGTGTCTCTTATGTATCCCTTCACTTCCCTGTTCTGGCACCAAAATGCAAAACTCAGACAGCATTAGGAAAAAGAGAAGTTCTTCCAATGTGATCCATAGTACACAGTCATGTGGGAGACTCAAGAGAAAGCTCCTTCCTGGTGGGCAGAGGTGCTCCCTAAATTCTCATTCCCTTTGAGATCAACAGCAAAGTTTCCCCCTAATGCTGAATTTGTTCTTGCTGTTTCTCAAACCAAAATGCAATTTAAGAGAGGGTTATTACATAGGAATGTTAAATACATGGCTTTCATGCTAAATCTGTGACAATCTTTCCCCACATTCCAGTGCCGGGAAATTAGCAATTTAAATCTCTCTTTGAACTGTATTGTGGATTCACTCCTCAGAGCTTCTAAAAAATAAAAAAAAAGAAAAAACTGTATTCAGTTAAACTAATGTTAGAATGTTGTGATTTACATAAGTATTAATTAATAAGTAAATACCTTACTTTTATAAAACAGGGATGGGAAGTGTAGTAAGAGCTCAGACCTATTTTAAAAGATTCATCTAGTCCAAGGAGAGCCCCATCCTAGGGCTTTGAAAAATATGGCAGCATACATTCATGAATGACACAGGAATTAAAATTCCTGGAGGTGGAAGGTCCACCTGCCGCGGTAGGGGACTGGATTATAACCCCACAGGGGTTGCAATAATCATTTCTTGGAAATTCAGATACAAATTAGCATGTCAAGGGCAGCTGAGGTTTTCACTGGAAAACTACAGCGTTTTCTTCTAGCCCAATATTCTCATATAAGCAAGATCTTCTACTTAGGCTTTATCCCCAAATCACCTGGGTGCTTGTTAAAAATACAGACTCGCACACTTTACATCCAGTTTCACCTATTCCTTTTGTGCCCCCAGGCCATCCCACCCCCATCACCATTATCTTGTTTTGAAATCTTCAGCTGCTCCGGAGGGACCTCCGTGGACCAGGCCCCACTTTCCCTTTGATATTGATATACAAGCTTGATGCTCCAGTTCGTGCCTGGTCCACTCCCTCCCCTTCAGTTTCTTCTTCCCCCTGTGTCTCAAGAATACTCTTATCCCCTTGGGGAGCTTATCTGGCTACGGTCACCAGTCTGTCAATAAATGCTTACAAAACCCTTCAGTGGCTGGGCGCGGTGGCTCATGCCTATAATCCCAGCATTTTAGGAGGCCGAGGCGGGTGGATCACCTGAGGTCGGGAGTTCGAGACCAGCCCAACCAACATGGAGCAACCCCGTCTCTACTAAAAATATGAAGTTAGCCTGACGTGGCGGTGCATGCCTATAATCCCAGCTCCTTGGGAGGCTGAGGCAGGAGAATTGCTTGCACCCGGGAGGCGGAGGTTGCAGTGAGTCGAGATCACACCATTGCACTCCAGCCTGGGCAACAAGAGCAAAACTCCATCTCAAAATAACAAACAACAACAATAAAAAAACCCTTCAGTGGTCTAATCCCATGGGATACAGAAAAATCACTATTTCTCTTGCCCCAGTGATCAGAAAGCTTGGAAATAATTTACTTACTCCGTGGCCACAGATGTCAGTGATAGACACTTTGGAAAGTTATTTAGCTGCAGCCTCACTGTGTGCCAAGGCTGCAGCCCAGCCCACTGTCTAATTGAGTACCCTCAACACACACCCACATAAAACAGGTCCTTACTATCCTTTAGAGAGATTATTTTCCATGTTTTACAAAGGAATTTAGATATAAGAGACTCAATAACATGTCCAAAGTCAAACAATGAGTCAGTAACAGATCCAGGATTTTAACCAAGGTTCTCTGATACCCAGATCCATACGGTAAGTGCTCAAGAAGGGGTGGTTGTCAGAAAGGGAAATGCTCATACACTGTTGGTGGGAATGTAAAGTAGTACAGCCACTATGGAAAACAGTATGGAGGTTCCTCAAAACATTAAAAATAGAACCACCATATGATCCAGCAATCCCATTGCTGGGTATATATCTGAAGGAAAGGAAATCAGTATGTCAAAGAGATCTCTGCACTCCCAGGTTTATTGCAGCAGTAGGCACAATAGCCAAGATAGGGAATCAACCTAAATGCCCACTGATGCATGAATGAAGAAAATGTGTGGCTGGGCACGGTGGCTCATGCCTGTAATCCCAGCACTTTGGGAGGCCGAGGTGGGCAGATCACCTGAGGTTGGGAGTTCGAGACCAGCCTGACCAACATGGAGAAACCCTGTCTCTACTAAAAATACAAAATTAGCTGGGTATGGTGGTGCATGCCTGTAATCCCAGCTACGCAGGAGGCTGAGGCAGGAGAATCGCTTGAACCCAGGAGGTAGAGTTTGCAGTGAGCCGAGATCACACCACTGGACTCCAGCCTGGACAACAAGAGCAAAACTCCATCACCAGAAAAAAAAAAAAAAAAAAAAAAGAAGAGAAAGAAAATGTGGTATATATACACAATGGAATAGTATTCAGTCATTAAAAAATGAAATCCTACCATTTGCAGCAACATGGATAAAACTGGAGGTCATTATGTTAAGTGAAATAAGCCAGGCACAGAAAGACTAATATTGTATGTTCTCACTCACATGTGGGAGCTAAAAAAGTGGATCTCATGGAGACAGAGAGTAGAATGGTAGTTACAAGAGGCTGAGAAGGGAAGGGGGTGGAGGATGAAGAGAAATTGGTTAAGGGGTACAAACATACAGTTAAATAGAATAAGTACTAGTATTTGATAGTACAGCAGGGTAATCACAGTTAACTGTCATTTATTATACATTTCAAAATAGCTAGAAGGTTTAGAATGTTCCCAACACAAAGAAATGATAAATGTTGGAGGTGATGGATATCCCATTTACCCTGCTTTTATCATGACACATTGTATGTCTGTATCAAAATAGCACCTGTACCCCACAAATATGTACAACCATGATATTGCAATAAAAAACCAAAATAAAATTTAAAAGAAAACGTGGTTGTAATAGTAATAATAATTCCAGAGTTGGTAGTATTTTTCATTTGGATTCCTCAGAAGCAGATTCTGAGACGAGGATAATGCATATGAAAATGGCTTAAATAGAGAGCATTCTCAGGAAAAATCATTAAGTAAATAAGAAAAGGGAGCAGGAAAGGGAAGAGGCCAAATAAGCAAGCAGAGTTGTCTCAGGGATGGGGTAGGTCTCATCTCAGAGTTGTCCCCTCAGAGGAAAAAGAATGGAAACTTTTTTTTTTTTGAGACGGAGTCTCCCTCTACCACCCAGGCTGGAGTGAAATGGTGAGGTCTTGGCTCACTGCAACTCCCGCCTCCCAGGTTCAAGCGATTCTCCCGCCTCAGCCTCCCGAGTAGCTGGGATTATAGGTACCCACTATCATGCCCGGCTAATTTTTGTATTTTTAGTAGAGACAGGGTTTCACCATGTTGGCCAGGCTGGTCTTGAACTCCTGACCTCAGGTGATCTGCCCACTTCGGCCTCCCAAAGTGCTGGGATTACATGCGTGAGCCACAGTGCCTGGTCCAGGAATGGAAATATTTCTATTTCATACCTGTCAGTCATTGATTAAGGGCTGCTTTAGGGGATGGGGAGAGGGATAATCTCCAGGCACACAGGGCTCTCTTATGATCATAGGTAATGTGGGCTCTGGCAGAGAAGGTTCAGGGTGGGAGGAAGACATGCCCAGAGCCAGTGCGCACTGATGGCATCTGCTACAGTGATCTTGAAACTGGAGTAGCATCATGAAAAGAAGCAAAGCTGGGCAGAGGGATAGCATTAGGAGATGTATCTAATATAAATGACGAGTTTAATGGGTGCAGCACACCAACATGGCACATGTATACATATGTAACAAACCTGCACGTTGTGCACATGTACCCTAGAACTTAAAAGTATATATATATAAAAAGAAGCAAAGCTGTTACCTCGCTTTGTTTTATAACCTTACGTATACCACACATACCATTCAGCGCTGAAGAGAAACCTGAAGAGAGAAACAAGCACCATCCTGTGTCAGGAGGGCTGGGTTTTGGTCCCAATTTTGCCAGAAATGAGCAACATGACCTTGGGGAAGTCATTTAGTCCCTGTGGTCCTCAGCAGCCACTCAGGACCTCTGGAGCCTCAGAGGCAATGCTGAAGACACTAAGTAAACTTGTTGGTGGACTGAAATCATTTTATTATTTCAGCATGTTAGGAATTCATGCTGTGGTTAACCTCTGAGCTCCTTTCCCGCTACATCTGTAATGGTGGGCCTTCCTCCCATTTTCCATGTTTCTATTATTCTCCTAGGGGAGTTTACTTTTGTAGATGTGATTCAGCTCTGCAGAGGGAACCCATGACAGTCATGTGAGATGTGTTTAATTTTGTACAGTGTAACTGCATGTTAGTAACAGGGTTTACTAGATGACTCTGCTTTTCCAGTGATACTGAAAAGGAAAAATTATTCCTTTTTTTCTAGAAGATTTATTTTAAATTTAACTTTTTTATTTTTGGAGACAGAGTCTTTCTCTGTTGCCCAGGCTGGAGTGCAGTGGTGCGATCTCGGCTCACTGCAACCTCTGCCAACCGGGTTCAAGTAATTCTCCTGCCTCAGCCTCCTGAGTAGCTGGGATTGCAGGTGCCCGCCACAACGCTTGGCTTTTTTAATTTTTTTTTTTATTTTTAGTAGAGACAGGGTTTTGTCCTGTTGCCCAGTCTGGTCTCAAACTCCTGAACTCAAGAAATCTACTTGCCTCAGCCTCCCAAAGTGCTAGGATTACAGAAGTGATCCACCACGCCCAGCCTTTTTTCCTGTAAGATTTAAAAGAGGAAAATATATATGACTATTTTTTGTGAGTATCCGTGTTGTAATAAAGACATAGCAAAGGTTGTTTTTTTTTTCCCCAAAAATGTGTGAATAAATGACCCTTTCTTTTCCACTTAGGATGAGATTTATGCTATTAGACTTGTACTCTGGTTTTATAGTATTCTACAATTGGTTTGCAACTGGAATGAATTTTTGTCAATGTTGCCATTTGAGGCAGAGCTGGGTGTGAGGAATGTGACCCCCAAAATACGGCAGACATAGAGCTGTGTCATCCAAATCCTCCTCCAAGCAAGGGCATGCTGCTCGGCTGTGGGAGTGTGGTCAGCAAACGGCTTTCAGCTGTCAGCTCCGACAACGTTAGCCTCAGCTGTGTGAGCCGCTTCATCTGAGGTCATGCCCAGGACAGCCTGAAGCCCGTGATTGAGGGAAGTGCGGGTGTAAAGGCGCAGCCATTTTGACCTAACTGGGGAGACTCTGAAAAGATACACCTGCTCCAGATTTTTCTGCTGGGTTGGCCAAAGGCTTTGATGGGCTGACATTGTGGTTATCTTTGTTGTTTATCTTCTTCCTCAGCACAATCCTGCTTCCTTTCACATTTTTAATAGATATTGATCTCTAATAAATATCTTATAACCCAAATTTTCAGTCACTCTAACCTGAAACAGTTGATGCCAGGAGTGGTCCAAGAAAACAGGCAGTGAGATGGTTTTGGAAATGGATGATACACCACTGGGTTGGCTGTGAGGACCCCATCACTGGTGGCAGGTAGAGCCCAGGCACCTTTGGCACAGTGGCCATTCAATTGTTACATCTTTCACTGGAAGGACTTGGGAGTGTACTAATGGGAGTGAATGCACTAGCAGGTGCAATGTATCAGGCATCCGAGACTTTGAAGGGAAAGGTAGGTATAAGGATAATGGGATTGTATGGCTATTGCTAAGTGACACTGATGTTCCACAGAAAGATGGAATAGCTAAGGGTGAAAGCGAGGTGTGAAATTCAGGTGTGAAAGCCAGACTTGGTGGATGCATGCAAAGCTCCTTCAGCCCTGCAGTGGCAGTACAGAAAAAGTTTAGGGCTAATAGTCCAAGTGGCTGAACTTCAAAAAAATATAGGCAGATCTGTGCTAAGGTCAGGGCCCAGGTTAGAAAAACCTTTAACCCTAACAGGTGGAATGGAGACATGTTGGTAGATAGCCCCAAGGATTTTAACATCTCAGTCTCTGACTTTCCTAAGCCATCAGCTGCCTTGGATTGGCATGGTGAATGCATAAGTGGAATCGCCACAGTGACAGAAATGGAGTCCCCATATACTTCCAAGAGCATATAAAAGCACTCCTCGGCCAGGCGCTGTGGCTCACGCCTGTAATCCCAGCACTTTGGGAGGCCGAGGCGGGGTGGATCACGAGGTCAGGAGATCGAGACCATCCTGGCTAACATGGTGAAACCCCGTCTCTACTAAAAATACAAAAAATTAGCCGGGCGTGGTGGCGGGTGCCTGTAGTCCCAGCTACTCGAGAGGCTGAGGCAGAATGGCGTGAACCCGGGAGGCGGAGCTTGCAGTGAGCCGAGATCGCGCCACTGCATTCCAGCCTGGGCAACAGAATGAGACTCCTGTAGTCCCAGCTACTCGGGAGACTGAGGCAGGAGAATGGTGTGAACCCAGGAGGCGGAGCTTGCAGTGAGCTGAGATCGCGCCACTGCACTCCAACCTGGAAGACAGAGTGACACTCCATCTCAAAAAAAAAAAAAAAAAAAAAAAGCAGTCCTCACCTTGCATAGTAGTGTAGGATGGTAAAAATAACTGTTCAACCTGAAACTATGCAGAAATCTCTTTTTAATGCAAATTAAAAAAATTTATTTTTAACTGACAAATAAAAATTAGGTGTATCTATGGCAGTGGTCCCCAACCTTTTTGGCACCAGTGACCGATTTCATGGAAGACGATTTTTCCATGGACCAGGGAGGGGATGGTTTTGGGATGATTCAAGTGCATTACATTTATTGTGCACTTTACTTCTATTATTATTATATTGTAATATATAATGAAATAATTATACAACTCACCATAATGTAGAATCAGCAGGAGCCCTAAGCTTGTTTTCCTGCAACTAGATGGTGCTATGTGGGGGTGATGGGAGACAGTGTCAGATCATCAGGCATTAGATTCTCATAAAGAGCACACAACCTAGATCCCTCACATGCACAGTTCACAATAGGGTTCATGGTCCCATGAGAATCTAATGCGGCTGTTGATCTGACAGGCAACAGAACTCCCATGGTAATGCAAGCGATGGGGAACAGCTGTAAGTACAGATGAAGCTTTGCTTGTTCGCCTGCTGCTCACCTCCTGCTGTGCAGCCTGGTTCCTAACAGGCCATGGACTTGGGGATTCTTGATCTATGGCATACAACATGATGATTTGATATATGTATATCTTGTGGAATGTCTAAATCAAGCTACCATACCTACTATCTCACTTTGTGGTGAAAAGATTTAAAATCTACTATCTTAGCAATTTTTAAGCTATGATACATTGGTATTGACTATAGTCACAATGTTGTACAATAGATCTCCTGAACTTTTTCCTCCTGTCTGACTAAAATTTTATTTTTTTATTTTTTTTGAGACACAGTCTCACTCTGTCGCCCAGGCTGAAGTGCACTGGCATGATCATGGCTCACTGCAGCCTCAACCTCCCAGGCTCAGGTGATCCTCCCATCTAAGCCTCTCAAGTATTATGTTGATGCAAAAGTTATTGCAGGTTTGCCCTTAAAAGTAATAATGGCAAAAACTGCAATAACTTTTGCACCAAGCCAATACCTGGGACCACAGGCACGCGCCACCATGCTGGCTTATTTATTTATTTTTTGTAGAGACTGGGTCTCCCTATGTTGCCCAGGCTAGTCTCGAACTCCTGAACTCAAGCAATCCTACTGCCTCAGCCTCCCAAAGTGTTGGGATTACAGGCGTGAGCCACTGTGCTCAGCCCTGACTAAAATGTCGTACTCTTTAACCAACATCTCCCCAATCCAACCCTTATCCCCCAGACTCCAGTAACCACCACTCTACTCTTTATGAGTTTAACTCTGTTATACATTCCACATACAAGTGAAATCATGCAGAATTTGTCTTTTTTCTTTTTTTTCTTTTTCCACGTTTGAAAGAATTTCCGTTTCTGTGCCTGGCTTATTTCACTTACGTGTCCTATAGATTCACCCATGTTGTGATAAATGACAGGAATTCCTTCTCTTTCACAATGGACTGCTGTAGAGTATTCCATTTTGTGTATACATCACAGCGTCTTTATTCATTTGTTGATGGTTACAGATTGATTCCATATCTTGTCTATCGTGAATACTGCAAAGCAATCTTAATACTCAGTGGGAAGAATTATGATTATTCTGCAACTTTTAAGAAGTTTTGTCAAAATATTAAAAACTCTCTGTCAGTTATGAAAGAAGAAATGAAAAAATCATACTAAAACTAATATTTGCTTAGTATATATATATATATATATTTTTCTTTTTTGAGATGGAGTCTTACCCTGTCACCAAGGCTGGAGTGCAGTGGGATGATCTCAGCTCACTGCAACTTCCGCCTCCTGGGTTCAAGTGATTCTCCTGTCTCAGCCTCCCAAGTATCAGGGATTACAGGTGCCCGCCATCATGCCTCACTAATTTTTGTATCTTTAGTAGAGATGGATTTTCACCATGTTGGCCAGGCTGGTCTCGAACTCCTGACCTCAAGTGATCCGCTCACCTTGGCCTCCCAAATTGCTGGGATTTCAGGCGCGAGCCACCATGCCTGGCCTACTTAGTACACTCTTATTAATTGTTTAAAAAAATCATAATAGGGAGGGCATTAAACAGAGACAGGCCAGTATTTTAGCTTCTAGGTAAACAGAGCCCAATATAAAACAATAAAACAAAACTAACACCAACTGACCTCTAACCAGGGCCTTCCCACACTAAACCAATCAGGTACATTTTCATTGTCTTCCCTCCTTGTAAAAGCTCACAGCTCATGCTGCTGCAGCCAAGCACTCCCAATCTCTTTTGATTCTGAGTGCTACCTAAATCATGAATTGTTCTTTGTTTAAAATAAACTCTATTACTTTTATTTTGTCTAAAGGTGTTATTTTTAACAGATTTGGTGTCAGAAATGGGATCCAAGGCATTCTATGGCAGCCCCGGGAACACAGAGCTACCAGGGGAGGTACCCACAGACCACACTGTGCTCACTGTTCTCTTGTTTGTAACTGGAGGCCGTGATTAATTTCCTCTCAGACTGAGCTTCATGAATTATATTTTGAGCTCTCCAGACTTCATTTGAGCAAACAGGGTCCAGGATCAAATTGGATTTGATGATTAACCAGATCAGATCCAGATACAGTCCTTGGCTAGGTACCTGTTGACAATAGGTTCATCTGAATCAAATGAGTCTGGCACTCTATCTTCTGGAACTCCAGCAAATTTTATGTATAAGAATTATAGACTCAGGACTTGCACATTTTTAGAAAAATGGGTTAATCTTACAAAGATAACTTAGAATTAGAGTGGTCACTATGGGGAACTTTCAACCTAAATAAAATCGTTCGCCTGTGAGGCACATTGGAAAAGGAAGAATCCAAAATGCAACGGGATGCATTTTTTAATTGGTACAAAGAAACATCTAGAAGATAAAATGAATTAAAAATTGCCTCCCTAAAAAATTCCTTACAGGAGGCAAAGGAAAATCTTAAGCAACAAACTCAGGACATTAAAAAAAAAGGACTGTACCTTGACTGAATTAACTCTGACTGCTCCTTCTCTTTATCTGTCCTTACCTCAATGTTCTGAGTTCTCTAACCCTTTTGCCCAGCTACCCTTTCACCCTGAAGACAATGAAAAAAGGGAAGTTAGGCAAATGCTTGCAAAATGAGACCCTCTGATCAGGCAGGCATGCCTGCCATAATCACCTTTACTCCATGGTCTAAAATTGAGCTTAGGGCCATTGTAAATGACTTCCCTAGCCCCAAGAAAACCTCCTGGAAATGTACTAAGGAATTCAGAAACCTTATTGGAGCATTTGATCCAGTACTCCCTGATCTTTACCAATTTATTCATATGCTATTGGGACCTGGTGATGCTTGAAGACGGATAGCAGGAGTGGAATGGGACCAACCTGGGGAGGATGTGAAAGACCCTCCAAAACCTCCTTAAAAGAAAGGCAGAAAGAAGCTGGAAGAATTGCCAAGACCTTTCAAATTCAGTTCCTAAGATTTTTCCACAAAAAGTTGATTGGTCCATCATACAATCTTATAGACAAAAAAAGATGAACCAATTTCAAATTACAGAGCCCATTTAGAAACACTATTTATAAAACATGCTGGACTTGAAATACCATAAGGGGCGCTTCCTGCAGAGACTGAAATGGCATTAGCTTCTGTATTTGTAAATGGACTTCATCCTAAATTTAGTGATTTAATTAGAAAACATACACCAGGACGGAAAGTTATAGATATGATTGAATTGGTGGCCCTAGTTGAAAATTCTGAGAGGATTCTAAAGCAAGAGAAAAATCAAAAGACAAATAAAGGGCAACACAGAGAGAGACCCCATCTCTACAAAAATAAATGAAAAAATTAGCCAGGCATTGTGACATGTGCCTGTAGTCCCAGCTACTCAGGAGACTGAGGTGGGAGGATCACTTCAGTCCAGGAGGTTGAGGCTGCAATGGGCCGTGATTGTGCCACTGCACTCCAAGCTGGGTGATAGAGCAAGACCTTGTCTCAGAAACAACAACAACAACAACAACAACAACAGAGGCAAATAGGCTCATGTCTTTATGTTACCAAAATGCCAGGGGTTTGGTTTAGGTCTTGCTGCTCGCTGCACAGAAAGCCAATCACTGAGACAGTGAGTATTGCCAGAGAAGAAGGCCTTCATCAGGTGCCACAGCGGAGAAGATGGGAGACTAGTCTCAAATCCATCTCCCTGACCAAATAAAATTGGGAGTTTATATAGCAGGGAAGCAACGTAGCCATGTGTGGAAAAACAGGAATTTAGAAAGGGTAAGGAGGAGGAGTTGGTCAATAGGAAGCAGGTGGTCAGTTAAGCCAGCAGTCCCCAACCTTTTTGGCACCAAGGACCAGTTTTGTGGAAGACAATTCTTCCACACATGGTGGTAGGGGTGTGAGATGGGGGATGGTTTCGGGATGAAGCTGTTCCACCTCAGATGATTAGGCATTAGTTGGATTCCCATAACAAGTGCACAATCTGGATCCCTTGCATGCACATTCACAACAGCGTTCCTGATCCTGTGAGAATCTAATGGTGTTGCTGATGCAGCTCAGTTGGTAATGCTCACTCACCCTCCACTCACTCCCTGCTGTGCAGCCCAGTTCTTAACAGGCCATGGATCCCAGTCCATGGTCTGGGGATTGGGGACCCCTTAGTAGGCAATCATCATGAGCAAAGGATCTGGCATTTCATTGTCCAGATGTGGTAATCTGGTAAGTTTCAGCTCCTTAATACTATTGGGGAGGGCTGATGTTTGATTTCCTGAAAAAAGAACTCAGATAAGACAAATGAAACTTTCTCAAGTTTCAAGACTGGAGGGTCAATTTCTTTTTCTTTTTCTTTCTTCCTTTTTTTTTTTTTTTTTTTTGAGACAGAGTCTCACTCTGTTGCCCAGGCTGGAGTGTAGTGGCATGATCTTGGCTCACTGCAACCTCCACCTCCCAGGTTCAAGCGATTCTCTTGCCTCAGCCACCCCAGAAGCTGGGATTACAGGTGCATGCCACCATGCCCAGCTAATTTGTGTGTGTGTGTGTGTGTGTGTGTGTTTGTGTGTGTGTGTGTGTGTGTGTGTGTTTTTAGTAGAGACGGGTTTTGCCATGTTGGCCAGGCTGTTCTCAAACTCCTGGCCTCAAGAGATCCACTCACCTCGGCCTCCCACAGTGCTGAGATTACAAGCATGAGCCACCATGCCTGGCCTGCGAGGGTTAATTTCTATGTTTATTCAAAAGAAACTATAAACATCATTTATATGGGATGATTGGGCTGGTTTAAGTAATAGTCACAGCAACTACAATAAAGGCAGACATCTCGAGGCACCAGTTTCTTTAGTTTGGACCTCTTAGTATTGATTTCAAATACATGAATATACTGGAGGAGGACCAAAGAAACTTCTGCCTCAAGATGTCCTTCTTTATTGTAAACAGCCAGGCCACTGGAATCAAAATTGTCCAGTCTTTTTTTTTTTTTTTTTTTGAGACAGAGTATCACTCTTTCTCCCAGGCTGGAGTGCAGTGGTGCAATCTTAGCTCACTGCCTCAGCCTCCTGAGTAGCTGGGACTGCAGGCACACACCACCATGCCCGTCTAATTTTTGTATTTTTAGTAGAGACGGGGTTTCTCCATGTTGGCCATGGTGGTCTCAAACTCCTGACCTCAGGTGATCCACCCGCCTCGGCCTCCCGAAGTGCTGGGATTACAGGCATGAGCCACCGTGCCTGGCCAAAATCATCCAGTCTCGCACTAGGCATGTGAGGAACCCATTTCTTTTGACCCAGACATTTTCCCCTCCAGATGAAGCCCCTGAGGGTTTGACTCCTGGAATAATAACACTAATGAGGCTCCCAGGGTTTTTTTCCATAATACCTTTAAATGAACAAAGGGAAACTAAAATTAAGATTAATGGGAAACAGGCAGGGTGATTCATGCCTGTAATCCCAGCTATCTGGGAAGCTGAGGTGGGAAGATCACTCAAACCCAGGAGTTCGAGGCTGCAGTAAGCTATGATTGCATCACTGCACTTGAGCCTGGGTGACAGAGGGAGACCCTGTCTCAAAAGGAAAAAAAAAAAAAATAGATAAAGTGGCTCCCGTATTTACCAAAACTGTATAAGACTTCCCATTACTCCTTTTTTTAAGAGGCAGGGTCTCACACTGTCACCCAGGCTGGAGTGTAGTGGCGTGATCACAGCTCACTGCAATCTTGACCTCCTGGGCTCAAGGGATCCTCCCACCTCAGCCTCTCGAGGAGCTAGGACTACAGGTGCATGCCACTGTGCCTGGATAATTTTTTAAAAACTTTTTTGTAGAGATGGAGTCCTGCTAGATTGCCCAGGATGATCTCAAACTCCTGGCCTCAAGTGATCTTCCCTTCCCTGGCCTCTCCCAAGTGTAATGATTACAGGTATGAGCCACTGTGCCCGGCCACGTTATGTACTTCTTTAATTTTTTTATTTTCATTTTTTTTGAGATGCAGTCTCTCTCTGTTGCCCAGGCTGGAGTGCGGTGGCACAATCTCGGCTCACTGCAACCTCTGCCTCCCAGGTTCAAGCGATTCTCCTCCTTAAACCTCTGAGTAGCTGGGACTACAGGCATGTGCCACCATACCAGCTAATTTTTGTATTTTTAGTAGAGATGGGGTTTCACCATGTTGGCCAGGCTGGTCTCGATCTCTTGACCTCAAAGTGATCCACCTGCTTTGGCCTCCCAAAGTGCTGGGATTACAGGCGTGAGCCACCACGCCTGGCCCACCTTATACACTTTAAAACCCCACCTTATATACTTTAAAACCCCACCTTCGTAAATCAACAACTCCCTTGCAGTAAAAAGAATAGTTTCATGGTGGAGGTTTCAAATCAAGTCCAAATGTCTCCATGTCTGAACCTGTTCAAATGATACTTGGACCATTTTCAGAAAAACATGCCTTCTTACTTTGTGATGCTGCCCCAGTGAATCTATGGGGACAAGACTTGCTAAGAATGTACAGAAAATTATCTTCAGAAGGAGAGATAATCTTATAATTTCCTAACTCTCCTGAACCTGAACTGCTCTGTTACATACTAGTAGAAGCTGATAACACTGAAACTCAAATCTATAAAAACCTGTTCTTTCTGAAGAACCTAGATATTTGTGGGCTTCCTCCTTAAATGACATAGGAAATATTTAAAGTGCTGAACCCACAAAAATCAAAACAGGAAAAAAACCAAATAAATCATTCTAAGCTGCTACCTAATTTACCTCAATACCCACTAAAACCAGATGTATTCAGGGGCTGTCACCAGTTGTAGAGGAATTAATTATACAAGGACTTCTAATGTTTTACACTAGTCCTTGTAACACCCGAGTCTACCACTTTAAAAACCCAGTGGACAAGGTTGGAGATTTGTTCAAGACCTACATGCAGTAAATTAGATTGTAATACTGACGTTACCAGTAGTTCCAAATTCTAATACCTTGTTGTATAAGGTACCCCCAAATTTAAAATGGTTCACAGGGATGAAACACAGTATTCCAGCTGATAGAGTCACTACTTATTTGCTTTTACTTGGAAAAAAATCAACAATATAATTGGACTGTAATGCCAAAGGGATTTACCAAGGCCCATCTTATTTTTCTCAGACTTTGCATCACGATTTGCCAAATTTGCAATTTCCTAGGAATTCTGCTCTTATTCAATATGTTGATAACCTACTGCTATGTTCTTTCTCATACTAAGGCAGAGTCAGAAATAGATTCAACTTACTTCTTTTTTTTTTTTTTTTTTTGTGATGGAGACTTGCTCTGTTGCCCAGGCTGGGGTGTGATGGTATGATCTTGGTTCACTGCAACCTCCACCTCCCAAGCTCAAGCGATTCTCATGCCTCAGCCTCCCAAGTAGCTGGGACTACAGGAGCATGCCATCACACCCAGCTAATTTTTTGTAGTTTTAGTAGAAATGGGGTTTCACCACATTGGCCAGGCTGATTTCAAACTCCTGACCTCTAGTGATCCACCTGCCTCAGCCTCCCAAATTGCTGGGATTACAGGCATGAGCTATGGCCCCTGGTCCCCAATCTACTTCTTTTTATTATTATTATTATTTTTTGTGTGTGTGTGTGTTTTTTTTTTAGACGGAGTCTCGCTCTGTTGCCCAGGCTGGAGTGCAGTGCCGCGACCTCAGCTCACTGCAAGCTCCGCCTCCCAGGTTCACGCTGTTCTCCTGCCTCAGCCTCCCGAGCAGCTGGGACCACAGGCGCCCGCCACCATGCCTGACTAATTTTTTTGTATTTTTAGTAGAGACGGGGTTTCACCATGTTAGCCAGGATGGTCTCGATCTCCTGACCTCGTGGTCCGCCCACCTCGGCCTTCCAAATTGCTGGGATTACAGGCGTGAGCCACCGCACCTGGCCTCAATCTACGTCTTACAACAATTAGCTTACAAAAGCCATAGGCTTCCATGGAAAGACTCCAATTTTCTAGAGGAAATGTCCACTGTTGCCTGCAGAAGAAACTTTCCTGTCACCTGAAAGAATGAAAATTATTCAAAGTTTCTCTTGATCCATGTCTAAAAGACAACTAAGAGGTTCCTTTGAATTTGCAGGATATTGTAGGTCTTAGGTCCCAAATCTTTCCTTGTTGGCATCTCGCTTGTATGAACTTGCACAAAACTCTGACCCAGAGCCTTTAGCGTGGGAGGATAATCATGAACAGGCTTCAGCCAACCAAAACTGGCCCTACCACAACCTCCAGCCTTAGGACTCTGAAATTATAGCAAACCTGTATCACTTTCACTTCATTCATTCATGAACATAACAACGAGGCTTTAGAAATTCTTACTTAAGAACACAGAGGAAAACATAGGCCCATCACTTAATAGGCTGCAATTAGACCCAGTAGCTAAGGTGGATCCCAATTGTTTAAAGGTAGTAGCAGAAGCATCCAGATTGGTTGAGGTCTCATCTGAGCTGATTTTAGGAAATGAATTTTATTCGCAAGCTCCACACGCTTTGGAAAGTCTATTAAATTCCAGTCAAACTCAACATTTCTCAGCAAGTAGACTAACATCTTTTGAAATTCTTCTCCTGTCTCCTTCTAATCTCATATAAAATGCTGCAATCTTGGCTGGGCATGGTGGCTCACACCTGTAATCCCAGCACTTTGGGAGCCTGAGGTGGACGGATCAGTTGAGGTCAGGAGTTTGAGACCAGCCTGGCCAACATGGTGAAACCCCATCTCTACTAAAAAAATACAAAAATTTAGCCAGACATGGTGGCAGGTGCCTGTAATCCCAGCTATTTGGGAGGCTGAGGCAGGAGAACTGCTTGAATCTGGGAGGCGGAGGTTGCAGTGACCCGAGATTGTGCCACTGCACTCCAGCTTGAGCGACAGAGGCTCCGTCTCAAAATAAAACAAAATAAATAAATAAATAAATAAATAAATAAATAAAATAATGCTGCAATCTACTTAACCCTTCTACCCTACTACCCTTACTTGACAAAGGTGAGGACCACAACTATGTAAATCTCATATCACAGCTATTGACTCCTCAACTGATTTATAAGATGCCCCATTAAACACCTTGAGATAATACATTTTGCTGATGGATTTTATGCTAAAAATGCGGAAGTAAAATACCAAGGAGGGCATGCCTGGACTACCCAGAATGAATTAACAGAAAAGGGAGCTCTTCCCCAGTTGAAGTCAGCCCAACCAGCAGAGGTACATGCTCTCACTCAGGCCTGTCAAATATCTCAGGGCAAATCAGACAACATTTATACAGACAGTAGATAAGCCTTTGGGGGTAGTCCATGATTTTGGCATGTATTAGAAGCAAAGAGGGGTCCTCATTTCAAGTGGGTCCACCACCGAAAATGAGCCCCAGGCAAATGAACTTCCTTCTGCTATTTTGCTGCCCTCACAAGTTGCTATTATTAAAATTGAAGCTCACTTGTAAAACTGAACCTAAATATCAAGACAATGCCTTAGTGGACTTCCATGCTAAGGTAGCTGTCACTAAACATGTTAGGATATATAATTTGGTTGAACTCTATAACATTAATTCAGATCAAATCACCTATGATAATTTGTTAAATAAACGATTCTATGCACCTGAATTAGAAAACCAAAATTGGCACTTAAAAGGATGCAAATTTAATACCAAATGTGAACTCACTGAGGGCCCTGACAGCCACCTAGTCCTCCCTAAGTCCTTAAAACTACCAGTATTAAAGGCTCTGCACTCCACAGCTCACCAGAGTGTAGACAAAATGGTTCAAATTATGAAAAAGTATTGGTGGAGTAATTGTTCTAAAGTTGCAAAAATGGTTCATAACCCAAGTCTGATTTATCAGATTCATAATTCTGTGAAAACCATTAAGGTTTCAAACGGTACATTTCTACCACCTGCTGGACCATGTGAACACCTACAAAAGAACTTCATTTAGTTGCTACCCTCAATGGGCTACCAGTATGTTCCTGTAACTGTATGCCTGTTCTCAGGGTGGATTGAGGCCTTGCCATGCAGGAAGGCTGATGCCACAACAGTAGCAAAAAAAAAACAACACAAAAAAATACAAAAAACAGAGCATATGTTTCCTTTATGGGATATCCCTAGAAAGATTTCCAGTGATAGAGGAACTCATTTTACTGGACAAATTTATTATTATTATTATTATTATTATTATTATTATTATTATTATTGTTATTGTTATTTTTGAGGCAGAGTCTTGCTCTGTTATCCAGGCTGGGGTGCAGTGGCATGGTCTCGGCTCACTGCAACCTTCGCCTCCTGTGTTCAAGTGATTCTCCTGCCTCAGGCTCCCAAGTAGCTGGGATTACAGGCATGTACCACCATCTGGCTAATTTTTGTACTTTTAGTAGAGACAAAGTTTCACCATGTTGGCCAGGCTGATCTCAAACTCTTGACCTCAGGTGATCCGCCTGCCTTAGCCTCCCAAAGTGCTGGAATTACAGGCATTAGCCACCACGCCTGGCCTACTGGACAAATTATTAAACAATTTTTTTAAAGGTTTACAAACAAAATAGCATGACCATTGTCCTTATCCCTAGTCTTCTGGAAAGGTTGAATAGGCAAATGGCAACCTAAAACTAAAATTGGCCAAAATGATGGAATCTTCTGGATTGCCTGGCCAAAAGTTTGAACACTGGGCTTAATGGCAATTATATCTACCCATGCTGGAAAGCACAAGATGACACCTCATGAAATAGTACTGAAAGACCTATGCCCGTAATAATACAGCTTCATGTACCTCCCATATTTGTAACCTGTGGTATGACTCAATATTGCCAGACCTTGATAAATTATGCTGAAGCATGCAATAAGTTCTCACAACATCATTGATCAGCTCTTGGAAAGTGTGATTTTAAGCAAAACAATGTATAATAAAACAAATTTAATTTTTCTCATCAACGTTAAAATGAAACAACATTGAATGAAATACATTATTCAAGGAACACTGTTTTGCTTAAAATCATTGTTTCCATAAAACTATCAACGACGACATCAATTGAGGACTTACTGTATTTCTATCTGGTAATAGTAGCTTTCTGTGACCCACTGACTGATTATCAGAATCCTCATGGTCTAGAACTTGGAAACTGGGTCTTTTGGAATTTATATCAAAGAAAGTCTGCCCTTGAGTCTCACTGGAAGGGACCACACCAACTTCTCACCACTTACACTACAGTAAAGCCTTGAGTTTTGGACCAATGTTTCTCAACTCAAGAGGGCCCTTCCAGACTCTCAGAACTGACCACCAGTTAAGGATCTCAAGGTAAAGTTGGCCAGGAACATCTCTCCCCAAAGCAGATGGCATCTTGAATGTAGACAGCCTTCCCAAGATCAGAGATCAAGAACCTCCTCTTCCTGGGGTGGGTGCAGTGGCTCACGCCTGTAATCCCAGCACTTTGGGAGGCCGAGGAGGGCAGATCACGAGGTCAGAAGATCAAGACCATCCTGGCTAACACAGTGAAACCCCGTCTCTACTAAAAATACAAAAAATTAGTCGGGCATGGTGGCGGGTGCCTGTAGTCCCAGCTACTCGGGAGGCTGAGGCAGGTGAGTGGCGTGAACCTGGGAGGTGGAGCTTGCAGTGAGCCGAGATAGTGCCACTGCAATCCAGCCTGGGTGACAGAGCAAGACTCCATCTCAAAAAAAAAAAAAAAAAAGTACCTCCTCTTCCTATCATGGAACCCCTGTTCTTTTCATCTCCTGTTTCTTACTCTTCCTTTCTGTGTATGGCACGATAATGCCATAATTAGAATCTCACAGTCTATAGCTTCTGCAGAAAATTTAGCTAAATTCTGGATTTTCCATGCTAAGTCAAAATACTTGCATGGCTTTTTAGAGACCCATTAGTATATCTTGTGACTCAATTTGCCAGAATCTCAAATGCAACAATCTGTTTAGATTATACTGTTGGTCCCTTTATAGAGTTAAACTTCTAGACCCCTTTATTCTTACTTCTTGTTTAACCCAACCATAGAATAGGATGGCCAGGTCTGCTGACCATATTGCAAGGAGGCTATGCACAAAAAAGGAGAACATTAACAGAGCTATTTACAAGAATGCCTATCTACATACGTATTTTGGTAGCCTTCTAGGACGTAATAACTCAGTATCAGTCTCTTGGTTAGAAACTGCTGATGCCAACTAATTACTCCATAACTGAAGTCTCCCAAGGAGGAGGCTTGTTCACCCTAGGTACATCCTTCCTACCACTGCCCTCCGCCACCCCACAACCAGGCTTTCAGGAATGTCCTAGGTACATCTTTATAAGCAGAGAATTTAACTGTCAGCCATATGCTTGGACCACCCCATACCTTGACAGATGGAGAATGAAAGACCAATGGGGACTAGGGATTTTAATGGTGCCATTGTCACTACATAACCAGTCAGAAGCTAAACATCAGTACACCCCTCTAAACCTGCATCATAGATTAAAAAGAAACTGACCAGCAGATGACAACCCTGCCAAGGGGGCATCATATGTTAGGTCCATTTTTCCATGGCTTGGGATGACTACAAATGAAATAAAGGTCAAAAATTTTTCTTTGACATTAGTTACTATTGCGGGTTCTACAGCTAAGGCTATAGCTATCCAACAAAAATCTCTAAATTCCCTTACTTGAGTAGTTTTAGATAATAGACTTGCATTGGACTATTGGCTGAACAAGGAAGAGTCTATGCAATATGCTCATTTTATCCTATTCCTCCTGTTGTGCCTGGATAAATACCTCTTGTATTAGAAACTCAATCACAAGAAATTAACAAACAGGCCACCTGGTTAAAACAAGTTGAATCCCCCTCTGGTTCATTCCTTGATTTATTCAATTTTAGCTGGTTTGATTCATGAGGACCTTGGCTAAGGAGCATACTCTAGTCTCTTGGTATTATCCTCCTGATGGTCATCATTGTAATCACCCTGTTTGCTGTATTCTGTCAAGAGTCTTAAATGCATGCTCTCAGCCATCAGTGGTACATTAGATGCTCTCACCTTGATCAGAGTGACAATAATGATGTGAACAACAAAGGGAATCTTTCTTCAATGAGCCTAACATCATGACTTGTGAGTTCCACAGAGACAAAGACAACTTACCTGTGATGGTGACAGGGAGGGGTGCCTATGCCTAAGTATTGTTCAGTCTCTCATAAGAGGCTGACCAAAAGCAGAGAATAATTGTTTTTAACAAAAATTCTAACAGGGAGGGCATTAGACTGTTAAAGCAAACTAAATATGGCCTGAGAAGGACTTCGTGCTTCTATATTTGAGTCCTTGTGGACAAACTGTAACTTAGCTTAATAGGCATACAAAATTGAAATCCTAATTTAGAAGCATGCACCTGTAACAATAGCTGCATTTTTGGCCAATCCCAGCAGCCATATTTCAGCCACTCATAGCCTGCTAAGTGTTGAAACCATGTTCAAATAAAGCAAATGCCAGCCTGTAACCAATCCAGCTGTTTCTGTACCTCACTGCTGATTTCTGTACATCACTTCCCTTTTTTTGTTTATAAATTTGTTCTAACCACAAGCCTTCTCTGGAGTCCCCGAATCTGCTGTGATTCTGGGGACTGCCCAATTCGTGAATCATTCATTGCTCAATTAAACTCCTTTAAATTTAATTCAGCTGAAGTTTTTCTTTTAACAAGACGGAGGCAACCCTACCACTTTAGGTTCCTATATGTAAGCAGACTGGAGCCCAGTGTAAAGAGTAAAACAAAACTAAAGACTACCAATAAGAAAACACCAGCTAACCTCTAACTAGGGTCTTTCCACCTAATCCAATGAAGTACACTTTCATCTTCCCTTTGTGTAAAAGCTCACTGCCCATGCTGCTGCAACAAAGCATTCTGAATTTCTTTTGATTCTGAGAACTACCAATTCATGAATTGTTCTTTGCTCAAAATAAACTATTAAATGTATATTATCTAAGGTTTTTAAACGTTAGTAATTTAAACATTAGAAATATTAAATTTCTACGTAAATAAACAACATAGAAAATAAATAGCAAGAGTAGACCGGGCACGGTGGCTCACGGCTGCAATCCCAGCAATTTGGGAGGCCAAGGCAGGTGGATCACCTGAGGTCAGGAGTTTGAGACCAGCCTGGCCAACATGGTGAAACCTCGTCTCCACTAAAAATACAAAAATTAGCTGGGCATGGTGGTGTACACCTGTAATTCCAGCTACTTGAGAGGCTGAGGCAGGAGAATTGCTTGAACCTGGAGGCAGAGTTTGCAGTGAGTCGAGATTGCGCCACTGCACTCCAGCCTGGGCTACAGAGTGAGAGTCCCTCTCAAAAAAAGAAAAAGAAAACAAATAGCAAGAGTAAATAAATTGTAAATGAAACAACAAGAGTCATTTGGATAGTGCTTACCTTCTTGTGTAACTTACGACATGGAGAGAGCATCTTTTCTCTGACGTGATGAATTGTTCTCCTTTCTAAGACTGGATCAGCTCCCAACATTTTATCCTTTGTGTTTTCAGCGTCATGAAAAATTTCCCAGAGTTGCTTCAATGTGAAGTTTCTGCCAGGACCGCTTCCTCTGAGACAGCATGCTTTTTGCCACACTTCCTTCCTCATTTATGTTAAGTTTGCCTTTGCTAAGTTCCTCTGGCTGCATATCCTCTTGAATGATGCAGTGGCCACATTCTCACAGTGAACTGTTTTTCTGTAACTCATTCAATTTGGAGTTCATTTCTAGCATTACTACTTTTTGGACTTTTTTCTGCGCTTTCATCTTTGTTGGCCAATTTCCTCTTTTGAGTATCCATTATTGTAAACCATCATGTGGCTTCATTCACAGGAAAATCAGCAACACAACTACACGCTTTGCTGTGTAGGAACTGAACATATGTGCAGTGGCCAATCATTAGTGGACTTTGAAAGGAGAGGTGTGATTGGTTATTGATCATGCTATGCATCTGTTATTTACATAGTGATTTGTGGACTAAAGAGCTGACAGTGAGGTTTGTACTTTGTGTAATTGTGCACAGTTAATAACGTTGTAGCTGAAATTTGAACCATGTTGTTGGGGTTCTGGTGTGATTTAACTAAATGGTGGTAACTAGGATTTGTGCATATTGGGACCATGCAAAGTGAGGACTAACTATACTTCCAACCCTTACCAAGACTGATCCAGCTGCTGCCATTATCAAATGTCTGATATATCTGCAACAGAGACCAACACTGAGCCCTTGATGTGACACCATTCCTCAATGAGACCAACTGGCCGCTTGATGGAAGCTGACTACCTTAGGTCTCTTCCACCCTGGAAGGGTCAGTGGTTTGATCCCACAGGACATATTCAGGTTATGAGTTTTCCTATATAAATGTAAATTGTCTAAACATCATTCTTTGTCACTGAATAGAATGCTTCAGAATATATATACTATAATATTATTTAGAAAAACATTTAAATAATGTAAAAACAATATTAAATATTGATACATATATAGAACTTTTGAAGTATTTTTTAATAGATTGATTAGATACACACTACACTCACTGCAAGGATTCAGGTGGTGGAAAATAAAGCAGTGAAGATCTCTTGCTTTGCAGAAATATTTCTTGGATTTCATATACTTTTAAGGCCATATTGGAAGCTGGCAAAGATCCCACTGAGTCCTGGTTGGTAAGTAAACACAGCCTGCTTTTTAGCTTCCAGCTCTTTGCAGAGAACCATGATCCTCCTTTTCCTTTCTCCAGGGCTAACCCACTTCTTCCTACGCTCAGATTTCTGATTCTGGAATACAAAACGTACACTGTGAAAGCCTGAGGGAAAGGAATGCCCTCCCACCCCTATCCCAGCCCTCCTATCCCCTCAGCCCCCACTCCTGTCACAATTAAGCACAATGGCAATGAGCACTAGGACCCCGCACTTGACCGTTTTAGGGACCCTCTGTCTGCAAGTGGGTGAAGAACCACTGAATCTTTCTTGTTTTTTAAATTTTTTTTTTTTTTTAGAGGCTGGTGTCTTGCAATGTCGTTCAGGCTGGAGTGGCACACTCACAGCTCACTGCAGCCTCGAATTCCTGGGTTCAGGCGATCCTCTTGCAGCAGCCTCCTAAGTAGCTGGGACTACAGGCGTGTGCCACAGTGCCTGGCTGAATCTTGTTGAGAGGAGCTTAGTCAGAACTGGAGGTCTACTGAAAACCACCCTAGTGAGTGAGGCATGGGCATACTAATCGTGCTCCACTATTGCCCAACATCCCAGCATCGGGGTTGCTGCTGGTACTCCTTCTACCCTGTTCGGTATGGGCTGTACGCTGAGCTCAGGGAGGGGCAAGAAGGTACAAGGACTTCATGTTTTCCAGTCTGGGCAAGGAAAGGGCAGACTGTCTTACTGCCTTCTTTGGAAAGAGAGGGTTTGGCCCTCCCTTTTTGCATAAACTGCTTAGACACGCAGCACTGTAAGAATACCCAGACTTTATTGCAAACTCTCTAAGATTTGGTTCAATCTGATTTATCATTTCCAAATTCCACTTAATAGAGTGTATTTCTTGCTGATTTTATTTTATTTATTTTTTACCCTGTCCTAACCAGAATGCTTTTGAGTTTCCCCTTGTGTTTTTTTTTTCCTCTCTCTCATAGGTTGAAATTATCAAGGAGTTTGAGATCTTCCTACCTGTAAGAGTTTGCAACCCAGCCAACGAAGGGAGTAAAAAAAATTATGTCAAAATATTTTACATACTGAATTTCAAAAAGCAATTATTTGAGATTTTTGAGACACTAATGTATTCTTTATACCAACTTCAACCAAAGGGATGGCAGAAAGCAGAAAAGACTGTTTCATTATTGAGAATAAAGATCAATTCTATTTTACAAAACTGGGATCTTTCAGATAAGTAAGACAAGGTTTGCAAAGCACCTGGTAGTTTGCCTGGCATATAGAAGGTGCTTAATAACTCAGTTGTCATTATGTTTTATATGTGCCATATTAACTCTACAGTGCAGTTTAGGAAGACTCTCACTCTCTCTAAACCAGCCTTTCTCACAGGTTAATGTGAAATTAAATTACCTGGAGTTTTGTTAAATTGCAGATTCTGATTCAGTGGGTCTGGGCTGAGGCCTGAAAGATGCTTTTTTTTTTTTTTTTTTTTGAGACAGGGTCTCATTCTGTTGCCCAGGCTGGAGTGCAGTGGCACAATCATAGCTCACTGAAGCCTCAACCTCCCAGGCTCAATTGATCCTGCCGCCTCAGCTTCCCAAGCAGCTGGGACTACAGGTATGTGCCACCAGACCTGGCTAAGTTTTTGTATTTTTTGTAAAGACAGGGTCTCATTATGTTGCCCAGGCGGGTCTTGAACTCCTGGGCTCAAGCAATCCTTCTGCCTCAGCCTCCCAAAGTGCTGGGATTACAGGAGTGAGCCACAGCACTCAGAAAGATGCATTTCTTTCTTTTTTCTTTTCTTTTTTTTTTTTTTTAACTTTTAAGCTCACAGGTACATGTGCAGATTTGTTACATAAGTAAACTTGTGTCATGAGGGTTTGTTGTACAGATTATTTCATCACCCAAGCATTAAGCCTAGTACCTATTCACTATTTTTTCTGATCCTCTCCTTCCTCTCACCCTATGTGCAGTTCTAACAAGCTCCCAGGTGTTGCTGATACTGCTGGAATGAGATCCACACTCGGAGTTATCAGGGTTCTACCTCATAGGTTGAAATGACTATTCCTACTCATTTCTAACCCTACAGTTGTATGCTGTTTGTTTCATCTCGTGTGCCTTGCTTTGACCCCCAACCATCCATTCAGATCCCACATAACATCCACGATACAGTTTATGCTCCACTCTCTTGATTAAACCTTTCTGCCAAATTATTATCTTAATAGATTAGTATTATCTCTAAAACGCTGAATCAAATTTAATTGGATTCCTCTTATCAGGATTGGTAAGAGGTTGGTTAGTTAACCTGAAAAGTTGGTTAAGGCAGGCAAATCATAATTTAAACATACCTACTTTAAACGTTTAACAGCGTTTAAATGTGCATTTGTTGGCCAGTTTTTTGACATGGGGCCTAGTCCTTTTGTTTGAGTAGACCTCCCTTGAGAAATATTCTGCCTCTTCTTTCTTACGCAAGCCATCCCTATATATATTGATTAATCCTTCTTGAGTTGTGAATTATTGTCTAAAACTTTCATAGATTTCCTGGCCACACCTAATTTGACCACTTTTTTTTTTTTTTTTTTTTTTTTTTTTTTGAGATAGTTCCTTGCTATGTTGTCCAGGCTGCACTTGAATGCCTGGGATCAAGTGATCCTTCCTCCTCAGTCTCCTGAGTAGCTGGAACTACAGGCACATGCTACATACCCTATGTGACCATATTTCTTTAGTGACTTACCTTAGTTCATTTTACTTGTTTTCATACACACTGCAAGTCTTTCTTTTTGCCCTCAGATTTCACTGGTTTCTTAATTTTTAAAATTAGTTACAAAAGCGAACACAAATCAAGTCCAAAAACAAACACAGCCAACTATTCTTAGGCATACAGCTCAACTGTGGGAGGAGAAGATGGGGGATAGTATCTGTGGTGGGCTGAATAATGGCACCTCAAAGATGTTCGTGTCCTAATTCCAGAAACTTACAAATGTTTCTTATATGGCAAAAGGGATTTTTCAGGGTGTGATGAAGTTAAGAATCTTTCCCGAATTATCTGGATGGGCCCAATGTACTTCCAAGAGTCTTTGTAAGAGGCAGGCAGGAGGGTCAGTAAGTAGTAGAGGTGACTATCTTAACCTTTTTGTGTTGCTATAAAGGTATATACTCAGGGCTGGGTAATTTATAAAGAAAAAGAAGTTTAATTATTCTAAGTGAAGTAACTCAGGAATGGAAAACCAAATATCATATGTTCTCACTTATGAGTGGGTGCTAAGCTCTGAGGATGCAAATGCATAAGAATGATAATAATGGACTTTGGGGACTCGGGAGGAAGGGTGGGAAGGAGGTGAAGAATAAAAGACTACACATTGCATACAGTGTATACTGTTTGGGTGACACGTGCACCAAAATCTCAGAAATCACCGCTAAAGAACTTATCTATGGAACCAAAAACCACCTGTTCCCCAAAAACTATTGAAATCATTTTTTTTAAAGCGATTTATTTGGCTTACAATTCAGATGGCTGGAAAGTTAACGATTGGGCATCTGCACCTGGTGAGGGTCTCAGGCTGCTTCTATTCACGGTGGGAAGAAAAGGGGAGCTGGCCTATGCAGAGATCCCATGGTGAGAGAGGAAGTGGAAAGGTGGGGGAGGTACCAGGACCATTTTTTTTTTTTTTTTTTTGGAGACAGGGTATTGCTCTGTTGCCCAGGCTGGAGTGCAGCGGTGCCATCACAGCTCACTGCAATCTCAAACGCCTGGACTCAAGTGATCCTCCTGCCTCAGCCTCCCAAGTAGCTGGGACTACAGGTGCATGCCACCATGCCTGGTATCCAGACTCTTTTTAAACAACCAGCTCTGATGGGAATTAATAGAGTAAGAATTCACTTGCCTCTGAGGGAGGCCATTAATGTATTCATGAGGGATCCGCCTTCATGACCCAGACAACTCCTATTAGGCCTCACCTCCAACATTGGGGATTAAATTTAACATGAGGTTTGGATGGGACAAATATCCAAACCATAGCAATGATGATAGAAGCAAGAGGTTGGAGTGACACCAAGAAACAGCCATGAGCCAAGGAATGCTGGCAGCCTCTTGAAGCTGAAAAAGGCAAGGAAACCAATTTTTCCCTCAGACCTCTAGAAAGAAACAGCCTGTCCAAGACCCTGACTTTAGCCTGCTAAACCTGATTTTTGACTTCTGAGCTCCAGAACTGTAATGTGATAAATCCATGTTTTAAGCTATTATGTTTGTGATAATTTGCCACAGCAGCCAAAGGAAACTTAATACAGTACCCAAATGTCCTGTTCTCAAGAGGCACTCAGAGTGCAGTGTGGTACTGAGGGAACGTGTTCATCTGTCTGGCAGCTGGAGTAAGTGAAGGGTAATTGAAAAGCACTTCTGCAATTACTCTGGGACTGTATTTTTGTTCACTAGTTATTACATATGTCTTGCCAAACAGATGGCAAGTTCTTTGAGAGCATCAACAGGTTCTTTTGCTGACTTTGCATTTTGAAAGATAGCATTTTTAAGAGGGCAACTAATCACTTGAGGTATTTATAATTTAAAAATAGTCTGTGCGGAGCCAGGCATCTGCCTGGAGTGCTTGTAGTCCCAGCTCCTCAGGAGACTGAGGAGGAAAGTTTGTTACACCCAGGAGTTTGACTCTACCCTAGGAAACACAGTAAGCCCCTCATCTCAAAAAAAAAAAAAAGTTTGGTGTAGAATTTTTGTCACTTAATCTTTAGTGTATTTAAGGTTTGATTTTCTCCCTGTCAAGACAATTGGATTCTCTACTGTGCTTTTAAAAAATTCTTTAATCAGGCCAGGCACGGTGGCTCACACCTGTAATCCCAGCACTTTGGGAGGCGGAGGCGAGTGGATCACCTGAGGTCAGCAGTTCCAGACCAGCCTGGCCAACATGGTGAAACCCTGTCTCTACTAAAAATACAAAAATTAGCCAGGTGTGGTGGTGGGTGCCTGTGATCCCAGCTACTCAGGAGGCTGAGGCAGGATAATTGCTTGAAACAAGGAGGTGGAGGTTGCAGTGAGCCAAGATTGTGCCATTGCACTCCAGCCTGGGCAACAGAGCAAGATCCCATCTCAAAAAAAAAAATATATATATATATATATATATATGATGTGAGATGGAGAAAACATAGCAAAGGTTTTAGAGTCACACTGGCCTGCTTTAGATGCCTTGACTCCCAGTTCAAAGGCCGAATGAGGCAGAAGAGATGACAGCTTCCCTGTGAGTCCAGTTCAAAATGGGGTGCTTGGCGGAGTTTGGCTCTGATTTTGGCTTCTAGGAAAGGGCTGCCAAGTGTCTTCCCCAGACACCCGTAAGTTGGTTCCACCTCCTTGTCCTGACATGTGCAGCTGGTAGACCTACCCTACAAGAGAGTCCTTTAAGTGGAAATGAAAGGGCACTAGACAGTAACTTGAAACCATGTGAGGAAATAAAGAGCACTGGTAAATGTAACTACCTAGGTAAAAACAAAGCCAGTGTTATTATACTTTTAGTTTGTAATTCCTTTTCTTCCCTGTATGATTTCAAACACAAGTGCATAAATAATAATCATAGGTCTATATTAATAGCCACATAATGTCTAAAGATGTAATTTGTGACAATATAGCCGGGCGTAGTGGCTCACGCCTGTAATCCCAGCACTTTGGGAAGCCGAGGCAGGCGGATCACGAGGTCAGGAGATCAAGGCCATTCTGGCTAACACGGTGAAACCCCATCTCTAATAAAAATACAAAAAATTAGCCGGGCGTGGTGGTGGGCGCCTGTAGTCCCAGCTACCTGGGAGGCTGAGGCAGGAGAATGACATAAACCCAGGAGGCGGAGCTTGCAGTGAGCCGAGATCGCGCCACTGCACTCCAGCCTGGGGGATAGAGCGACACTCTGTCTCAAAAAAAAAAAAAAATTGTGACAATACTAATAACCTAAAAAGGGGATGGAGCTATAGGAGCAGAGTTTTTGTATATGTTTGAAGCTAAGTGATGTGAATTCAAAATTGATTGTTGTATGTTTAAGAGTTGAATTGTAACCTCCAGGATAACCAATAATAATGTAACTAACAAAATACAGAAAAGGAAATAAGAAAAGAATCAAAACAGTACACTACAAAAAACAATTAAACATAAAAGAAAACAATAAGAAGGAATAGAGGAACACTGTTTTATTTTGTTTTTCAGACAGAGTCCAGCTCTGTAGCTCAGGCTGCAGTGCAGTGGCATGATCTTGGCTCACTATAACCTCTGCCTCCTGGGTTCAAGCAATTCTCGTGCCTCAGCCACCCAAGCAGGTGGGATTATAGGCGCATGCCACCATGCCCAGCTAATTTTTGGATTTGTAGTGGAAACAGGGTTTCACCATGTCGGCCAGGCTGGTCTCAAACTCCTGACCTCAAGTGATAGCCTGCCTCGGCCTCTTTCCAAAGTGTTGAGATTATAGGTGTAAGCCACCATGCCCAGCCAAGGAACACTGGTTTTTTTCCCCAGGTTCTTTGACTTAGCCTTTATTACAATAATGACTGCAAAACAAGATTAAGATGAGATGCTGCTTACTTAAGAATATTTGGAAACGCTTCTTAAGCGACTGAGTGTCACAAGACAGCAGCCATCATTGGTTCCTCTTTGGCTTTCAAGACTTCCCTAGTTCTTTCAGTGGGCTCCTGGGTTGCTTGTTCCTTACAGTGGTTCTGTAGGGCAACGCCAACACTGATTTAATTCATTTCTTCAGGTTTTATTGTGATGTTTGACAGATTTTTGAGTTACCTTTTTTGTATTTTTTTTTTACCATCTTCTTACACATACATTGATAAAAGATTCAAAATACCTGAAGAAGCTCAGATAGACCCTCAGTGAATGAAGAGAAACTGGCTTGTTACATCAGGATATAACAATTAATATGAACATTTGAGATTATTGTGTCCTTTTTAATAAAATTAGGTGCTATTAAAACAAAATCTGGAAAATTAGGGCTCTTTCTGCATGTGACAGAAAACCCAACCTAAGTTAAGCCAAGAAGAAAGCCTGATGGTTTAATAACTGAAAAGTCTGGGCCAGGTGCAGTAGCTCACACCTGTATCACACCTGTAATCCCAGTACTTTGGGAGGTCAAGGCAGGAGGATCGCTTGAGCCCAGGAGTTCAAGATCAGCCTGGGCAACATCATGAAACCCCGTCTCTGCAAACAACTTAAAAATTTGCCATGCGTGGTGGTGCACCTTGTAGTCCCAGCTACTCGGGAGGCTGAGGCAGGAGGATCTTCTGAGCCCAGGGAGGATGATGCTGCAGTGAGCCATGATCGAGCCACTGTACTCCAGCCTGGGCGACAGAGTGGGACCCTGTCTCAAAAACAAACAAACCAAAAAGCCTGAAAAGTCCAAGACTTCAGGCACTCAAATTATGTCATCAAATCTGTTTATGTTTCTCCAGCTCTTGTCTTTGTTGGCTCCTTTCTGAGATAGACATTCCCTCTCCTTTGGTGATAAACTGACTATAGCACCACTAGCTCCACAGCCCCCCAGCTGCAGGTGGAAAGGCAGTCTCTTCTTGGGAGAGCAGAAGTTTTGGGATTCACTTTGATTGGGCCAGTTATGGGTCCTGGGTGTTGGGGTCACTGATTGTCCTGGCCTGGAGTCTGAGTCAGAGCTCCCCCACCCCAAGCACATGGACAGAGAGTGCATTCCCCTAAAGGAATGCAGAGTGCCGCTACACTAGAAGGGGGCATGGCTGCTGGGTGGTCTCTATACTCCTTCCTCACACAGAATGACAGATGGGAAGAAGACCACCAATGTTCACACATTTTTCACTCAGAGGGCTCTAAGTGGAAAGGCGGTGGGGGTTGGGGGGAAAAGAGAGATTGATCAAGAAGGGAGTCAGAGCCCCAGAAAGTCTGCAGTAGCCACATCCTTGAGTGTCCTCTAGTCCATTGTGTAACTGAAGAAACTGAATCCAGAGAAATTAATCACTTCCGCAAGGTTACAGCTTCTTTCTAGCACTATGGGGAGAAAGATTCAGGCATCCTGATCCCTCATTGCAGACCACTCCACTAAGAAACCCTAGTAGGGGTGGGGCACAGTGGCTCATGGCTCATGCCTGTAATCCCAGCACTTTGGGAGGTCGAGGTAGGCAGATCAAGAGATCAAGAGATGGAGACCATCCTGGCCAACATGGTGAAACCCCGTCTCTATTAAAAATACAAAAATTAGCTGGGTGTGGTGGCATGCACCTGTAGTCCCAGCTACTTGGGAGGCTGAGGCAGGAGAATCACTTGAACCCAAGGGGCGAAGGTTGCAGTGAGCTGAGATCATGCCACTTCACTCCAGCCTGGGCAACAGAGTGAGGCTCCATCTCAAAAAAAAACAAAAAACCAAAAAAACAACAACAAAAAGAAACCCTAGTAGGAAGGGGTAATTAGTAGAACTTCCTAAGAACTTAGATCAAAAAAATCTTTCTCAGAAATAGACAAAGATCATAACTTATATTTTCTCTACCTCCCCATATAACCAATAAGATGTGTATACACTCACGCACATATATGTCGTATATTAATATATATGTATGTGTATATAGGTATGTATATAGATATAGGTATATGCATATAGATACATATTTGTAGATATATAGTAAGAAAGGAGAGAGAGGGGTTGATTGCATTTTAGACTCAGGTCTGACTAGAAACGCTTAAGAAAAAACTTTTTTTCCTTCAAAATGGGAGAATTACAGGATAATTATTGTTCAACACCAAGGAGAAGGAACTGATTATCTTGAAGTTTCCCTGCAGTTTGTTATCTTTATTGATTTTTCCAAAGCTCATTTCCAAACATCTGAGTAAATACACAAAATAAATATCTCTCTTAAGTCATTACTATTGTCGCTAGTGCTGGAAGCCAGGCCCTGGCATCTGTGAGCTTTCCCACATGCATCAGCAAAGTGCCAAATGAACAGATGGATTGTGTGTTCTGCTGAAACATCTGGCAAGCCTGGATGTGTTTGGCTAGATTCATGCGTGTGGCTGGGTGCTGCATTATACCAGAGGCCCGCCTCAGCACAGCTTCATTTGACTATATCATTCTGGGACAGAGCTAAAGACCCAGAACCAAAGGCATGAACACAGAAATCTCACACTTGAGACAGAGGGATGTTTTTTTCTCTGATTTAAGCAACACCAAATGAAATCTAATCCAATAAACATTTGTACTAGGCCCAATATTTAGCTTTTTCTTCCTAGAATAATCCAACATGCAACAGACCCCACCAAAAATAAGCTTTGTTAAGACCTCCATCTGTAACTTGGCTGCTCACCTGACCTTTTCACTCTGGTCTTTAGTCTGGGCTACAATTTGTAGGTGTAGTGACTTCTACATTATGGGTATCTAAAGAGGTTTTTTGACTTAGAGCTTTCTAGATGTAAGTAATAAAATGAACTCTATGCAATCGTCACCAGTGAACTGGTAAAAACCCTTAGACATTGTTATCCAGAAGGCTGTCTGTTGCTCAACTCAGCTGCTTTTCTTCTGTTGTCCAGCAACCCTTTTCATCCTCTCAAGTGTTTGTGCTGTCTGGTTTTCCACCCCAATTACAGAAAATTCAAAGTCTCTCCATTTATACATACACCAAGTTCATTCTCTAAGTTCAGCTGTCTCTTTGTCAATATTCATGTATGTTGGTTATGGTGGGAATTCATATAATGCTAGAATATAAGAAAAGAGCTGGGCATGGTGGCTCAGGCCTGTAATCCCAGCACTTTGGGAAGCTGAGATGGGAGAATCACTTGAGCCCAGGAGTTCAAGACCAGCCTGGGCAATATAGTGAGACCTCATCTCTACGAAAAATAGAAAAAATTAGCATGGTGTGGTGGCACAGGCCTGTAGTCCAAGCTACTCAGGAGGCTGAAATGGGAGGATCGCTTGAGCTCAGGAAGTTATGGCTGCAGTGAGCCATGATCGTGCCATTGCATTCTAGCCTGGGCGACAAAGCAAGATGCTGTCTCAAAAAAAAGAAAGAAAGAAAAAGTAAAAAATGTCTTCTTTTTCAATACCTATTTTTCACAGCTTGGGCTGCCACAAGGCGTCCTGTCCTCCCCTTTGCCTGGAAACACAGCTCACCACCGTCCACCTGAAGCGCAGGATAGTATTAGGAGGGTTTTCACAATCACACACTCTTAAGGAAGTGAAGAACTTCCAAGTTGAGAACAAGTTCCAGGTACTTTCATTACCTGGAGGAGTCTCCTCTTTGCTCAGAAGTTCTTGGACTCTATGAAACTTCCTGCTCAACATCATTAGCTGTTTCCTCTGAGTTTGGCATTCCTCTTGACTCCCCCAAATTGACATAATTCTCTTCCCTAGTTACTACCTGAAGTCTGAGATTCCTAGCATTAAATACTTTGGTTAGCCCTACAAACAGGAAGTATATGGTCCTGGGGGTGGGTAACTGAGAGAAAGTCAACCTGTCTCCTTAGGAGCCTCTCAGGAGACTCATCTGGCCTTATTTCCATCCCACCTCCTTCCCTGACCTGCTCAACTGGACAGACTGCCTGAGTCTTAGCTCAAGGCCACTTGCCATAGGTCAATAATAAATCATTTCTATTCCTTTCTGCATTTTAAAGAAAATGTTTTAACAGTCATACTTTAATGTCAAGAGCACAATTTTGAAAACTGCGTAAAGATGACAGTTTCAGAGGCAGATTTGGGTTGAGCTAAGTGATTTTCAGCTTCTGCTCTAGCAAATTATCCGAAGGCTGCTTCTTCTGAAATTCACTCTTCATCACTGCTAGGACTTGATCAGGTCAGCTTGCCACAATTGGCCAGGTTTATTATTTATTGGCTAGAGGTAAAATATTCAAATGATTATCTAGTACATGTGACTATTTGCTATCAACCTCGGTTTCCAGTAGTGGAGGAAAGGATGAATAAAATGGGTGGATTGCATACTATGGAGTCTTGTGCAGTGATAAAAACAACAAATGAAATGCATGCACGGCAATAATTTTAGTTCTTTAAAATATAGTACTGAGAAAAAATAGCAAAAAACAACATTTATAGCACATACACTAACACAATACACTTTATAAGACAAAGGCATATTTAAGAAAATATATGAAAATGTGAAAGTAGTAACTTATGGTCAGGGGTAGGGGTTAGGGGTAAAATAAAATAAAATAAGAGAAACCTTCCCAAAAATGTGATGATAAGGTAGCATGAACTGAGTAGTATGATTAACTCTTTTGAAGTCTCAAAAACTGCACAAATAAGCCTGGACAACATGGTTAAAATTGTCTCTACAAAAAATACAAAAATTAGCCAGGCGTGGTGGCATGTCTCTAGTCCCAGCTACTCGGGAGGCTGAGGTGGGAGGATCACCTGAGCCTGCAAAGTCAAGGCTTCAGTGAGCCGTGATGGCACCACCACACTCCAGCCTGAGTGACAGAGCGAGACCTTGTCTCAAAAAAAAAAATCATAAATTAGTGCTTCCCAGCAGTGTTCCAGTCATAGAGCATGAACATTCTGAAAGATGCTAACGCGTGTTACCAAAAAGCAGATTCCATGATCCTGTACATTAGGGAAACTTAGGTTAAACAAAGTTAAACAAGTTTCTTCACTTCAGATCTCCTCAGAGTCTGTAACAGTCTAATTTATGATGGGTATACACAGTATTTCCCAAACTTCTTTGGCCTTGGAACTATTTTTGGCAAATGCTGTTTTGCAAAACACAGATTGGGAAATGCTGCCCTCACCGTTTACCCCAGTTACTTTCTTCTCTCAAGACAGCCTCAGTACTCCATTCCACCTGTCCTCCAGGTCTCCTCTCTTCCAGGAAACCCCCTCTGCAGCCCATAATCATCTCTATTCTCATCTTATTGCTGCAACTCTTTGGCCAATAAGCAGTAAGATCAGAGTATTTTACTGTTGCTGCAGAAATGTATTAGTGCAGCAGGAGGTTCAGAATACAGCAGACATACTCTACTGTTGCTTCTGTATCTGCTATTGCTTTCTTAAGGATGAGGGCGACACAGTTTTTTATCTCTACCTTAACTTTTGGTGATGTTGACTTGAATAAATTACATGGAAGGACCTTTCAGCCAATCATTTCACAGCATCTATTCAAATCAGGTTAAATTAATACTGTCTGAGGTGAGGGTGAAAGAGTCATATTTACAAAGCATCCCAAACAACAGAAAACAGCTTTTTTCATAATGTTTTGATGCTTTAATACATTTAAGGAAAAGTGAGAAGGTGAAACAAGGACAATTATACGCTTCCCAAAACAGCTTTAAGTCAGTTGAATGGTTTCTTAGCTTTGCCTAGCCCTGCTCTACACCAGGATTCAATGATGATGATGATGATGAACAACAAGGAGGGTGAGGGAGATGAAGGAGAAGAACAACAAGGAGGAGGCAACTACCTTTATAAATTCCAGGCCAGGCGCAGTGGCTCACACCTGTAATACCAGCACTTTGGGAGGCTGAGGCAGGTGGATCACCTGAGGCCAGGAGTTCAAGACAAGCCTGGCCAACATGGTGAAACCCCGTCTCTACTAAAAATACAAAAATTAGCCAGGCATGGTGGTGCATGCCTGTAGTCCCATCTACTCAGGAGGCTGAAGCAGGAGAATCACTTGAACCCGGGAGGCGGAGGCTGCAGTGAGCCAAGATTGTGCCACTGCACTTCAGCCTGGGTGACAGAGGGAGATTCCGCCTCAAAAATAAATAAATAAATAAATACGTAAATTCCAGATTTCAGGACCAGTACTATGTTAAGTACCTCACCTACTTCATAGGTTTAAAAGAGTGGCCACCTAGTCCGGGCATCATAGCAAGACCTCATCTCTACTAAAAGTAAAAAAAAAATCAGCTAGATGCCGTGGCGCATGCCTGTCATTCCAGCTACTTGGTAGCTGATGTGGAAGGATCGCTTGAGGCTGGGAGATCAAGCCTGCAGTGAGCCGTGATCACGCCACTGCATACCAGCCTAGGTGACAGAGCGAGACCCTGTCTCAAAAAAAGGAAAAAAAAACGTGGTCACTGAAAAGCCCCTTTTACCAACATGTCTTTCTCCCATGGCTTTCAGAGACCTAAAATTTCCATCTTTATACATCTGTTCCTACAGCCCCTTTAACATCTGTAAAAACTCCAGAAGTATTATACTGGTAATACCCTTGTATGAATGGATTTGTTGTAGATTTTTTTTAAAATCACCTATCAGAAGACCTTGGGAAAATATTTAGCATTGCTCATGGTGTAAGGGGTACTCTCTGGGAGGCTAGAGACAGATGAAACAAAGCAATGCAGCTTTTCCTCCTAGTTCCTGCTTAAACACTGTGACATTCACTAAGAACTCACAATTTACAAGATATCTTGAAGGCACATAGGGTTTTAAAGGTGAATATAGATTGCAATATTTGCCCTTAGAACTTAGCAGAGAGACAATCACAAATACTTGTAATATGATGCAACTGCTCTAATAGAAGCATGAGAATTATGTATGTAAAGCACCCAGCCCAGATGCTTAGCACAGAGGAATTGCTTTCTTCTCCCTGTTCCTCTGTAGGAGTCCAAGAAAGCTTCAGAGAGAAGCACTCTGTCTTGGAGGATAAGTAGAAATCTTCCAAGCAAAGAGCTGGAGATGACAATGGTGTGCTGGTGAATGTTCAACTGGCATTCCAGGAGGGGGACAAAAGCCGTGATTGTATCACTTGCCAATTTCCATGGTGTAAATACTCCTCCTGCAGCAAATCTCAAGCTACCAACATGATGTCACTGAACACGGAGTTGGGACTAGAAGTGTCTAAGCTAGTTAGAGCAGCTCCAGCACACCATAGGGAGACCAGATGAAAGAAACAGCCCGTGAACTGAAAACATCTGGTGATGAGTTGGCTATTGTCCCACATAGTGTGAGAGAGGGGCTGGGAGAGAGATGAAAATAGAGAAGCATGCACAGTCTAAACCAGAATCTGCAAAGAGAAAAGCAGGTATAGCCTGTGATGGGAGAAACAGGTCAGGAAAGAAGAATTTGGAAAACAGTTCAGAAATAGATCACAAAACGCAGTGAACTTTTGTAATTTTATGTTCTATGCAACTAATCATGATCTAAACAATCCATGTTTTAAAGAAATAACTCAGCCAGGCGCGGTGGCTCACGCCTGTAATCCCAGCACTTTGGGAGGCCGAGGCGGGGGGATCACGAGAACAGGAGTTCAAGACCAGCCTGGCCAACATGGTGAAGCCTTGTCTCTACTAAAAATACAAAAATTAGCCAGGCATGGTGGCATGTGCCTGTAATCCCAGCACTTTGGGAGGCTGAGGCGAGTGGATCACTTGAGGTCAAGAGTTCAAGACCAGCCTGGGCAACATGGCGAAACCCCATCTCTACTAAAAGTACAAAAATTAGCCAGGCGTGGTGGTGGGAGCCTGTAATCCCAGCTACTCGGGAGGCTGAGGCAGGAGAATCCCTTGAACCCAGGAGGCAGAGGTTGCAGTGAGCTGAGATCACGCCACTGTACTCCAGCCTGGGCAACAGAGCAAGACTCCGTTTCCAAAAAAAAAAAAGAAAGAAAGAAAAATGAAAAGAAATAACTCTAGGCCAGGCATAGTGGCTCACGCCTGTAATCTCAGCACGTTGGGAGTCCGAGGTGGGAGGATCACCTGAGCCCAGGAGTTTGAGACCAGCCTAGGCAACATGGTGAAACCCCTATCTCTACAAAAGAAAAATATATATATATAAAATTAGCCTGACATGGTGGTGTGCACCTGTAGTCCCGGCTACTGTGGAGACTGAGGCGGGTGGATCACCTGAGCCAGGGAGGTTGATGCTGCAGTAAGCCAAGGTTTTGCCACTCCACTCCAGCCTGGGTGACAGAGTGAGACCTTGTCTCTCAAAAGAAAAGAAATAATTCTAGTGGCAGTATAGAGGATTAACCAGAGGGCAGAAAGACTGGGAGTAAAATGACTAGTTAATAAATTTTCAGGCTGGGCGCAGTGGCTTACGCCAGTAATCCCAACACTTTGGGAGGCCGAGGCAGGTGGATCACTTGAGGTCAGGAATACGAGACCAGCCTAGCCAACATGGAAAACCCCATCTCCACTAAAAAAAAATACAAAATTAGCCAGGCGTGGTGGATCAGTAGCCTCTGATCCCAGCTACTCTGGAGGCAGAGGAAGGGGAATCGCTTGAACTCAGGAGACTGAGATCACGCCACTGCACTCTAGCCTAGGTGACAGAGTGAGACTCCGTCTCAAAAATAAATAAACAAATTTTCAAAATAAAGATCTAGGCTGACAATGTTTGGCATCTTTGGGACACAACTCAGCATTTCACAGGGTGTGTATATCCCACCTCAAGGGGTTCTTTCACTCAGGCCTTTAGAGAACAAAGAAAGGAAACAATAAAAATAACTAAAAAATACCAGTAAATATAAACTATACAATGTACTGCATAGCTTTACCAAGCATAAATGTGTATGTGTACCTTTTTATATGGTGAATTCTTTTATGAATCCCTGTTCCTCCACAACAGGGAATATTTCTCCGCTTCTGCTTCTTATTGCTAATTCTTCTTGCTTGTTCCTGAGAATAACACTGGTCCTATTAAGCTCTCAGATCTGTTCTGTATTTGCTTGATGTTCAATTATGTAAGTGCTCACCCCCTTTAACCACAGGAACGTTTGTTTCTGCAGCTGCAGTGCCCTGCTGCTTGCATGCCAAGCCAGATTTCCATGGCCGAAGCATTGGAACTGAGTGCAACATTTACCTTGGAGGTGCCACAGTTTCTCAGGTCTCCTGCTTCTGTATTTGACACTGGCGGCATGGCCACGTGGTTGATGGGCCCTGGGTCTACATTAGCTGACTGGTCTAAAGCCTCCCTGACCTCGTTCTAGTTCCCTTGCTAATAGCAGCCCACAAGATGGTCACATAAGTGCAGCTGCTGTGGTTTTGCTGCAGGTTTCTGTGATCGTTTTGTAGGTACAGGCATCTACCCGTGGGAGGTCCTGCAATTTATACAGGAAGATGTGCATGTGATAGTGTCTGCAGATCCCATACTGACTCATTTTTTCCTGTTTTCCTCTTCCTTCTGTTCTTGGTGTCAGAACCAAGCACTTGTTACTAAAGGCTGGGACTGCATAGCCCAGGGCCTTTAACTCTATCGCCACCAGCAGGTGGGTGTAGCCGCAGTATCAAGGGAGCTGGGGAGAGCAGGGGAGGGGAGGGAAGGAATCCATTGCTCCTTCTCAGGTTTCCTCAATCTAAGCGCAAATCCTAGGAGGAAAGGTCCACTCACTTCCTCCCACACATGCTGGTATTAGCGCTGACCCTTCTTCTCCAGCCAATCTGGAATGCGGTGGTTATGAGTGTGGGCCCTCAGTCAGACCACCTGATTCAAACCTCGCTTTGCAGGGTGACCTTGGTAAGATTGCCAAATTTAGCAAAAACAAACAAATGCAAACTGGATACCTATTTAAATCTGAATGGCAGATAAACAATGAATTTTAGTATGAGTACATCCCATGCAATATTTCTACTAAGAGATTATTTATTATTTATTACATTTATCTGGGTGTCTAGTATTTTACCTGGCAACCTAGACCTCAGGCAAGTTACTTTACCCCTCTAGGCCCACATTTCCTTATCCAGAACTTGAAAATAATTGCACTGCCTACCTGAAAGTGTTGTCTTGAGGATTAAATGGGATAATGTAGAATGTTAGGGAAGTGCCTGCAGGCACACATTTGATAAGTGTTAAGTGGATATTCAACATAGTATGGTGGATATTCAGTATAGTATAGTATAGTATAGTATAGTATAGTATAGTATAGTATAGTATAGTATAGTACAGCACAGCACAGCACAGCACAGCAAAGTACAGTACAGTACAGTACAGTACAGTACAGTATAGTATAGTATAGTATAGTATAGTATATGCATGGCCTTGGGAGGCACACAGACCAGGTTCAAACCCTCCTCTGTCACTTGCCTGCATTGTGACCTTGGGCAAGTTATTTAACTTCTCTGCGCCTCAGTAATCATCTTCTACAGAATGGGGATAATTGTAGTCTTTACCTTATGATGTTGAGTGGAGTAAATAAGACAATACATGGAAATCAGCACAATGCCTGGTAAATGTAATAAATAGTATTCTACGTATTAAATAGTGATAAGAACATTATATAAATTGTTTACCTCCTCCAAGACCCTCCTTACCCCCTCCATCCACCATCTTTGTTGCAAAGCTTCTCTGTCCTATTCCAGCGGGCACTGATTTTTCCTTCCTCTGAATTTCTGCAGTCCTTGCTGATCTTACCACCACAGGAACCTTGATTATACTCTGCCCTGCACTGTTTGTTAACTATCCCATTTATGGATGCCTTTTCTCATTGGTCAAAACCTGGAGGCCTTGGGCTTCTTCTCCAGCTCCTCCCTTAACTGCTGGGCACCACTATCAGTAGATATCTGTTGCCTAACTTATTAGTGCCATTGTCATGGATTTGTGGGCCAAGAGAAAAAGTCAAACCTACCTATCCAATGACCTACTTCTTGAAATCTACCGGCAGGGAAAAAAGGTCCTGTTTAAAATGTTACTGTAGGCTGGGTGTGGTGGCTCATGCCTGTAATCCCGGCACTTTGGGAGGCTGAGGCCGGTGGACCACCTGAGGTCAGGAGTTTGAGACCAGCCTGGCCAACATGGCAACACCCCATCTCTACTAAAAATACAAAAATTAGCCAGGTGTGGTGGAGGTGCGTGTAATCCCAGTTACTTGGGAGGCTGAGGCAGGAGAATTGCTTGAACCCAGGAGGCTGAGGTTGCAGTGAGCCGAGATCGCTCCACTACACTCCAGCCTGGGTGACAAAGCAAGACTCTGTCTCAAAAAAATAAATAAATAATAAAATAAAATGTCAGTGTAGGTTTTCCTGCGCATGTAGAACCCTGGAGAAATAATACCAAGTGTCAGGTTTGCCACTGTCCTGAGCATAGTCAAGCACAGCATTAAGGGGCATGCTGTCCCTGGCCTGTGTCTAGGTTTCTTTCATGGGTAGGCAACTTCTCTCGAATCCTGCTATTGGTGCTTGAAACATTAAGATACTCAGCACAGGGCTACTCTATCAATGACAATGCATAGGAAACATTGCCTGACTTTAACAAGATACAAAAACAGGATTTTTTTTTTTTTTTTTTTTTTGAGGAGACAAAGTCTCACTCTGTCGCCCAGGCTGGAGTGCAGTGGTGCAATCTCAACTCACTACAACCTCCGCCTCCTGGGTTCATGCCATTCTCCTGCCTCAGCCTCCCGAGTAGCTGGGACTACAGGCACGTGCCACCAAGCCCGGCTAATTTTTTGTATTTTTAATAGAGACGGGGTTTCTCAGTGTTAGCCAGGATGGTCTTGATCTCCTGACCTTGTGATCCACCTGCCTTGGCCTCCCAAAGTGTTGGGATTACAGGCGTGAGCCACCGTGCCTGGCCCAAAAACAGGATTTTTTTTGGTACATCTGAAACATGATAACAATAGTAAAATCGCTATACCAGCGACACTCAACTTTGGCTATTAGAATCACCTGGGGAGCTTAAAAAGCTACCAAGATGCTGATTGATTTGGCCTGTGTTGGGGACCTGCATATCAGGAGTTTTAAAACCTTCCCAGGTGATTCTCATGAGCAGCTTCTCTGCAGTATGACTGCTTTAAATGTAAACTGCATGGCTTGCCTGACGTGGTTTTTGCAAAGTACAGAATGTTTCAGAATTGGCTGTAGGTTAAGACCTAAATACCTTTTTTTTTTTTTGCTTCTGGACAGTAGGTAAAACAACTCTAAAATGACCTGATGTTCTTCCAAATTACTGTGTAATTAACTATCGCCAAACAAACTTCTTGTAAGACTTTGCAGCGGTATTTTCCAATATCCTGTTCAGCCACTAACTGAGAGCCAGTTTTCCAGTGTGGGGTAAACCTTGGTTCATGGACACTGATTACTACAATCACCTGGTGGCCCAGGAAGGAAAGAACAGAGGTCACAAAACTAGTCTGCTAGAGAGGCTGGGAGGCTTGGAGCAGAGCTTTCCAAATTTTAACGTGCACATGAATCACCTGGTGGTGGTGGGCAGGGGTCTTGTTAATACCCAGATGCTGATTCGGTAGGTCTGGGGAAGGGCCTGAGAGTCTGCATTTTGTTTTTGTTTGTTTGTTTTGAGACGGAGTCTCGCTCTGTCACCCAGGCTGGAGTGCAGTGGTGCGATCTCGGCTCACTGCAACCTCCGCCTCCCGGGTTCAAGCAATTCTCCTGCCTCAGTCTCCCGAGTAGCTGGGACTACAGGTGCCCGCCACCACACCTAGCTAATTTTTTTTGTATTTTTAGTAGAGACAGGGGTTTCACCATATTGGCCAGGCTGGTCTCGAACTCCTGACCTTGTGATCTGCCTGCCTTGGCCTCCCAAAGTGCTGGGATCACAGGCATGAGCCACCGTGCCTGGTCGAGTTTGCAGTTTTAACAACCTCCCAGGTGGAGCCAATTCTGCCAGTCCAGGGACCACATTGGGATAGCAAAGCCTTGGAGAAATCTGGTTTACACAGCTTTTTAAAATTTGCAATGCCTTAGGCAAGGACTTCATGTCTAAAACAACAAAAGCAATGGCAACAAAAGCCAAAATTGACAAATGGGATCTAATTAAACTAAAGAGCTTCTGCACAGCAAAAGAAACTACCATCAGAGTGAACAGGCAACCTACAGAATGGGAGAAAATTTTTGCAATCTACTTATCTGACAAAGGGCTAATATCCAGAATCTACAAAGAACTTAAACAAATTTACAAGAAAAAATCAAACAACCCCATTAAAGTGGGCAAAGGACGTGAACAGACACTTCTCAAAAGAAGACAATATGCAGCCAACAGACACATGAAAAAATGCTCATCATCACTGGCCATCAGAGAAACGCAAATCAAAACCACAATGAGATACCATCTCAGACCAGTTAGAATGGCCATCATTAAAAAGTCAGGAAACAACAGGTGCTGGAGAGGATGTGGAGAAATAGGAACACTTTTACACTGTTGGTGGGACTGTAAACTAGTTCAACCATTGTGGAAGACAGTGTGGTGATTCCTCAAGGATCTAGAACTAGAAATACCATTTGATCCAGCCATCCCATTACTGGGGATATACCCAAAGGATTATAAATCATGATGCTATAAAGACACATGCACACATATGTTTATTGCGGTACTATTCACAATATCAAAGACTTGGAACCAACCCAAATGTCCATCAATGATAGACTGGATTAAGAAAATGGGGCACATACACACTATGGAATACTATGCAGCCATAAAAGAGGATGAGTTCATGTACTTTGTAGGGACATGGATGAAGCTGGAAACATTCTGGGCAAACTACTACAAGGACAGAAAACCAAACACTGCATGTTCTCACTCATAGGTGGGAACTGAACAATGAGAACACTTGGACACAGGATGGGGAACGTCACACACCGGGGCCTGTCATGGGGTGGGGGGTGGGGGGAGGGAAACCATTAGGAAATATACCTAATGTAAATGATGAGTTAATGGGTGCAGCACACCAACATGGCACATGTGTACATGTGTAACAAACCTGCATGTTGTACACCGGTACCCTAGAACTTAAAGTATAATAATAATAATAAAAAGTCTTTCATAATTCGAAAAAACAAAATAAAATAAAATAAAATTTGCAATGCCTAAGCCCCACCCAGATCAAGTGAATTAGAATCTCTGGAAGTAGGGCCTGAGCATCAGTGTTCAAAGTTCCCTGACTGATTCTTATGTGCAGCCAAGACTGAGAACACCCATCTGGCAGATGAGGAAACCAAGACTCAGAGAGGAGAAAGAGTAAAAGGGCTAGCTGGGGTGGGAGGGTCCCACGTTTTGAAACCAGCACCCAAGCTTCTGGCCACAAAAACCTTCTTCCTCAATTCTATAGAGACATAAAGCATGAACCCAGGAGGCAGAGGCTGCAGTGAGCGAAGATCATGCCATTGCACTCCAGCCTGGGTGACAGAGCAAGACTCCATCTCAAAAAAAGAAAAAAGAGGCTGATACCTGATTGGATATGGACTAATCCAGGAGTGTTTCCAGCTGAGTTTCCTTAGCCCTTAAAAGCCACCCCACTCTCCGTACACTATTAACTACTATCGTTTTATGACCTCCTGGGACCTCCATTCTGTATGGGCTTTCAGCTGCAGGGTGAAATTTGGGGTAGAGTTATTAGCTTTCAGTCACTGTCAGATTACTCGAATCTCAAAGGTAGACACCCTACATTTAGGGGAAGAAGACTTTTCTCCTATGGAAATTAGGGCTACAATAAGATAATTTCCTTGAGATGACTTTTCATCTTCTATTTCTGGGGACAAGGAAATAGGAAGTAAAACTTTTTCCCATAGAACCCGCTAGTATCATTTTTTTTTTTTTTTTTTTGAGACAGAGTCTCGCTCTGTCACCCAGGCTGGAGGGCAGTGGCTCAATCTCAGCTCACTGCAAGCTCTGCCTTCCTGGTTCACCCCATTCTCCTGTCTCAGCCTCCCGAGTAGCTGGGACTACAGGCGCCTGCCACAACGCCTGGCTAATTTTTTGTATTTTTAGTAGAGACGGGGTTTCACCGTGTTAGCCAGGATGGTCTCAATCTCCTGGCCTTGTGATCCACCCGCCTCGGCCTCCCAAAGTGCTGGGATTACAGGCATGAGCCACAGCGCCCGGCCTTTTTTTTTTTTCCTTTTTTTTTTTAAGACGGAGTCTCGCTCTGTTGCCCAGGCTGGAGTGCAGTGGCACAATCTTGGCTCACCACAACCTCCGCCTCCCGGGTTCAAGCAATTCTCCTGCCTCAGCCTCCCAAGTAGCTGGGACTACAGGCGTGCACCACTATGCCTGGCTAATTTTTGTATTTTTAGTAGAGACAGGGTTTCACTATGTTGGCCAGGCTGGTCTTGAGCTCCTGATCCTGTGATCCACCCCCCTCGATCTTCCAAAGTGCTGGTATTACAGGCATGAGCCACCATGCCCAGCCCCTCATTTTAACATATTTAAGGTTCATGCATATTTGTATTCAATATAAGATTGAATATAATCAATCTTATATATTATGTAATATATTACATAATATATCAATATAAATCTTATATTTATTATTGGGATCTTCCTAATCTTATATAAAATCTTAGATAGGTTTAGGGTGATAAACACTTGGCAATCTGCCGGTAACAGGCAGACAAAAGTATTTAAAAGTAAAGCGTATTTTTAATCTTTCATCCTAACTGAAATAGGTGAAGACATTCTTAATCTTATAGCAAAAGATGGAGAAGTGGCTGGGTGCAATGGCTCACAGCTGTAATCCCAGCACTTTGGGAGGCCAAGGTGAGCAGATCTCTAGAGGTCAGGAGTTCAAGACCAGCCTGGCCAACATAGCAAAACCCTGTCTCTACTAAAAATACAAAAATTAGCCAGGTGTGGTGGCGCACACCTGTAATCCAAGCTACTCGGGAGGCTGAGGCAGGAGAATCACTTGAACCCAAAAGGCAGAGGTTGGAGGCAGAGGTTGTAGTGAGCTGAGATCACACTACTACACTCCAGCCTGGGTGACAGAGTGAAACTCCGTCTCAAAAAAAAAAAAAAAAAAAAAAAGGTGAAGTTAGGGATAAAATGTCAGCATAGCATCTTGTTGTGTGTCTCCCTTTTCAGTTTTACCCAAAAGGGGTTTCAAAAGACTCAGGCTGACAGATTCCAGAGCATTCCTTGTCCACCTGGAGGGACAGTCTATCTCTTCTAGTTAATTCCTGGAGTGCAACGCTAGCCAATCAGGAGAGCATTTCCTCCATCTCTGGACTCAGACTAATTGTTAATCCACACACAATTTCAAGGCCGTTAACCAACAGAAGATTTCTTTGTACATGCTCCTCAAAAACTGTCTCCAAGAAATAGGAATGTGAAAGGAGAAAGCTGTATTATTAGTAGAGACGGGGTTTCACCATGTTTGCCAGGCTGGTCTTGAACTCCTGACCTCAGGTGATCCGCCCACTTCGGCCTCTCAAAGGGCTGAGGTTACAGACATGAGCCACTGCGGCTGGCCATAACTTGTAATTTTTATAATTAATTAAGTACATATTAAGAGATTAATAACATCTCTTAAATATATAAGGAACTCGAACAACTCAAATGCATGAACACAACCTGATTAAAAATGAACAGAGGACCTGAAAAGAGATTTCTCAAAAGAAGACATACAAATGGCCAACAGGTATATGAAAAAAATACTCAACATCACTAATCATCAGGGAAGTGTAATTAAAACCAAAATGAGGCCGGGCATTGTGGCTCACACCTGTAATCCCAGCACTTTGGGAGGACGAGGTGGGCAGATCACTTAAGGTCAGGAGTTCGACACCAGCCTGGCCAACATGGTGAAACCCTGTCTCTCCTAAATATACAAAAATTAGCCAGGTGTGGTGGTGCATGCCTGTAGTCTTTCCTAGCTACTCAGGAGGCTGAAGCAGGAGAATCACTTGAACCCAGGAAGAGGAGGTTGCAGTGAGGCAAGATCATGCTGTTGTACTCCAGCCTGGACGTCACAGCAAGACTTGGTCTTAAAAAAAAAAAAATGAGGCTGGGCACAGTGGCTCATGCCTGTAATCCCAGCAATTTGGGAGGCTGAGGCAGGTGGATCACCTGAGGTCAGGAGTTCAAGACCAGCCTTGCCAACATGGCAAAGCCCCGTCTCTGCTAAAAATACAAAAATTAGCTGGGTGTGGTGGCTGCATGCCTGTAGTCCCAGCTACTCGGGAGGCTGAGGTGGGAGGATCACTTGCCTGGGAGGTGGTGGTTGCAGTGAGCCAAGATTGCTCCACTGCACTCTAGCCTAGGCGACAGAGTAAGACCCTGTCTGAGAAAAAAAGAAATATATATATATTATTAATTCAAGTCCTAGTTTATTCAGATTTCCTTAGTTTTTACCCAATTTCTTTTTTCTGTTCCAGGATCCCATCCTGGATCTCACATTTAATCATCATGTGTCCTCAGGCTCCTCTGTGGCAGTTTCTCAGTCTTTTCTTATTTTTGATGACCTTGACAATTTTGAGGAGTTCTGGTCAGGTAGGTTGTAAGACACCCCTCTATTGGAACTTGTTTGATGTTATTCTTACATATATACTGGGGATATGGATTTTTGGGAGGAAGGTCACAGAGGCAAATCACCATCTTTATCACATCATATCAAGGGTACATACCATCAACATGATTTCTGACTGTTGATATTGATCACCTGGCTGAAGTAGTGTTTGTCAAGTTTCTTCACTGTACAGTTACTTTCCTCTCCTTTCTACATTGTACTCATTAGAAGGAAGTCATGATGTACAGTCTTCCTTTAGGGTGGAGTATTTATATAAATTATTTGAAATTCTGTACAGGATGTTCATAATGGAATTTTAAGTGTGGAGGTCATAACTGTATCAGGCAAAGTTTGTAATTAAATTTCATCAACTTTTTGCTCCAGGGAAAGAAAGAAAAGGATCAGAGGCCAGGCGAGGTGTTCTAACCCTAGCATTTAATAGGGAGTAAACGGCTTGGGTAACTTGGATTGTCTTTTGTCTCTTGAGGATCCGATCAATGTGTGGGGTTATCCAAAATGAGGTATGTCTTAATTTAGTACTCCTTAAAAGACGGTGACAAAACAAAGGGACGTTTTAGCCTGGTTTCTCCAACTGGGTTGAAGGAGAGACTGGGGGCCGCTGAGTTACTCCAAGCATAAGGGGATGAGGGTCTGAGGCAGTGTGGGGGCCATGAAAATAAAAAGTGGTAACTTCATGTTAGAATTTAGTGACTGATGAAATATGAGGGAAGGGAGGAAGAAACGGTATTTCTTTTCTGAAACTTTGTTGAATGGAAGAACATGATACATAGAATATAGGAACAGAAAGAGCACTAGTAAATGCGAAGTTTAATAGCCCATATCTACTCAGAAATGTTTATCAGAACATCGGAAAGGAAGGATTGGCTCACACAAGATAAGGGTATAGATTTTGGAGTTATCTATAAAAAGCAGAAGGAATTGATGGATTCTTCAAGAACAGAGTACATGTAGAGAAGAACGGAAGGCAAGAGTGAAAGTACGTGATGCTTGATGAAGAGCAGAGATGACTTCTACAGCAACTCGAAAACCAGAGAATGGTGGGATAAGGGATGAGTAGGTTTTCTTGCCTGGAGGCCAAATACAAGCCTGTTTTTGTTTTCTTTTGCTTTGTGTTTTGAGACAGAGTCTTGCTCTGCTGCTCAGGCTGGAGGGCAATAACACAATCATGGCTTACTGCGGCCTCGACCTCCCAGACTCAAGCAATCCTCTTGCCTCAGCCTCCTAAGTAGCTAGGACCACTGGTATGTGCCACCTTGCTAATTTTTAAATTTTTATTTATTTTATTTTTAAGAGACAGAGTCCCTCTATGTTGCCCAAGCTGGTCTTGAACTCCTGGGCTCAAGCGATCCTCCTGCCTTGGCCTCCCAAAGTGCAGAGCCACTGCACCAAGCCCCAGCCTGGTTTTTAAAAATATATATATTTTAGCTTCTTTATAAAAATAGAGATGAAGTCTCACTACATTGCCCAGGCTGGTCTCGAGCTCCTGGGATCAAGTGATCCACTCAGCACTTTGGCATCCCAAAGTGCTGGGATTATAAGCGTGAGCCACTGCACCTGGCCCAAGCGTGGTTTTAATGACTGATTCAGGTTTGAGGGGATAGAAAGGTGGCCAACTGATAGAAACCCTAGAAGTGCATGATTAGCAGAGTTCATTGGCATTGAGAAGAAACTGGAAGCTTAGGCAGGAGCACCCTGTGGTGTTCAGGTACTACTGCTGTGCTTCCAGTTTAGTCACTACAAGATTCCTATCAGAATTTTCTGTTGGAATTTAAATTGGGAAGGGGAAGGGAGAGGGCCGGGGACTGTGTGTATTTAATTCACTTCATGTCATGCCAAGCATCCTGGCTAGATGAACACTTGCCACTGTTTGATATGCTGATACAGCCAGGCTTGATAATTTATTAAGAGTAGCAGAGAAATACATGTAGGGTATGTTTCTAGAAAAAAAATGTGCTTAGGTCTCCTTTAATATATTTAATATTGAAACTAGACAGGTTTCTATGCTTGTCTTTTAAATAATGGAGTCTCATTTGATTTTGTAAAAATAACTGCAATAACCTTTTAGGACTTAGATGCCCAAACGTTTTGTCTTGAAACTCAAGTATTGTTAATCCTTATCCTAAACTCTTAATCTGTTCAATTTTGAAAGCCACAATCCTTAATGGCCGACAAGGCCCTCCTCAATTTACTCCCCCTCTCAGCCTCCATTTCCATTACCTCTCTAACCTGGCCACCTATAACTCTCACCTTTTTTTTTTGAGACAGTGTCTTGTTCTGTTGCTTAGGCTGAAGTTCAGTGGGTTAATCATAGCTCACTGCAGCCTCATAATCTTGGGCTCGAGTGATCCTCCTGCCTCAGTTTCCTGAGTAGCTAGGACTACAGGTGCTCACCACCATGCCCAGCTAATTTTACCTTTAGCCTCTTCTATCCAGCCCAATGGCCCACTTGCTGTTCTGTAAGGATGCTGGGCACACTCTCAACTGGGGGCTTCTGTACTTGCTGTTCTTCTGCTCAGAAGGTCTTCCTCCCAGCTCCCACTGTGGCTGTTTCACTTCTGGGGGGGTGTTTGTTCAACTATCATCTTTTCAGAAAGACTTTCTCTGACCGTACTATTTAAATGGTGACCCACCTATTGCTGGCATAGTCTATTTTCCCTTTCCCTCATTGATTTTTGTCTATATCACTTAACACCATCAAAAATACTAATACAGGCTAGATGCAGTGGCTCATACCTGTGATCCCGGTTCCTTGGGAAGCTGAGGCAAGAGGGTTGCTTGAACCCAGGACTTTAAGACCAGCCTGGGCAATGTAGCAAGACCCTAACTCTACAAAAAAATTAAAAATCAGCCTGGCACTGTGGCATGTGCCTGTAGTCCCAGTTACTCAGGAGGCTGAGACAAGAGGATTGCTTGTGCCTAGGAGGTCAAGGCTACAGTGAGCTATGACTGCGCCACTGCACTCCAGCCTGGGCAACATAGCAAGACCCTGTCTCAAAAAAAAAAAAAACCAGGCTGGTCCAATGGTGGTGGGTTATCACAGCTTATTAACATTAGTGTCACTAAAGTTGGTATACAACACCCCCACAATGTTAAATTTGACTGGCAAAAAAAAAAAAAAAACAATAGGCTGAGCTTGGTAGCTCACGCCTGTAATCCCAACACTTTGGTAGGCTGAAGCAGGCAGATCGCTTCAGGTCAGGAGTTCAAGACCAGCCTGGCCAACACAGTGAAACCCCATCGCTGCTAAAAATACAAAAATTAGCGGGGCGTGGTGGTGCACACCTGTAGTCCCAGCTACTCGAGGGGCTGAGGCAGGAGAATCGCTTAAACCTGGGAGGCAGAGGTTGCAGTGAGCCGAGATCGTGCCACTGCACTTCAGCCTGGGCAGCAGAGTGAGACTCTGTCACACACACACACACAAAAAAGTGTGTGTATATATATATATATACACACACACACACACACACACTAACATATATACATATATATACACATACACACTAATACACTGTGTAGTTTGCAGTTTGCTTATTTATTTTGTCTGTCTTCTCCATGCAATTATAAAAATGTAAGCTCCCTGAGGACGTGGATTTTTTTGTTTGTTTGTTTTACTGCCTACAACAGTGTTTGGGACATAGTAGTTATTCAATAAAAAGTCATTGAATGAATAAATTTGATTCCATGTATTAGGGACAGACTTTTTCTTGTTATGTTTATAGGGAAGTTATTTTCTTTCTTTCTTTTTTTTTTTTTTTTTGAGATGGAGTTTCTCTCTTGTCACCCAGGCTGGAGTGCAACGGTGCAACCTCGGCTCACCACAACCTCCGCCTCCCAGGTTCAAGCAATTCTCCTGCCTCAGCCTCCTGAGTAGCTGGGATTACAGGCATGCACCACCACGCCCAGCTAATTTTGTATTTTTAGTAGAGACAGGGTTTCTCCATGTTGGTCAGGCTGGTCTTAAACTCCTGACCTCAGGTGATCTGCCCGCCTTGGCCTCTCAAAGTGCTGGGATTACGGATGTGAGCCACCGCGCCCAGCCAGGAAGTTATTTTCTGTAGAGAAGCTTAAAGCATTTTAGGGTGATTCTACAGACACAAGAAACAGGGTTATGCGTGACTCTGATTAAATTCACTTTACCAGCCCTTACTGAGTTCCTACTCTGTACCAGGTTCTGCTTGTGCTAAGGCTTAGGCTACTGACACAAGGACATGGCCTAGCCGATGTGAATTTCATTAGTACCTTTCAGGGGAGACTGATGGGTGAACAGTTGGGTTCACTGTCTTGTAGCTAATGTTGTGGTAGGTATATGCCTTGGTGCTAGGGTAGCATGCAGATGGGGCCCTGTGCCAGGCCAGACAGGGAAGGGGAAAAGGGATGAGAGAATCCAAGGGTTTTATGGAGGTAGTAACATCTGAACTGAACCTTTACGTTTGAGTAGGTGTTAGCTAGAGAAAGCAGGTGGCAGCTGGAAAGGAGGGAATGTGGAGAACATTCCAGGTAGAAGGAAAAGCATGAGCAAAGGCATGGAGATGTGATGCCCAGGAAGTGTGGTGGAGGTGGGCATTAACTCAGGACAAATTCTGTTGATCAGTTGGGTGTCATCAACTAGCAGGAAAGAGAGGGGCAGAAAGAACCAGCAACCTATGAGGCAAATGCTGGTCTTCCTTCATGGACAAGGAATCCGACATAGAGAGGTTTTGTATAAGAAGTGGTGTGGCATAGTAGTTAAGTGTGTGTGTGCAAAAGCCAGTCTACCTGGTTCCAATCCCAGCTCAACACCCAACAGTGTGGTTTTAGGTAAGGTTCTTGTCCTGTCTGGGCCAAAGTGTCTTCGTGTAAAAAATGGAGCTGATAATACCTAACTCAGAAAGGTGATTTTGAGAATTAAATATCTTAATACTGCAAATCATTCAACCCAGTGCTTGAAACAGAGTAAATGTTCATAAATGTTAGCTATAATCATTACTAGTAACTTGTCCAACTTTGCCACTAAGCTCATAAGGAGCTAGGATTTGAACATGGGTATATTTAACTTCTATGTCTTGCTCTCTATGACACTCTGGCTTTCAGAATCATGTATATTTCTGATGCATAGACATGCTGCACTTTTAATAACACTCGTATATTTCTTGCATATTTCCATCTTCTTTTTCTAAAAAATATTAGAGTTCTAGAAATTTATATGTCCCACAGTAAGAAATAGATTTGAATTCCAGCCCAGTATATGTTCTCATATAAATAAAACAAGCAAAATTTTCACAAAGCAGTAGTGGCACCCAATCCATGTGCCATATACTCTGATATGTCTATTCTATTTTTTTTAAATAATAGTAAATAACAAGTTGGGGGTGGTTTCATATCCATGAGTAGACTGAGACTCAAAATTTAAAGAATATTATCCTATAGGAATGTCCAATTTATGTTCTAATTCCCAGCCAATCTAGCAACCTTCTGTTTACTAAGTCAGGAAGGGAGCAGCCTGGTTGGAAGACTCTAGTCCAGGATTTAAAATTCAAATGCCTTTATGGGACAGGTGTAACACAAATGTTTATAAGGCTATCAAGATGCAGAAAATGATGAAGGCTTGCCTTTCTGAAAGCTGGATTTTGGTTTCGTTTTGTTTTTTAAATTAAGCCCCTCTATCCTTGGAGAGAGACACATTGGTTTACAAACTGGTTTTATTTAGTGAGAACTAGTTTCTACCATCCTATCTAAAATAAGTATTGATATGGTTTGGATCTGTGTCTCTGCCCAAATCTCATGTCAAATTGTAATCCCCAAAGTTGGAGGTGGGCCTGTTGGGAGGTGATTGGGTCATGAGGGGTGGGATTTTCCCTTTGGTGCAGTTCTTGTGATAGTGAGTGAATTATTGTGAGAACTGGTTATTTAAAAGTGTGTAGCACCTCCTCCTCACTCTCTTCCTCCTGCTCCAGCCATGTAAGACATGTCTGCCTCCCCTTTGCCTTCCACCATGGTTGTAAGTTTCCTGAGGCCTCCCAAGCCATTTGTTCCTGTACAGCCAGTGGAACCATGAGCCAATTAAACCTCCTTTCTTTATAAATTACCCAGTTTCAGATATTTCTTTATAGCAGTGTGAGAACTGACTAATACAAGTATCTTCTCTCTCACCCTTTATTTCCTACTTCAGTCTCTTATTTATTTCCTTCTTTGCTGATAGAAACTTACAATTAATTTGTCTGTTTACTTGTGTTTTGTCTGTTTCTCCAGTGAATATTGGCTATACAAGTACAGCCATGACTCTCCTATTCACCGTTGTATCCCCAGTACCTACACTCAGTACACAGCACATATTAGATGCTTAATAAATATTTGTTGACTAGATGGTGGGATGGATGCATAGATAATGTAAGGATGGATGGATGGAAGGATGAACAGATGGAAAAGTGATAAAAAATAAGATTTCTGGGCTGGGAGCGGTGGCTCACGCCTGTAATTCCAGCACTTTGGGAGGCAGAGGCAGGCAGATCACGAGGTCAGGAGCTCGAGACCAGCCTGGCCAACATGGTGAAACCTCATCTCTACTAAAAATACAAAAATTAGCCGGGTGTGGTGGCAGGTGCCTGTAATCCCAGCTACTTGGGAGGCTGAGGCAGGAGAATTGCTTGAACCTGGGAGGTGGAGGTTGCAGTGAGCTGAGATTTCACCACTGCACTCCAGCCTGGTGACAGAACAAGACTCATCTCAGGGAGAAAAAAAAAAGTTTCTGAACCTACAGAACTGAAGATCTATGATGACTGGTGATTCCACTATGTCACATCTACCCACTGAGACCTATCGTGAAACAGTTCCAATATACCTTTGCTATGATATGTTTTCAAATTTGTTTAAACAATTGTAGTAAACATCTATATTTCTTATTGATATACAAGATTAGCCTACAAACCTAAGAACATTTCTTATATGTGGGATGGGTATCATCTATCATTTGGAGGAGTGGTCTGCCTACTCTTCCTTCTCTGTAGAGATTCAGATGTAAAATACAGCAATGCTAGTCACTATAACCACAGAAATCAAATTCCACAAGACAAAGTCACTTTTCTCTGCATTGGAAAGTAACATTTGTGTTCGGGTAAAATACCTACATAATTAGACTCATTCCTGCTCCTGGAGTTACCCACTGGTATTTTTATACTATATTTAAGAGAATCAGATCTGTAATCACACATGATTTTCTCTCCCAAGTCTCATGATCCCACTCCTTGAGGCCAGTTGAAGAAGATTAATCAGACCATGATTCAGCGTGCAGTGAGGTGCTTTTAAAGACATCACAAGTTTCTAACGTTGTCCCTAGCACAAGGCCCTTTTAATCTTTGAGGGGAATTCTCATTTTGGAAGACTAGATGAGAGGCAGGACACTTCCTGCCACCATGGAAGCTGGAGGATGGTCATGCTAAATCAATCAATCAGATACTCACAGCAGGACTTGGCCTCTTGATGCAATAGTGGAGGGAGGGGTATTTTTCAATAGGGCAGCAGCAGGCTGAGGGTCTACTGGGTGGTGAGCAGAGGTTCTAGTACCTGCAACAGCAACTCAGCCAGATTGTGACTGTGGTTTGACTTTATTCCTGCTGCTTAGCTCTTATGTCTTTTTTTTCCCCCGAGACAGAGTCTCACTCTGTCGCCCAGTCTGTAGTGCAGTGGCGCCATCTCAGGTCACTGCAACCTCCACCTCCCGGGTTCAAGCGATTCTCCTGCCTCAGCCTCCCAAGTAGCTGAGATTACAGGCATGTGCCACCACGCCCAGCTTATTTTTATATTTTTAGTAGAAATGAGGTTTCACCATGTTGGCCCAGCTAGTCTTGAACTCCTGACCTCAGGTGATCCACCCACCTCGGCCTCCCAAAGTTCTGGGATTACAGGCGTGAACCACCACGCCCAGCCTCTTATGTCTATTTTCTGAGGCAGATTCTCTATCCCTCCCATTGATTCTGTGCAATACAATATCCTCCCAGTACATTCCAGCCGAGAGTCAGTTTCGGCAGCAGACACTGTGATGGGCTCTCCACGGTTCCCTTCCAGTCTGAAGGACTTATTCTCTCAGCTGTTGAGTGGGCTGCTGGCAGACAGCCCTCAGCTGTCAGCCCTCTTCAGCATGGCCTCAGTGAAGAGGGTCTCTTTACCTAAGGTTACACCCCCTCACTGGAGCAATCTGAATCCAGAGGCTGGTCAACATAGGTCATAAGGCCCCCTTTCCCACTCAAGAGGGGTTGTCAGATAACATGATACTCAGTTAATTTAAATTTCAGATAAACAGTGAAAAAGATATATGTATGTTGAAAGTATTACACGGAGCACACATATTAAAAATTATTCATTGTTGGCCGGGCGCGGTGGCTCACACCTGTAGTCCCAGCACTTTCGGAGGCTGAGGCAGGTGGATCATGAGGTCAGGAGATCCAGACCATCCTGGCTAACACAGTGAAACCCCGTCTCTACTAAAAATACAAAAAGAAATTAGCCAGGTGCGGTGGCAGGCAGCTGTAGTCCCAGCTGCTTGGGAGGCTGAGGCAGGAGAATGGCGTGAACCTGGGAGGCAGAGCTTGCAGTGAGTCGACATCGTGCCACTGCACTCCAGCCTGGGGACAGAGCAAGACTCCGTCTCAAAAAAAAAAAAAAATTATTCATTGTTTATCTGAAATTCAAATTTAACTGGACTTCCTGTATTTTTATCTGCTAATTCTGGCAACGCTACGCTCACGACAACTCTGGCCATGGTAGCCTTGAGCATCCATGGGACTGGCTGAGGCCTACACTGAGACTTCATTGCAGCCCCTCTCCTCCTTCTGCCCACTCCTGCTTCCATCTCTTTTTTTTCTTTCTTAGGTGGTGATCCCAGGAGCACTTCCTAACGTACCTGCTGCAAGCTGTTCTCCATTTTATTTATTTAATTTTTTTTTTGAGATGGCATCTCGCTCTGTCACCCAGGCTGGAGTGCAGTGGTGCAATATGAATTCACTGCAACCTCCGCCTCCCAGGTTCAAGCGATTCGCCTGCCTCAGCCTCCCGACTAGCTGGGATTACAGGCACCTGCCACCACACCTGGCTAATATTTGTATTTTTAGTAGAGATGGGGTCTCACTATGTTGGCCAGGTTGGTCCGGAACTCCTGACCTCAAGTGATCTGCCTGCCTCAGCCTCCCAAAGTGCTAGGATTACAGGCATGAGCCACCACACCCGGCCTGTTCTCCATTTTAGAGCCTGGTTCCCAAGCAATCCAAACTGTGACAGTTTCTCTTCCTTGCAAAAGGGTGATCAATTGTCCTGGTATGCCCAGGACTGAGGGAGTTCTTGAGATAAGATGATTGCCCACCTTGCAACCAAGAATTCTAAGAGATATAACTCTCAATAGCTTGGGTGACCAAAAAGTGTCACTGTTTATCACCCTTTGAGGAGTCTGTGATGTAAATAAAAATATATTTGGTCTTTGCCCCACTGCCTGGCACAGAGCTTTTAAAACTTTTGGCATTTCCTGAATGATGGGAATGTCTTTTGTTACCCATGACAAGCTCCTTTTTTTTTGAGATGAAGTCTCACTCTTGTTCCCCAGGCTGGAGTGCGATGGCACGATCTTGGCTCATTGCAACCTCCGCCTCCCGGGTTCAAGCAATTCTCCTGCCTTGGCCCCCCGAGTAGCTGGGATTACAGGCACTTGCCACCATGCCCAGCTAATTTTTGTATTTTTAGTAGAGATGGGGTTTCACCACGTTGGCCAGGCTAGTCTAGAACCCCTGACCTCAGGTGATCCACCCGCCTCGGCCTCCCAAAGTGCTGGGATTACAGGTGTGAGCCACCGTGCCCGGCCACAAGCTCCTTTTGATAACACCTGAGTTTATGCTAGCAAGGTAACTTAGGGTGGGGCCTCCAGATAGCATCAGGATGGGGGCTGGTTACCAGAAAGACCAAGTGTTGGGAGGGTTGTCATTTTCTTTTTTTTCTGAGACGGAGTCTCACTCTGTCGCCCAGGCTGGAGTGCAGTGGCGTGATCTCTGCTCACTGCAATCTCTGCCTCTTAGGTTCAAGCGATTCTCCTGCCTCAGCCTCCTGAGTAGCTGGGATTACAGGCACGCACCACTATGCCCAGCTAATTTGTTGTATTTTTAGTAGAGATGGGTTTCACCATGTTGGTCAGGCTGGTCTCGAACTTCTGACCTTGTGATTCCCCCTCCTCGGCCCCCCAAAGTGCTGGCATTACAGGCGTGAGCCACCGCACCTGGCCAAGGGAGGGTTGTCATTTTCAACCCTACCCTCTGACCTCCTGGAAGGAGTAGAGGGGCTGGAGATAGAGCTCTACAAAAGTTCTGCATGAGATGTGATGAGCTTCCAGCTTGGTGAACACATTGAGGTGCAGGGAGGATGGTGTGCCTGGAAGGCCATGGGAGCTCTGCATACCCCTCCCCTCCCCATCCCATGTCTTGCCCTGTGCATCCCTTCCATTGACTGTTCCTGAGTGGTAGCCTTTATAATAAACCAGTAAATGTAAGTAAAGTGCCTTCCTGAGTTCTGTGAGCCATTCTAGCAAATTGTCAAACCTGAGGAGGGAGGCATGGGAGCCCCCAATTTGTAAGCTAGTTGGTTAGAAGTACAGGTGGCCAACCTGAGGTCAGGAGTTTGAGACCAGCCTGGCCAACATAGAGTAAAACCCTGTCTCTACTAAAAAATAACAAAAAATTAGCTGGGTGTGGTGGCACACACCTGTAGTCCCAGCTACTCAGGAGGCTGAGGCTTGAACCTGGGAGATGGAAGTTGCAGTGAGCCAAGATTGTGCTACTTAACTCCAGCCTGGGTGATAGAGGGAGACTCCATCTCAAAAAAAAAAAAAAAAAAAAAAAAAAAAAGAAGTAAGTACAGGTGGCCCAGACTTTTGATTTGGGCATCTGAAGTAGGGCAGTCTTGTGGGATTGAGCCCTTTACCTTCTGGGATCTGACACTAACTCCAGGTAGATAGTGTCTGGATGGGATTGGATTGGACTGGATTGGATTGGATGGGATTGGATGGGATTGGATGGGATGGGATGGGATGGGATGGGGTGGGATGGGATGGGATGGGATGGGATGGGATGGGATGGGGTGGGATGGGATGGGATGGGATGGGATGGGATTGTTGGACACCCAGTTGGTGACAGCAGTGAATTGGAGAATTGCTTGTGTGGAAAAACTCCACACATTTGGTATCAGAAGTGTTGTATGAGAAGGGCAAAAGAGTTTTTCTTTAGTGCCTAATGCTCACTGTAGGCTAGCCACTCCATCGGCCTAGGCTTTTGCCATGTTATCTTTGTTCAGTACTCCTCAGCCCTGCCAGGACCAAATATTTGTCCTGAATCCCAGCCCTTTCCTCTGAGGCCCTAAGATCCTGCCTTCTCGCACATGAGGTCAAATCCTATGTTGTCTAGGACCCTGAAGCTGTTACTTCCTGAGTTGGACAATTGTCTAGTGGTTAGACATCCCCTCTTTTAACTGTAGGATTGACTTATCCATCTCCCACCCCACTCTTATGACTTGCCTTCAACTATACGTGAGATTTCTGTTGATTGATAGTTCAGATGTCTTCTGTAAGGCCAGGCTCTCTCCTTCCAGAGTTGTCTTTTTCTCTGTCTCAATAGCCCATGTTTCTGAGGCCATATGCCTGAGCATCCCTATGTTATGGATAGAAGCATGAGAAGGGTGAAAAAGTATACAGACTCATGTTTCCAACAACATTAAGTGAACACTTCCTATATGCCACACACTGCACTAAGAGCTTCCTTCATTCATTTAAGAAAGTAATTGATTGCCAGCTATGGGGCAGGTACTACGCAAATGGCATTAGGGATATATCAGTAAACAGGAAGATAAGGTATCTGCCCTGGGGAGCTTACTTTCTATTGTGGGATGTAATCGATAAGCCAGTGTAGCCAGTGCTGTCCTGGTCCTGTTGGCTGGATCCTACACTGTTTCTCTGTGCCTCTCCCCCAGCTCCTGTGTGTGTTTTCTGCGATGGCCGCACCTGCAACTTTCCAGAGACATGTTCTTGGGCAGCTGGAGGAAGATGGAAGTGCATGGGAGTCTATCCCACTCTAAACCCTACCCCAGTGGCCCTTAGCCACTGACTGACTGCTACAGGAATAAAAACACAGTTTATTTGCTTCAAGTTGGGATAAACTCCAAGGCAGAATTTATACTGCAGAGCTCCCCTGTGGGATCAGGTTTAAGCTGAGACTCTGCCTCAAATCCCACCCGCACTTTCCTCCTTGCCTACCCCTGTCCTGCTCCCCCACTCCCTTACTGGCTGCCCCTCCTTAATAAATCACTTGCCCATGTATCCTCATCTCAGGATCCATTCTTAGAAAGCCTGATATAAGACAGCAAGTCCTCAAATAGATAATGATAAGCTGCAATTCGTCTATGAGGAAAGGAGTGTTGTGATAGAGAACGATGGAGGAAACTACATTAGACAGGAAAGGCAACCCAAAAAGGGGATATTTCAGCTAAGAAGGAGCCAGATACATGAAAAGCCAGGAGAAGAGTATTTCTGACAGAGGGAATGGAAAGGGCAAAGGTCTTGAGGCATGAAAGAAGCAGGCATTGCATGGTGGCTCATGCCTGTAATTCCAGCACTTTGGGAGGCTAAGGTGGGCGGATCACTTGAGGTCAGGAGTTCAAAACCAGCCTGGCCAAGATGGTGAAACCCCATCTCTACTAAAAACACAAAAATTAGCCAGGCATGGTGGTGTACACCTGTAATCCCAGATACTCAGGAGGCTGAGGAAGGAGAATTGCTTGAACCTGGGAGGCCGAGGTTGCAGTGAGCCGAGATCACATCACTGCCTCCAGCCTGAACGACAGAGTGAGACTCCATCTCCAAAAAAAAGAACCAGGATTTAGGAACAGAGAAGCCCATACATCATCTAATTTATCCCCAACAGCCCTTTAATCAATGTGGAAACTGAGGCAGGAGAAATGAAGTAACTGGTTCCAGATTACCACCGACACACAGTATTGGAGAATTGAAACCCTGATCGGAATACTGACCTTGGTGACTCTGGGCTGTCACAGCTGGCCACCAGAGTCTTATTTGCATGAGAGGCCCTCTGTCCCCAGGGAGGAAGATGGGGGAGGGCTCATAATAGATGCCGAGGTTTAAAGAAAAGGAGGAGATAAAAGAGGAGACTGATCAGGGGGCTCACCTTGGAAGTTATTTTTAACTCTTATCAGAGGTTGGCTGAAAAATGCATCTAACAAAATTACCTTCCATTTGGGACAAAAAAGTGATGCCTCTTTGCAGCTGTGGGAGAAATGGTGGGTAGGAGGTGGTTGGGGTCGCAGGCTCACATGGCCAGACTCCAGGGGACCCTTTCCCCCGAACCCCTTCCGCTTCAGCACTACCAGGCCCCTCCCCCAACCCCCACGTAGCCCTCACTCCAGCAGGACCATTACCTGCTGCTTCATGAGCACAGCAAGCTCTTTGAGGCCTTTGTCCAAAGCACAGGCTGTTACCTCTACTGGGGGACAGGGAGCAGGGTTCCTTCCAACCCTTTACCTGCTGGCAACACCTCCTTCACTTTTAGGACTTAACTCTAAAATTAGCTTCCTTGTGAAGTCTTCCCCCCTCCCAGGCAGTATTAGTCATCTTTCTGTGTTTCCAAAATGTTCTGTTTAGACGTGTGTTATGGATTTCACTACCCCTGTTTTTCAGGTAGGGAAAATCTGAGCCTAGCAGCAACTGAACTTTGAGAAAAAGTTGTAGGGCTGGCAGTGAGCACTAGAAAATTCTGTATCATAAGAGCCAGATGGGGCAAGAGAGTTCCTGATGACCCATGCAGACCCGACTTCTTGAGGACAGGGGATCCAGGAAAGATGGCAGTGAAGGCAGAAGAAGGGAAGGCCCATTTAAGAGGCTACGTAGGTCATTTAACTCTACTTCTGAAACCTTTTCCTACTGAGATTCACAAATTAAAATTAATTTTTTTTTTTTTGAGATGGAGTTTTGCTCTTGTTGCCTAGGCTGGAGTACAATGGCGTGATCTCAGCTCACTGCAGTCTCTGCCTCCTAGGTTCAAGCAGTTCTCCTGCCTCAGCCTCCCGAGTAGCTGGGACTACAGGCACACGCCACTAAGCCCGGCTAATTTTTTGTATTTTAATAGAGACAGGGTTTCACCATGTGGCCCAGGGTGTTCTCGAACTCCTGAACTCAGGCAATCTGCCCACCTCAGCCTCCTGAAGTGCTAGGATTACAGGTGTGAGCCACTGCGCCCAGCCTAAAATTATTCTTTGATGAGCCTATTCTCTGGAACTACTAAGAGGGACTGTGGCCATGAATAACTAGTTCCATTTGTCTGCTTTACTTATGAAAATCCTCAATGTGGCTCTCCACCAAAGTATCCTGAATTAGTCTTGTGTGTCTGCACATGACACTATGTGATCCAAACTAAGAAGAACTATTCCCTGCTTTATGTCTGTCACTGGTTTCCTATTAAAGTTTGCATTAGTAGCAACTCCCATTTTTGTAGTACTTTACAATTCACAAACTATCATATTGTTTCAGTTTAGTTTTCACACTGTAGGGACCAGGGGAAAAAATTCCCCTCTGCCCTTTAAAGAGTCACTGAAAGTCACTGACAAGAGGCAAATTGATAGGAGAAAAGGCATACAAATGTATTTGATCAGAGTTGTATGTGACATGGGAGACTTCAGAATGAAGACCCAAAGATACAGAAGACGCTGCCCATTTTTATGATCAGGTTTGAAGTATGGACAGCTGTGTAGAAAAGTGATTGGACAAAAAGGGGTGATCTAATGCTCACAGGCTGGGGAAACTGAGCCAGCCCTGTCTAGATTCTTATTGGCCTCTCTGTGCAGCATTCCTTCCTTCTGGGTATGGAGCAGGGCCCTCTCTGGAATGAGGATCCAATAACCTACAATTAAATAAGACAGGTCAGATAACTTCTTTAAGGCCAGTTTTTACACAAAAAGGCTGGTGAGGGTAGAGAGGTAAGGTTAGAGTAATATTTTTAGGTTTTATGGTGGGCTTTGAGAGAAAAGGGGTTCTGGTTTCTATGATCTCTCTTGGAGATGAGAGCTTCTAACTTTTTCTTTCTTTCTTTCTTTCTTTCTTTCTTTCTTTCTTTCTTTCTTTCTTTTTCTCTTTTTTTCTTTCTTTCTTTCTTTCTTCTTTCTCTTTCTCTCTTTTCTTTCTTTTCTCTTTCCCTCCCTCCCTTCTTTCCTTCCTTCCTTCTTTTCTTTCTTTCTTTTTTTTTTTTTGACAAGTCTCAGTCTGTTAGTCTGTTGCCCAGGGTAGAGTGTAGTGGCACGATCTCGGCTCACTGCAACATCCACCTCCCTGGTTCAAGTGATTCTCGTGCCTCAGCCTCCTGAGTAGCTGGGATTACAGGCATGTGCCACCATGCCCAGCTAATTTTTTCATTTTTAGTAGAGACGGGGTTTCACCATATTGGCCAGGCTGCTTTCAAGCTCCTGACCTCAAGTGACCCATCAGCCTTGGCCTCCCAAAGTGCATGCATGAGCCACCGTGCCTAGCCAGAGACTCTAGTTTCTGTGGCTAGCCTAGTGGCAGAATGAGGTGCCAAGGACAGAACAGGATAAGGTCAGAGAAAAACTTTTGCTTCTGAGGGCTTCATTTTGGGTATCTTTTTCTGAGAACTTACAACACAACATCAGAATAATGCTACTGTACACCCATGTGATAGATGAGGATATTGAGGCTCAGAGAGGTAAGGTGACTAGCCTGGCAGCTACCTGGCAGGAAGTAGCAGAGCGAGAACTTCACCTACACTTCACCAATTTTAAGTCCAGTACTTACCTAAGAACTTCCAACAGATGCTCCCCTGAGGCGAAGACTGGTTTCCAGAATTCCACTCTTCTACAAGCCTGAGAAAATTCTAATTGCTTGACCTTCAGAACTCAGGAAGACCTTTTTTGACTGTGGTTTGTGTCCTGGCCAAAGAAAGCATTATTACAGGAGCAGTATGCAGCATGCCCTAACCAAACCAGGAAGAGCTCCATCACAGGTTGATAAATAACCCTGCTTCCATGAAGGAGAGATGATTCCAAAGAAAATAAACATACAGCAAATTGCTCCTTGTCGTAGGAAAGTTCCAGAGTATGGGCACAAGAAGAAGAATTTCCTAAGGAAGGAAGAAAATGGTGTTGGGGGATAGGAATAGAAAGTATTATGAAAAATAACTAATAAGAAATAGGGAAGGAGCAACAATCAGGATGGAATCATTTGCAAAACGAAGAAGTAGAATGTGGTCCAAGGGAAAGCCCATTCAATTCAGAAATTAATATTTATTTAACAATCCAAAAGTAAAAATGAAGAAATTTGAGGCTCTTAAGTAAATTAATGTGCATTGAATCCCATGGGGTGATTGTGCCATGGGAGACACCAATGACAAGAGAGGAAAGTAGTGGTCATTATAGCTACATTTATTAGTTCTTGCTATGTGCCAGGTGCTGTCCTGTGACTTCAAAGATATAATTCCAGCCAGGTATGGTGGCTCACCCCTGTAATCCTAGCACTTTGGGAGGCCAAGGTGGGTGGATCATGAGATCAGGAATTCGAGACCAGGATGGCCAATATGGTGAAACCCCATCTCCACTAAAAATACAAAAATTAGCTGGATGTGGTGGTGCGTGCCTGTAATCTCAGCTACTCGGGAGGCTGAGGCAGGATAATCACTTGAATTTGGGAGGTGGAGGTTGCAGTGAGCTGAGATTGCACCACTGCCCTCCAGTCTGGGCAACAAGAGCGAAACTCTGTCTCAAAAAAAAAAGAAAAGATATAAGATATAATCGCATTAAATGTGCACAATGATCCTCTTAGCATTTTGCAAATTGTACAAATGAGAAGCTAAGGCAGGTCGCTTAGCTAGTCGGTGATGAAGGTAGAATTTGAACCCAAGGCTCTTGAGCTGAAAATCTTCAACCCTATCTTTTATCACCTCATGGAGAGTTGCCTGCTTCAATGATTTAAAGTTTACATGTTTAGTATTCAGATTGCTGCTTAAATCCAATGAATTCTACAGTGATCCTAGCAAATGTATGTGGAGTTGAGGGGGGTGTACAGGAGGATTCTCTGGATAAGAAATAACAGAAACACAACTTAAACATTAGTTTAAACTTAAGCTAAAAGGGAATTTTTGGTTTTATTTTTTGAGATTGAGGTCTCACTATATTGCCCAGGCTGGTCTCAAACCCCTGAGTTCAAGAGATCCTCCCACCTTGGTCTCCCATGTAGCTGGGATTACAGGCATGAACCATTGCACCCAGCTCAAAAGGGAGATTTTTGGCAGCAGGCTGAGGTGGCTTCCAGAATGAAGGGTGAATTTGACAGCTGAGCCTTGGGAGGTCAGGAAACAGAGAATCTCTGAGATTTCAGCTCCTGAAATCAGGAATTTGAAAGCTCTCAGGACCCTCCCACTTCTCACCCTGTTTCTCTCCTTGGGTGGGCTGCTTCTTCTATTGCAAGACAGCTCCTTCACGGGGTAAGGGATGGCCTCTGATAGCTCTGGACTTCCAGCCAAGCAAGCAACTTCACAGAGTGGGGAAAAAAGCCCTCTTCTTTCCCAACTTATTTTCCTGTTTTTCCCAAGTAAAACCTTTTGGAGGGAAGAACCATGATTGGTCCAGCTTGGGTCATGTGCTCAACCATGGGCCAATCACTGTGGTCCTGGGGGTGAGGTTCTATGATGTCACCTTCCCCACATACTAGGGTCACATGGGGTTTTGATGGAGCCTTTCTCAGAAGGGAGTTGCTGTTCTGAATAGTCAAAACTATAAGTGTCCATGAGAAATCGGACTACCAGCAAGAAAATTACAAACATCAGAAGAGATGCAAAAAGAGGTAAGATCAAACAGTTTGGTAGCAGAATAAAATGCTCAGTAGACTTTCGAAACACTATATCACGAAAACAGGATTTGGGCACAAGGAAAGGAGATTTATTTAACAATGTAGGGGGCATAAAAAGCAATTTAAGAGATGAGTTAGGATGCCGGCTCTGAAACCTCCAAATAGTTCTATTATGAAGAGAGATGCATTCTTGGAGAGTTGACTAATACAGGGTTCGTGCTCCTAGTTTGTGCCTACTAAATATTAATTCATTTTGATGGCAGGTTTTATTAAGAATTATTGCTTAGAGCACTTACATATTTATAACATATTTTAGCAGAGTAATTTGCATATATAAAGCTCTGCATAAATGCAAACGATAATAATGACAGTGTTGTTGGGCTTATATTTACTCTTTCATACATGCATTTATTCATTCATCTCTTGTCTACCAACTGAGTGGATACTCTATTCCAGGCACTCTGTTGGACATTCCTAGCTTCTGCCCTCATGATGTGTCTTAGTTTGCTCAGGCTGCTATAATGAAATACCATGGATTTGGTGTTTTAAACAATAGACATTCATTTCTCACAGGCCTGGAGTCTAGGAAGTCTAAGATCCAGGTGCTGGCAGGATGAGATCATGGCAAATTCAGTGTCTGATCCCATCATGGGGATACCACACTTGATATGGTTTGGTCCTGTGTCCCTACCCAAATCTCATCTCGAATTGAAATCCCCACATGTCAAGGGAGAGACCTGTAATCTCCACGTGTCGAGAAAGGGAAGTGATTGGATAATGGGGACGGTTTCCCCCATGCTGTTCTCGTGACAGTGAGTGAGTTCTCATGAGATCTGATGGTTTTATAAGGGGCTCCTCCCACTTCACATGCAAGCTCTCTCTCCTGCTGCCTTGTGAAGAAGGTGCCTGCTTCTCGTTCTGCCATGATTGTAAGTTTCCTGATGCCTCCCCAGCCATGCAGAACTGTGAGTCAATTAAACCTCTTTCCTTTATAAATTACCCAGTCTCAGCCGGGGGTGGTGCCTCACACCTGTAATCCCAGCACTCTGGGAGGTGGAGGTGGGCAAATCAACTTGAGGCCAGGAGTTCAAGACCAGCCTGGCCAACATGGTGAAACCCCATCTCTACTAAAAACACAAAAAATTAGCCAGGCATGGTGGTGCACACCTGTAATCCCAGCTACTCGGGAGGCTGAGGCATGAGAATTGCTTGAGCCTGGGAGGCGGAGGTTGGAATGAGCCGAGATTATACCACTGCACTCCAGCCTGGGAAATAGAGGGAAAATAAAATTTTATTTTATTTATGTATTAAAAATAAATAAAATAAATTATCCAGTCTCAGGTATTTCTTTATAGCAGAGTGAAAATGGGCTAATACAACCCTCATGACCTAATTACCTCCCAAAGGCCCCACCTCCAAATACTATCACACCGGAGATTAGGACTTCAATATAAGAATTTTGGGAGGATACAAACATTCAGTCCATAGCAAGGTGCTTAGAGTACAGTGGAGGAGACAGAGCTATGAACAGATTATGTCTAGATAGGTCTATAGTGGACACTGTGGTGCACTGCCCAGATCACCGCTTCAAGATGGAGACACTCTTCCTCCCTATGCAGAGTTGCCCATTAAAGACTCAGATGAGTCCATCCCCAGGAATTGCCCTTGGCTGAAGGGAGCTGTCTTCCCCAAGGTTAATGCCCCTTCCTGGAATTGGGGCAGTCTGCATCCAATGACTGGCCAATGACTGGCCATTGAGGGAGTACCAAGGCCAGTCTCCTTGTCTCAACTGGAGTAAACACTGAAAGGTTACCCAGTCAGCTGAGGCCTCTGCTGCAACTGCACCACAGTTCAACTCTTCCTTTACCCAGTTCTGCTTCTCTCACTCCCTTATAGGTGTTGTTCCTGAGAACACACTCCAAAACATCCCATCTGCATATAAATCTCCATCTCTGAGTCCATTTTACAGGGAACCCCACCTAAGACAAGATGCAGCTTAGAAAATTATTATTAGGAAAAGCTGTCCTATTCACAGTTGCCAGAGCCTACTTTCCAAATAGAAAACACTAGTTACCTTGGAAGAAGTCTTTGGAGAAGAATCACCAGGATGGCTTATCTACATTGTATAAATATAGAGAAGGAGGCACCCATTACCTGGGAGAAAGAGGGGACAGAGTATTTGCAGTGTGAGAAAACCTGGTCCCAGTGTACAGAGCTGGTCTGTTGGGGAGAATGTGGATAATTTTGCATAGAGGACAAGAAGCTTCCTGGGAGGGGAGGAATGGAGACCTGGAACCCTCTCCCTTTTGAGGTTTATATAACTCCTCTGATAAATGGGGCAGTCCCAACTGAGGTCCCCTGGTGAGAAAAGAGAAAAAGGCTCTAGAGAAGAACTCACTAGGAGCAAAGGAGAAGTCCCTGGGAAGCCCCTCACGTCCCAGTCATCCTGGTGTGAAAGTGGGCTTTGGGGAAAAGAATGATCATAAGATTGTAAGTTAAAGAGCCAAAGAGGGAAAGATTTCTAACAAGACAACACTGAGGGCATGGGATCACCTTCCCCCCGAGGACCTCTTGGCCGGTGAGGAATATTAACTTGAAAGACTGTCATCTCAGCAGCAGCAGACAAGCACATACTGGACTACAAAACCAACTTTTAATACCAGCACTGTAGAGTAGTAACAGAATCAACCACAGTGGAAAACAGGGGCCTACTGGAAACTGGTGAGAATTTCCAGTTCTAGTTCTCTAATGTGAGCCACTAGAGTTTCCACAAATTGGCGAAAGGAGGCTGTTACCAATTTATTTAACACTCAAAAAGAATGTGATTTTATTGGTACTTTAATCTGGTGAGGGGGGTCATATGGTTACAAGTAATTCCAAAACAAAGTGAATAGTACATTAGGAAGAGGAATGGCTGGGCACGGTGGCTCATGCCTATAATCCTAGCAATTTGGGAGGCTGAGGGAGGTGGATTGCTTGAGACTATGACTTTAAGACCAGACTAGGCAACCTAGCAAGACTGTGTCTCTAAAAAAATTTTTTAAAAATTAGCCGGGTGTAATGGTGCATACCTATGGTCCCAACTACTCAGGAGGCTGAGATGGGAGGATTGCTTGAGCCCAGGAGTTGGAGGCTGCAACGAGCTGTGATTGTGCCACTGCACTCCAGCCTGAGCAACATAGTGAGACCCTTTCTCAAAAAAAAAAAAAAAAAAAAAGAAGAGCATGACTACTGCCAAGGAGGAAATCTTCCCAGAGGATATGAACCAAGCTAAGTCCTGTAGGCTTAAGAGGAGTCCCCAGGGGGATTATGAGGTGTGGCCATTCATCAGAAGGGCATCCTAGACTTTTCAGGACCAAAGCACAGAGGTGAGAAGAAGCACTGTCTCCTGTAAATAATCTACATGGCTCTAGAGCCCAGGAGGCACTGTAAGCAGGATGAGATGATGGAAGGCCCTAGCAGCCATGATCAGACATGTAAACTTGATTCCCATGACCCTGGAGTTCAGGACTGAAGGATAAGTAAGGGAATGAAGAAGGCCCTGCTGGGATTGAAGCAAATCTGTCAAACTGAGTCTATTCCCAACTAAAGGAAGTAACGGTCAACCAGCTTCTGCCAGTTGTTGCCATGGAAGGGTACAGACCCAGGGTTAGCAAATCTTCGAAATCGTCAAGAAAAGCTGGAATTCCCAATATTTATAAGACAGGCCCAGATTTTTTAAGTTGGCAATTATTCCAAAAACAACGACAACAACAACAACAAAAAACAAAACCACTGAGGGGGCTAAACAAAACACCTTTAGATGCAGTCAAGGGCCTCCAGCTCACCACCTCTGCTGGACTGAAGGGAGCTCTCAGGCAGAGAAATGGAAAGTTCAGATTTGCATATTTAGTCACTCTTGGGCAGTATGATTAGAGGGAGTAAGAGACTAGAGATAGGCAGTCTGGTTAATTCAACAACAGACTTTTTGAGACCTCTGTGTGTGTGACAAGAGCTGGAGTCACAATAGTGAGGTTTTGGAACCTCAAGTCTGGTGTGGGAGAGCAACTTAATGAACAGTCCCACAAATGTGTAATCACGCACTATGAGTGTACTCCAGGGAAGAAAAGAGTAAGGCCCAAATTGTGGGGAAATATGGAAAAGAACAGACTAAAGAGCTATTTTGGAAGTTTGGCAACAACTTAGATGGGGGAGAAAAGAAAGGGCATTTCAAGGTCTTACCCGGGTGAGTGGGTAGATGCCGTTGTGGAAAGAAGCAGAAAAAAGAGCATGGGAAACCCTGTCACTATTGAGAGTTACATAAACAGAGGAAAATGTGGTTTAAACAGATGATGACGCAAAGGAATGAGTGAAGTCCTACATTTTCATTTTTGTCCTCTTATGGAGGCTTCCAAACTGCCATATTTGCTTCTTTCTGGAGATAAACCTGCCCTGCCTGTCTCATAAGGCACTTATATTAGTCAGGATTCTCCAGAGAATCAAAACCAATAGGATCTATGTTCATATCTATATTTATTTATTTGTTATAAGGAGTTGGCCCACATGATTATGAAGGTTGTTGAATCCCCAAATCTGTAGTCAGCAAGCTGGAGACCCAAGAGAGCCAAAAGTGTGGTTTGAGTCTGAACGCTGGCAGGCTAGAGACGCAGGACAAACCAGCATTTCAGTTCCAGTCTGAAAACAAGAAAAAAAGCCAATGTCCCAGCTTGAAGACAGGCAGGAGGAGTTCTCTCTTGCTCGTGGGAGGGTCAGCCTTTTTGTTCTATTCAGACCTTAGCTGATCGGATAACATCCATTCGTATTGGTAAGGGGGAGTCTGCTTTACTCCATCTACCAATTCAAATGTTCATCTCAGGCCGGGCGTGGTGGCTCACTCCTGTAATCCCAGCACTTTGGGAGGCCAAGGCAGGAGGATTGCTTGAGCTCAGGAGTTCCACCAGCCTGGTCAACATGGTGAAACCCTGTCTCTACAAAAAAATACAAAAATTAGCCAGGCATGGTGATGTGCACCGGTAATCCCACCTATTCAGAAGGCTGAGGCAGGAGGATCACTTGAAACCAGCAGGCGAAGGTTGCAGTGAGCCAATATCATGCCACTGCACTCTAGTCTGGGTGACAGAGCCAGACCTTGTCTCAAAAAAAAAAAGTTAATTTCCACCCAAAACACCCTCCCATACACCCCCAGAATACCTGACCAAATGTCTGGGCCATCATCTTCTCTCTCCTGGGCTACTGCCATGGCCTCCTAACTGGACATGATGTTGTCTGTGCTGGCGATTTATCTGTGATCTCCAAGATATCTTTCTATGCTCTTCTCTGTAATCCTGGGGTTGGGATGATGCAAACGAAATCTCTCCACCTCCCAGCTAGCTGGCTTCCTGTTAGGTTTTCCAATCTGAGGCATTAGAAGGAGATCACAAAGCAGAAGAAAAGAAGGGACTTCTACCTTGTTTTCCACTTCCTGTTTTCAATTTTACTTCAGTAGCAGCACATAACTGGCCCTAGCTCCAGCTTCTGAGTATTCTCAGTACCAACCTTGCTGTGCCTCCCCTCAAGCCCCAGGTGCCAGCAGCAGCCATGCCACACCCCCTCACCTGCTGGGCTGCACCCCAGGGAGGTCTGAGCACCTGTAGAGCCACGCCCCTTTGGTGGAAACACCAGCCAGACAGCAACCCCCTCATCCGAGATCTGAGCCAGGCAGAGCTGTCCTCAGAAATCCAAGCACCAGCCCCGTGGGGCCCCTCCTCCAAGCTCCTCAGTACAGGCAACTCCACCTGTTCCCTCCTGTTGGTCAGCCTTGGGAGCGAGAGCTGCTTCCTGCAGTTATTAATCCCTAGGTTACCTAGCCTCTTCCTTTTTCCTTTTACTCTTTCAGCCCTCTAATGCCTGTGAAACCAATTCTTTATATTTACTGAAATACCTACAGTGTCTTCTGTTTCTGACTGGCCAATGGCTGATAACCCTTTTAAACCATTTTCCATTTAGCAGACTTTTGAAATCCATTTTCCATTTACCAGTTATCTTTTGAAAATGTGGCTCACTCCCCCGCTGTACTAGTCAAGGTGCTGGGTTTCAAACAACAACTTCTGGCTAATGTTTAAACAGAGGAGGGATTTATTGAAAGTGACTAGGGAGCTCAGAGAATCAAGAGGAAGACTGGAGAACAAGGTACCAAGTAAGGCTGTCACAGCAAAGCTCCCAGCACGGCTTGCTATGCCACTGATACCATACCACAGGAGACATACGGGCAGCCAGGTGTCAGTGGACATTGGTTGCCATATGCTGGACTCTGCTGCCACGGCACACTCATTCCTGGGCGCTCCTGACCCCACCACAGCCACCCTATTAATTTCTTTTTTTTTTTTTAATTTATTTATTTATTTTTTTTTATTGATCATTCTTGGGTGTTTCTCGCAGAGGGGGATTTGGCAGGGTCATAGGACAATAGTGGAGGGAAGGTCAGCAGATAAACAAGTGAACAAAGGTCTCTGGTTTTCCTAGGCAGAGGACCCTGTGGCCTTCCGCAGTGTTTGTGTCCCTGGGTACTTGAGATTAGGGAGTGGTGATGACTCTTAAGGAGCATGCTGCCTTCAAGCATCTGTTTAACAAAGCACATCTTGCACCGCCCTTAATCCATTTAACCCTGAGTGGACACAGCACATGTTTCAGAGAGCACAGGGTTGGGGGTAAGGTCACAGATCAACAGGATAAGAATTTTTCTTAGTACAGAACAAAATGAAAAGTCTCCCATGTCTACCTCTTTCTACACAGACATGGCAACCATCCGATTTCTCAATCTTTTCCCCATCTTTCCCCCCTTTCTATTCCACAAAACCGCCATTGTCATCATGGCCCGTTCTCAATGAGCTGTTGGGTACACCTCCCAGACGGGTTGGTGGCCGGGCAGAGGGGGTCCTCACTTCCCAGTAGGGGCGGCCGGGCAGAGGCGCCCCTCACCTCCCGGGCGGGGCGGCTGGCCGGGCGGGGGGGCTGACCCCCCCACCTCCCTCCCGGACGGGGCGGCTGGCCGGGCGGGGGGCTGACCCCCCAACCTCCCTCCCGGACGGGGCGGCTGGCCGGGCGGGGGGCTGACCCCCCAACCTCCCTCCCGGGCGGGGCGGCTGGCCGGGCGGGGGGCTGACCCCTCAACCTCCCTCCCGGACGGGGCAGCTGGCCGGGCGGGGGGCTGACCCCCCAACCTCCCTCCCGGGCGGGGCGGCTGGCCGGGCGGGGGGGCTGACCCCCCCACCTCCCTCCCGGACGGGGCGGCTGGCCGGGCAGAGGGGCTCCTCACTTCCCAGTAGGGGCGGCCCGGCAGAGGTGCCCCTCACCTCCCGGACGGGGCGGCTGGCCGGGCGGGGGGCTGACCCCCCCCACCTCCCTCCCGGACGGGGCAGCTGGCCGGGCGGGGGGCTGACCCCCCAACCTCCCTCCCGGACGGGGCGGCTGGCCTGGCGGGGGCTGACCCCCACCTCCCTCCCGGATGGGGAGCCACCCTATTAATTTCTAACTGACCTTACCTCTTGGAAGATGACCTCATGATTCAAAGTCCCAGGTAGGAGCATCTATCTGATTGACGTTGCTCTAAGTGCCAGGGGGAAGGGGAGAGAAACCATCTTTTCTATTCATTTCTAAGTTGTAGCTTCAATAGTGGAACTGATGCCTGATATGCCACAAGTTTTGTGATTCCCAAAAATAAGAAGGGCTTTTCAATGCCCAGGGTGGTAATTATCCAGTATGTTGCCTAAAACCATCCAATAGCTTCCCCTCTCAGAGTAAAAGTCCCAAAACTGGCCTTGATGTATGGTATGACCTGGCACCACCTAACTTTCTGACCTCATCTCATGCCAATCTTCCATGCTCATGTTTCTGTCACATGGGGTTTCTGTCTGTCCCTTAAGCAAGCCATGCTTATTCTGACCCCAGGGAATCACCGTTCCCTCACTCTGGAAGATGCTTCCTTCTTGCCTCCAAGCATCAGCTCAGATATCTTCTCCTCAGTGAAACCTTCCTAAGGAAGCCTCTACCACATTCCTCTTCTCTTTGTAGCACTTGTTTGCACGTGATCTTTTCTTGTGTGTTGATTTGTTAATTACCTGCCTCCCGTGTCTGGAATGTCAATTCTGTGATGTCTATTCATTGCTGCTGCATCCCAGCACCTGGGAGAGTGGCTGGCTCTGGCAGGTGCTTACTGTTTGTTGAATGGACAGACAGCTAGATGGCTCAATTCTGTTTATTAAAGAGTCCTGCTTGATAAAAGAAAAGCAAAACAATGTTCTAATGAAAACAATGGCAAGTGAGATTCCATGGATGCTTTTTAAAATAATTAACTTTAGAACGCATCCATGACATTTATTTTGGAGGTTTCACTAAGGAATTAGGGCTTTAAGGTGGACCCTAATGAGGCTGTTTTAATCTTCGGGAGAGACTATGGTTTCCTTCTCATGGCAACCAGCTAGGAGTCCTCCATTTTATAAATTAAAGCAGAAGGTAAGGTTTAGGTAAGGAAAGCCACAAAACATACCACATTCATACTGAGTATGGGTTTATTTTTCATTTTTTACTTTTTGGTTTTTTGTATTTTGGCTTTTTTTGAGACCGAGTCCAGGCTGGAGTGCAGTGGGGTGATCTCGGCTCACTGCAACCTCCACCTCCCAGATTCAAGTGATTCTCCTGCCTCAGCCTCCCACGTAGCTGGGATTACAGGCAGGCACCCCTACACCCGGCTAATTTCTTTGTATTTTTTACAAAAAAGTACTAAAAAAGAGATGGGGTTTCACTATGTTAGCCAGGCTGATCTTGAACTCCTGACCTTAAGTGATCCACCCACCTCAGCTTCCCAAAGTGCTGAGATTACAGGCCTGTGCCACCATGCCCGGCTAATTTGTTTATTTTTTAGTAGAGACAGGGTTTTGCTGTGTTGGCCAGGCTGGTCTCGAACTCCTGACCTCATGTGATCCGCCCGCCTCAGCCTCCCAAAAAGCTGGGATTACAGGTGTAAGCCACCGCACCTGGCCTTATTAGCTGTGTGTTGTTGGCTCTGTCACTGCTAGCTATGTGACCTTGGGCAAGCCACATAACCTCTCTTTGCTTCAATTTCCCGTTTGCAAAATGGGAATAATAACCGCATGTACACATAGGGCTGTTATGAGGACTGAATGAGTCAGTATGTAGAAATCACAAGAAAAGTGTCTAGCATATAGTTACCTTTGATAAAGTATAAGTAATATAAGCATAAGCCAGTATTATGGTTTGGATCATATTTGTATGTTGATAAGAGCAACTTCAACAAGATAAAAGTTTATATATCTTTCAGGGGCCAGGTGCGGTGGCTCACTGTAATCCCAGCACTTTGGAGGCAGACGTGGGCAGATCACCTGAGGTTAGGAGTTAGAGACCAGCCTGGTCAACATGGTGAAACCTCATCTCTATTAAAAGTATAAAATTAGCTGGGCATGGTGGCAAGTGCCTGTAATCCCAGCTATTTGAAAGGCTGAGGCAGGAGAATCGCTTGAACCCAGGAGGCAGAGGTTGCAGTGAGCCAAGATCAAGCCATTGCACTCCAGCCTGGGCAAAAAAGTGAAACTCTGTCTCAAAAAAAAAAAAAAAAAAAAACCAAAATGTTTATATATCTTTCAAATAAAAGAAGTCGGAGGTAGGCAGCCCAGGGCTGGTATAGCAGCTCCTTGGTCACTGGGGGCAGAAGCGCTGTCTTCCTCCACCCCTCTACCACCATTGAATACATGCTTTATATCCTCAAAGTCCAAGATGGCTGCCAAAGCTCACATCTGCATTGTAGGCACCAGAAAGTAGGATGGGAGAAGGGTAAATAGGGACATACCTCACAGCCAAATCAATACCCTATAAGAAACCTTCCCACGGGGCCCTAGATAGTTCTTTTATTTGCATCTCTTTGGCTACAACTTAGTCGCATGGCCACACATAGCTGTCAGAGGTACTGGGAAATTTATTTTCACTGGATGTGAACACTCCAAATAAAGCTGAAATTCCGTTACAAAAGAAGAAAGGAAAAATGGATATGGGCCTTATGTAAGTTATTTAACGTCTCCAAATTTTAGTTTTTTCCTTTTAAAGTGGGAACAATAGAACATGCTTCATACAGCTGTCTGGAAGATTACATGAAGAAAGCTTAAAAACTGCTAGCACAGCCATGACACACACTAAGTAAACATTAGCTGTTATCACAAGGAGGAAAAAATGTATCTCTGCATGCTTTTAAAAATAAGATACACAAAACCAAATGGAACAAAAAGAAGAAAAAATATTCCCGCACAAACTACTCGGTAACTTCAGAGAGAAACCTACTCTATCTGTGGGTTTCTTCCACCTTTTTGTTGCTTTGGCCTTCTTTATCTCAACTGACTCTCAGCTGACAAAGTTCCAGTTTTAAATATCATATCACCCTGCTTTGCTGCTTACAAAGGGCCACTGTGTCTGGGCGGGCCGTCTCAAACTCACTGTTCTGAATCTTTCCAGTCTCGCCCACCACCCAACTGCTGTCTAACTGTGCCCAGTGTTCTCACCCAGTGGTTCATAAGCCCGGCTGACCTTAAGAGTCACTTACCTGAAGAGTTCTGTAAAAATACAGACTCCAAGTTCCCACCCCAGAAATCAGCCTGAAAAATTCCCCTACAACCGCCTCAGCTGTGTCAAACTGCCTTGGGGTTTTCTTGGACTAAGTGACTCAGCAACTTGAATGTTTATAGAGTACAGATGAATATATCTTGTAACACAAACTAATTGTTACCAGGAGCCAGGCACTGATCTAAAGCACTTTACATGGACTAACTCATTTAAGTTCTATTATTCCCCTTTATATAGATTAGAAAACCAAGGCACAGAGAGGATAAGCGACTTGCTCAAGGTCACACAGCAAATGGGGAACTGGGAGCTGAGATTTAAGCCTCAGCCTGTACACTTCACCTGTATGCTCTACCACCCTCCAGTCTATATTAAACAGTGAAGGCACTCCAATACAAATTACAAAAAAATTTTAACAGACTTCCTCCTAGCATTTATTAAGTAAACTGACAAATATTCTTATATCAATTGATATTATTCTTATGATTATTTGTTTTCCCAAGAACTTATGGCATAGACAAGTCTGTTATAAAAGTATTTCAGGTAGCCATCAAAATGGTGTTAAAATTATATTTTTATGTGTGCATAGGTACCCAGTGATGCTCTTTATGTAAAGAAATATATCTGCACAAACATATATACACATACACACTGTATATGCCTATAGACAGTCTCAGGGGAAACAGAGAAGTGTGACAGCTAATTCCGGAGGTAACATTTTGGTGGATATTTCTTTCCCTCTTTAAATTTATTTGAAATAAACATTTGAATTTTGTGCCTTTTCTGCCCCCAGCACTGCTGGGCCTGCAAGGTCTCTGTTGAGCAGCGGATGCGGGTCTCTGTTCCACAGGATGGAGTTTGTTGTTCAAGTTGTTAAGAATAAGGCCTACTTTAAGAGATACCAAGTGAAATTCAGAAGACAACTAGAGGGTAAAACTGATTACTATGCTCACAAACGCTTGGTGATACAGAATAAAAATAAATACAACACACCCAAATACACGTTGATAGTTCGTGTAACAGATATATCATTTGTCAGATTGCTTATGCCTGCATAGAAGGGGATATAATAGTCTGGAGCATATGTACACAAACTGCCAAAATATGGTGTGAAGGTTGGCCTGACAAATGATGCTGCAGCATATTGTACTAGCCTGCTGTTGGCCTGCAGGCTTCTCAATAGGTTTGGCATGGACAAGATCTATGAAGGCCAAGTGGAGGTGACTGGAGATGAATACAATGTGGAAAGCACTGATGGACAGCCAGGCACCTTAACCTGCTATTTGGATGCAGGCCTTGCCAGAACTACCACTGGCAATAAAGTTTTCGGCACCCTGAAGGGAGCTGTGGATGGAGGCTTGTCTGTCCCTCACAGTACCAAATGATTCCCTGGTTATGATTCTGAAAGCAAGGAATTTAATGCAGAAATACACCGGAAGTACATCAAGGGCCAGAATGTTGCAGTACATGTGCTACTTAATGGAGGAAGATGAAGATGCTTACAAGAAACAGCTCTCTCAATACATAAAGAACAGCGTAACTTCAGACATGATGGAGGAGATGTATAAGAAAGGTCATGCTACTATACGAAAGAATCCGGTCTATGAGAAGAAGCCCAAGAAAGAAGTTAAAAAGAAGAGGTGGAACCGTCCCAAAATGTCCCTTGCTTGGAAGAAAGGGTAGCTCAAAAGAGGGCAAGATTCCTCAGAGCTCAGGAGTGGGCTGCTGAGAGCTAAATCAAACAACTTTCTGTGAGGATTTTTCAGATAAAGACAATAAACTTATTGACAGCAAAAAACAAAAACCCCCTCAAATTTGAATTTTGTTAATAAAAATTTCCTAAATTAAAAAAATAAGATGTTGTATGTATTTTGAAGCAAAAGCTTTGGGAAATAATAAATAATGCCTGTCTGTTTTCTTGGAGAGCCTTGCAAACCCTTCATTTAAAATTTCTCCATCCTGGCTAACACAGTGAAATCCAGTCTCTACTAAAAATACAAAAAATAAAAATAAAAATAAAAATAACCTCGGTGTGGTGGCAGGCGCCTGTAGTCCCAACTACTGAGAAGGCTGAGGCAGGAGAATCGCTTGAACCCAGGAGGTGGAGGTTGCAGTGAGCTGAGATTGTGCCATTGCACTCCAGCCTGGGTGACAGAGTGAGACTCTATCTCAATAAATAAATAAATAAATAAATAAATAAATAAATAAATAAATAAATTTCTCAGCCTGGGCAATATAGTGAGACCTTGTTTCTACAAAAATAAAAATAAAAAAATGAGTCAGGGGCCGGGCACGGTGGCTCATGCCTGTAATCCCAGCACTTTGGGAGGCCGGGGTGGGCAGATCACAGGAGTTCGAGGCCAGCCTGGCCAAAATGGTGAAACCCTGTCTCTACTAAAAATACAAAAAAAATTAGCTGGGCATGGTGACGTATGCTTGTAATTCCAGCTACTCGGGAGGCTGAGGCAGGAGAATTGCTTGAACCTGGGAGGCGGAGGTTGCAGTGAGCCGAGATCGCACCATTGTACTTCAGCCTGGGCGACAGAGTGAGACTCTGTCTCAAAAAAAAAAAAAAGAAAGAAAAGAAAAAAAAATTAGTCATGGTGGTGTGCACCTATAGTCCCAGCTACTTGAGAGGCTGAGGTGGGAGTATTGCTTGAGCCCTGAAGGCGGAGGTTGCAGTGAGCCAATATCCCGCCACTGCACTCTAGCCTGGGGAACAGAGCGAGACCCTGTCTCAAAGTAAAATTTCTCCTTTAAGATAGTTTAGAATGAAATTTGGTGGACATACTGGATTACGAGTGTGCTTGCATAGTGGTGAGGCTATTGGTTTTAGAGTCTAACAGATGTACGTTTAAATTCTGGCTGTGAAACTTCCTGGCTGAGCGACAGACTCCTGAACCGCCCAGGTCACTGAACCGCCCAGCCTCACTCACGCACTGTCTGTGAAAAGGTTCAAGGGCCAGGACGTTTAGCAGGGCTGAACATGTGTATCTCGGTAACTGATACAAGGTAACCATATGGTTAGCAAGAGTCTGTCATCATCAGAACATAACTCAGTGTTTTTAAATGCCAATCACAAAACTGGCACTTTTTTGGATAATAATAAAAGTTATAAATAATAATTACTATTGAAAGCTCAGCCTCCACCCTTTCAAAGACATTTGAGAAATGGAAAACGTCACCCTGACCTCAGGGATCCAGCTGAAGTTGGTTTAAGAAATTGTTTCTAGGCTGGGTGCCGTGGCTCATGCTTGTAATCCCAGCTCTTTGGGAGGCTGAGACGGGTGGATCACTTGAGGTCAGGAGTTCAAGACCAGCCTGGCTAACATGGTGAAACCCCGTCTCTACTAAAAATACACAAATTAACTGGCCGTGGTGGTGCACGCCTGTAATCCCAGCTACTCAAGAGGCTGAGGCAGGAGAATCGCTTGAACCTGGGAGGTGGAGTTGGCAGTGAGCCGAGATCATGCCACTGCACTCCAGCCTGGGCAACAGAATGAGACCCTGTCAAAAAGAAGGGAAGGAGGGAAGGAGGGAGGGAGGGAGGAAGGAAGGAAGGAAAGAAGGAAGGAAGGAAGGAAGGAGGGAGGGAGGGAGGAAGGGAGGGAGGGAGGGAGGGAGGAAGGGAGGGAGGGAGGGAAGGGAGGGAGGGAGGGAGGGAGGAAGGGAGGGAGGGAGGGAAGGGAGGGAGGAAGGGAGGGAAGGAAAAGAAAGAAAGAAAAAAAGAAAGATCGTTTCTAGTTTGATGCATATATGTTATTAGGAGAGGGCAAAAGTCTGTCCTCTTCTGAACTTTCTGTGTTCCAAAACAGATTTATCTGCAGTCATACTTGGCCTTATCTCCCTGTGATGATTCATTTTAGATATAAACTTAACTGGGCCATAGGGCGACAAGATATTTGATCAAACATCATTCTGGGTGTGTTTGTGAGTATGTTTCTGGATGAAATCAACATTTGATAAAGCAGAGCAAAAATGCAGAGGAAAAAAAGGGAAAAAAAGAAAATAGTCTTGGAATTGGTAGACTGAGTACAGCCAATTGTCCTCCCTAATGTGGGTTGGCCTCATCCAATCAATTGAAGGCCTGCATGGAACTCCTCCTGCCTGTCTTCCAACTTGGATGCTGGATTTTTTTCCTGCCTTCGAACTCATTCTGAAACATCAACTCTTCTTAGGTCTCAAGCCTGCTAACATTGAGACTGGAGCTACATCATCAATTCTCCCGGGTCTCCAGCTTGCCAACTGCAGACCTTAGAACTTGTCAGCCTCTATAACCACTTGAGCCAATTCCTTATAATAAATCTCTCTCTCTGTCTCTCTCTCTCTCCATAAACACACACACACACACACACACACACACACACACACACACACACACACACTCCTATATTTTTTCTGGGGAACCCTGACTAATGCACTCCCTTTCTGCTGCCTCTGGATGGGGCTGTCTCCATCCAACCCTCGGGCATTGCCACCCCTTGTGCTTAAATGGTGGCTCTTAAGCCCTTTTTCCCCTCATTCTGGTTCATCTGGCTTGTCCCCAGCTGCTGCTGAAACTGCTATCTGAGAAGTCACCAGTGATTTTCTCGTTGTCAAATCCAGGGCTCAGCCTTATCCTCCTGGACCTTGCTCTGTCAGACATCACTCTCCGCATGTCTCCAGGCACCTTTCTTTGTGTCTATAAATGTGCTACAATCTCCAGTAGCCTTGAGTCACTCTCTAGCAATGGCTGCATTTCTGGAATCCCAGTTTCTTACTGGTCAGGAGTTTGGTTTCTGGAGCCTTAAGGTCTCAGTTCTGCCACTTCTACCTGCATGACCTTTGGCAAGTTGCTTAACCTTTCTGTGCCTCAGTTTCCTCATCTGTAAAATAAGGCTGTGGATAATGTCTACCTCTCAGGCTGTTGTGAGAAATGAATGCATTAGAGCCTTGTCATATAGAAAGTGGTTTGTAAATGTTAACTATCATCTGAGTGTAGGCTCACCTCCCTTTCACTCCTCAATATACCAGATCCTGTCTCAGGCCCTACCACTCCTGAGAAACCACTTCATCAAGGTCACCCATGACCTATTACTTGTTAGTATCTTCAGCCCTGTGTTTCTGCCCCTCTGTTGCACTTGATGTTCTCAATAACGTCCTCCTTTCCTCATTTACTGCCATTTCCTGCTGCACACATCACATCCTAGTTAAACTGCGTGAACACACATACCCCTGGGGTGTTTTCTCACCTCTAAGCCTTCGCTCTTGCTGAAACCGTACCCCTCCTATCACACAGAAGGCTCCTTCTCACTCTCACACAGGTAGTCCTTACCTCCAATATCCAACCCCGCTCATCCCCCTCACCCCACCTTCCCTGGTTAACTTCCACTTATCCTTTAAGCCTTTCCTCACGCGTTGCTTCCCCAGGAATCCCTTCCTATCCCACTCTCCCACGAAAGCTGGGTTAGGTGCCCCTTTCTGGTGCTCACATAGCACCCACGTACTTCCCACGCTGTACTTTATTTCTGTCTCTCCAAAACAACTGTAAGTGCCTTAAATTCAGAATCATTTCTCATTCTTTTTCAAGTTTCCAGCACTGACATGGTGCCAGACACATACTAGGGACTTAGTAAATGTTTATGGAATGAAGTAATCAATTAATAATATTAACACCCATTTACTTCCATGGAGTCTTAGAAGGACCCAGGGCAACTAGACTTGCAGGGAGTTAGGGGATTAGAAACAAATCAGAAGGAAGGGGGAAAAAACCTGCATAAAATTTTGCAATGTGTAGTAAGGAAGTTGGAGACTGGTAGTGTTTGGCAGGAGTATAGGAGGGCTTGCCATGCAGAGAAACTCTCAAAACAGAGAAGTAGTGCCCACTGGGAGGCCAACTTCACATTCCTCTAAGCTGTGCTTAGAGGTTCTCTCACAAAATTGCTAGCTAAATAGAAGGCAGAAGAAACGTGAAGAAAATGTATATCCACTCTCCCTCTTGCTTCTTTCCAAAAAAAGCACAGTTAAATCCATATGGCTCACAGTTGACATCCAAATGCATGTTAACTATGCATTTTTATGCTGGAAGAAATGAAAAAGAAAAAAATTGTTTTCAAAAACTTGGGAGAAATACAGAACATTCTCTGCCGATTGATACAGATTCCGTTGGGCATAACCAGGTTATTATCTCCTCGTGAACAACTCCCTTGCAAGCCAACAATTACATCATCAAGCACAGAACCCAAAGAATGTCTGGGTCTTTAGTACCTTTGTTATCATTGCTTTTGTATTTGACATTTGCTGTCATTGAGAGAGATTTACCATCCACCATTCCTAGAACCAATCATCACGTAACAGGTAAGAAGCATTGAGCATTAGTACTCACAAGTTTTAAAAAATTAAAATCTTCACCTTTTTTTTTAAACAGATAATACATTCACATGGCTCAAATTTCAAGAACTACAAAAGAGTGTACAAAAAAACTTTTCCTCTACTCTGCCCTTTCAGAGGTCTTCTGGTTATATAAAAAGACACATGGGCTGGCGCGGTGGCTCACACCTGTAATCCCAGCACTTTGGGCAGCCAAGGTGGGCGGATCACAAGGTCAGGAGTTCGAGACCAGCCTGGCCAAGATGGTGAAACCCCGTCTCTACTAAAAAATACAAAAATTAGCTGGGTGTGGTGGCGGGGTGCCTGTAATCCTAGCTACTCGGGAGGCTGAGGCAGGAGAATTGCTGGAACCTGGGAGGTGGAGGTTGCAGTGAGCCGAGATTGCGTCATTGCACTCCAGCCTGGGCGGACAATAGCAAGACTCCATCTCAGACAAAACAAAACAAAACAAAACAAAAGACACATGCATACAGGTATATATTTTTTTTCCACAACCTGCTTTCTGTTATATCCTGCTATACATACAATCCTGCACCTTGCATTTTTCATGTAACAATCAATTTGGGAAAGTGTTCCACATCAGTATATACAGGAAGTTTTTCATTTTATTTGTTGCATTGTATAAATAGACCATGATTTATTTAACCTTTCTCTACTCATGGATATTTAGGTTGCTTCCAATATTTTGTTAAGCAAACAGTGCTGAAATAAATAACCTGAAGCTACCTTATTTTGCATATGTGCCAGGATATCTGTGGCATAAATTCCTGGAAGTGGACTGACTGGGCCAAAGGACATGTTTATTTGTAATTTTCTTAGCAGTTGCCAAAGTTCTCTCCGTGGAGCAGGTTGTACCAATTTACCCTCCCACCAGCTTCCCTGTGTTCCACCAACAGTGTCAGCCAACTTCTAGGCTCTGCCAATTTGGAAGATGAAGAATGACATTTTTATGCACTTCTAGCTTGTGTTTCTCTTATTATTGTGTATAGCTGTGCCTTCCCCACCCCCCGCCCCCCGAGATAAGGTCTGGCTCTATCACCCAGGCCAGAGTGCAGTGGCATGATCTTGGCTCATTGTAACCTCCGCCTCCCAGGCCCAAGCCATCCTCTCACCTCACCTCAGCCTTCCAAGTAGCTGGGACTACAGGTGCATACCACTATGCCTGGCTAATTTTTGTGCTTTTTGTAGAGATGGGATTTCACTATCTCGCCCAGCTGGTCTCGGACTTCTGAGCTCGAGCAATTCACCTGCCTCCACGGTCTCAAAAAAGGCTAGGATCACAGGCGTTAGCCACCGCACCCAGCCTTTTTTTCGTTTTTTGTTTTTTTGAGCCCTCGGTGCTAGTCACCCTTCTCTCTCTCTCATTATAAAATAATAACAATAATAGCTGACACTCAGGCGGTGGCTTGCCATTGCCAGATACGTTGTAGGTGTCTCATTTAGCCTGTCAACGGTCCTGTGTTGTAGGTACTGTTCTCACCCCTGGTGTACAAATGAGGACATTAAGACTTACTGTGTTTAAGTGATTTGCCCAAGGTTTCACAGCAATAAGTGGCAGAGCCAGGACTTAAACCCAGGCTTCTATGACCATAAAGACAATTTTCTTAAAAATTAGGCAACTTTGGCCAGGCGCAATGGCTCACACCTGTAATCCCTTTGGGAGGCTGCGGTGGGTGGATCACTTGAGATCAGGAGTTCAAGACAAGCTTGGCCGACATAGTGAAACCTTGCCTCTACTAAAAATACAAAAATTAGCCAGGCATGGTGGCAAGCGCCAGTAATCCCAGCTACTCAGGAGGCTGAGGCAGGAGAATTATTTGAACCTGGGAGGCAGAGGTTGTAGTGAGCCGAGATTGCACCACTGCCCTCCAGCTTGGGCGACAGAGTGAAACTCCATCTCAAAAAAAAAAAAAAAAAATAGGCAACTTTGCCTACCACTCAACAACAACAAAAATAGAGGCCCTCAGGTATCATTCACGGATTTTCTCCCTAAAGTTCTAAGAAAGTAGCCCACTAGTGTCCTTTTGCACTCCTGCCATCTTTTCAGGGTAATGTCTTCTCACGTTCCTGCCTCCTTTTGAGATGTGCTGTAAGGGGACTACACTAATATGTGGACCCCGGCCTCCGAGATGAGACTGACACTGGCTGGAGGCTTCCAGAAATGCAGCCACATGAGAGGAGTGAGTAACCATTTGAGCAAACACTAGTTCATGAATTATTATTTCTTTTCTTTTTTTTTTTTTGAGGGTCTTGCTCTGTCACCCAGGCTGGAGTGCAATGGCACGATCTCGGCTCACTGCAACCTCCGCCTCCTGGGTTCAAGCAATTCTCATGTCTCAGCCTCCTGAGTAGCTGGGATTACAGGCACGCCCCACCACGCCCAGCTAATTTTTTTGTATTTTTAGTAGAGATGGGGTTTTGCCATGTTGCCCAGGCTGGTCTCAAACTCCTGAACTCGGGCAATCCATCCTCCTCAGCCTCTGAAAGTGCTAGGATTACAGGCATGAGCCACTGCGCCCAGCCTGAATTATTATTTCTTAATAGCAACTTCAGGCCTACAAGTAAGGAAGAAGTGAAGTTCATTCATTCAACAAATATTTAGGGAGCATCTATGTGCTAGGCACTGTTCAGGCACTTGGACACAGCAATGAACAAGATAAATCAGGTCTCATAAAACGTACATTAATGGCCAGGTGTGGTGGCTCACGCACATGATCCCAGCACTTTAGGAGGCCGACATGAACAGATTGCTTGAGGCCAGGAGTTCAAGACCAGCCTGGGCAACATGGCAAAACCTCGTCTCTATCAAAAAAAATTACAAAAATTAGCCAGGCGTGGCAGTGTGCACCTGTGGTCCCAGCTACTCAGGAGGGTAAGGTGGGAGGATCAGAGAAGCTGAGGCTGCTATGAGCCATCATCACGCACTGCACTTCAGCCTGAGCGACAGAGTGAGACACTGTCTCAAAAAAAGAAAAAAAAAAAAAAACTTAAGACCAAAAATGTTGCATTAGATAATAAATAAGAAAATTTGTAAAAATTGATAGTAGTAAGTGCTATACAGGTTAAAACTGCATATTTTGTAAAAAGGAGCTGCTTTGGATTTGTTCATTGGCATAAGGCCCCTCTAAAGGGGGTGCCAGTTACACTGAGCAGAAAATGACATGAGGGAACCAGCAACTGAAGTTCAAGGGAAGAGCATTTTAGGCAGAGGGAACAGCCAGTGCAGAAGTCCCAAGTCAGGAACAAGCTGATGCACTGTGGGAGAAAGCCCGTTGAGCTGAAGCCCAGAGGAAGGGGGAAGGGAGGTTTTGGCAGACGCTGGAGTGGTAGGTGTAGTCAGATCTCACCTCAGGACTCTATGGGTCAGGAAAGAGAACTTGGATTGTGTTATGTCCAATGGAGGCCATGGGAGATCTTAAACTGGGGGATAGAGGGCGTACGTGTGATATAATCTGATACTGTTTTTAAAAACAATCACTCTGGCTGTAGGGGGAGAGCAGATTCTAGTGGGTAAGTGAGTAAGGGGAGCAGTTGGAGGCTATTGCAGTGGCTTGGACTGGAGATTATGAGGGCACTACCAGAGTAGTGCTTCTCAAACCTGGGCAGGCATCAGAATTCTCTGAAGGGTGCCATCCCCAGAGTGTCTGATTCTGGACGGAAAGGACCTCAACATTTTACATTGCTAACAAGTTCCCTGGTGACGCTGATGTGGCTGGTCTGTAAACCCCACTTTGAGTAACATTGGACCAGACTGGAGATGCAAGAAGTGGACTGATTTCAAATCATTTTGGAGGTAGAGTCAATAGGATTTACTGACAGATTGCATTTGCAAGGGAGAAGAATCTGACCTTGAGTTTCCAGTTCAGCAACTGAGGGAACAAATGCCAGTATATACTGAGAGTGGAAAACCAGAAGAAGGTGCAGATTGAGGGGGGGAAGATATCAAGAGTTCTGTTTTGGGCATGTTAAATTTGAGATCCCTGTGAGAAATCCAAATGGAAATTTCAGTCACACAGTGGGGGGTGCTGGTATTGGAGCAGGAGGTCAGGACATCTCAGTGTAGAGATGAAATTTAAAGTGATGGACTAGACACAATGGCCTTCTGAGAGCGTGTACCTGGGGAAGAGAAGGAGCATGGGACAGAATCCTGGCATTCCACATCTAGAGGTCAGAAACAGGAGGGGAGACAGTGGACAAGAAGACAACCTGGAGAAGAATGTCACTAATGCTCAGAGGAGAAAGACTTTCAGGAAGAGGGGATGTCCAGCAATGTATAATAACTGGAAGCAAGGTCAATACAAGAGAGCCAGGGAGCAGAGGAGAGAACCCTCTGAGAAGGGGAAGAAAGAATGAGTAAGAATAACTGAAGACCTTTTGAGAATCCACAAATCTTTGTAGCTGCAGCTGGATTCTTCATGCATTGTGATTAGCCATAAACTAGAAACAGAAAGAGGCCCCATGCTTTTCTTCTGGGACAGTGAAAGAGATGGAAACCTCAGCTATCCCATCTCACTCTCCAGCCAGCCTCAAGTCCTGGGGTGGAGGCAGCATTCAAGGGGAGCACAAAATAGATTGAGTCCTGGGAAGTGGGAGAATATAGGCAGGAGGCTGTCACGGGAATCAGAAATGACCCTGGGTGGCTTCTCGGACAGGCCTGCATCATTCTGGAAACTTCTTCACTTTAGCCTCCAAGAAACAAGCATCCCTAGTCCCATCCAAGAGCAATTCCTCACCCAGTGTTTGTGAGCCCCGGGCCGCCTGCCGCAGCGGAGCCCTGGCTCCACTGCCCGTCTCCTCCCTCTTCTGTATTTTTCATGGCTTCCTCTAGCCTGGCTCCTTCCCCTCAGACTACAATAATGCCACTCCAGTCTAAAATAAAGCTCTGTCCTCCACCCTTCCTTCCCTGTGCTACTGCTTTCATTGCTTTTTCCCCAAACTTCCTATGTCAATGCTTGTGCTTCCTCACTTTCTTTTTCATCTGCAGCCACTGGAATTTGGCTTCCATCCCTGCCACTGTCTCAAAAGCCACAGCCCTCTCCTAATCATCAAGTGAGGGGCCTGCTCCTGTTGGCCTTCACCTCTGGCCATCTCTCTACTGCATTTCACACACTGGCCACCCACTCCTTCTGGAAACTCTTGCCTCCTTCTCTCACGCCCTCACCATCCCACACAAAGGCTTTCCTCCCCAGTCCCCCGGGGTCCGTGGTCCATGATTCCCCATGTTCATCACCCTCTTGGCTCTCCTCGACTCTCTCCTGGTGATCTCATCCACACTCTTTCACGATCACCCAGTTATGAATTGGTGACTTCCAATTGCTCTGGTATTTTCAGGTGCCTATGTGCCATGTCCATGTTCCACAGGCATGTTAAAGATGCCCAAAACAAAATCTCGATCCACAGTTTGCACTTAATATGTGTATTTTATTTTATTTATTTATTTTTATTTTTATTTTTATTTTTTGAGATGGGGTCTTGCTCCTGTCGCCCAGGCTGGAGTGCAGTGGCACGATCTCAGCTCACTGCAGCCTCCACCTCCCAGGTTCCAGCAATTCTCCTGCCTCAGCCTCCTGGGTAGCTGGGATTACAGGCATGCACCACCACACCAGGCTAATTTTTGTATTTTTAGTAGAGACGGCGTTTCATCGTGTTGGTCAGGCTGGTCCCAAACTCCTGACCTCAGGTGATCTGCCCACCTCAGCCTCCCAAAGTGCTGGGATTTCAGGTGTGAGCCACCATGCCTGGCCAATACATGTATTTTAAGTATATGTTTGTTGAATGAATTATTTTCTTCTTGCCCACTCCTCCTTTTTACATAGTGAAGAAAAAGTAGTAAACAATAAACAAAACACAAATACCTCCTCCCCTTTTGGACCACCTCACACCGTTTTCCCTCACTGCATGTAATTGGGTGCTTGGTCTGATTGATTCCATCTCCAAAGTGTTCTGAATCTTTCCTCTCCTTTATTCTTCTTTCCATTCGTCTTCTGCTCTTCTCCTCTCTCTGGCTGTCTAACATTGGAGACAGCCAAATGGTTCTTAAAACTGGCTATACATTGGAATTCCCTGGAAGATGTAAAAAATCCTGATGCTCTGCCTGACCCCGACCAACTGAATCAGAATATCTAAGAGTGACGCTGGGTGCACCAGGGTTTCTAAGAATCACTACAGGTAATTATAATGTACAGTCAGATTTGAGAACCAGCCAGGTGCGGTGGCTCACGCCTGTAATCCCAGCACTTTGGGAGTCCGAGGCAGGCGGATTGCCTGAAGTCAGGAGTTCAAGACCAGCCTGGCCAACATGATGAAACCCCGTCTCTACTAAAAATACAAAAATTAGCTGGCCATGGTGGTGGGCGCCTGTAGTCCCAGCTACTTAGGAGGCTGAGGCAGGAGAATCACTTGAACCCAGGAAGGGGAGGTTGCAGTGAGCTGAGATCACACCACTGCACTCCAGCCTGGGCAACAAGTGTGAAACTCCATCTCAAAAAAAAAAAAATTTGAGAACCAAAGTTGGTGTCCTTCTCCAATACCCAGTATTTCTCCCCACAAAAATAAAAAATAAAACCTGATATTAGCACTCTCCTGCTTTAAAATTTCACATAAAGACGAATGCATTGGCTTACCCCTGTAATCCCCACACTTTGGGAGGCCAAGGAAGGCAGATCACCTGAGGTCAGGAGTTCAAGACCAGCCTGGCCAATATAGTGAAACCCTGTCTCTATGAAAAATACAAAAATTAGCCGGGCGTGGTGGTGGGTGCCTGTAATCCCAGCTACTCAGGAGGCTGAGGCAGTAGAATTGCTTGAGCCCTGGAGGTGGAGGTTGCAGTGAGTTGAGATCACACCACTGCACTCCAGCCTGGACAACAGAGCAAGACTCTGTCTCAAAAAAAAAAAAAAAAAAAAGAAAGAAAAAAAGAAAAAGAAAGCTTCAGGTCAGGCGTGGTGGCTCACACCTGTAATCCCAGAACTTTGGGAGGCCGAGGTGGGCAGATCACCTGAGGTCAGGAGTTCAAGACCAGCCTGGCCAACGTGGCGAAATCCCGTCTCTACTAAAAATACAAAAATTAGCTGGGTATGATGGTGGGTTCCTGTAATCCCAGCTACTCAGGAGGCTGAGGCAGGAGAATCGCTTGAACCTGGGAGACGGAGGTTACAGTGAGCCAAGATCACGCCACTGCACTCTAGCCTGGGCAACAGAGTGAGACTCTAAAAAAGAGAGGAAGAAAGATAGAAAGAGAGAGAGAGAGAGAAAGAAAGAAAGCGAGAAAGAAAGAAAGAAAGAAAGAAAGAAAACTTCAGATGAGAGCGCAGAGTTTTAGGACAGTGAAACTACTCTGTATGATACTATAATGATGGGTATGTGTCATTATGGATTTGTCTAAACCCATAGAATATATAACACCAAGGACAAACCCTAAGGTAAACCATGGACTTGGGGTTATTATGATGCATCAATGTGGGTTCATCAGTTGTAACAAGTGTACCACTCTGGTAAGGGATGTTGATATCATCAGGGAAGTTATACATGAATAGGGGTGGGGAATATAAGGTAAATCTCTGTATCTTCTTAATTTTGCTGTGAACCTAAATCTGCTCTAAAAAAAAATAAAGTTAAAAAAATTTTGAGAAGACACAGCAGGACTCTTATCTTGGACTCCAGTTTCAGGAGATAATGTGAATCCCCTTAAATAATATACAAAATACTGTATATGAGGAGAGGACTCATTCATTCTCAAAGGAACCTGATTCAAAAAAGATTAGGAAATATTACTGGATAGTAGTTAATAGTCAACACTTACTGTGTGCTAGGCACTGTGCCAAGCACTTTATATACACCAGCTTATAAAGTGCTTATCAAAACTAACCCAGAAGGTTGAGTATAACCCCTATTTTACAGATGATGATTAAGCAACTCCCCCAAGTCAGCAAGTTCTTGGAATTTGGATTCACACCTAACTAGATCTGCTCTTTACTGCCTCCGTGGTTTGTGGGACTAATTCAAGCCTTTTGGCACAGCAAACAAGGCTCTCCACCATCTGCTAATCGAATGCATCCTTCCTTCCCCTCTCATTCTCTGAAGAAATCATGTAGTCCATGCCTCTGCCCCCTTATATGCTGCACCCATTCCCTGGAATGTCCTCCCTTCACTTCACTGCCAGACAGAATCCTATCAGCACAAACATCCTCTGCAGCTCTCTGAAACCTTCTCTCCTCTCCCTCATTTTCCCAGAAGACATTGATTATGGCACTTTTAGCATCTGATGATAGTGGTGTTCATGTCTCTCTCCTGAGAGACGGAGTTGAGAAAAGCAGCTGTGTCTTGTTCATCTGTTCATCTGCAGCTCTCCAACATCTTGCAGTGCCCACTGGCCCATAGGTGGGGCTCAATGGACATTTGTTGAAAATAATATAATTTAAGTGTGCATTCTACTTATCAGAGAGTACCTAGGTTCTAAACTGGGGAAAATAGACCTTTGTCTTATGAGAATGACGTTTAATATGTTCTTATGTTGCCAGGATATCCCTACCGATCTCATAGGGTTATTGTTAAGATTAGCTAAAATAATTATTTAAAAGCACTTTGCATTGTTAAACACTATGAAAAAGAAGGCTTGATTATTAACCAACTCTCTGCTCACATCCAGCAGCTTATGGACCATTATGCATGGCAGGAAATGCAGATTTAACAGCCACCAGCTACATGCTTTCAAAAAGTCTGTCATCACATTGGCATCTCCTGCTTGGAAACAAACAGTTTCCTCATTGCTGTGGCATTCTGCAGAGCTGAAAGGGCCACACCAGGAAAACCCAAATGAATGAATACTCACTTCAAACTGCTTTTGTAAAACATGTCTCCAGAGTCTTGAGAGATGCAAACAAAATTGCTCTTACAGAGGTGAGAGAAGACAGGGGTACCCGAGTGCAGTTGTACATACATGGATCATTATGAAACTTCCTAATTTTGATAGCGTTCTATTATGTCAACCCTAAAATACAACACGTGGGAACAAATTACATGAATTTTTCTTTTAATGAAAATCATCAAATTGTGGCAAAACCATGATGTTTGATGTATCCTAATTTTAAATATTCTCATATTTTCTAAGTATTTTTTTAAAAAATGTTATTTTGTGTATTTAAAGTATACAGCATGATGTTATGAGATACATATAAACAGTAAAATGGTTACAAATTACATGAATTTTTCTTTTAATGAAAATCATCAAATTGTGGCAAAATCATGATGTTTGATGTATCCTAATTTTAAATATTCTCATATTTTCTAAGTATTTTTTTAAAAAATGTTATTTTGTGTGTATACAGCATGATGTTATGAGATACATATAAACAGTAAAATGGTTACTATAGTGAGGCAAATTAACATATCCATCATCACACAGTTACCCCCCGCTTTTTGTGGCAAGAGCAGCTATAATCTATTCATTTAGCAAAAATCCCAAATGCCATACACTATTATTAACTCATGTTGCACATTAGATTTCCAGACTTGTTCATCCTACATGTTTGCTACTTGCATTCTTTGACCTACATCTCCCCTGTTCTCCCCTCTACCTGCCTCTGGTAACCACTGTTTTACTCTCTTTCACTGTAATTTGACTTTTTTCTTTAGAGTCCACATATAAGTGAGATCCTATAATATTTTTCTTTCTGTGTATGGCTAGTTTCACTTAGCATAATGTCCCCCAGATTCATCCATTTTGTAGCAAATGGCAGAATCTCCTCCTTTTTTGAGGCTGAATAACATATTATTGTATAGATGCACCACAGTTTCTTTATCCATTCATCCACTGATGGGCACCTAGGTAGCTTCCATATCTTGGCTATTGTGAATAATGTCACAAAGAACATAGGAGTTCAGATATCTTTACAAGGTGTTTTTGTTTTTTTTTTGTTTTTTTTTTTTGAGATGGAGTTTCACTCTTGTTGCCCAGGCTAGAGTGCAATGGCACCATCTCGGCCCGCCTCCCGGGTTCAAGCGATTCTCCTGCCTCAGCCTCCAGAGTAGCTGGGATTACCCACCATGCCCGGCTAATTTTGTATTTTTAGTAGAGACGGGGTTTCTCCATGTTGGTTAGGGTGTTCTCTAACTCCCAACCTCAGGTGATCTGTCTGCCTCGGCCTCCCAAAGTGCTGGGATTACAGGCGTGAGCCACTCCACCCAGCCTACAAGGTGGTGATTTCATTTCCTTTGGGTATAAACTGAGATTGCTGGATCCTACGGTGGTTCTATTTTTAATTTCTTTGGGAACCTCCATATTGTTCTCCATAATGGCTGCACCAAACTACACTCCCACCAACAGCACATAAGGGTTCCCTTGTCTCTACACTCTGGCCAACAGTTATCTTTTGTCTTTTTGATAATAGCTATCCATGGATGTGAGGTGACATTTCATAGTGGTTTTGATGTTTTATTTTTATATACCTGTTGGCCATTTTTATGTCTTCTTTGAAGAAATATCTATTCAGGTCCTTTGTCCATTTTAAAAATTGGGTTATATGTTTTCTTGTTATTGAGTTGTATGAGTTCTTTGTAAGCTTTGGATACTAACAACTTACCAGATATATGGTTTGCAAATATTTTTTTCCCAATCTGTAGGTTGCCTTTTCATTGTGGTGATTGTTTCCTTTGCTGTGCAGAAGCTTTTTAGTTTGATGCAGTCTCACTTATTTTTACTTTTGTAGCCTCAGCTTTTGCTATGATATGCAAAATAATCATTGCCAAGGCCAATGTCAAGGAGCTTTTCTCCTGTGTTTTTTTCTAGGAGTTTTATTGTTTCCAGTCTTATGCTTAGGTCTTGCATGCATTTTGAGTTGATTTTTGCATGTGGTGTAAGAGTCTAATTTTATTCTTTTACCTGTGGAAATCAAGTTTTCTCAGTACCATTTATTGAAGATACTGTTCTTTTCCCAGGTGTCTTCTTGTTACTCTTGCCAAAAATTAGTTGACCATATAGGTTTGGCTTTATTTCTGGGCTTCTAAGAATTCTTAAAGGTTATCTGGCCGGGCACAGTGGCTCACACCTGTAATCCCAGCACTTTGGGAGGCCAAAGAGGTAGATCACGAGGTCAGGAGTTCAGGACCAGCCTGGCCAACATGGAGAGACCATGTCTTACTAAAAATACAAAAATTAGCCAGGCATGGTAGCGCACTCCTGTAATCCCAGCTACTCAGGAGGCTAAGGCAGGAGAGTTGCTTGAACCCTGGAGGCAGGGGTTGCAGTGAGCCGAGGTCACACCACTGCACTCCAGCCTGGGCAACAAGGCGAGACTGTGTCAAAAAAAAAAAAAAAAAAAAAAAAAAGAAGTTACCCTGGTTTGCCCCACTTGCTTGTGAAAGGTTAGAAAGTTCATTGGTGGGGCAGTTATTTCCAAGCCCAATCCTACAATCCGATGCAGAAAAAAATTATAAAACTGATGATGGCCTCATATACCAAGCATCATAAAGTATGAGGCATGAAAAGGAGGGAGAGGAGAATAAAGAGAAGAAAAAGAAGAAAGACTCACAAAAAAATACTAAAAATGGAAAGTCTATGAGAAGAGGATAAAAGGCAGTGGCTTATGTCTGTATTCTTAGCATTTTGGGAAGGGAAGCAGGAGGATCACCTGAGCCCAGGAGTTTGAGACCAGCCTGGGCAACATAGTGAGAGACCCTGCCTCTACAAATCAGTTTTTAAAAATTGATTTTTATTTTTTGACTACAAGTGGCGTACACCTGTAGTCCCAACTACTTGGGAGGCTGGGGTGGGAGGATCCCTTGAGCCCAGCAGGTCAAGGCTGCAATGAGCCAAGATTGCACCACTGCACTCCAGCCTAGGTGATAGAGTAAAAACCTGTCTCAAGGCAAAAAAACAAAAAAAGAAAAAAAAAGGAAACATTACTTGATTCCCCATCAATGTTGAACAACTTTCACAGTAAGCGTTATAATATTATGGCAAGAGCAGCTATAATCTATCCATTTAGCAAAAATGTATGTGCATACATGTGTTAATGAAGTCTCAAACTGTAGAGAAAGACCTTACCAACTGTGGACCTCATTTAATTCTTCTAAAACAACAGCATAATGAAGATTATGGTTAAGAGTTCTGGCTTTGAAGTCAAACTGTTGGGTTTGAATCCCAGTTCGACTTCTGACTGTGACAGAGATTCCTATTTGTTTTCCATTATCCATTCTCGCCTTCTTCCCTGAATTTTAGCTGTATGAGTCACCTTCCAGTCAGACTACATTTCCCAGATTCTTTTGCAACTGGGTATGGCCATTGGACCACATTCTGGCCATTGAAATATGAGCCCAACTTCCAGGTTATGCCCTTAAAAGGGAAGGTTGTGTCTTCCACTTCCTCCCATTTCTTCCATTGGAATGCAGAGGTGGCATTGCTCCATCTTTGACAAGGTGGAATAGGGTATTCCCTAGAGAAGGCAGAGCAACAAGAAAGAAGAAACCTGGGTCCCCAACAAGACTCAGCTGTCTTATCAGCCCTGGACTGCTCATGATGAGACTAACATGAGAGAGAAACTCCTATTTTGTCTAAGCCACTGTGACATTATGCCTTAGTAGTCAAATGGATTTCCTTAAAAGTAACAGTGATTGGGCTGGGCACAGTGGCTCATGCCTGTAATCCCAGCACTTTGGGAGGCCAAGGCGGGCAGATCACGAGGTCAAGAGATTGAGACCATGCTGGCCAACATGGTGAAACCCCGTCTCTACTAAGAATACAAAAAATAGCTGGGTTTGGTGGTGCACGCCTGTAGTCCCAGCTACTTGGGAAGCTAAGGCAGGAGAATCGCTGGAACCCAGGAGGCTGAGGTTGCAGTGAGCAGAGATCGCGCCACTGCATTCCAGCCTGGCGACAGAGTGAGACTCCATCTCAAAAAAAGAGAAAAAAATAAGTAACAGTGATTAAAAGTAAGTTACTTAACCTCCATGGGTCTCAGTTTTCTTTTCTTTTACTCACTGCAACCTGGACCTCCCAGGTCCAGGTGATCCTCCTGCCTCAGTCTCCTGAGTAGCTAAGACTACAGGCACGCGCCACCATGCCCGGCTAATTTTTGTATTTTTTGTAGAGATGGGGTATTGCCATGTTGCTCAGGCTAGTCTTGAACTCCTGGGCTCAAGCAATCCTCCTGCCTTGGCCTCCCAAAGTGGTGGGATTACAGGCATGAGCCACCACACCCAACCTTATTTTATTTTTTGTAGAGATGCGGTCTTGCTTTGTTGCCCAGGCTAGTCTCAAATTCCTGTCAGCCCTCCTCCTTTATTTCAATCCACTTTACCCACCAAAAAGAGCTCAGTCCCCATCACGTGAGATGAAGAACCTATCTATGTCCCCAAGACCTCAGGGCTGAGGTGCTTCTGGTATATGAAGTGTGCTGGCACTCCTCCCAAAGCCACCCATGTTTGCAAGAGGCAAAAGAAGCTTCTGGAAGGGAGCAGTGAGACCTAGAGTCTCTCCTTTTATTTCAAAGTTAATGTAATATCTCCACTGTACTCAGGGGGGTGCAGACTTGGGTGGCTTGGGCTGAGATCGGCTGGCAAGAAATAGGAGCAGTGCTTCTGAAGAGGCCCAAGGTTGAGGCCTGTCCTGGAGAGCTGACTCCAGGAGCAGCGTGCAGCTGGTCCCTTGTGCCCAGCCATCTTCTGCCATGGCTGTACCTGGGGAAAGTGCCTGAATGTCATGGAAGAATCGTCACTGAGAGTGTAGGCCCTCTTGGCTGTGGAGGAGTCACATCTAATTACAGCACAGGCACTCTGTCCTCAGCCTGAGGCTGGGTGCCTCAGTGATGCCTGCATTTCCACTGTGTTCAAGGGTCTCACACACACTGTCTGGTGCAGGCCAGCATGGGTGCCTCAGTTACTTCAGTAGGTCCAGGGATAGATGGAGGCCTCGGCCATTGTGGGGCCTCCTAAGGCAATCAGGCCTTGCCCCACTGGAAGGCTTTTTGTTTGGGGCCCTTAGACTGTAAGGTATTGCAGAGGAAAAGGGCTTACTAATAGACAACGGCAACTAGGACTGACTCCTTAGGTCTGAATGAGTTCCCCTGGGGCTTCCTAACTTTATCCTAAGAAGGACCCCTGTCCCCAAGAAAGAATGGAAATAAAAGGGGGAAAGGAAGAACGTAAAATCATATTTGCTTGACTATAGGTTTACAAAAATCCCTGGAAGGATACATAAGAGACTAGTAACAGATCCGCCCACCACGGCCTCCCGAGTAGCTGAGACTACAGGCATGCGCCACCACGTCCAGCTAATTTTGGTGTTTTTGTAGAGATGGGGTTTCCCCATGTTACCTAGGCTGGTCTTGAACTCCTGGGCTCAAGTGATCTGCTCACCTTGGCCTCCCAAGATGCTGGGATTACAGGTGTGAGCCACCGGGCCCATCCAGTGGTTACCTTTTGCAGGTTGGGGTGGGAAATGGATGGATGCAGGGTGGCTGAGAGGAACATTCTTTACTATCTTCTTATTCTTTCTTGATTTTTGAAGTATCCATAAAACTGAGTCAAAAAAAAAATAAATTAAGACAACAGGAAATTTAAAGGCCATGTCTTCAAATAGTTTAGGAAGGCTGAGTAAGGGTGCCCTAGAGAAGAGGAAGGAGAGAGAAAAAGCAGCTACAGGCCCCATTCCCATGGCAAGGCTGAGGCTCCTGCGGCTTGGCCACAAGAAGCGGGTACAGGAGGAACCAGCTGCCCTTCAGCTCTGCGGGCTTCACCTTGCTATAATTCCAAGATGAAAGGAACGGTGACCTCATTTTGAACTTCATTCTAGTGAAATAGTTACAATTCTTGTCTCTGCTGCCTCTGAAATAGCTCTGGAACCTGGGCTTTCTTCACCTCTCACCTGGATTCCTCTGACAATCTTCAGACTAGTCTCCTTGTCCCAAGCTTCAAATCCATCCACCAGACTTAAATTTCTTTTTTGAAATGAAAACCTGATCATGCCCCTCCAGGCCCCTTCCACACTTAAAACCCTTCAACAGTTGCCCATGTTGCCCATTGAGCTATGACAAAATCTCAGTTCTTTCTATGTCCTTTCAGGATCTGCCACTCTCCTACTCGCCTTTGCTCTACCCACACACGGCTGCTTGTGGTTTTCTGGGTGTCCCATCCTGCCATGCTTTGAGGTTTTGCATATGCAGTTCCTTCTGCATATGCAAAAGGAATATGCATATTCCTTCGTTTTGTGTTTTGTCATCCTGGAAAACTCCATTCTTCCTTCAGGATGTGGCTCAAATGCCATCTCATCTCTGTGACCTTGCCCTGGACCCTGACCCCAGTCACCCAACACACTTTGAATATGTGCTGATTAACACTTATTGTACCCTAGTCGCATTATTTCTACGCCTCTGTTAGACTTTCAACCCCATGACAGACAGCAGGAGTTATGCCTTATCCATCTTTTTATTTCCAGTTTACAGAGAAAACTTGGGTTATAAATGGATCACCAGTTTGCTCTGGATTAAATGCTCAGGACCAGCACATAGAACACTGCTAAGGTACCCCGAGGTTAAGCTTGCCTTCCAGAATTCCGTAAACTTGGCTCTGTCCCTGTCTAAATAATAATGCTGTTTAAACACTACAATTGGCTCTGTCCCTGACTAAATAATGATTGGAGTTTAAACTCTAGCCAGATAAATCCTTTGCTCACTTTTTTTTTTTAAATGCTGAAGTACTTGAAGATGTGGCCTTATACCAAGGAGCACAAAAGTGGTATTATTCACTGTGTAAATGCTTTGAAAGTCAGAACGTGTCACACTCCTTAGTAACACAGCACAGTGATACAGTAGCAACAGGTAGGGTCCAATAGCAACCACGTGTGGACAGACTCACTCTGGGGAAACTCCAAGGAGTAGAGTAATGGTGTTTTTAGTTCCAGCTCAGAAAGCCAAGTGTGGTGTTCACATAGTATGCCTCTCTGTAGGGTAGCTGTGGCAAATGTTAATGGATTTATGAACTGCTAAAAGATTAAACCCCACAGAACTTTTTACATAAAATTTTTTGTTGATTTTTAAAAACTATAGTGAAATGTTCATAATGTACCACTTTAACCATTTTAAAGTGTACAATCCATTGGCATTAACTACATCACAATGTTGTGCAACCATTATCCATTTCCAAAACTTGTTCATTATCCCAGACAGACTCTATGCCCATTAAACAATACCTTCCCATTTCTCCTTTCCCTCTGGTCCCGGGTGTCCGTTCTACTTTCTCTCTTTATGAATGTGCCTATTCTAGGTATCTCATACAAGTGGAATCATACAAAACTTGTGTTTCTGTGTCCGTCTTATTTCACTGAGCATGTTTTCAATGTTCATCCATGTTGTCGCATGTATCAGGACTTCATTCTTGTTTACGGCCAAGTAATATTCTGTTCTATGTGTATAGCACACTTGGTCAACCCATTTATCTATTGATGGACATTTGGGTTGTTTCTCAATAACCTTTAAGCTATTTTGAATAATGTTGCTATGAACATGGATGTACAATTTCTGAATACCTGCTTTCAATTCTTTTGGATATATAGCTAGAAGTGGAATTGCTGAATCTTACGGTAATTCTGTTTACCTTTTTGAAGAATAGCCAAACTGTTTCCCACAGTGGCTGTAACCAGGTGGCGTTTTCACCAGCAATGTACAAGGGTTTCGATTTCTCTACATCCTTGCCAATACTTGTTATTTTTCATTTTTTGATAACAGTCATCCTAATGGGTTTTGTAGTTTTGATTTGAACTTCCCTGGTGACTAGTGAAGTTAAACATCTTTTCATATGCTTATTGGCCATTTGTATACCTTCTTTGAAGAAAGGTCTATTCAAATTATTTGCCCATTGTTTTTTTCAGAGATGGGGTCTTACTCTGTCACCCAGGCTGGAGTGCAATGGCATGATCATAGATCGCTACAACCTTGAATTCCTGGGCTCAAGTGATCCTCCCACCTTGGCCTCCCGAGTAGCTGGGACTACAGGCATGCACCACCACACCCAACTACTTTGCCCTTTTTAAAAATATTTCCAACTTTTACTTCAAGTTCAGTGGTACACGTGCAGGATACTTTGCCCATTTTTTAATACGATTTTTTGTTGTTGTTGAGTTGTAGTTCCTTATGTATTATGGATATTAATCCCTTATCAGATATAATATTTGCAAATATCTTTGCATAACGTTTTTTTGAGATGGAGCCTCACTCTGTTGCCCAAGCTGGAGTGCAGTGGCATAATCTTGGCTCACTGCAACCTCCGCCTCCCAGGTTCAAGCAATTCTCCTGCCTCAGCCTCCCAAGTAGCTGGGATTACAGGTGTGTGCCAGCATACCCAGCTATGGGATGTATTTTTAGTAGAGACGGGTTTCGCCATGTTGGCCAGGCTGGTATCTAACTCCTGACCTCAGGTGATCTGCCTGCCTCGGCCTCCCAAAGTGCTGAGATTACAGGCATGAGCCACCATGCCTGGCCATGTCTGGCCTTTGCATAACTTTTTAAACGTCATCCAAAATAAAGTACTAATGTTATAATTAACAGCAATCGGAGTGGTGATGCTCAGCTTTTCGGATGCTAAAATGAAACCTATGCTGCCAGCTGGGAGACACCCTTCCTTCCTGTCAGTGTCTTAGAAATGGGGGTGAGCAATCAGCAGCAACAGGTGGCAAGGAGAGTCCAGTAGGTAGTGTGGGAGCCAAAGGATGAACAGGGCTGAAGTCTCATTTCCAGAACAAGAAGGTCAAGGAACAGATCCTGGATTCTCCTGCCACCATGAATGCTGACTGAGAAGGCCATTCCTGCTTCTTCCTCTCAGTGATCAATTAGAGACATCAGTTACTGAATTACAACCTGGTCAGATCCTGCCCCCTCCTCTCTCCTCCCAACCTTGTTCCCTAATTGGGATTTGGCAGTTGTTTCAGGCCAGGTTTTCTTTTCACTTTATTTCTAAGGGCTCCTTCAAGGCTGAAAACGAGATGGCAATAAGATAGCTGAAAGTCCTCATCTCCCCAAAATAAAGCACAGGGAAGGACATGGGTTCAGGGGCCAGTTGTAGCACCATGTTTGAGCCCAATCTTTGAAGCTGCTGGCTGTGTTGGAATCCTGGATCCCGTTTATGAGCCTGGTGATTGTGGGAAATCAGGTCCCCTCTTTGTGCCTCATTTTCTTCATCTGCCAATGGGGGATAGTAATAGGATCTGCATCAGCTGGTTGTGGTGAGGATTAAATGAGGTAGTTCCCAGAATGTGCTTAGATCAGAGATGGCATATTGTAAGGGCTTAATAAGCATTAGCTATTATTATCCTCACTCCCTCCAAGTTCCCTCTTAAGCTCTGGAATTGGCATGTTCCTGCAGGGTCATTTGGGGAGTGACCCCAAATACTGCTCCTCTTATGGTGTTCTGCTGTATGCCTTTCCAGGATGGCTGACGGCATGTTCTACGAATAGGCAATGACGCCACCAAATGTATCTAGCACTCGTAGTTGATAACCTTAGAAACTGAGTCACAGTGCCCAGATACAAAGCAAGTGAAGAGGGTGTCCCAGAGGAAGATGATTCGTTCAGAGCCACCCTGTGGAGAATATCAACAGCACTCTGCGATATTATCCTTGACCACCTAAAATAGCAACACGCTCACCTGGGAACCTGATATAATTTCAGTGTTGCCACCAAGAGCCAGTTATAGCAGCAGCAACCCAACCATGGATGGGGCTAGCATGCCCAGGAAGAGATGTCTGAATGAACACTCTGACTCACGCTAGAACCACTATGGAAGAGAAGCAAAGGATTAAGCAGCCCAGATTCCTACTCATCAGCTGCGTAACATGCGCAAGTTACTTAATTTCTGTGGGCCCCAATTTTTATCATCTATAAGATGGAGATAATAGTGCTACCCACTTTGTGCCATTTTATGAGGATAAGAGTTAAGATGTGTACAGGACTTAGAACAATGCCTGGCATATAGTAAGTGCTCTCTTAAAAATGTATGTAATTTTCATCTACCCATTCAGATCAGTAACAGAAAAAAATAAATTTTAAAAAATGTATGTAATGCTCTAGGTTCATCCACTGCCAAACACACAGTGATGGAAGAGAAATGTAACTATCAGGGAGAGACAGACGGAGAGGGTGACCCCAAATCCACCAAGCAGCCCGCCTGGCTGTACGGTGAGGGAGAAGATAGCTTGGTGCCATGTCTTGGTGTTGGTGCTTAACCACAGTGGTTTCCCCCACAATCACCCAGAGACACCTGCAGCAGCAGTGTAGGAAGCAGGGCAAGGAAAGATAAGGAAGCCTTACTGGAGCTCTTTTGAGGGTAGGTATTGGGAGGTACCCAGGGGAAGGGCATTCATTCCATTCCAAACATCTTGAAGGAAGACCAGTTTACATTTGCATATAACTTAAGCAACATCAACTTCATTATTTTTTTCAAACAGCCTTTAGCACAGAGATTACATTAGAATAAATTATAAAACCCATCCATGGCTCTCCACACCTCTGCAATTTCCAAACTGAGTTCATGTCAGGCAATGGCCAAGGGTGCTATCCTTTTATGCTCTAAGTAAGCATGCAGAGTCCGCTGCTAGTGATACCACTCGGTGTCCCATGAATACCTCCACGCAGCCCCGTGGTTTTGCAGTGGTGAACTGCCAACTCTCAGGTTTCAAACCCCTTTTGGTTTGGCATTTTGGCAGTTGTTCCCTTCCTGTCTCACTGGCATTTCCTGGTACCCACTCTTGCTAAATTCATCAGCTTGAAGCAGCAGTACAGTGTGAGAATGAAAAGCGCAGTGCTTGAGAACCAGAAGGAAGTTCAGACCCGCTTCCAGTTTTTACTGGCTTTGCGAGTTTAGGCAAATTCCTCCATCTCTCAAAGCCTTAGTTTCCCCATAATCAAAATAGGAATCACCTGCATCTTCCAGAGCTGTCTCGGGGATCAGAGGCAACAAAGAAGTGCTTAGCACATACCTGGCAGAGTGAGCGCTGGCTAAAATGGGAGCTATTATTAGCAGGCAGGGGACAGCAGATCTGAGCCCTGCAGCTGCTCTTTTGAATCCTGACCCCTCTTCTCTCCTTCCTCCCAGTCACCAGGTTGTAGGAGTGGAATAATTCCTAATGTGTTGAAATCTGGGTGGGGCACAGGTATATTTAAAATTACAAACCATCTTGTGACTAGCCATTTCAGCTGTGCAGACTGCAAAGCACCATGTGCCCTAGGAACTAATTATTGCTACTTTGTGAAGAAATTCGGGTTGGGGACTGGAAAGGAGAAGGTCCCCACAGAGTGGATTCCTCCATGGCAGAGTCTCAGATACTGTGTGTCATCTGGGAAAGAACTCTAACGCACCACCCAGGGGAAGGGGAAGTCAGTTGTTCTCTGTTCTCCGCGTTCCAACTGGATCACTTGAGACGGCTGGGGACAGTTGAGCCAGAAACAGGAGGTACTAGGGTTTGTTTTTGGCACCAGGGAAACCAGACTCTAAACTGATCATTATCTGCTCTTGCAAAATAAAACAACAAACAACAAGAAGCAGAAAACAACCCCAGGTGTCTTTGGTCAGTATTAAATAGTATGTTTGCTTCCTTTGAAGCAAGTTCACAGAAACAGTTACTACAACAAGACTGCAGGGTATTTGGTGACCTTTTACAGAACTGGAATGAGCTCTACTTGTCTTCCAGGCAGAAACAAAACAAAGAGATCTTTGGGTCCTCTAGTTCTAAAGGAAACAGACCTTATCACTTTGAGGTCACCCTTCTCCCTCTTGTCTAGCTATGTTAATATCAAATGAAAGACACAAAAGGGTCAAACGTGCCCACGCTTATCTCTTAGCCAAATCCTGGCTTTCTTGGCTGAAAGCAAGTTTTTAGCACAGGTTGCTTTCCACCAGTCTCGGGTGAACCAGATCTTTCTCCCAGGAGTTCCCTGGGACAGCTGTCCAAGAACCTCACCCACAAAGTCCTTTTCACCAGGAAGTGTTAAGTTCCACCTGCCTGGCTTTATGAAAGTTGATGTGTCGCCCAGGGTTGAGCGCAATGGTGCGATCTCAGCTCACTGCAACTTCCACCTCTTGGGTTCAAGTGATTCTCCTGCCTCAGCCTCCCGAGTAGCTGAGACTACAGGCACACACCACCACGCCTGGCTAATTTTTGTATTCTTAGTAGAGACGGGGTTTCACCAGGTAGGCCAGGTTGGTCTGGATCTCCTGACCTCAGTTGATCCACCCTCCTCAGCCTCCCGAAGTACTGGGATTACAGGAGTGAGCCACCGCACCCAGCCCCCTGTGGCATTTCTAAGTGAGGCTGTAATATATACACACACGGAGATACATTATCTGCTCTAAAAAGAAAACTTGTGATTTTTTTTTCATTCAGATCAACCTTCCTTGGAAAATTTCCTAACCCGTTTCTTTGGTATTGGCTTTCCCCTTTTTTATTTCCCTTTCCCTTCATTGTTCCTAGGTCTTCTTTGCTCCTCTCCATGGACATTTTTGGAGGAAGGCAAACCAGCTCTACTTGTCAACTGCAAAGGCCAAATATGGGAGTAAAGAAGGTTGGACGAGCAAACCATGCCACAGCTTCAAATCTTGCAGAATATTCCCTCTGACAGCTAATGCCTCTGAACAGAGCTGTCTGGGAACATCAAGAGAAGTCTTAAGCCACTGGCTTGTGAACTCTTTTCATGCCTTTAATCCTCAAGCCTACAGAGACAGGACAATACTAAAGGGAGGGAGTGGGTCTGCAGTTCGGAAGAGCTGCTGTGCCCAGACTCTAGTGCAGCCCAGCTACCCACAGGTCTCCCGGGGTGTTCCTGGAAGCTGCCCACTTGACCCAGCCCTCTCTGCTCTGTCCCTCCCTCAGTGGTCCTGGAATGCTGACATTCAGGCTAGAGCAAGTGAAACACTGTGGGTAAGTGTAAGCAGATATGGTCCTTGGGCCTGCAGCTCCCTCAGTGACCAGGAAACATGCATCTGAGACTAATAGGACTGGAAAAGGAATAAAGGAAGGAGTCCCAGAGCCTCCCCACATGTAAGTTCCAAGTTGGAAATCCACCATGCAATGTTCTTTGTGAGCAGCAGCAGCTTCTCTCCATGGAGTGGCTGGGCACATCCTTGATGATCTCTACCTTGAGGAGAGATTCACGAATCCCCTTGGTATACAGGGAGCAAATTTCCCTGGGGCTTCTCTTGGATAACTCAGCTTTGGTACTGGAGGGGAATTGGAGCTTTGGAACAGGATGGTGGAACCATTCCCTCCCAACTCCCCCCGACCAACACCATCTAACCCTGCCCAAGAAGGAAAAAATCTTTCCTTTTCTTACATATGGGAGCCTTGGATAGAGAAACGGTTTCAGTTCATCTGGTTTTGTTTTGTGTTGTTTTTCCATGTGTGCATGAGAGCCACAAAACAAAAAAAATAAGAAAAGAACAAAACCGGGAGTGTTCACTTTGTTGTTATTGCTACAGAGATGTTTATTCTAAATTTAAATAAACGCATAAAGGAACTTCTCTAAACTTTTTGCTCAGAGGACCAAACTTGAACTTCAATTGGTGAAGGAATCCTGGAATACTGTTCAGGGGAGCAGAGAATCCCCACTCATATCCTCTCTCTTGCCCCTCTCCCCTAAGGGTTTTGATCTTTGCTGTCCACTGTTCTCCACACACGCAACAAATAGACAATGTGTCCCAACCCAAGAAGCTGAAAGTCCTGTGAAGTTCAAACAGAAAATTGTCTTAATAGGCTGCACGTGGTGGCTCACGCCTATAATCCCAGCACTTTGGGAGGCCATGAGGGTGGATCACTTGAGGTCAGAAGTTCGAGACCAGCCTGGCCAACATGGTGAAACCCAGTCTCTACTAAAAATACAAAAATTAGCCAGGTGTGGTGGCACATGCACCTGTAATCCCAGCTACTCAGGAAGCTGAGGCAAGAGAACTGCTTGAACAGGGAAGCAGAGGTTGCGGTGAACCGGGATTGCGCCACTGCACTCCAGCCTGGGTGACAGAATGAGGCTCCCGTCTCCAAAAAAAAAAAAAAAAAAAGAAAAGAAAAGAAAGAGAAAAGAAAAGAAAATTGTCTGAAGGCTGCTGAGAATAAACAGAGAGTAGCAAGGCTGCAGAGAGGCCAGAACTAATCAAACTGACAGTAGCTCCCACTGTTTCACAGGCAGCCACCATGCCCATGCTGTAAATGGATTATCCCACTTGAATATCACAACAACCTAGGGAGGAGGTGCTACATTTATCCCCCCTTTTACAATTCATGAAACAGGCAGCGTAGGATGGGGGTCCAGTGCTCAGTTTCTAACCTCACACAGTGAGGTGTATGTCCTGACCTTGGCAAACCAACTCTATCCTGTGCCGCAGTTTTCTTCTCTAGAAATCAAGTATAGTAATAGTACCAAGAGTTTCTGTGAAGAGTAAATGAGATAAGAAACACAAAGTGCTTAGGGCAGTGCCGGGTACACAGTAAATTATATTTTATCATTATAATCTCATTCACTCAGTTGGGAGGCCATGGAACCAGGATTAGACCCACATCCGGCCACCAAGACCTCTGGCTCCTGGTTGTACAATTGGATTCCAGGAAGGAAGGAGCCTCTGACAAAGCCCTGGAGGCTCGGCCTTGCTTCTCTTGCTTCAAGTACCTGCTGCTCACACAGGTCTGGGTTTTCACTCCACATGAAGGCTGGGCCAAGGCTCAGGTGGCTTCTGACATGCGTCCATCAGCAGTGAACCACAAACACACACACAAAACCTGTGAGTTCCCATCTGTCTTTGCAGTGGCCAGTCTGTGATGCAAATCCCTGCTCTGACAAGCGATTCTGGGAGGACTTTGCTGTACCTTTCAGCCCTGGTGTCCTGCCAAGCACTGTGCTTGAGGCAGCCTCATTCTCGAGCCCTGGCCTTTTGGGCACCAGTCTTTTCTATGAAAAATTCAAAGAGCTCTTTCTTCAGCCCAGCCATGCATCAGCGAAGCACGACATGGGCTTGGCTCAGCACTCCCAATCAGTGGGACTGCTGGACTCCAATCACCAGTGAGGCTGGCCCTCCTCCTACTGGCAGCTCTTTCTGGGGTATTCCCCTGGCTGGTGAGTTCACCCTGGTAACAATTCCAAAGGGACCTCTGTGATTGTTGCTAGAGCAACCATCCCCCACCCCCACATCCACTGTCAGGCAGTGCTTCCCTGAGCTTAGGGAAAGTAGGCCCCAGATTTAAGCCCATGTCACTGCTTAGTGGAGAGGATTGAGGGACATCAAGGAACTACTGCCCCCAGTGTTTTCCCCACTGGTTAGCATTCAGCCTGAGTCTTTTCGTTACAGGCCTTCCTTTAGGTTATACTTAACCTAAACCTGTGTCCCAGGTTGCTAGGACATACCTAGTTTATACCTGTTATCCTGGAATAATTGTTAATAGGGCCCCTTTCAGTCTCAAAAGTGTCTTCATTTTTGTGATAAACTATATGGTCCTCCCAGCTTCAGTACATGTTGTCTGTGGGAGGGTCCTGTTAAGATTCACATGGTCCTTGGGCATTGGTATTTACTAGCTTAGTTAACTGAGGGCAGGAAAGTACTTATGGAGATTTGGAGGAATTGCTCTAGGTTTGTTAATCTGGTGTGGGGGTTGGGGAAGGTAGGGGACAGACTTCAGATTAACTAGGTTTAAGAAAAGACCTGAGGCTTCTGATTTGGTTTGGCTGTGTCTACACCCAAAATCTTATCTTGAATTGTAATCCCAATACCCATAATCCCCACGTGTCAAGGGTGGGACCAGGTGGAGGTAATTGGACCATAGGGGCAGTTTCCCCCACGCTGTTCTCGTGATAGTGAGTCTCATGAGATCTGATGGTTTTATAAACGTCTGGCATTTCCCTGGCTTGCACTCCCTGTCCTGCTGCCCTGTGAAGAAGGTGCCTGCTTCTCTTTTGCCTTCTACCATGATTGTAAGTTTCCTGAGGCCTCCCTAGCAATGCAGAACTGTGAGTCAATTAAACCTCTTTCCTTTATAAATTACCCAGTCTCAGGTATTTCTTCATAGTAGTGTGAAAATGGACTAATACAGCTTCTATCCTCACCTCCTATGCAAACCTCAGTCTGGTCAGGTGTCATATTCCGTGGTTTTTTTTTTTTTTTTTTTTTGGAGATGGAGTCTTGCTCTGCCATCCAGGCTGGAATGCAGTGGCGTTATCTTGGCTCACTGCAACCTCCACCTTCAGGGTTCAAGCGATTCTCCTGCCTCAGCCTCCTGAGTAGCTGGGACTACAGGTGCACACTGCCACGCCTGGCTAATTTTTTGTATTTTAGTAGAGACAGGGTTTCACCGTGTTGCCTAGGCTGGTTTTGAACTCCTGAGCTCAGGCAATATGCCTGCCTTGGCCTCTCAAAGTGCTAGGATTACAGGTGTGAGCCACTGCACCCAGCCCATCTTCTGTATTTTCTAACCCTTCCCAAGGTTTACCTCAGGATTGTAATTGTCTGTGGATCTGCCAGATTTCCCAACAGACCATATATTTCCTAACAGCAAGGACTATGTGTCATTCGGTTTTCTATCCCCAGTGTCTAATCCCATGTTTTTCACATAAGAAGCACCCATTAAAATTTGTTCCTTAGTTGGGCATGGTGGCTCACACCTGTAATCTCAGCATTTTTGGCGGCTGAGGCAGGAGGATAGCTTGAGCCCAGGAGTTCGAGACCAGTCTGGGGAACATAGGGAATCCCCATCTCTACAAAAAAATTATTTTTATTTAAAAATCTCTTCCTTAATGAATAAATAAATCAAATATTCAACTTCTTCATCTGTGAAAGGGAAAACCTAGCCTTTCAAAGTTATTGTGAGGCTTTCAGATGATTTATGTAAACTGGTTAGCACATGCCTAGCAAATTACAGACTTTCATTAACTAATAATTTAGGTGCTATCGTTGCTGCTAGTTATTCAATCAACCTAAAAGCAGCCCCACTGAAACAAAGCCAGAGGACTGGAAATGCAGCTCTTAAAGAGTGTTGCCATCTTGTTGTGATGTATTATTCCTTCTGCAAGCTGCCTCTGAGGTTCCATGTCAATGAGGTTTATCTCCACGGACATGTGGGATGAGAGACGAAGCATACAAAGTGGTGTGTGCCAAAACTTACTTATGGTCATCAGTTCTTAGAAAATAAGGTAAGGCCAAGCACGGTGGCTTACATCTGTAATCCCAGCACTTTGGGAAGCTGAGGCACACGAATCACTTGACTCAGGAGTTCAAGACAAGCCTGGGAAACCTGGTGAAACCGTTTCTAACAAAAATGCAAAAAATTAGCTGGGCATGATGGTGTGTGCCTATGGTCCCAGCTACTCAGGAGGCTGAGGCAAGAGGATCACTTGAGCCCAAGAAGCAGAGGTTGCAGTGACCTGAGATCATGCAACAGCACTCCAGCCTGGCTGACAGAGACCCCATCTCAAAAGAAATAAATAGAAAACAAGGTAAACAAATTACATGAGTGGGAGGATGCACTAAGTGTTTGGGAGGGGGTTATAATACAATTGGTTGCAGAAAGCGGGGCTGGGTGTAGAGGTGGCAGAGCAAATATGAAAAATGGGAAGGAAGTTCCAAGGGCACCTTCATATGCTTTGCAGAATTCCAGGCACAAGATGATAGCTACATTCCCTATTTAATCCTTTTAAACTCCTATGAGATGGGGTATTACCCCCCATTTTCATCTGAGAACACTGTGGGGATGATGATTAGATAACTTACTTAGGGATCTATAGCTGTTGAGAAGTGCCACTGAGATTCACCCCAGGTCTGTCCCCATCAGACCTTATACACACTCTTCCCACAGCACCTGCCTTGGGACTGGGAAGGCAAGAAGGTTCTGGGATACAGTAGCTGATCTCCATTTCCTGACCCAAGCTACAAGAAGTGAGACACCACTAGGCTCACCCTCAGCATAAGACCTCGCCCATAGTACGCTCCCAGCAAACGTCAAATGACCAACGAGAACTGAGTTCAGGGATACTCTCATGAGGACATGGCAGTAGGGCAGACAAGTGCCAAAATTGAAAGTATCATTTGTATCATTCCTAGGTGTTCTTTGTTATTCTTCTTCTACAGAGATCTTGAATCAGGAACTCAGAGAGAAATGTAATTTATATATTTTGCTGGAGAACAATTACTTTTCATTTTACTTATTTTAAATAAGATGAAAAGTACCCATTTGATGCCTATAAAACATAAAACATGCCTAAATAACATGCACATAATTTACAATTCATGCTTCATGACTTTTCTTTTACTCTAAGACATTTTAAAATGAGAATTTATACTTACAGGTATAATATTTTGGATCTGGAAAGGACCTTGGCATTCATCTGATCAAACACTCTATTTTTCAGATGAGAAAGCTGAGAGACATTATTATGTGGCTTGTTGAAGGGCAGGCTCTATAGAGTGACAGAGGCTGGGATGTAGTTATTAGGTTGGTGCAAAAGTAATTGCCATTTAATGGCAAAACCGCAATTACTTTTGCACCAACCTAAGAGAAACCCAGGGTACTCCCCACCAGGCCACGGCCACAAGTTTTCAAACCATGGAAAGCAAGTCATTAATGGATAGTAAAGTCAATTTTAGTAGGCTAAATCCAACTTCGTGTTTTACTTTTACAAATATTTATAATATGCTCTAGAACAATTTTAGGTTAACACAAAAATTGCACAGAAAGTATATTTGATACAATTAATGAACTAATATTGATACACTAGCATTAACCAAAGTCCATAGTTTGGCCGTGCATGGTGGGTGGCTCACACCTATAATCCCAGCACTTTGGGAGGCCGAGGCAGGCAGATCAGTTGAAGCCAAGAGTTTGAGATCAGCCTGGGTAACATGGTGAAACCCTGTCTCTACTAAAAATATAAAAATTAGCCTGGCATGGTAGCGTGCACCTGTAATCCCAGCTACTCAGGAGGCTGAGGCACAAGAATCACTTGAATCCAGGAGGTGGAGGTTGCAGTGAGCCAAGATTGTGCCACTATACTCCAGCCTGGGTGACAGAGTGAGACCCTGTCTTAAAAAATAATAATAAAAAGTCCACAGTTTACATGAGGATTCACTCTTTTGTTGTACAGTTCTGTGGGGTTTGATAAATGTATAATGTCATGCATCTATCACTGCCCTAAAAGTGCCCTGTGTTCTGCCTATTCATCCCTTCCCTGCTCCTGAACCTCTGTCCCAACTTTTGTATATATAAAGTGGAATAGAATTTTAAAAAACCATAGTGCATACCTCATTGCAAGAGTATTATTTCATGAAACTTGTTTTAGATATATATGTAAATATATGTGTATTTAGGTTAACATGCAAAATATATTTCTTATTGTGGGTTGGAGTAAAAAAAAAGTTTGAGAAACACTCTTACTTAAAATTCTAGGGAATAAATCCAGAAAATGAATACACAGATGGAACATTTCATATATGAAACCAAAACAGGAAAAAACATTACCAAGAGACATTAAGAAAATAAACAAGCATACAAAAATTCTCTGAAGAGTACAAAGAGGTCAGAAAGTAAACGGTTTTTCCCCAAATCAGTTTTGATTTTAGCTTCTTCGCTGGGACTGCAAATCATTTCAAGACTTTAAGGTTCTCAGAGTACAAGATATGGAAAGTCTGGGCCCAGGCGGGGAAGAATGAGGGTTTCATCCCTACAAACTGATTCTGTTCAAAGTTTCAAACAAATGTTGTCTCTGGATGGTAATCAACAAAGAAAAAAAGTCTCTTCAGGAGGTTTTTAAAAATATTGGTTTCACTCTGTGGTGTCATATTTCTTATTCATCAGAAATATCATGGAACTAAGTGGGGTGTTGTTTTAACTTCATGTTATGCCAAGTGTCTGAAGATTTCTAAAGGATCCAAATTTCTTTTCCTTTTTTTTTGAGATGGAGTCTTGCTCTGTTACCCAGGCTGGAGTGCAGTGGTATGATCTCAACTCACTGCAATCTCCACCTCCCAGGTTCAAGTGATTCCTGTGCCTCAGTCTCCTGAGTAGCTGGAACTACAGGCACACGCCACCACCCCCAGCTCATTTTTGTATTTTTAGTAGAGACAGGGTTTCACCACGTTGGTCAGGCTGGTCTCGAACTACTGACCTCAGGTGATCCTTCCACCCCGGCCTCCCAAAGTGCTGGGATTACAGGCGTGAGCCACTGCACCTGGCCTTGAATTTATTCTTGAGTTAGATTCCTCAATTAAAAAAAAAAATCTCCCTTCTGTGTACAGCAGCTCTTCATCTGTCCAAGAGACATACAGAATCTAGATACACCAAAGTTTTCAGAGAAATACGGACTTCAAACTTTCAATCACACTGGGCAATCACGTGGCAATCTCTGCTTTGATGCAGTAGGAAGATGGCAGATAAGCTAAGGCTCCAAGTCCAAGCTGTGGCACTGATCACTCTGTGACCCTGGGAAGAGGTTCTCCCTTTGAATTCTTTTTCAAGAATACATATACAAGTTCTATAGTAAATAATTTTTTTTTTTGAGACGGAGTCTTGCTCTGTTGCCCAGACTGGAGTGCAGTGATGCGATCTCGACTCACTGCAAGCTCCACCTCCCAGGTTCATGCCATTCTTCTGCCTCAGCCTCCCCAGCAGTTGGGACTACAGGCGCCCACCACCATGCCCGGTTAATTTTTTGTATTTTTAGTAGAGACGGGGTTTCACCGTGTTAGCCAGGATGGTCTCGATCTCCTGACCTCCTGATCCGCCCGCCTCGGCCTCCCAAAGTGCTGGAATTACAGGCATGAACCACCGCACCCGGCTTGAATTTTTTTTTTTTTTTTTTTTTTTTTGAGACAGGGGCTCATTCTGTTGCCTAGGCTGGAGTGCAGTGGCACAATCTTGGCTCACTGCAACCTCCACCTCGGAGGCTCAAGAAATCCTCCCACCTTAGCCTCCCCCTCCTGAGTAGCTGGGACTATAGGCAGGCACTACCACACCCAGCTAATTTTTGTATTTTTTGTAGAGATAGGGTTTTGCCATGTTACCCAGGTTGGTCTCGAACTCTCGAGTTCAATTGATTCACCTGCCTCAGCCTCCCAAAGTGTTGGGATTACAGACGTGAGCCAGCAGGCCTGGCTGAGGAGCTTCTCCTTGTATGAACACTGAGCTGGGCTAAGCCCTTTGCATGTGTTTCCAGTCCTATCAACAATCTTATGACATAGAAATTATTGTACATATTTAACAGTTGAATAAACTCAGGCTCAGAAAGCTTAAGAAGCATGCTCAAAGTTACCCAGAAAGATAGTGGTTAAGCCAGATTGGAACCCATGTCCGAAAGGGCATTCACTCTTCTAAGTATCCCCAGCGCCTAATATAGTGCTCGGAAGGCTGGGTGGAGTGGCTCATGTCTGTAATCCCAGGACTTCGGGAGACTGAGGCAGGCGGATCACCTGTGGTCAGGAGTTCAAGACCAGCCTGACCAACATGGTGAAACCCCATCTCTACTAAAAATACAAAATTAGCCAGGCGTGGTGGCAGGCGCCTGTAATCCCAGCTACTTGAGAAGCTGGGGCTGCAGAATTGCTTGAACCCAGGAGACAGAGGTTGCAGTGAGCCGAGATCGAGCCATTGCACTCCAGCCTGGGCAACAAAAGCAAAACTCTGTCTCAAAAAAAAAAAAAAAAAAAAAATATATATATATATATATATATATATATATATATATATATATATATATATAGTGCTGGGTAAATAGTACAGGCTCAATAAACATTCCCTAAAGGAACGACTGACTGAAGAGCAAAGGCTTGTCAAATAATTCAGGATGGCTGTGAAGATAAACAAAATAATAATGCTATGATTATCTTTTATTGAGCACTTACTTTGTGCCAGGCACTATGTTAAAGGCTTTACATGGGCTATGTGCGGTGGCTCACATCTGTAATTCTAGCACTTTGGGAGGCCGAGGCAGGCAGATTGCCTGAGCTCAGGAGTTCAAGACCAGCCTGGCCAACACATTGAAACCCTGTCTCTACTAAAATACAAAAAAATTAGCTGGGCGTGGTGGCAGGCGCCTGTAGTCCCAGCTACTCGGGAGGCTGAGGCAGGAGAATTGCTTGAACCTGGGAGGTAGAGGTTGCAGCGAGCTGAGATCACGCCACTGCATTCCAGCCCGGGCGACAGAGTGAGACTATGTCTCAAAAACAACAACAACAAGGCTTTACATGTATTATATACACAACATACATAAAAGATTTAACACACAGGATGGCATATAGTAAAGACTTCAGTGTTACTAATATTATTGCATATCACTACAATGGTAGCTATCATCATTATAGTAAAATAGTTTTAATATTATGATCTTTTCCAGCCATACCCTTAGTGCTTCTCTCAGTCTTACTGCACAGGTCAGACTGAGGGTAAGCCCTTGCAGCAGAGAATCAGCTCCAAACCTGGTTCCTCCTTCCATTTCTTTTTCACATAGGCACAATTGCAACATGATGTGTTAGTTAACCTCTAAATTACACAAGGAGCCCCAGTGTGCTTCTCTGTGTTGGGGAGGAAGGGGGTTGCGCTCTTGTGCTCCCACCTGGTTTGCATAACGTACTTTTCTCTTTCAGAGTTAATTGAGAAAGAAGCCATGTGGTCTGTGGCAGCAGCTGGAGGAAGGCATGGTGACTCAACAGGGCTCTGCATGGAAGAGTACAAGGTGGTTCTGGGAAGCAGCAAAGATTGGCCACCCCAAGGCTCTGAGGGAGCCGCATGCAGGCTCTAAGCAGAATCAGGCCAACCCCTGGCCTGGAGGAAGTAGGGGAAGAGAGCTGCCAGTGGCAAGACCTGCTCAGGCTGTGTGAGTGGCTGTGGAGACACTGGGAAGAAGTTCTGGGGAACTGGACCGTGGGGTACTATCCTAGCACTCAAAGTTCCTTGTGACCTGAGCTAGCATATTTTACAGTGGGGAAGTAACAGGTACTGCCCATGAGGATAAGTAACATCTTGAGCTCCAAACCTTGCAATTAAACTTTCAGATAGTAACTGGAATTCTTCATGAAGCCCATGACACAGGCAAGTATTATGCATATTTTTAGAAATAAAGTACTTTATTAGAACTACAGATCTCCACTCTAGTGGTCCTATCATAGAATTCATTATCTATCTATCTATCTATCTATCTATCTATCTATCTATCTATCTTGAGATGGAGTCTCACTTTGTTGCCCAGGCTGGAGTGCAATGGCATGATCTCAGCTCACTGCAACCTCTGCCTTCTGGGTTCAAGCGATTCTCCTGCCTCAGCCTCCCAAGTAGCTGGGGTTACAGGCATGTGCCACCATGCCTGGCTAATTTTTGTATTTTTAGTAGAGATGGGGTTTCGCCATGTTGGCCAGGCTGGTCTTGAACTCCTGACCTCAGGTGATCCACCCACCTCGGCCTCCCAAAGTGCTGGATTACAGTCATGAGCTATCACACCCAGCCACATTATCAATATATTTTGAAACAGGACTCATACAAATATAATATGAAGTCACTGTTACCTCTTATGACTTCAAAGTCTTTTACCAAAAATTCTCAAGGGGATCTTAATCAATCTGCAAAGACTTACCATTAAAAAAAAATTTATATTCTCTGAGGTAGAGTTGATGACCACCTGAGTAGATAGAAGTCAGAGACTGGTGTTTGAGTCCCATTTCACTAGGACTTAATTGTGAGATCTTGGGAAAGTTCCTTTGTTTGTAAAACATGGGGAAAAATTCTTAGCCTGTATCATAAGAACTTTTTAAAAATTCACATGAGATAATGTATGGAAATTGATAAAGCACCATATGAAATTATTGCATTTTACCTACTAAAGAAACTGAGACACAGAGTGATATGGTTTGGCTCTGTGTCCCCACACAAATCTCATGTTGAATTGCAATCCAAATTGTAATCCCCACATGTCAAGGTAGGGTCCTAGTGGGAGGTGACTGGATCATGAGGGCAGTTCCCCCTGCTGTTCTCGTGATAGTGAGTTCTCATGAGATGGGCTTGTTTGATAAGTATCTGGCACTTACCCCTTTCTCTTCTTCTTGCCTGCTGCCATGTAAGATGCGCCCTGCTTCCCCTTTTCCTTCCAAGATGATTGTAAGTTTCCTGAGGCCTCTCCAGCCATGCAGAACTGTGAGTCAATTAAACGTCTTTTGTTTATAAATTACCAGTTTATAAAGATACCAGTCTCAACAGTATCTTTACAGCAATGTGAAAATGGACAAATACACAGAGTGAACAAAAGATTTGCCCAAAGTCATAATTAGCAAATGGAGAGTCAAAGATGAAATAGAAATTCAAGTGACTGGACATGGTACACGGCAGAGTTGATTCAGATAAACAATTTGCTTTGTTGAAGTCAGCATGCATGTGACTCTAAAAAGCATTAGTCCAGTGAGGTAAAAAGGAGCATTTACTGAGTGTATAGAGAGACCTCACAGTATCGACGGATGGAACACAAAGAGTTGCTGGGTTTCACCCAAATTGGCCAGAAAACTGGGGAATTCTCAGGGACAGGGTGGCTTGTCCCTCTGTGTCCCCCTTGTCTTTGCTTCTCAGCCAGCTCCAGCCTCTCCCACATTCTGTCTGTCTTCCTCGGCTCCTTCATCCTGTGTGAGGCACAACATGGCTGCTCTTTCTGGATCTAGACAAGGAAGACCACTGAGCTCCAGTACTCACAATCAACTGGCAATACACACTAAACTTCTTCTTCATGAACTAGCCTGGCTCCTCTGAGAGAACCTGGACCACACAAGTCATTTCTGAGCAAATAATTTACTCCACCTGGGTCAGGCATGTTCGACGCTGGTCTAAGCAGTGATGGGCTTCCCCACCACCACCTATCCCCAGAAGTCACATTACCTCATGTTATCTTGTACAGCTGTACCTTCCAGAGAGCTGTGGGTGGCAAGGGTGCTATACTGCCAGGCTGGGTGTTATCACATAAAGAGAGGAACTATGTATAGAGAGAGCATGCTTTGGATGATTTCATGATATATTTCAGTTATGAGATTTAAGATCCAAATTTCCTGGTCAAAAAAATCAACTCAGTTTAACTAATATTGTGTTGGGCTCTTAAGATACATGTCCACAAGTTGTGTCCACAAATAACTGTAATATAAGATAGTCTATGAAAGTTTCTTAGAAATTGTCTTATAAAATTACATGAAAGCATAAAAAAAGAATTAAGCCCTCCTGGGGGAGTCAGAAAGCTTTTACTAAGTGCAATTTGAGACTTGTCTTGAAGCTTTCATTTAATTTTTATAGAGAGGTGGAAGATGGGGAAGACACACACAAAGCAGTGGGGAAAGCATGAACAAAATATGGAGAAGTGAAATTACATGTACACTCTGAAAGTGTGAAGAGTATAGTGTGCTGAAGAGCAGCATGCAGGAGGGTGAAAAGGAAACACGTTAATTGACTCATCACAACTATACACTGGAAATTTTCAGGTGACACCTCATTTAATCTTTTTTTTTTTTTTTGAGATGGAGTTTCACTCTTATTGCCCAAGCTGGAGTACAGTGGCGCAATCTCGGCTCACTGCAACCTCCGCCTCCCAGGTTCAAGTGATTCTCCTGCCTCAGTCTCCTGAGTAGCTGGGACTACAGGTGCCCACCACCACACTCGGCTAATTTTTTGTATTTTTAGTAGAGATGGGGTTTTACCATGTTGGCCAGACTGGTCTCGAACTCCTGACCTCAGGTGATCTCCCTCCTTGGCCTCCCAAAGTGCTGGGATTACAGGCATGAGCCACCGTGCCTGGCTGCTTCTTCGTCTTTTTTTTTTTTTTTTTTGAGACCAAGTCTCACTCTGTCACCCAGGCTGGAATGCAGTGGTGCCATCTTGGCTCACTGCAACCTCCAACCACCACCTCCTGGGTTCAAGCGATTCTCCTGTCGCAGCCTCCCGAGTAGCTGGGATTACAAGCTCGTGCCACCACACCCGGGTAATTTATGTATTTTTAGTTGACATCGGGTTTCACCATGTTGGCCAAGCTGGTCTCAAACTCCTGAGCTCAAGTGATCTGCCCACCTCTGCCTCCCAAAGAGCTGGGATTACAGGCGTGAACTACTATGCCCGGCCTCATTTAATCCTTTCAACAATCCTTGAGGTAGTGTCTATTGCCCCTATTTGACCAAGGTACATGAAAGCTGAAGCCACTTTTCTACTGTACCATGTGGGGGCTGAGCATGAGAACAGATGGAGGGAAGGTCTGCCCACCATCTAAGGAGTTCATACCAGATTCTAAAGGCATTGTGAGGTCACACAATATTTCTAAACAAGGAACAGCACAAACAGATCTGAATTTTAGAAAAATAATGCTGGTAGTAATGTAGGGATTAAACAGAATATTCTTTCTCTGTCATTCATTCATTTAATTTTAAAAAATATTGAAAACTTACTGTGGGTCAAGATTGTGTTACAAGGCACTGTGGGAAAAAATGTTACATATGCCAGATGTGGCCACTAATCTCATGATGCTTATTATACTAACTTATATATGTCTTCCTCAACATATATATTCTATAAAACAAATGATGCTCCACTTATGATGGGATTACATCCCAATAAACCCATTGTAAATGGAAAATAGTCTAAGTCAAAAATGCATTTACTACCCTAATAAGCCCATCATAAAGTTGAAAAATTGTAAGTCAAACCATCATAAGTTGGGGTCTATTTGTATACTCACATACACACATATACAAATACATATATATATAGAGAGAGTAAACCTCTAAATTTTAATTATCTTTTACCTCACAAAAATAGTATATTTTTGTTTTAAAAAGTAATTTATATATTCTGGAAATATCCCAAACATATCCCTTATCAGATATATGATTTGCAGATATTTCCTCCCATTATGTAGGTTGCCTTTTTACCCTATTGATAGTGTCTTTCGGCACACAAAAGTTTTTAGTTTTCATGGGGTCCACTGTTGGTTTTTTCTTTTGTTACCTTTGTCTTTGGTATCACATCAAACAAATATGCCAAATCCAATGTCATATTTTCTCCTGCATTTTCTTCTAAGAGTAGGTCTTACCTTTAGATGTTTGATCCATTTTGAGTTAATTTGTATATATGATGTAAGGTAAGAATCCAACTTCATTCTTTTGCATATGGATATGCAGTTTTCCCAGCACCATTTGTTACAAAGATTGTCCTTTTCCCATTGAATGGTCTTGGCATCCTTCTTGAAAATCAATTGACCATATATGTGAGGGTTTATTTCTGGGCTCTCTATTCTATTCCATTGGTCTATATGTCCTCACACTAGTACCATATTGTTTTGACTACTGTAGATTTGTAGTAAGTCTTGAAATCAGAAAGTGTGAACCCCTCCAACTTTGTTCTACATCAGTTGTTTTGGCTATTCAGGGGCCCTTGAGATTTCATATAAATTTTAGGATGGGTTTTTCTATTTCTGCAAAAAAAAAAAAAAATTGGGATTTTCATAGGGATTGCATTGAATCTGCAGACTGGCTAGTATTTACACAGCACTTGGAATGCACTAAATGCCACTGAAGTGTGTACTTTAAAATGGTTAATTGTATGTTATGTGAACTTCAGCTCAATTAAAAAGAAAAGATTGGGTGATTATACCTTAAAAGCAGGTATGGGGACAGCATGAGGCAACTAGAAGGGAAAGGAGGTTGTAGTTAGAGGGAGGAAGGTTGGAGTTTAAGCCCTCTAATACAGAATAGTTGGGGGCAGGTGAAGGTCCCTGGAGTTGAGCAGATAAAAGTGCAGGAAGGGTAGGGTGCTTTAAAGGTAATCCACAAAGACAATGACCTCTAAAGTAGATTCGAGACTGCAGTTTCAGAAGCACGCACACCAAGCTGTGCATGGTGGTCATCACTGGAGTAGGGTGCAGATAGATAAGATTATAGAGGGATTTTATTATAGTAGTTTTTTTTTTCAAGGATACAGTTTCACTCTGTTGTCCAGGCTGAAGTGCAGTGGCTATTTACAGGTGCGATCATAACTCACTACAGCCTCCAACTGGGTTCAAGCAATCCTCCCCCCTCAGCCTCTTTCATAGCTGGGACTGCAGGCATATGCCATCATGCACGGCTAATTTTTTTAGTATTTATTTTTTGTAGATATGAGGTCTTGCTATGTTGTCTAGGCTGGTCTCAAACTCCTAGCCTCAAGAATCTCCTGCCTCAGCCCCCCCGTGCACTGGGATTACAGGTGTGAGCCATCCAGCATGGCGTATTATAGTATATTTTTAAGGAGAAAGAATAATAAAAAAATATTGTTTTAAAGCTGTAATTTAAGATCTTTAATCTAGGAGAGAAAGATTATAAACCAGGTGCCTTTAAAAAAAATCATCGTAGGAGTGTCAGGAAGGTGTTAGATGATACAGGCATGGACGGATGGGGGGCGGGCATGCCAGCTGGCTTAATCTCTTATTTATTTTCAGAGCAATGGCGTAGCAGTAGCACTGTGAAGCTGGGAGAAGGCCAACCCTGCTCCCAACCCCGCAGTATATGAGGACTGGTAAAGTAAACACCCCTCAATTCAAGACAGCAGCAGGGGAAGCTATGTTCTTGTAAGATAGCCAAGTTTCTGTTAAGGCAAGGAGTGGGAGACAGGCTGGGGATGTAGGATGGTTTGCTCTCCATAAAATGGGGGTTCCGGAGAGTACAGCAGAAAGGTATGAGGAGGAATGAAGCAGTGAGGGAATGAGTTTGGGGAGGCACAAGGGGGTCTGGGGACCAGTGTACAGGATAAGATGGATGAGTGGGGACACTTACATTTTAGGTACTTGTATGGAAAGAGAATAGGGAAGTTTAATGGGGAATAGCAGCCCCTAAGGGTCTAGAAAGATCTGTGATATCAACTTTAGCAATAGTGAAGCCTCTTGGGATCTGAGCAGGATGTTGGATTTAGCTGGGATGCTATGGATGGCAGAATTTGGGTAAACAATAAAATAACAATCCAAAGACAATACAAAGTTTCAGAGGCAGACACCAGCATGGATAACTCAAGGGCCCAAGAGCAAGCCAGATAGACTGAAGCAGGAGGTTTGTGTTGGGGATTAGAAAGCTGGCTCCCAGGGGTGGTGCTGGCTTTTGGAGAGCTAAGCCAAGAGAGGAGTGGGACATAATTTATAAGAAACAGGGGCTCATTATGGTTTTTGGAGGCATCGATGAAAATAGCATTTAAAGAAGATTAGTATGAGAAGTATCCACACAAAGTGGATTGGGCCAGGAAAAACTGGACACTCTGTCGGTTTTGCAACTATCCACACATGATATGGTAGAAGCTTGAACTAGGGAGAAGAAGAAAAAGATAATTTCAAGAAAAAAACGTGCAGAACTCATTTTATACATGAGAAGGGAGAAAAAAAGAGGGCGTTAAAATTTTCAAAAGTTTGAGCCTGACTGATTTGACAGTTAATCAAGAACATGGGCAGGCGAAAAAAAAAGAAACAAACAAAAAAAACATGGGCAGGGAGCCTGAAAGAAGAGGATGGGTGTAGGGGGAAGGAGGGGACAATGATGAACTTAATTTGGGACCTAGATTCATTAGACTCTTATAGCTAAATGACACTTTGCATCTGGCCATGTGGAACAACTACATTTTATAGATGAGGAAATCTTGAGTTTGAGTGACAGGAATTTTGGCTCTGCTATTTGCTAGATATACAAACTTGACAATTTACTGACCTCTGGGTCTCAGGCTGTTGTCATATCATGGCTTGAGTGAGGGGAGGATCTGCTTCCAAGCTCATTCACAAGGCTTGCAGTTCTTGCTGGCTGCTGGCTGGAAACATCAGTTCCTTGCCATGCAGGCCCTTCCAGAGAGTACTCAGAACATGGCAGCTGGCTTCCTTCAGAGAGAGAGAGAGAGACAGAGAGAAGATGCTCAAGAAAAAGCCCTAGTTGTTTTATAACCTAATCCCAAAAGTGACATCCCATCACCTTTGCCAAATTTTTTTCATTAGAAACAAGTCAGTAAATCCAGCCCATATTCAAGGAGAAGAGATTACACACCAAAAGGTGGGATCATTGGGGACCATGTTAGAGGCTGCCTGCCACAGTATCTAACAGTTATATTCTTAGATATCTTAGTCTATTTTTTGTTGCTTATAACAGAATATCTGAAATTGGGTTGGTTCGTTATTTATTTATTTAGAGATAGGGCCTTGCTCTGTCACCCAGGCTGGAGTGCAGTGGCACAATAACAGCTCACTGCAGCCTCAAACTCCTGGGCTCAAGTAATCCTCTGCCTCAGTCTCCTGAGTAGCTGGGACCACAGGTGCACACCACCACATCCAAGCTACTTTAACATTTTTAAAAATTAAAAAATAATTTAATTTTTGTTTTGTAGAGACAGAGCCTCGCTATGTTGACTAGGCTGGTTTCTAACTCCTCCTGGCCTCAAGCAATCCTCCTGCCTTAGCCTCCCAAAGTGTTGGGATTATAGGAGTGACCCACCACCCCTGGCCTGAAACTGGATAATTTTTAAGAAATGAAATTTAGTTCTCACAGTTTTGGAGGCTGGGAAGTCTATGGTTGAGGGGCCGAATCTGGTGAGAGCCTTCTTGCTGCTGGTGGGGACTCTGCAGTGTCCTGAGGTGGTGCAGGGCATCACATGGTGAAGGGGGTGAGTGTGCTCACATGCTAGCTAGGTCTGTTTTCCTTTTGTTATAAAACCATTAGTTTCTCTCCCATGATAACCTATTAATCCATGAAGCCATTAATCCATTAATCAATGAATTTATTAATCCTCTTAAAGTCCCTACCTCTCAATACTGCCACATGGAAGGTTAAGTTTCAGCATGAGTTTTGAAGGGGACATTCAAACTATAGCAATACCCATGTCTTCAATTTTGTAATTGGTTCACACATGCTGGGTAATTCAATAAATATTGAATCCATTGAGCTAGGACAGATAGAATTTGGGCATCAAGGAAGGCAAAAATAACTTTACCTACAGGAAAAATTCATTAAAATTTCCATAGAGGAAAATTAGGCTTATACTGATTTTTAAAGAATAAACAGGAGGTTATCAGGAGACAAGACGGGAAAGTTTAAGGTTATCCAGTGATTTTAATTTGGATGAGAGTTCTTTTGTACTGATTTTAAGGCTGAGTGAAAATATCACAGACATGAAGAAAATATTTTATAATTTGAAAAATCTCCAATCTTATTAAAATGTAAAATATTGAGCAACTCATAGGATTTTATCATTTGATTTCAAATATATCTTTAGAAATCCTAATAATCTAACTCAGTCTACCAGATCTTTTTTTTTTTTTTTTCTTTGAAAGAAGGTCTCACTGTCACCCAGGCTGGAGGGCAGCAGTGCAATCACAACTCACTGCAGTCTCAACCTCCCGGGCTTGATTGATCCTCCTACTTCAGCCTCCCGAGTAGCTGGGACTACAGGTGTGCCAACATGCCCAGCTAATTTTTTATTTTTTGTGGAGATGGAGGTCTCACTATGTCATCCAAGCTGGTCTTGAATTCCTGGGCTTAAGCAAGCAAACCTCGGCCTCCCAAAAAGCTGGGATTACAGGCATGAGCCATGATGTAAGGCAGTCTGCCAGATCTTGACAGCCATTTTACTAAATTAGCACTCCTAAGTTTCACTTGTTTTCTAAAAGTATTTTTATGAGCACAATGACCAACTAAAAACTTGTATGTAAAAGTTCAGAAATTTCTTTAACAGTACAATTTAGAATGCATCTAGGAAAAACACAAAGGCTATATTCTCCCATTTTCATGTCCATTATGATAAAGCTGAAATTCTAGTTGTATTTTTTATTGTCGATTTGATTAATTATATGAGCTTTGAAGGCCCCCATATTTGCCCCCACATTCTAGTACCATCCTGCTTTCCTCACATTTTGATTTGGTATTCTGGGTGCTTGGGATGAAAAAGAATATGGATGAACTTCAAATAAGCAGGTTTGGCAGTTTCCCGAAATGGCAAAAATGACAGAACATGAAGTAGGTTTCCCAAGGGCTTCTCTCCTAATAGTAAGGCCATCATTGTAGAACATGTTGTCCCATATTCTCCCCTGCGATTCTGGTCTGCTCACTGAGGCTGTCAGATCATGCAGGCTTTGCCCCATCTAACGAGGCTCCCCAAGATCTAAGCAACCAGAGGGCAGGAGCAAGCAGCAGTGGAGGCCCCAAGTAATACCATCTGGAAGAACACCGATTTTGCCTTACGGATCATTGTTCTCTAATAATTAAAAGGTTTAGTTCATGGTTTTATGGCACTATGAGCAGTAGGATGTTGGATCCAAGTGCTCAACAGTCCTCTAGCTCTGCTACCAGTGGGTTCGGTGCCTGGGAAGCAGGAGGCATGCTGCAACCAACTTGCTCGCACTAAATCACCTCCCACTCAAGGGTGGCTGCTGGCAGCTGGAAATTTGATTTAGGAACCAATATATTGTTAAGCACCATTGTTTTTGTGTACAAAGAACAATTCTGAGACTGTTTTTTTAAGCATTCTTGATGTTATACTATTATAGTGTCTCCCATTTTCTATTCATTCACTTTCTTTGAATAGCATTCTTGTCTTAGTAACTAGGAACAAAAATAAATATAAAACCTCCCATTTTACGACAGTTCATTTCCACTTCCCTGACTAAAAACTTAAAATTTATAAATTTCTTTCAAATTAGGCACAGGCTTTTTTAAAAATTTTTATTTTATTTATTTATTTATTTATTTATTTATTTATTTATTTATTTATTTATTTTTGAGACAGGGTCTCACTATGTCTCCCAGGCTGGAGTGCAGTGGCATGATTATAGCTCATTGCAGCCTTGATCTCCTGGGCTCAAGCGATCCTCCCATCTCAGCCTCCCAAGTAGCTGGGACCACAGGCGTACTGCACCACGCCCAGCTAATTTTTGTATTTTTGGTAGAGACAGGGTTTCGTCATATTTCCCAGGCTGGTCTTGAACTCCTGAGCTCAAGCTATCCATCTGCCAAAGTGCTAAGATTACAGGCATGAGCCATCGTGCCCAGTCGACATGGGCATTTTTTCTTTTTTCTTTTTTTTCAGATGGAGTCTCACTCTGTCACTCAGGATGGAGTGCAGTGGCAGGATCTCGGCTCACTGCAACCTCTGCCTCCCAGGTTCAAGTGACTCTCCTGCCTCAGCCTCCCGAGTAGCTGGGACTACAGGCACACACTGCCACGCCCAGCTAATTTTTTTGTATTTTGTAGCGATGAGGTTTCACCATGTTGGCCAGGCTGATCCCGAACTCCTGACCTCAGGTGATTTGCCTGCCTTGGCCTCCCAAAGTGCTGGGATTACAGGCGTGAGCCACCACGCCTGGAAATTTTTGTATTTTTTAAGTAGAGACAGGGTTTCACCATGTTGGCCAGGCTGGTCTTGAACTCCTGGCCTCAAATGATCTGCACGCCTTGGCCTCCCAAAGTGCTGGGATTACAGGTGTGAGCCACTGTGCCCAGCCATAGGCATTTTTTTTCCTATTGTACGTTGCTGATTTCTCTTGGGAGGAGAAATCAATAATATGGCCAACACTGATTAAAAAGTTTCCTAATTTTGCCAGGTGTGGTGGCTCACACCTGTAATCCCAGCACTTTGGGAGGCCGAGGTGGGTGGATCACGAGGTCAGGAGTTCGAGACCAGCCTGGCCAAGATGGTGAAACCCTGTCTCTACTAAAAATACAAAAATTAGCTGGGCATAGTGGCGCACACCTGTAGTCCCAGCTACTTGGGAGGCTGAGGCAGGAGAATCGCTTGAACCCAGGAGGCGGAGGTTGCGGGGAGCCGAGATCGTGCCACTGCACTCCAGCCTGGACGACAAGAGCGAAACTCCGTCTTTAAAAATAAATAAATAAATAAATAAAAAGTACCCTAATTTTAGTATGGGTAAGCAAAGAATTATAAAGAATTACAATTATATATAATTATATATATTTCTTTATAATTATAAAGAATTACAATTATATATAATTATATATATTTCTTTATAATTACAAAGATTATAAAGAAATACAACTTCTTTATGTTAATATGCAATCATCATATTTAAAGTTAAAGCTAATTTCATTTTGAAAAATGTAATATGTAATGAACACTGGGGCTATGGAAGTAAAGTGTCTAAGGAGTTCCTCTGGTCCAACATCCAATGCAGATATTCCCTCTGTATCTCTGAACAAATCCAGTGATATAATAGCTTTCTGCTCCATGAGAAATCCCATTCCATTGTCAGTTACCCCATGGTTAGGAAGACACTAGAAGTCTGTGCACAAGGCACTGTATTGAGTGTTCTGTGAGATTAAAAAAAACAGAAAACAAAAAACACCAAAGTTTTTGCCCTAAAGAAACTTAATATCTTGTTCACAGAGTTCAGACAATAATACAACAACATCAGACAAGAAATTCAAAGGGCATTAGAAAGGCACAAACCAAACCTCATGGAAACTCAGAGGGAGAAACAAGATAGCCTGTCTGGCAGAGGGAACCACTGATCCTCATGTACTGACGCTAATTTATTTCATTTACCTGTCAGAGCTTGACATATTATTCAGTGAAAGTTATCCAAAGAGGTAGTATAGCTAAAGAGTTTGGCTTTAGGTATTAGATTAGACATGTTTGGATATAAATGTGGACCCTCTCTGTCTAGCCAGGTGACCTTGAACAAATTACATAACTTCACTGTACTTCTGTTTTCTCATTTGTAAAATGGGCATAGTAAGACCTATCTACCTGAGAAGCTTACTGAAGGATTTAATAACAAAATAAAGTGCATGAGTATAGTGCCTGGTATTTGGTGTTTAAAGATGGTGGCTTTTGCTTCTACTTTTTTCCATTTCCCTTGTTATTTTTCACCAACCTTTCTCTAGAATTTTTATCATTACTAGTAATACATTTTTCTCCTAAATCTCCTCACTTTTATGGCTATCCTCCTCCATACCATCTAGTTTTCATTCTCCTGTACAATGTGCTATCTAGAACTTTACAACAATACAACTTTTCCCCAAAACAGAAAAGCTACAGCCAGGATCTGACCAAACATAGTAAACCAAACTGCTACCTCCCTTCTGACCTATACTTTTACTATTGCAATCCAAATTGCACTCAGGTTTTGTTCTGTTTTAAGCAATTCTGTGCCTTCGTTGGTTCATGGCAGGCTTGTGGTTAACTAACATTTCTAGGTACTATGTAAACTGTGAATAATCAGGCAGGCCTCTCCTGTCTTGTACTTGTGCAACTGATTTTTTTAACCTAAATATCTTTTTGTTTCTGTCTCTTGTATAAGCCTGGACTTTTGGTTGCAAGTGACAGAAAGCTAGCCGGACCTACCTTAGATAAGAATGAAAATTTTCTTTTTTTTTTTTTTTTGAGACAGAGTCTCACTCTGTCACCCAGGCTGGCGCGATCTCGGTTCACTGCAAGCTCCGCCTCCCAGGTTCACGCCATTCTCCTGCCTCAGCCTCCTGAGTAGCTGGGACTACAGGTGCCCATCACCACACCTAATTTTTTGTATTTTTAGTACAGATGGGGTTTCACTGTGTTAGCCAGGATGGTCTCGATCTCCTGACCTTGTGATCCACCCGCCTTGGCCTCCCAAAGTGCTAGGATTACAGGCGTAAGCCACCGCACCCGGCCTAAATTTTCTTTATTTGTATAACTGAAGAGCAAGAAAAATGGGACAACTGGAATGCTGACCCACCCCTTATGATGACAAATGGTGGCTTCATCTTCTCACATAGGTTTCTCCTGGAACCCCAGTTACTGGCAGCTCTTGACTCATATTGTCATAACTTGAGACGGAAAAGAAATGATTCCCTCTTCAAGTCTTCCTTCCTGCAACCATTTATTAATAGAAAAATCCCAGGGAGAGAACGGTCTGAATCAAACATGTGCCAATCATTATTGAGCTGCACTAACTCCCAAGATTGGGCAAGAAGTTGTAAGCCCTTGTACCAATTACTTAGCCAGGGAGGCCCAGGTTATGATGACAGCTCACAACAGAACTCAGGGAATAGAAAGGGAAAAGTACTTCCAAAAGAACAGAAAATACATTTTCTGAAACAAATGGAGATGGTTTACAGTTAAGTCACTTAGCCAAGCAGAGCTAGGACTGACTGAAGTCTTTTAACTGCTATTATCATAGGTGACTGGATAATCTTTTTTTTTTTTGAGACAAGATCTCACCTTGTCAACCAGGCCAGAGTGCAATGGCACGATCTCAGCTCACTGCAACCTCCACCTCCTGGGTTCAAGCAATTCTCATGCCTCAGCCTCCCAAGTAACTGGGATTACAGGTGCACACCACAACGCCCAGCTAATTTTTTTTGTATTTTCTTGGTAAAGACGGAGTTTCACCATATTGGCCAGGCTGGTCTTGAACTCCTGACCTCAAGTGATCTGCCCGTCTTGGCCTCCCACAGTGCTGGGATTATAGGCGTGAGCCACCAAGCCTCGCCTGATAATCTTTTTGAGTCAGATACAAAAAGATTATTTTTGTGAAAGAAAGTTGTTTATGTTTCTCTTCTCCCTATTTTGATAAAGAACTAATATCTTATTGTCTTTATTGCATGGACTTTTCTCCTTCCAGTTACAATCAGAGAAGGCAAATTTATATCGATAAAAAGGTTAAGAAAACGTGCAAAATATCAAATTAAATGACACAGTAATCTTAAAAGTCTCATTCAAGAAAATGTAGCCTGCAGTTACCATTATTAACATTTAGGAAGAAGAATAAGCTCATGTGATAGCATCCAGGCTACATTATGAAAGAATATAAAGTAAACCGCAATTCAAACCCAACAAGACTCAATCTCAGAGCTCCCATTTTCTAAGCCCTTAACCAAAAATGTTAGGCTAGCTGCCAGGTCGCTATTTTGAGATAGAGAGATACAAACCTATCTTACAATATATTATGCAATAAACAATATATTTGTCATCGGAAAATGCCTGGTAGCAAAGTGAAAATGAAATTAATTTTACAAGGATTTACTAACTTCCAAAGCAAGCTCATGGATCTGTCCATTGTTTATTCTAATAATCTGTGGTGTTATGATATACATTGGTTTTTATCCACAGTTCCTGGCTCATAACTCCTACAGCCCTTGTTACAGTCTTTTGTTATAATGTGAGGTGTGTTAAGCCTCAGGAGCAAGCCTCTGACCTTCTCCTGCCCTCCTTTCACCTGCCCCAAGGCAGGACTCTAATCTTCTATCTTTCTGATTGTGGGTTTTAAGACTTTTCCCAGAAAGAATCTGCCCTGTACCCTGGGGGAAGGAATGCTGATGTCAGGAAGCCTCCATAAAAACCCAAGGGAACTGGGTTCACAGAGCTTCCAGATAGCTGAACACATGGAGGTTCCTGGAGAGTGGCGGGCCCAGGGAGGGCATGGAGGTTTCACATCCCTCCCCCTGTATCTTGCCCTATGTGTCTCTTCATCTGTATCCTTCGCAATATCCTTTATAATAAACCAGTAAACACAGGTATGTGTTTCCCAGAGTTCTGTGAGCCGTGCTAGCAAATTAATCGAACCCAAAGAGGAGGTCATGGGAACCCCAACTTGAAGCCTGTAGGTCAGAAGTTCAGGAGGCCTGGACTTAATGACTGGAGTTGCGGGGTGGGCAGTCTTGGGGACTGAGCCCTCAACCTGTGGGTTCTGACAGTATCTTCAGGTAGATAGTGTCAGAATTGAATTAGAGGACACCCAGCTGGTGTCCACTGCTTGGTGCATGGGGAAAAAAAAAACCACGTTTGGTTACAGAAGTCTTCTCGTGTTGTTGATTGTTGTTGTGGTGTCAGAGTAGAGAGAAATCATAGAGTTTTCCCTACACATCACCTAAGTTACATTTAACTTGTAAAACTGGATTATTCCTTTGGCCTCTTACAGAGGTTTCTAAAGCAGCCCTCTTAAATTAACAGTGAGTAATTTGTTGTTTCTGGAAGTAATAAAAGACGTCAGTGTATGCTTATGACTTGTTTATTGCAGAAACCTTCCAAGTCACTCAGATGAGGGAAAATGCTGACCCCCATCTACTGGCATACACAGCCACTGAAATCAAAATAGGAAAAATGTTTTTCTTTTCCCTTACATGTGAATTTTAATCTGGACTCTATCACCCTTTTTTTGTCATGCACACCATTCCATAGGTTAAATTATCCTGTGAACAAAGATATAGGTGATGAATATGAGCCAGTGCTAGGATGCAGGGCATCTCTAGACTGGAACGGCACAGAACCCTACTGACCTAAGTGCTACATTTTGTGAAAAGAATTAAACATAACAATTATATTAAATAAAATGATTTCTCATCTGAGGTGAAAGCCAAGCCAGGTAAAGAAATTACAACTCTAGCCTGGCGCAGTGGCTATGCCTGTAATTTCAACACTTTGGGAGGCCAAGGCGAGCAGATCACTTGAGGTCAAGAGTTTGAGACCAGCCTGGCCAACATGGTGAAACCCCATCTCTATAAAAATACAAAAATTAACCAGGCATGGTGGCACATGCCTCTAATCCCAGCTACTCAGGAGGCTGAGGTACAAGACTGTGCCTCCAAAATAATTTTTAAAAGGAAAACAAAAAATGACTCCAAGGATTTGTGTGTGTTTTTTTTTTTTTTTTTTTTGACAGAGTCTCACTGTGTTGCCCAGGCTGGAGTGCAGTGGTACAGTCTCGGCTCACTGCAACCTCTGCCTCTGGGTTTCAAGTGATTCTCGTGCCTCAGCCTCCCGGGTAGCTGGGACTACAGCCAATTTTTGACTTTTTTTGGTGTGCATGTTTTTAGTAGAGATGAGGTTTCACCATGTTGGCCAGGCTGCTCTTGAACTCCTGGCCTCAAGTGACCCACCCACCTTGGCCTCCCAAAGTGCTAGGATTACAGGTGTGAGCCACTGCACCCGGTCAGGATTTTAGTAACAGATACTCAGCAAATAAAGGAGCATCTGTTAGGCTTTTTACATCTATTTAGTTAAAAGAGAGAATAGTATATAATCTAAACTCTGTACCCAGCAATGTAATTTGAAACATTTTTGCTAGTCCATAAATACCATAGCATTAGATTATTGGTAAGTGAGTTGGCTTTTTAGAAAGGTTATTGGAGCACAAAAAAGATGTAGTGGATGGCTAAAATATCATGTTTTAAAATGTGAATGTTTTTACTATTCAACATCTATATATGTTGGTTTTCTACAGGATAAGGAGTATTCCAGGAATTTACCTTAGCAATAAAAATTTATAGGAAGCTATCTTTAAACATTCCTATTGTCTTAGTCCATTTTGTGCTGATGTAACAGAATACCACAGACTAGCTAATTTATAATGCACAGAAATTTGTTGGCTCATCGTTCTGAAGGCTGGGAAGTCCAAGATCAAGAGGCCAGCATCTGCTGACGGCCTTCTTGCTGGGTCATCCCATAGTAGAAGAGCAAAGAAAGGACAACAGAGAGAAAGAGAGTAAGAGGATTGAACTCCCCCTCTTATAAGGAACCCCCTCTGGCATTAATCTATTAACTCCACCCTCATGACCTAATTACCTTTCATGAGGCCCCACCTCCCAACAACATTGCACTGGGGATTAAGTTTCCAACAGAGGCATTTTGGGGTACACATTCAAACTATAGCATCCATTAAACTGGGATTTTTACTCTCAATTACCAATAAACTCTTAACTTTTATATATGTGGTTACATGAGATTTCTATTATAGGGTGATGATTTTGTTTACCTTTTTTTTTTTTTTGAGACTGAGTCTTGCTCTGTCACCCAGGCTGGAGTGCAGTGGCACGATCCCAGCAGCCTCGACCTACTGGGCTCAAGTGATTCTCCTGCCTCAGCCTCCCAAGAAGCTAGGACTACAGGCACATGCCACCATGCCTGGCTAATTTTTGTATTTTTTGTACAAACAGCATTTCACCATGTTGCCCAGGCTGGTCTTGAATTATTAGGCTCAAGGGATCCCCCCACCTCAGCCTTCCAAAGTGCTGAGACTACAGGCATGACCTATCATGCCCAGCCTTACCTATTTATGTTGAGTGACTTACCCTTATCAATCATCTAATTCATTCAATCTTTCATATCTATTGGCACAAAAGCATATAAGTTTGAATCAATGGACCTAGGTGATTTAAGTAGGAACAGTATTATATTATTTTATCTTAGGGCTCTATTTAATGATAATATTTTTGCTGGCACTACCTGCATATTTGTGTATGAGTAACCTGACTTGGCAAAATAACTAAAACCCCAAACACAGTTAAATATGCCATTCTCATTAGATAGCTATCCTTCCATTAAAGTTACACTATGTTGTCTATTCCAATGTAGTACAGTTTTCTTTTTGTTTTTTTGTTTTTTGAGATGGAGTATCACTCTTGTTGCCTAGGCTGGAACGCAATGGCGCAATCTCAGCTCACTGCAACTTCTGCCTCCCAGGTTCAAGTGATTCTCCTGCCTCAGCCTCCTGAGTAGCTGGCATTACAGGCATGACCACCATGCCCAGCTAATTTTGTATTTTTAGTAGGGACGGGGTTTCTCCATGTTGGTCAGGCTGGTCTTGAACGCCTCGGCCTCCCAAAGTGCTGGGATTACAGGCATGAGCCACCGTGCCCGGCCTACTGTGGTATAGTTTTCAAAGCACTATTGTATTCATGTAAAGCTAGCATTATTCTTTAAATCTGAATACAAAAATACTAATTGTGTGGGCACATACTTTTCATAATAAATGTTGTTGAGTTGCTTCATGGTGCAAATGATGTTGGCTTAGGCTCTAGTCCAGTATCATCTACTTAAAGAGAGGTCAACATTCACTGACTGCAAGTGCCCCTCACTCAACCCTTTACAACTTCCTGTTTCTCCTACTCTGCTGATATTACTCTGTTAAAGGTTACAGATAAAATTCTTTCCAGGCCCTTGCTATTCTCCATGAATGACTACAATGGCTTCACGTATGTTCTGCCTGCCAAAAACTTAAGAGTATTTTACGTTTCCAGCCCCACTTTCTCACCTTTTCTAAAATACAAATCATTTCCATGATTGAAGCCTTTTCCAACGCCTTTGGAATATAAACCCAAACTTTTTTTTTCTTTAAAGATCAACAACAGTTTATTAGTTACACATTCCCTCAGACAAGAAGAGGAAAGTAGTGTAAGCTATGCAGGCCCACACAGGGATTGCACTTGGGAGCAAAGAGAACAAACAGGGGACTGAGGAAGGTTTTGTAGTATCAAGAAGGTGAGATACGCTTGGTGTGGTGGCTCACACCTGTAATCCCAACACTTTGGGAGGTTGAGGTGGGAGGATCGCTTGAGCCCAGGAGTTCGAGATTAGCTCTGACAACATGGTGAAACCCCATGTCTACAAAAAATTTAAAAAAAAAATTAGGCATGGTGGTGCACACCCGTCATCCCAGCTATTCGAGAGGCTGAAGTGAGAGAATCGCTTGAGCCCAGGAGGTGGAGGTTGCAGTGAGCTATAATCATGCCACTGCACTCCAGCCTGGGAAACAGAGCGAGAGTCTTTTAGGAGAAAAAAAAAAAAAAGAAAGTGAGATGTGCCTTGAATTTCAAAACAAAATTTTATTGGTTCATCTGAATAATTCTGTGGGCTGGCAGGGAACTAAAACACATTATACTCCCAACTGTTAAGACTGCAATAATATACTATAATGCTACAATGCCATAATCTACTATATACAATAGTACTTAATACAGTACATCCTCATTTGATGTCATCCATAGGTTCTTGGAAACTGTAACTTTAAGTCAAACCATTAACCATATAACAAAACCAATTTTGCCAGAGACAAATTGATTTAAATAAGAGTTAGGGTCCTATGGCATATAGTTCCTATAGCATTGATAAAATCAGAATCCCCTTTCCAACCTGTTTGAGGATATGACAACCCTGATCACTCATCCCGTTTTGCGATAAGCACCCTCTTCCTTGAATAGCATAGCATTGCACTATTGTCATTTTCTTCGGCCTCTTGGTCTTCTCTGCGGCTGTCTTTTATCTCTGGCATTCTCTAGATCCTGTGCTTATACTCTTTTCTTCTATACCTCAATAATTCCTTAATTATCATGTCTGTAGGAAAGGCTCCCAAATTCACACCCAAAGGGTTCTAGATCTCCCCATTTTCAGAGGCCTCTGGACCATTTTTACCTGGCTATTTCTTCAACAGCTAAAACTCTGTATCACAGCAGCCTCAGGCCTGGTGTGATGGCTCATGCCTATAATCCCAGCATTTTGCGAGGCCTAAGTATGTGGATCACTTGAGTCCAGGAGGTCAAAACCAACCTGGGCAACATGGCAAGACCTGTCTTCACAAAAAATTAGCCAGGCATGGTGGTGCACCAGTAGTTCCAGCTACTCAGAGGCTGAGGTGGGATGATCACTTGGTCCCAGGAGGTGGAGGTTGCAGTGAGACGAGACTATGCCTCTCCACTTCAGCCTGAGCAACAGAGTGACACACTGTCACATACACACACAAAAGGCAAAAAAACCTAGCCTCATCTTACTCCCTCTTTTTTTTTTTTTTTTTTTTTTTTTGAGATGGAGTCTCGCTCTGTCGCCCAGGCTGGAGTGCAGTGGCACCATCTCGGCTCACTGCAAGCTACGCCTCCCAGGTTCATGCCATTCTCCTGCCTCAGCCTCCCAAGTAGCTGGGACTACAGGGCACATGCCACCATGCCCAGCTAATTTTTGTATTTTTAGTAGAGACGGGGTTTCGTCATGTTGGCCAGGGTGGTCTTGATCTCTTGACTTCGTGACCCGCCTGCCTCAGCCTCCCAAAGTGCTGGGATTACAGGCGTGAGCCACTGCTCCTGGCAGGGTCCTTCTATTTCTATCTCTGTTTATGGCTCCAGAATTCTCCCTGTTGATAAGCTTAATATCCCCAAATCACTTGACACCTTCTCATCTCCTTTGAAAGTCAAGATTATCTCTACTCTCTCTGTGCGTTTTCCCTCCCATCCATTCTGAATCCCCTTAGTACTTTCATTATTATTATTATTATTTGAGACAAAGTACATCTCTGTTGCACAGGCTGGAGTGCAGTGGTGCGATCTCAGCTCACTGCAACCTCTGCCTCCCGGGTTCAAGCAATTCTCCTGCCACCGCCTCCCAAGTAGCTGGGACTACATGCGTGTACCAGCACGCCTGGTTAATTTTTGTAGTTTTAGCAGAGACAGGGTTTTGCTATGTTGGGCAGACTGGTTTCAAACTACTGGCCTCAAGTGATCCGTCCGCCTCAGCCTCCCAAAGTGCTAGGCCACCACACCATCACTAGGCCACCAAGTGAGCAACCACGCCCGGCCCCCTTAGTACTAAAATAAATAAATAAGTAAACCAAAAGACCCCAGAAAACTGCTGTAAGAGTTTCCTTCACTTCCAAACTTTCTACCTCTTTTCAATCCCACCCACTGGTGCTGGAGTAATCTTTTAAAAAACATATTTTTGAGCATATCATGTTCCTGTTTATATGGTTCCAGAATAAAGTCCAAGTTCCAATTTTTTGTTTTGTTTTTTTTTTTTTTTTTGAGACGCAGTTTCACTCTTGTTGCCCAGACTGGAGAGTGCAATGGTGTGATCTCGGCTCACTGCAACTTCCGCCTCCCAGGTTCTAGAGATTCTCCTGCCTCAGCTTCCTGAGTAGCTGGATTACAGCCATGTGCCACCATGCCCAGCTAATTTTGTAGTTTTAGTAGAGCCGGGTTTTCTCCATGTTGGTCAGGCTGGTCTCGAATTCCCGACCTCAGGTAATCCGCCCTCCTCGGCCTCCCAAAGTGCTGGGAATACAGGTGTAAGCCACTGCGCCCAGCCTCCAATGTCTTCTTGATGTCACCCTAATCTACCGTTTCAATCTCATTTGCAACCATGCCCCTATGCTGGAACCAGAAAGGCTATTCACAATTCTCTAAACCCACCCACTTCTGTGCCTTCTCTCATCCGTTTCCCTTGCCTGGAACACTGGAACATCTACTCTCAAAATCACCAAACAGGCGAGTTTGGTGAAAAAGGAAGCACCTTTGTCTAGAAAGGCTTTTCTCAAAATCACTCTTTACCTTTCCCCAGCAGCCTTTCTCTCACTTAGCTGCAATCATCTCTTCCCTCCACTTGGTCCTTGCAGCATTTTATTTGTATCAGCCAACAATTTATTTTGTATTGCTGTCTTATTTCCCCTGCTAGATTGTAAGCAAGGTTTCAAATATTGTATTCATCTCTAGTTTTTCTTCCTCCACCAGAGAGGGTCTAGTGAATGGCTGTGTTTTCAAATGTTCTGAATAGAACAGAACTTTGAAGAAATAAAAGACAGAGCCAAGATATAGCCGAGCAAAATAAGGAAAAACAAAATCAGGAATGCGTCCACAGCTCCTGATTCTACCGAATACTCTCTCATACAGCCTCGCAAGATACCCTGCTTTTCCACACAGGAAGGTCGCTTTCTTCCTTTCACATTTGATGATTTATTAATCAACCACAGTGCTGCTCAAAGTACACAGAGGGTTCGGAAGAATGAAAGGGAAAAAAGTCAGGGTCTTAATATCAAAGATCTTAACTTCAGAGGGGTGTGTCAACACATATTCCATTTGTGCTATGTGTTGCGAAGCGTAGCAGCACGAGAGAACTCGGGGTCTCTGATCATGATCATTAGTGCTGAGGCATCTAAAAAAGATGAAAATAAATTAAAAGCTATGTAGGTAATCTTAGAACCCCTAGTAAAAAAAAGTCTGTTGTGGAGTAGAAAAATTAAAACGACCGCGAAAATGAGACCTAGGGGATTGAAGTAATGTGCGCTTGTAACATCAGTAATCCCCTCTCCAACGCGGGTCCTGCTTGGGACTGACTCCACCAATCCTTTTAAAAATGAAGACATAAAAGCCATATTCCTTTAAAAAATTTCCACTGCACCGTATTGCAACGTTCGAGCACTGAGGACATTTTCACGTGGTCACAACCCTTTTTAACACCCGGACACTGGGCCGGTCCTTTCTGGCCACGAGGAACTCGCTTCCCTAAAGGAGTACCGCATCACCGAGGGCGGGCGCCTCAGCCCGGGAGGACACTCCCCAGGGTAAACTACAGGCCTCACAAAGCGGAGGGAGCTGGACGCGAAGGCTCGGCAGCGGCGCCGACAGGCTTACCCCAGGCCCACTCTAGGCCGCACAGGGTTCGCGCCACCTCCGGCCCAGGACAGCTCTCAGACGCTGCCAGCGTGGAGCTCGACCCGGCTCACAATGCGCTGGGCCCCGCAGCGTGAGCGCAGGCGCCCGAGAGGCGGCGGGGGTCGGGCGGACGGCGCGCTCCAGCCGAGCCGCCTCCCTCTCTCGGCCCACACCCGCGCGGCCGCCCTTCGCCTGCCGGGGAGCTGCGGGTGGCTGGAGGGCGGGAAGCGACCGGCCAGTCTGCACCTGCATGACCCGGTCGCGCGCCGACCCCTCCCCTCTCTCTCCCGGGCTCAGTCCTCCTTCCTCTTCCGTCCCCCTCCCTTTTCTCCGGGCTGCAACCGGGTTCCGCCCCGCTCGCGCGGCTGCCCGGCCAGCTGTGATGTCACCAGGCCACGCCCCCTAATATAAATACTGGCGTCGCTGGCGCCGCCTTCTCACACTTTCAGGCTCTGATCGCGGCCGCAGTTTTTCCTTTTTTCTTCTGCCGTCGCCTTCTCTGCCTCTTCTCATCCTTTCTCGCTCTGCTGCTCTGCAGTGTGACGAGTCCGAATCCTCTTCCCACCCAGCCCGCGCCTTTCTTCTTTTGCCTGCGCTGTTCTATTTCTCCTTCGGCCGCCGCCGCCACTGCTGCACACAGCTGGTGTCGGTGCCGCGCTTTTACCCCCAAGTCGTTCCCGCAGCCTATGGCCCAGGCCGCCTTGGGTATTTCTGCTCAAGGTAACCACATCCCTCTTTAAAAATTCCGCCGAAAAAGAGAAGACGCTTTACCCGACTCTTTGGGCCGTTATCTCACGTGAGTACCGAGCCGAGGAGCGCGGGAGGGGCCAGGACGCGGGGCTGGCCTTGGGGGGCGGCTGGGGGGCTCCGGCTGGGCCCCGCCGCCCTTAAGACGTCCCCGCAGCGCCCCGCGGCCGGCCGCCTCGAACATGGCGGCGGCGGCTGTCTGTGCCCCCGGCGGCGGCGGCGGCGGCGGGGCTGGGCGGCGGGCCGCGCCTCAGGACCTTCGGGCGGCTGCTGGACGCTTGGCGGAGCCGGAGCCGCAGCAGTTGGGGCGAGGGGGCGTGTGCCAGTGGGGGAGCGCGCGGGGGTCTCGCCGCCGGGGGTCGCCGTCCCCTCCTGGCGGCGTGCGGCCCCCACCCCTCTCCCGTGGTGCATTGCTGTTTCCGGGGAGGGGGCCCGGCCGCAGCCCTGAGGGGCCGGGGTCCCGCAGCCCCTACTCCGCGGTGCGCCGCCGCCACCTTTGCCTCCCGAAGCCCGGCGGGCGGGCGGCGCTGTGGGCTGCAACGGCTGGGGTCCTGGTTATGAATGGAGCGGGGCGGGCCCCGCGCCGGCCTCTGGTGACAGCTGCGGAGGAAGTCGGATTCCTGGGGGGCGCGGGGAGCGCGGTCCCCCTCTGGTGGAGGAAAGTTGACGCCACTTGGGGCCTGGCGGCGGGGAAGCCCCGGTGTCAGGTAGCCAGCGAGAGGCTTTTGGCCCCTTCTGGAAGCCTCGAGGCTGCTGCTCCGCCCCTGCGGCGCTCCTGATTGGGTCAAGTCGCCTTCACTCACCCCAGTCACCTCCTGGAGCCTGAGGATTAGTCACCATGGCTTCGTTTTTCCGTCCGCGCCATGGTTCCTAGGCAGAAAGAGGGAGATTGGTAGACGGGTGGCTTATCAACTACTGTCTTGACTGCCAACAGTTGGTGGTGGTAACATGTTCTAACCCTTACACGGTATCCTGAATGTGTGTTTCGTAGACAAAGCTGCTGGTTCAGAAACCCGAAACAGTCGGGGACACAGTTTACCGCCTCATGTTTCAGCACATTTAACTGAATTTTGTGGTGGCATCTTGGTTATATTAGTTCTGTGTCCCGTCGTGTTTCTATCGTGAATTCCCAGACTGGGTGGGAATCTAAGGACTCAAAGGAGGGGGAATTGCCTTGTGCTCAGCGAAGGTTGATGTAGAGGTGCATCAAAGCACAAAGTAGAAGTACATCAAAGCACATCAAATACAGCAAGGGTTGGCAGAAACATGGCTCATGATTGTCTAGAAAGGCCCTCATAATTCATTAATTTCTTTTACATATACGAGAGCGTGCAGATGCTGATCATGATTAGAAATAAGCCCCAAGGAGTTTAGGAAAGACTCCAAAAGAAAATGATTATCGGTGGTGATAAGTGAGGTCGAGTAGTCAGTGCCTTTCTCCCCCAAGGTTTTATCACATACGTTTTCAAACAGAAGGTGAAAAAGAGTTATACTTCCACCTAGATTCTGTAATTAACATTTTACCTTATTTGTCGATGCATTTCAAAGTAAAGTTGGAGACCCCTCCAACTTTAGTATGTGCATATTAAATAGAGCTCAGTACCGCTTACTATTTTTTAAATCTTAGAGGGTAAAATTCACATCAGTATAAACCCACAAGTCTTAAGTATGCAATTTGATGAACGTTGACAAAAATACAGCTGTGTAACCTAAACCTTTTGTCAAGATGTAGAACATCGCCATCACCCTCAAAAGTTTTTTCTTGTCCTTTCAAATCGTCTTCCAGTCACCACAGAGCCAACCACGATCTTGGTTTTTTTTTTTTGGAGTCTAGCTCTGTCGCCCAGGCTGGAGTGCAGTGGCACAATCTCGGCTTACTGCAACCTCCGCTTCCCAGGTTCAAGCGATTCTCCTTCCTCAGCCTCCCGAGCAGCTGGGATTACAGGCGCCCACCACGCCCAGCTAATTTTTGTATTTTTAGTAGAAAAGGGGTTTCACTGTTGGTCAGGCTGGTCTGGAACTCCTGACCTCATGATCCGCCCATCTCGGCCTCCCAGAGTGCTGGGATTACAAGCGTGAGCCACTGCGCCCGGCTGATCTTGATTTTTTTTTTTAAACCCATAGATTATTTTCGTCTATTCCAGACTTTCCACATGAATGGAATCATACAGTATGCATTCTTTGGTATAAAAGGCTTCTTTTAACTCAGCACATTTTTAATATTCATCCCTGTTGTCTTTATCTGTAGATTATCAGTAGATTATTTGTGTTGCTGAGTAGTAGCCCATTAGGTGACTGTCCCTTGGTTGTTTTTTTTAAAAATAAACTTTATTAGGCCGGGCGCGGTGGCTCAAGCCTGTAATCCCAGCACTTTGGGAGGCTGAGGCGGGTGGATTGCCTGAGGTCAGGAGACCAGCCTGGCTAACATGCTGAAACTCCATCTCTACTAAAAATACAAAAATTAGCCGGGCGTGGTGGCTGGCTCCTGTAATCCCAGCTCCTCGGGAGGCTGAGTCAGGAGAATCGCTTGAACTGGGGAGGCAGAGGTTGCAGTGAGCCGAGATCTCACCAGGGCACTCCAGCCTGGGGGACAAGAGCAGCGGGACTTCATCTCAAAAAATAATAATAATAATGAAAAATAAACTTTATTTTGGAGTATCTTAGTTGCGCAGCAAAGTCACAAAGATACAGTTTCTTCATACTTCCCACCCAGTTATTAGTAACATCTTACGTTATTACAGTACATTTGTTAAAACTAAGAAACTGACTTTGGCACTATGAAACGTTCGAGACTTTTATTTGGATTTCGCCAATTTTTCTTTAATGTCTTTTTCTGTTCCAGAATCCAAGTTACCACATTGTATTTAGTTGTCATGTCTTCCCAGTTTTCTTTGGTTTGTGACAGTTTCTCAGTCTTCCTTTGTTTTTCATTACCATCACAGTCTAGAAAAGTGCTGCCAGATATCTGGTAGAATACTCCCCTCCCCTAAACTTGGGGTTTACCTGATGTTTTTCTCATGATTAGACTGGGGTTTGGAGTTTTTACAAAGAATACCACAGAACGATTTTAAAAATCATTGGTAAAGGCATTGTGTTTTCAGAGACGTACTGATAATTTTGAGATACTAAGTTTGTAATAGTTACTGTCAAAGTGATAGAAAGTTTTTGTAGTTGGGCACGGTGGTTTGCACCTGTAATCCCAGCACTTCGGAAGGCTGATGCAGGCGGATCACTTGAGCTCAGGAATTCAAGGCCAGCTTGAATTCCTATTTTATTTTTAAGAAAATAAAATAGGCCAGGCGTGGTGGCTCATGCCTGTAATCCCAGCACTTTGGGAGGTCGAGGTGGGTGGATCGCAAGGTCAGGAGTTCGAGACCAGCCTGGCCAATATGATGAAACCCCATCTCTACTAAAAATACAAAAAAATTAGCCGGGCATGGTGGCACATGCCTGTAATCCGAGCTACTCGGAAGGCTGAGGCAGGAGAATTGCTTGAATCTGAGAGGCAGAGGTTGCAGTGAGCCAAGATCGCGCCACTGCACTCCAGCCTGGGTGACAGAGCGAGACTCCGTCTCAAAAAAATAAAATAAAATAAATTACATAAAATGCTTCTTGTTTCTTACTGACCAACCGAGCCCTCTCTGTGCTATTCTCTAAGGTGTTAGAGAATTTGCAGTGTTTACATACACCATTCTAAGTGAAAATAATTTATTTTTTTCCATACTGCCTTTTCTCCGCATTTCCATTTAACAAGTCCTTCTTCATGCTTTTTTATCCTAACTGTCCGGATAAACATTCTATCTATCCTGTATGTAAGTGCTTATAAGAAGTGCTTATCTATCCTGTATGTGTTTATAAGAAGTGCTTATCCTATGCACCTTTTGGGTCTTGCTGTGTTGCCCAGGCTGGACTCAAATTCCTGGGCTCAAGCAGTCCTCCTGCCTTAACCTCCTCAGTAGTTGAGACTATAGGTGCATACTGTCACATCTGGCTCATTTTTTCTTTTCTTTTCTTTTTTTGGAGACAGGTTCTCCCTCTGTTGCCTGGGCTGGAGTACAGTGGCACAATCTCGGCTCACTGCAACCTCCGCCTCTTGAGTTCAAGCAATTCTTGTGCCTCAGGCTCCTGAGTAGCTGGGATTACAGGTGTGCACCGCCATGCCCAGCTGATTTTTGTATTTTTAGTAGAAGATGGGATTTCACTGTGTTGACCAGACTGATCTTGAACTCCTGGCCTCAAGTGATCCACTGGCTCAGAGCCACTGCGCCTAGCCCTATTTTTTGTATTTAAATAATGCCTTTCAAATTCTAGAGCCTTCATTCCCTACTAGTATCTTTTTGTTAAATGGAAATGTTGTAGGGTTCTCACTGAGGAACATTCTGGAATGTCTGACGTTTAATGTCCATAATGTTTCACATCATTGCTCTTGGGTTGCATTAAGCAGCAAAATAGCTGTGGATATATGTATTGAGAAAAAGATGAATAATGTCTTACCTAGGGTATCTGATCCTATTCCTTAGGATAATTGAGAATGATCTGTCCCCAGCATGACTCAACTTTTTATTTATTTAGAAAATTACGTTGGTGTTGAAAGAATCAGAATGTTATGGAGTAGTACATTATTTGGAATCTAATGTAAGATTATTATCATCATTGCATGTTTGTAGGAGTTCTTTCCTCATCATCCATAAATGTCATTCATTGAGCATGTGATCAGCTTCTCCTAGATAGATGAAACATTTTGCCTCCACCAGGAGTGCCTTGATCCTGGTGAGATACACTTTAGGTATGCCTACAGTGCTTCTGAAATCCCTCCAACTCTTGACTTTATAATTTCTGGTTTTCTGGCTTCCTTCTTACCACCCCTTTCTAGCAAACACTGTCAGATTATTTTACTTGAAAACAGTAACCACTGAATTATACATAGAAACATAGGTATATCATTTTAGCTTAGAAGTGATGAGTGGTAACAATGTCTAAAACTCACCTACCATGTTGTATAGTGTGCTGTGCACTTATCACATTTATTTGTTCCTGGTGATAATAGAATGAATTATGTCCAAATAGGTTAGATATGAGAAGATAAATCTTAAGAGATTAGTTGCTTAATATTATAAGGAAGTTCTCAAGTTATTTTATGTTTTTCAAAAGTTATGTTAGATACATATATAATGCATTAGCTAAGTCATAAAATCTTTTGGTATTGTGGTGGATTTTTACATTTAAAATGTAAAAGACAAATATTTGAGGAGTAAAAGAGTGTTCTGGGTGGTTCCAAACTATTGGGTCATGCTAGTACATTATTCATATAAAGTCTTGTATATACACTAGGTTGGTGAGGGTACTTGGAATTTTTTAAATTCTGGACCACTTAAAAATGTGGAATTTTAGAGGACAAATAAAAGCAAAAATGAAGTTTTCATCTTCAAAAATGAAGGCTGGTAACTCTTGAGTAGGCAGATAAAACGACTTGGTAAGATGGCTATGACATCAAGTTCTGTGAATTTTTTATAGCAGCTTGGAAATGTTTACTGCATAAAGTACTTGGTACTGTGGTAAACCCTTTGAAAATATCACTTGTGTAATGTGACTTTAATGAAACATTGTTATAAAATGAACACGTATTCTACAGTTCATGTTTAAGTCAGCCTAAACATTTTTTTAACATAGGACTATCTTCTGCTACTTTTATTTCCTTCTTTTAGGGCGAACTTTCTGACCAAGTATACAACTACCCAGAGGGCCTAGGAGAAGTGCTGTATAGAGAGCAGTTCGACTTCAACGCTGAGCCACCTTGGGAACCTAGCTGATGATAGGGGGGTTCCATCTCCCAACTTGTCCATGTAAGTATTTGCACATTTGTTGGTGGGGAGGAGGTCTTTAAAATCGAAGGAAGAGTGCTGCCTTGCTTAGTATTTTTCAGAATTTGAAATTGCATTTACCTCTTAAAGTGCAGTGACTTTTAAATTTCTGAAATAGAGATAAGACAGTTACTGGTTACAGACTTGACTGATTTAGTTGTGTGCATTGTTTACCAATGACTGGATCATTTAAAACTATCTTGTATGCATAACTTAGAAAATATACGTTGAAGAGGGCTTTTGGGAAATAAGGTATAGTTTATCACATCATTCAACCATTTAACTTAGTGAAATGATTTTTGCTACTCAGCTGGTAGGAACAACTAACTGATTGTTTTTAGAGGACTTGCTGAAAGATGATAGAGATAGATAGAGATACATATATATATCTCAATTTATATATGTATCTAAATATGTATATGGTATTAAAATATATGTATGGTATTAAAATATAGATATTTAACAGATTTTCAAGGATAGTTTTTGACTATACTTGGTTTTCTATGTGTGAATTTTACTTTAGAATTGAGCCCCTGTGCAAAATGTAATTCCACAGTAAACTGAATTTGGGCTACTAGATTTGTGTGGGTTCATTTAAAAATTTTGTGGTATATAGACTTATTGTTACGGAAATTCAGATTTTGTTATTAAAATTTAAGTGTTTTTAAGTTTGGTCAGAGACTTAGAGGTAAGTTTTCAGGAAAGCTGAGGGTATCAGTTTTAGTGTTTCTTTAATCTGATCTTGTTAAACAGATCCCTATTCGATAAAAGTGTTTGCTCTAAGCAAACATTTGATGTTAATACAAATTAGAATTTTAGACTCAGGTTTTTAAGGCTAAAGAGAAGGAAACACAGTTTAAATAGTAAGATTTCTTGAAACCTTTGACTTAGAATGTTGGCTAGAGGGTTTCCTATACTGGCTTTCTCCTACCTGTGTAAATTTGAGCAAATGTGAATCCCAGCTATAACATAATGTTGGACTGGAACAGTTCTTTTTGTGTTAAACTGGCATAATTTCTTTTTTTGAGTGTATTACTGTCCTTGGTTATGCAGTGTAGTCTTCGGACGAATTGCATTAGCATCCTCACCTAGAACAGAAATACAGAATCTCAGCCTCACCCAAACCTGAATCAGAGTCTATATCCAGGTGGCTTGTGTGCACATTAAAGAGAAGCAGGGTCATTGCTGTTTCAATACTAAGTCAGTTGCCTAATTTTTGTTAGTCCATCTGTTCTATTTGCAACATACCTGATGTTTTTCTCCCAAGTTGACTTGGAGATATAAAACCTTTTTGGGTGGTGCAATCTGTTAAAGTTAACATCATAGTTGTGAATCCATTCTAAGGCAGAAATTTAAGAACAAGCTTCGTCTTTTGAGGAAGACCGTAATAAAAGATAATCCTTCTTTTAATTCGTGTCTCTTGCTTTAAAGAAAAGTTACCTTGCATTATAGTTAATATTTCTACTGGTGTTTCCTCTTAGAAACTTGAGAGACTATTGTCAGTGAGCTGAATGATTCTGCAAAATCAGGGAAAAGTAGTCTTTAGATTAATAATGTAGGATTCAGAAAGTCTATAGTGTCTCCCTCTTTGTGGGTAGGAGGGAATGGGAGCAGATAGAAGCTAAAGATAATTTATTCTGCAGGTTCTGGCAGTCAGAATAACTGGCTTTTAACTTTATTATGCCCGGGTACAATGCATATTATGTCAAACAAATATAACTTCTTTAAATATTCACATGTAATCTTCTCATTTTGCATGTCTAGTATTTGATGCTTTGCTATAAAGCTACAGGTCCACAATCCCTTTTTCATAGAATTCTGAAATCCAAAAAGTCTTTAAAAAAATTTTTTTATAGCTTCCTTGATGTGACCTTAACTGATTTGGGAAAAAAAAAAAAAAACAAAAAAAACTTGACCTGGATCTGTGCTGATTTGAGGCTATTTTTGTCTTTACTTATCCCATTTAGTGTTAATATTCCTAAATTTTGCTTCAGAAATATTGTGGTTGCAGGGTGCTGACTCATTCTCCTGAAGAATATTACATAACATATGTAAAGTATGTGTACTACATTATGGTTCAAAATCTGGAGAATTCTGAATTCACAAAGATACCTAGTCCCAAAGGTTTCTTGACTAGAATTTGTAAAATTGGCAAGAGAAAATTCCGCATTCCAGAAATGTGTTATCCTTACAAATCAATAAGAGTTTGCTCTATTGGACACCGAAATCCTGGGGTTAATTTTCTGTAGATCAACAATATTATTTGAAAACCATTAAAAGGAGTTAAAACAGCTTCATGGAAATTATTTGGCCCATAGCATTGCAAAGCATGTAGCTATATGAACTCTGCTTGAACTGGTCCACTAGGATTCCCGTGCAGGTAGTCTGAGATCCAGAATTGGCTTCAGAGTTAGGTTTTAAATCAACCACCTGAATTTTGATGGAATAAACTAAGTATCTGGAAATTTTGGAAGTTGCTTACATAATCCTTTTCTTTCATAATTTAGAATGTGTGTATGATGTAGTACGCAAACACTGTAAAAATGTCTTAACAAAATATTTTAAGGTCAATATCAAAGATTAATGGGCCCCTAATTGTGAAAAAGTTTTTGTGAGCCTTTTGAGAAATCCCCTAGGCCAGGTGAGGTGGCTCACACCTGTAATCCCAGCACTTTGGGAGGCCAAGGCGGGCGGATTACATGAGGTCAGGAGTTCAAGACCAGCTTGGCCAACATGGTGAAACCCTGTCTCTACTAAAAAAAAATATAAAATTAGTCGAGCGTCGTGGCAGGTGCCTGTAATGCCAACTACTCGTGGGAGGCTGAGGCAGGAGAATCACTTGAATCTGGGAGGCGGAGGCTGCAGTGAGCCGAGATCGTGCCATTGCACTTCAGCCTAGGCTACAACAGCAAATCTCCGTCTCAAAAAAAAAGAAATCCCCTAGGTCTTGATGCTGGAGTAAAGGTTTTCCAGTGGGCTAGTTTTCTATTTATTTTGGTTGTAGGTTTAATTATAATTAATGAATTAGCCTAATGGAAAATATTTTAAAACTTAAAAAGCTAAGTTTGCTTCTCATAGTGGATCCAGTGATGTGGTCAGATTCATTATCACATACCCTTTAATGTTGTGCAGTATGGAAAAGGGATTCAGTTAATTGATTTGCTTAAATGGGCTCTTAACAAGTTTGCTTTAAAAAGTTTTTTTTTTTACCTGGTTGTCATTAGTCGGCTCTATATATTCATGTAGGAACTTCAGAAGAACATCAGCATTTTAAATATTCACATTTTGTCTCCTAATCTTTAGTATTTACACATGCCTTAGTAGGAGCTCCCTACCTAATTAGGATTATTTTAACTAGGGAAAAAAAATATATATATATATATATATTTTTTTTTTTTTTGACAGAGTCTCCTCCTTTCGCCCAGGCTGGAGTGCAGTGGCACAATCTTGGCTCACTGCAACCTCCGCCTCCCTGGTTCAACTGATTCTTCCGCCTCAGCCTCCCAAGTAGTTGGGATTACAGGCACCCACCATTATGCCCGGCTAAATTTTGTATTTTTGTGGAGATGGGTTTCACCATGTGGCCAGGCTGGTCTTGAACTCCAGACCTCAGGTGATCCGCCCCCCTTGCCTCCCAAAATGCTGGGATTATAGGCGTGAGCCACCGCGCCTGGCTGGAAAGATGTTCTTTACGAATTTGCTAGTACTCCTTCCTCATGTTTCACTGTAAGTTATCAGTAGGAAAGGGAGGTTGTCCGCTGGGTGCGGTGCCTCACACCTATAATCCCAGCACTTTGGGAGGCTGAGGCCGGCAGATCATCTGAAGTCAGGAGTTTGAGACCAGCCTGGCCAATATGGTGAAACCTTGTCTCTACTAAAAATACAAAAATAAATTAGTTGGGCATGGTGGTGCACGCATGTAATCCCAGCTACTAGGGAGGCTGAGGCCTGCTTGAACCCGGGAGGCGGAGGTTGCAGTGAGCCAAGATGGTGCCACCGCACTGTAGACTAGGAGACAGTGCAAGACTGTCTCAAGGGAAAGGGAGGTTGTTGACCCTGACTGCAGAGAAAGGGGAAAATTTCAGTTTTGATATTTGGTACTTTTTTTTCTTTTCTCCCCCCACCCCCCGATTTAATTTCTCACAGATGATATTTGGTACTTTAAGGATACTGTGATATGAGCAAATGTAACAGAACATTCATTAATGGCGGTTGATACTCTTTGACCAAAAAGATGAGTAAAACCACTATCGTTGAAATACACAGTCTGTATATCCCCTTGGCATACATAAAGTAGAGTCAATGGTGTGTCAGTGCTTGTGTAAAGTAGCAGAAAAATATTCTGTAAAAGCACAATGTGAATACTAGCATATTAATGGATAAACAAGGTTTTAGAGACATGGTATTTCTTGCTTTGAGCAAATTTAGCATTTTTTTTAGGAAGGTCAAAAAGATTGGAAAGCAACGTAGACCAGTTTTTTCTTTCTTTTTTGAGACGAAGTTTCGCTCTTGTTGCCCAGGCTAGAGTGCAGTGGCGCGATTTCAGCTCACTGCAAACTCCACCTCCCGGGTTCCATCAATTCTCCTGCCTCAGCGTCCTGAGTGGCTGGTATTATAGGCATGCACCACCATGCCCGACTAATTTTGTATTTCTAGTAGAGACAGGGTTTCACCATATTGGTCAGACTTGTCTCGAACTCCTGACCCCATGATCCGCCTTCCTTGGCCTCCCAAAGTTCTAGGATTACAGGCATGCGCCACTGCGCCCGACCATAGACCAGTTTTTAAACGGGATAAATGGCTTTTGCATTTATTACAGAGGTTAGTTTAGCTGAGAAAATTAATACTGACTACCAATCTGTGTGTTCCATCACAGTCTTCACCCAACCTGATCTTGTTTCAGAGTTTTCCAGTTTGGGTCTCCCCATACCCCACCCCAGGTAAACCAATCCCTTTTGCGATATTTAACTTCCATTAGAATAAATGAGATATTGCATCTATGAAAAAGGCTTGTAAACCTTAAAATCTAGTATATGGCAGGCTACTGTTCTAAACTGGCCATTGTTCAGATAAGCCTAAGGAGACTCTTCCAAGTTGAAGTGCTTACATACTGGTGAGGCCCCAGGGAGCACAGATATTTTGTCCTTCCTCCATTCCAGGGACATCCATGCCCAGTCAAATCAAGCAATTTGTCACAAGTTAACTAAAGCAGATATTTAGCTCTCCTTTTCGTTAATCCACTGTTTTTTACATTATGCATGAGTAGAAAATACTGTGTAGCATACTGGGTTACGGGGATTAGGATAGTCAGGTTCAACCTGCCCAGGCCATAGCCAGCCATCATGAGGTCCAGCCACGTTGTGCATGCCACCACGCCCTGCTAATTTTTGTATTAAAAAATTTTTTTTTTACTATTATTTTTTTGAGATGGAGTTTCACCTTTGTTGCCCAGGCTGGAGTGCAGTGGTTCAGTCTCACTGCAACTTCTGCCTCCTTAGTTCAAGCAATTCTCCTGCCTCAGCCTCCCAAGTAGCTGGAATTACAGGCACACACCACCATGCCCAGCTAATTTTGTATTTTTAGTAGAGACAAGGTTTCGCCATGTTGGTCAGGCTGGTCTCGAACTCCTGACCTCAGGTGATCTGCCCTCCTCAGCCTCCCAAAGTGCTGGGATTACAGGCGTGAGCCACCATGCTTGGCAGTATGAGCTTTATGTTGACTTCAGATTACTTTTTATCTGCTTCTTGCTCTTTACTGCAAGGATCCTCTGATGCCCAGTTTGCAAAGATCTCCTAAACAAGTATGGTATCTTCTTAGCTCATGTAGGTTCAGCATGAACATGTTATATTTGGCATGACCAAAGGTAGGATGGGGTTATCCTGGTATGTTCAACATGGAAATTCTGACAAAACAATCACCCCAAAAATAATACTCCTAATGAGAGGTTTGCTATCCTAAATTCATGAAGAGCTCCTTCAGATAAATAAAAGGCAAAAACAAGAAACTGAGCAAAAGACTTGAAAACTGTTTGCCACTAACAATCTAGCAGTTCCAGTCCCAGGTATAGACTGTAGTCCCTAGATCAGTGCTACTTAAACTGCCAGCCAGTGGAATAAGGACTCTAGTACTAGAATGTAAAGTACCACATTGCCCAACACTGTTTTAGGGTCACATAGAAGAATAAAACCATTAAGTAACAAAGGAATGATGATTAGAGAAGGTCTAAACAAATTCTAAGGGAGAGGTACAGGGGCCTCTGAGATATTACATCTTATTTCTTTCTTTTTTTTTGTTTTCTGAGACAGTCTTGCTCTGTCACCCAGGGCAGTGGCGTGATCTTGGCCCACTGCAACCTCCACCTCCCAGGTTCAAGCGATTCTCCTGCCTCAGCCTCCCAAGTAGCTGGGATTACAGGTGCCCACCACCACGCCCAGCTAATTTTTGTATTTTTAGTAGAGACAGGGTTTCACCATCTTGGCCAGGCTGGTCTGGAACTCCTGATCTCATGATCCACCTGCGTCAGCCTCCCAAAGTGCTGGGATTACAGGCGTGAGCCACCATGTCCGGCCAGCATCTGATTTCTTAATAACCTGCTTAACTTGGTCTTGGTTGCAATTACTGTATTGCACATGTATTCTATATGTTTTCCTTGGGTGAGTAGTGGACAGGCAGGCAATGAGCTCTGCCTTAAGGTAACCAAAATAGTGTGTCTCTTTAAAGGATTATTCCCTATGCTTAATTGTAATCAGGAAAGCTAGAAAACTTGAAATTAATATGATTGTGTACTTCATGTTGTATTGTAATAGTTATCTTTAATGTTATCACATCTTAATTGCCAAAAGGGATATAAATATTTCACTTGAGTGCAGGTACACACACACTTTAGTACACACACATTTTCTCCAGAAAAAAAATTTAGTCTTCACATTGAATAGTCAAGACATTTTTAAGGGAGTCTAATTGTGTTAATTCCACGTGCAAAAATAATATTGCTGTGAGAATTGTGTATTTTGTTTTCTCATTAAGCTACATTTTAATATTTATGGTGAGGCAGTTCATTGGGCAGTCTTTACACAGGCACTTCAAACTTAGCCTGTTGGGCTTATAACTTTTGGGATTTTTTGCCCCCTTATATATTTCCTATTCATTCTTGTTCTTCTCTTTTAAAATAAATCTTTAGCAGTCACCTTTAGTCTTCTTCCTCTAAGGTTACTCAGTTTTTTCAACCTCATCACCTGAAAAATAAGTTTAGGGGTATGCATTGTGATTACTGGCTTTCTTATTGAAGCAAGCCTTGTCCTGATTTATCCTGAGTACTCAATGTAGGCTGTTGTTATTGTCTATCACTTATTTTGGGGTCCAGGGTGGCAGAAGTTTACCTGATCTTATGATCACTAAATTTATAGGATTTCCTACCAGTTTCAGTATATAGCTTCCTGGAATTCTTTTGTAGTGTTTCAGACCTACTCAAGGTCTCACATCTATGGTAGATGTCATTCTTTAGAAGCTTCTAGTGCTCTTCTGGTCAATTACTTTTAAAGGTATTCTATGTGGTAAGTAACATTTTCTGTTGTAGGTAGAATGCAGAGGGGACTTAAGCAACGTTGTATATTTTTAAAGCTGTGAGCTGGGTGCTAAGTCATCAAATGCCTATGTAAAAATAAAAGTAGAAATGCACCTAGGCATCTTCAGAGTAACAGTAATAGTGTAAATTTCAGAATATCTTTTCTCATTTTTAATGAGTAAAAATCCTTTTAGAAAAATGGTTGATGTATTAAGGTTGGGTTTCCTGCTTAGGTATCTCTGAAACAGTATTCTCAACCTTTCAGCTCTCCCTGTTCTACTTCCAGGGAGGTCTTCACTTCAGAAATCCAAGACTCATATTCATCCAGCTTGGTGTCAAGTGGGCTGTTGCTGCCAGAATTATCTTGTGATTATTTGAGAGATGTATCAGTTTCTTCTGAAGTACAATCAACTGTAGAAGCCTTTGTAGCAGGTGTGTAACAAGGCAAGTGCCCAGCTCCTGCAGCCACTACTCTTGGAGCTACCCTGTCGATGAACATGAGGACTCAGCGGCCTCATGAAAGGCTCCAGGGAGCAGTGTGTGGTTCTTTGGAGCCTTTTGTTTCTTTTGGCAGCTCTTCATGGAAAAATGTATTAAAAAAACACCCATATGAAGGTGTGAATAAGGGATGTTACATATTTTTTCTTCTCAGTTATGAGTCTAAGAGGAAATTATTAATAAAAGTAGTATTGTGGTTATACGCTACTGTATTAGTGTAAAATAACCTGAGCTTTCTCAACCGTATGTTAATAAGGTGGTTGAAAATAGCTTAAAAGTGCTTGTGAGTAGAGAATACTTTCTAGTGTCTATTGATAATACTAGACATCAGAGCTAGATTTGCTGTTCAGTTCTAATGAAGAGAATCTAAGATTTACATGGAGTAGTTTTTTTTTCAAGTTTAATATAATTAGTTCAAGGTCCAATAGCACCAGAATGTGTTGCAGCCAGTAAATCAGTCCTGTTTCTGATCTGTAAGCCAGAAGAAGTGGTACAGTTTCTTTTGGGAATTATTTCCACTCAGAATTGCAAGGAGATACTTGATATATCACCTTGGTTTGAGTCTGCATTCTTAGTGGAGGGTATGGAGACGTCCTGGAAAGAGTCCCTGTGCGGGGGTTTTTGTTTCTTGTTTTTGTTTTGAGATGGAGTCTTGCTCTGTCACCAGGCTGGAGTGCTGTGGCACAATCTCAGCTCACTGTAACCTCCGCCTCCTGGGTTCAAGTGATTCTCCTGCCTCATCCTCCTGAGTACCTGGGACTACAGGTGTGCACCACCACACCCAGCTAATTTTTATATTTTTAGTAGAGACAAGTTTCACCATGTTGGCCAGGATGGTCTCGATCTCAACCTCGTGATCTGCCTGCCTCGGCCTCCCAGAGTGCTGGGATTACACTGTGCCCAGCCCCCTGTGGTGTTGAAGATTGAGGTAGATTAACTTAGTGAATCTGGAGTAAGGTATAAACTGCTCACCCCCGAAACATGCACACTTATTTTCATGCTTGCTCCCTAGAACATGCTGTGTCTTAAGACTTTTGGTTTGACATATTGTCGCCAATTAACTTTAATACCTCCTGAAAACGTTTTGGCAAAATATTTCTTAGTGCTTTCAGTAAGGCATAAATGTCACAACATAAACCTTTCTTTTTTTTAACAATGGAACTGTAAACTATTTTTGCTAATATATTAAGAAAACTGCAAGCAGTGATCCCAGAGGTATGATTTGAGCTGCTTTTTTAGGACTCTTTCAGTGAGATTGGGGCACAACATATGAAAGACTCAAGCAACCTACCTCACCCACCTACTTGTCCCTTTTCAGTTGGAAATACTGGGTTTCCAAGTGGCATTTCATTTGAACAAAGAGTTTGTTGCCTCAAGATATATTAGAAAATTTGACCAGGCATAGTGGCTCACACTGGTAATATCAGCACTTAAGAGAGGCAGAGACAGGAGGATAGCTTGAGCCCAAGAATTAGAGACTAGCCTGGCCAATATAGTGAGACCCCATTCTCCATAAAGAGAAAAACAAAAAAAGAAAACTTGTTGCTGCAGATGTTTGTGTTTTACAGATTCTTTTGAGGAATTGGCTTTTTTTTTTTTTTTTTTTTTTGGCCTTTTAGTCTTTAACAGTAGCTGATAGTTGAGCTTTGCATTCACAGGCATGGGTAGCTTAATGACAGAGATAGATTCTGAGAAATGTGTCGTTAGGTGACATTGTGGTTGTTTGAACATCATAGTGTACATACAGAAACCTAGATAGTACAGCCTACGACACACCCAAGCTGTATGGTGTAGCTTACTGCTCCTAGGCTACCATCCTGTATACCGAGTTACTGTACTGAATACTGTTGACAGTTGTAACACAGTGGTAAGTATCTGTGTATCTAAACATAGAAAAGGTACAGTAAAAATATGGTATTATGAGACCACCTTCATATATTTGATCTGTCCTTATTAAAAATGTTGTTATGCAACGCATGACTATACATCTGGATTGCTTGCATATCAAAGTTACGGGCTTCTTTTAAGAATGTGAAAGAGCTGGACAGAGTGGCTCATGCCGGTAATTGCAACACTTTGGGAGGCCATGGTGGGAGGATTGCTTGAGGCCAGGAGCTTGAGACCAGCCTGGGGCAACATAGTGAGACACTATGAACAAAGAGTTTTCTACAAAAAATAAAAAATTAGCTGGACATGATGGCATGTGCCTGTAGTCTCAGCTACAGGGACTGACTGAGTGGAGGTGGGACTGAAGGCTGTGGTGGGAGGATCGCCTGAGTGGTTGAGGCTTCGGTGGGCTGTGATGCCACTGCACTCCAGTCTGGGTGACAAGAGTGAGACCTTTTCTCAAAAAAAAAAAAAATGGGAAAAATTGAGCTACTTTTTCAATACACTTCCAGGGAGTTCATTACCACCACCCCTAAGTTTAAGAACTCCCCACTGTTTGTTGTGAAGTCTTTTGTCCATTTGTTTCTGAGTACCTATTCTGGGCTAGGAATTTACAGCAATCTCAAAGCCTTCAAGAGAGCATCAAAGAAAATAAACCTCCATTAGAGCTTTATTGTTTTTTTTTTTTTTTTTTTAAGAGATGGGTTCTCCCTATATTGCTCAGGCTGATCTCAAACTTCTGGCCTCACAAAATCTTGCCTCAGCTTCCCAAAGTATTGGGTTCAATCAACTACTTTATTGTAGTTCTCTGTATAATGAAAGAAAACAAATGTTAATGTACTACATCTGTGGATTCAGGTGATCCTTAATCCATTTTGTCAAGTACTGCCAATATAGCAAATGAATTTTATTTCATTTTTGCAACAGAATGATTTTGTCACTCAGCTGGGACGTGGTTAACAACTCTGCTGTTACTTCTGAAGTAACAGTTCCATTTCAAAGATGAATAGTCAACTCCACAAACATTTTATCTTTCCTTTAGAAGAGGTCATATTTTTTCACTATTTTTATTTATATTGATAATGACACTATATGTCAGCTGTTTTGGTTTAGCCTTCAGTTGATTAAAATTATTTAGCTTCTATAAAAGTCTTAATTTATAGTGACAAGAAGCTGGTCAGTGGTTGCCTGGGGTGGAGTTGGGGATTTGCTGCAAAAGGGACATCATATGAAGAAAGGCTGTGAGTAGGCGTGATAATGTTTTTATACCAGTGTGAATAAACTTAGCATTTTTCAACAAGTATGAGTGTTCATATGTCTGAAAGGGGTTAGTTGATTATGTGGATATGATAAAGTTCTTTTAAAGAGACTGAGAACTGTGTTGGATTTCCCAAAAAAAAAAGGAGTCCTGTGTTTTATAGGGATGGGGTGCTGGGGAAGCAAGGTTTTCATATTGTTTTAAATGTAGTTTGATCATTAGTATCTCTAGAGCTAACCTACTTAATTATTCTATTCCTCAGTATATCAATGGAGATAATACCGTCATTGTGGTTTTAAGGGTTAAGAGAATTAATATTGAATAGATGAAACACTTAGGCTGGGAGACTGCTATAAACATGTTTACTGTTAGATTTAAGCTAGCTTAGCAGGCAGTCAGAGTTGAACCTATGAAATTATATGGTTTGAAAATATTTGGGAAAAAATATCTTTATCCATATCATCATACTACTGTAGCAGAAGCTCTGAAGAATGTAGGTAGTCAGCCAGTAAGACTTGATCCAGTGGGCCTGATGTTTTTATAAGTACTGAGGATCCTGACTGTTAAAGGAAAATTACCCTTCCTAAGAACACTATGGTTGTAGGAAATGGAGGTTTATCTTATCCTGACTTAAAAGCTAGACCTTCTGTATTTGGCAGCAGTTGTGTGTTGTCGTTTATAATCAATAACCAAAGGTTTTCAACTAAGTACTAAATACTACATATATATTAGACTATGCCCAGAGACTTAGCAACAGCAACTGAGATACAATTAAGTCCTCATTGAACATCATCAGTAGGTTCTTGGAAACTGCGACTTTAAGCAAAAAGACATAGACAGCAAGCCCTCAAATAACATTTCATTATAATGTTAAGAAAAAAAATGGTTTCGTTTTACCTCTTACTTAAAAGACACAGTTTGCAAGAAGCTATTGACATAAAGTGAGGACACAATTTACTTATTTTTTTTTCCATTTCAAAGTATTTTATTTAGGCCAAAAGTCTTGATTTCGTATTTTTTCATTTATTAATAGTAAGATAAATGAAAACTGGCTGCTATGCCAAAAAGGTTAGTGATGTTAAACTTAACAGGAAGTTTCTACCTTATTTTCTTATATTTATCTTTTTAAATGAGTGACCTTTATTTTTTTAATTGTTCTTAGTGCTCAGTTGAATATCCCCCCAAAATTGGTGCTTTAAATTGCTTAAAATAAACATGTATTCTTAGCCTAAAATGTCTATATTTTCTGGGCACAGATTTACAGCAGTCCTGTTATAACAGTCTTTAGAGAATGTGCAGGCTGTGATTTGACGTCACTGCACAGGTATTAGGTCTATTTAGATAGGCCTCAATTAACTTGGTAAAATAAAAACATCCTAAACTTTTCAGTCTGTGCTATATGGCATGAAAGATCTGATGAGTTGAACTGAATGTAGTTGGCTTCTTGGAAATGAAGCTGTTAGTGTTTGAAAAGTTAAAACTGAGTATTTGTATTTCATGAAATTTGACTAATACAGCTTATTAAGGACTGTTTTGGTGCAGCCAAAATGCTGACACTTTTAAGAACCATCGAAATGGAGTATACTTTCAGGACAGTGGCCATCACCCAAGGGTGAACTCTAGTTTGGGGCATTAGGGAGGGTGGAGGGGGGTGGTGGGAGGAATCAAGGACACAGGAAAGGATGTGCAGGTTTTAAAACAGGCTGCCCAGACAGCTGGTCAATGGCCATTATTAATGTGGCAACCAGAAATTAGTACCAGATATTGAGTAGTATCCTGTCTGGTGGACCTGTTTTATCTCATTTATGTCGAAGTTATTTCCTAAAGTAACCTAAGGACCAGTGAAGTTCAACAAAGAAGATAAACCTTTATGTCAGTATAGTATGTGCTGCCTTAGGACAATGAGTGCTCCGGGGGAGTGGGCAGGTTTATTTCATTGATTTGAGTGGAGAGGGATAGGATTTAGCCTAAAGTCTTTTTAAAAATCAGATTACTTAGTAACTGGCTCAGGATGTACAGATACCTAATTTACAAATGTAGTTTCTAATTGTGTTATTTTTGCATTTCTGGTAATTGACAATTTTAGCTCTATTCTAGCCAGCACTGAAACAGATGTTTTTAATTTATATGCTCTATGATTTTTTTTTTTTTTTACAACAACCTGTTGAAGAAATAATTAAGGTAGTTAACTGAGGTTTAGAGAAATTGATGTAGATTCTCCTAAATGATATAGCCAGGACGAGGTCTTCTGACTCCTAGTCCAGTGATTTCACCAAAGCAACTCACCTCATAACATTGCTAACTTGATACAGCTAGTACTATTTTAGCTTGAGGTAAGGCTTAGGCAGTCTGTATCAAAGCTTCAGATTGTTCCCTCAAGCCACCCTCCACTCTCACCCATTTTTATTACTTTCACCTATTTGGGAATTTTTTTTTTTTTTTTAGGAGAGACGGAGTCTTGCTATGTTGTCCAGGCCGGTCTCAAACTCCTAGGCTCATGCAATCTACCGGCCTGGGCCTCTCAAAGTGCTGGGATTACAGGCATGGGCCACCATGCCCGGCCAGGACTTTTATTTATAAGACATTTATCTGCAATTACCTGGCAGTGCTAATACGTGGCTGACAGTATATTGGAAGTTGAGACTGGTATTTTGATTTCTTGGATGCAGATACTTATTTCACTAGCTTTCTTTACTCTTAAAATGGGTAAAATTATGTGTGTTATAGGAACGCAAAACAAGATAATAATACAGATTGGGTCTGCAACTCTGTAAGTAAGGTGACCATATAGGCTTGTAATACATTGTGTATATATGTGAGTTACCCCTTCAAATTATATTGACCTTTTTGGGTAAATGTATTTTAATTCATGTATTTGCTTTTTTAAATGGGCGTTAAAGGAAATTAATAATCTGATGTTTCTGAAATTGTAAAATTGCGTAAATTCCTCACTAAATTAGGCACTTAGCACACTTTCATTGACTCGTACATTATGTCTATTGAAATAATACAGACTTTTATATAACTTATATTTTGACAGTTTGTTGCATATTCTAAGGACCCAGACATAGGCTTGGTGGCCCGTCTCTTGTCTTTCCTGGTTTATGACTTTCGGCTTTGTGGAATACGGCTGAGATGAAAGGATTTATTGATGATGCAAACTACTCCGTTGGCCTGTTGGATGAAGGAACAAACCTTGGAAATGTTATTGATAACTATGTTTATGAACATACCCTGGTAAGTGCCATTTCTCAAATACAGTGTTTGTCATTTTCCAAGCTCTGAAACGAGTGCTTTTTAATTTCCAAGATGGTAATCTGATCAGAAGTACTTGGTTCATATGCTATCTGATTTAACTTGACCTTCCTCCCCCACACCCACTCCCCTTGAGTAGTGATCCATTTTTCTTTCCAATCCACATTATTTTAAAATCCTCCCTATGGCCCTTTACCTTCTATGCCTTTTAGCATCTGGCACCCACATATGTTCTGTTTATTCTGTTGATGTGATGCCAGCCAACCTTCTAATCAGTACATGGCTTCTTACTCATTTTTCTCAATTTTCTTTTTTTTTTTTTTTTTTGGAGACGAGTCTCACGCTGTCGCCCAGGCTGGAGTGCAGTGGCGTGATCTTGGCTCACGTGCAACCCTCGCCTCCTGGGCTCAAGCAGTTCTCTCTCAGCCTCCTGAATTAGCTAGAATTACAGGCGCACACCACCACACCCGGCTAATTTTTGTATTTTAGTAGAGACGAGGTTTCGCCATGCTGGTCTTGAACTCCTGACCTCAGGTGATCTACCCACCTCAGCCTCCTGAAGTGCTGGGATTACAGGCACGAGCCACCGCGCCCAGCCTCAATTCTTTTTTTTTGCTTGCTTGTTTGAGATGGATTCTTACACTGTTGCCCAGGCTGGAGTTCAGTGGCACGATCTCAGCTCACTGTGACCTCTGCCTCCTGCGTTCAAGCAATTGATTTAGGATCCTTATGCCTCAGCCTCCCGAGTAGCTGGGATTACAGGTCTGTGCCACCATGCCCAGCTAAGTGGTTTTTTTTTTGTTTTTTGTTTTTTGTTTTTTTTTTTGAGATGGAGTCTCCCTCTGTATCCCAGGCTGGAGGGCAATGGCAGTATCTCGGCTCACTGCAACCTCCGCCTCCCAGGTTCAAGCGATTCTCCTGCCTCAGCCTCCCAAGTAGCTGGGATTACAGGCGCCCGCCACCATGCCCAGCTAATTTTTTGTATTTTTAGTAGAGGTGGGGTTTCACCATGTTGGCCAGGCTGGTCTCGAACTCCTGACCTGAGGTGATCCGCCCACCTTGGCCTCCCAAAGGGCTGGGATTACAGGCGTGAGCCACTGCGCCTGGCCTAAGTTTTTGTATTTTTAGTAGATGGGGTTTTGCCATGTTGGCCAGGCTGGTATTGAACGCCTGACCAACATGTGATCTGCCCGCCTCAGCCTCCCAGAGTGTTGGATTAACAGGCGTGAGCCACTGTGCCTGGTCTCAGTTGTATTCTTCAGTGGATATTAATTTACTTTCAGATAATTTTGGTTGTGTATGTTCATTGAGAATTTGATAATTTATCCTGAGTACTTACTCTCTGCTGCTCTAGGAGTCAACTTCTACAGAATCATATACTCACTGCTACTTAAGGTGATTTTCTTTTTTTTTTTCTCTTTGAGACGAAGTTTCACTCTTGTTGCCCAGGCTGGAGCGCAGTGGTGCGATCTCAACTCACTACAACCTCGGCCTCCCTGGTTCAAGCGATTCTCCTGCCTTAGCCTCCCAAGTAGCTGGGATTACAGGCGCCCAGCACCAGGCCCAGCTGATTTTTGTATTTTTAGTAGAGACAGGGTTTCACCGTGTTGACCAGTCTGGTCTCAAACTCCTGACCTCAGGTGATCCACCCACCTTGGCCTCCCAAAGTGCTGGGATTACAGGCGCGAGCCACCGCGCCCAGCCTGGTCTTTTTTTTTTTTTTTTTTATATATATATATATTAGACTTAACTGATACAATCTTTCTTTATTGGAGGAAATTTCCTGTATTCAACCAAACTTGTTAGATAATTGTTTTCATGTTACCGGTGTTCAGTAATTGAATATCCAAAATTTTCTCCTTCTCTTGACCTTAAGTCTGCAGACGTGTTCATCTTCCCCTCATCCTAGCAAAAATCCCTTTGTCTTCCTCTGCCATTCAACTTGTTAAAACTTGACATATTGGTCATGAAACTTGTCATATTGGTCAACCAATTTCTGCCAAGCCATTCTTCAGTTGCCACTGGGAAGCTCCTAGTCAAATTCTGATGATCATTTTTATCACTTAACTTTATTCTTCTGACTTTTTGCAACACTTTTCGGGGGTCAGATATAATCTTTGAAATATTCCTTCCATCCCACATCTAAATTAACCCACGTTTAGTAGCATTCAATGAGGATTACTCCTCAACCCCATTCTTTTCTGGCTCTGGGGTGACACTTCTGTGTTCTCTAAGTCATTCAGTCCACCTTTTGTTTGTCCTCTCTTATTTAACCTTGGTCTTGCCTTCATAACATCCTGGTATTCATCTCCTCCATTCCCACTATCTATCCGTCTTTGCACATGTCATTATAGTGACCTCCTAACTTATTTCCCTTTTCATCGTCCTATTGTTTGCCCAAGCCTGCTTAATTTTGTTGAATATTCATTAAATACAAGGCTTCCCTGCTCCCTAAATTTGTTTTTCGTTGCCTACTGAGAATTTTCCAGACTCACATCATGCCTAAGAAAGGAAGCTGAATACCTTGTTGTTTCATCCCATTTCTCTTGTGGTTCCCGTAAATACCTTATTTTTTCCCAAATTAAATATAAACTTTGTGTCTCCGGAATACCATAGATATCATATCTTGGGAGGATGGATAACTTAATACAACTGTTAAAATTCTGCTGCACATAATGTGCGTTTTGCATTTATATCAGTTGGGCACTATATTCTAATGACATTTTCAAATACTGTGAATTAAAGAGTTGAAAACAGTAACATTGTCTTCATGGATTCTCAAACAGTATTTGGATGTTGTACGTCCTAAATAAGATTTTTTTGCCTGCTATCTAACACTGAGTAATATATGTTCTGTCCAACTGCATAAGTCATCTCTCTAGTCCTAGAATAGCCACAACTTTAAGGAAGATTATTCTTATTCAGGCTTATCTGATATTTGGTAGACTTATGTACTTTTAAAATCTAATTTTGACATCTCCATGTGCAGACTAACAACCTTGTCTTTTTAAAAATGGTTTCCTGGTTGGTCACGGTGGCTCACACCTGTAATCCCAGCACTTTGGGAGGCCTAACATGGGAGGATAGCTTGAGCTCCAGGAGTTGGAGGCTGTAGTAAGCTATGATTGCACCACTGCCCTCCAGTCTGTTGCTACAGAGCAAGACCTCAACTCTTGAAAAAGTAATAAAATAAGAGGTTTCCCAGTGAAGATGGTCTCTTATTTTACCATGTTGTCTTAAGGTGCAGTTTTAATGGCGATATATAGCTTGTTTTATTTAGCATTTCTGATTCTACTTACTGTATTAGGAAATTATATCCTGAACTGCCAAAGTATTTTAAACAGTGGGGGAAGCATGGGAGAAAATAGGTTCCCTTCCTTCAACTGCCAAAAAGTAAAATCAAGGCAGTTTCATTCTGACTTTTGTCACTGTAATTGATAATAGTTTTTTTATCTCAAAGGGGAGAATATTTTATATGCTAGTGTAGCACAGCAAAAGTAATCAAATATAAGAAGAAAGAACAAATGTATTCAGAGTCTCTTTTAATGTTTACTAAATCTAGTTAACAAGCTTTAAATGTATTACTGTATGTAAATATATGTCTTGACCCATATATTTGTGGAGGAAAAGAGGTGTTCTTTCCTGTTTTGATACTTGATTTTCAATGGTTTTTTGTTCATATTTGTCTTTTTTTTTATAACCATAATAGACAGGGAAAAATGCATTTTTTGTGGGAGATCTTGGAAAGATTGTGAAGAAACACAGTCAATGGCAGAATGTAGTGGCTCAGATAAAGCCATTCTACACAGTGAAGTGCAACTCTGCTCCAGCTGTACTTGAGATTTTGGCAGCTCTTGGAACCGGATTTGCTTGTTCCAGTAAAGTAAGTATTTTTCATTTTTTAACTAAACTGAAACATTGAATAATTTAACTTAATGTAGTTACAGCGGTTAGAGAACAAATGCAAGGAAGTTTGACTTTTGGATGGAGTTTCAAAATAATTGTTTAAATCTCCAGCCTCATGTTGGAAAATTACAAGCTTTTCAAGTGCACCAATGAAAGGGAAGTTTCAGTGTAATGAGCCTTTGAAACGTTTTATCTTTATTAATTGAAAACTTTAATTTGTTCCTCATTCTTAGGCTAGAGCTACTTCTAGACCAAACTACAGCAGATATCTAAACTCTGAGATTTCTTTGGTGCTTCTTTTTAGTAATGTTTAGGCCAGGAGCGATGGCTAACACCTGTAATCCCACCACTTTGAGAGGCTGAGGTGAGAGTTGCTTGAGCCAGGAGTTTAGGATCAGCCTGGGCAACATAGTGAGACCTCGTCTCACTTTTTATTTATTTATGTTTTTAAATAAAAATATTGGTTTGGCTAGGCACAGTGACTCATACCTGTACTCGTAGCACTTTGGGAGGCTGAGGCAGGAGGATCACTTGAGCAGCCCCAGAGATGGAGGCTGCATTGAGCTATGATTGTGCTATTGCACTTCAGCCTGGAATACAAAGAGTGAGACCCTGGTTTTAAAAGGGGTGGGGGTAATAGTATTAGAGGAAGCATTACCAGAATATGAACTGTGACATTATGTATTCTCACTTTAACCTCATTTTCACAGAATGAAATGGCTTTAGTGCAAGAGTTGGGTGTACCTCCAGAAAACATTATTTACATAAGTCCTTGCAAGCAAGTGTCTCAGATAAAGTATGCAGCAAAAGTTGGAGTGAATATCCTGACATGTGACAATGAAATTGAATTGAAGAAAATTGCACGTAATCACCCAAATGCCAAGTAAGTATAAAATTAAGTACTTGAAAATATTATTTAGCACTTAGAGGGTTGGGTTTGTCTTTTGTCTGGGAAGAAAGGAGCATTTGTGGTAGGGCAATGATGTGTATCATAATTATAACTTATTTAAAGGGCCTCTGTGGGAAACACTAGTAACATTTTATTGGCTCTCTACCTCTGATCCTTCATGTGGAATTGGAATTTAAAAAAATAAGAGCAGTTTGGGGATATGATCTAATAATCTTCAAGGAATCCTTGATAGTTGGTGTGATAATCAAATTAGGGCCATGGCTGTATTTTCATTATTTCTATAACTTTGTTTGATGTTTGATAACGTTAGGAACAGGATAAACTTTGGTCAGCATTTTTTCCTGTTTAGCTGAGGATTTAATCTACCCTAGGCCATAGTTCTTGAATGGTCATCTTTACTGACAGTGTCTTCGAAGCCTAGACCATAGATTTGGGGGGTTTTGTTTTTAAGGCTAATACTTTTATTTTTGAACATGAAGTTTAATTTTTTACTTGCATCTTCATGTATCCAGAGAATTTTTTTTTTTTCTTGATTAGAAAGTTTACTTTTTAAAGGCTGGGCGCAGTGGCTCACACCTGTAATCCCAGCACTTTAGGAGACTGAGGCTGGTGGATCATTTAAGGTCAAGGTGGCCTGCGCCTGTAATCCCAGCTACTTGGGAAGCTGAGGCAAGAGAATCCCTTGAACCCAGGAGCCGGAGGCTGCAGTGAGCCAAGATCGAGCCACTGCACTCCAGCCTGGGCAACAGAGCAAGACTCCCTCATAAAAAGGTTTACTTTTTTAAAAGCAAAAAGATTTAAGGCAAATTTTATGTTTTCACAAACTGGTATATCGAGAGGGCTTAAGAATATGCTAAAAGCATATTGAATTATGCAGTTGTTGGCTTACTTTTTAATGAGTTATGTGTGTTTCCGGAAATGAATTCTATCTGTATTTTCTTTGTATGTCTATAATTTTCATACTGACTTTAATGGTGTACTTAAGATATCCTGACAGCATTGATTACTCTGGTAAATCTTTGTGTGGATAAAAGCCTTGTTGGGAAAATTCTAGGGAACCACTTGTTTTTCTAAAAAATATTGTTCTGTGATCCTCTGAAGACAAGCTGTGATTTGTGATGTTTAGTATGTTAGATTGTGGACTGGCATCTTCTTGATGGAGCTGATTCTAACCTTAGAATAATTTTTGCTTTCATCAATCTTGTCCTCTGATTATCAAATTAGGGCCATAGCTGTATTTTCATGGCCATATTATTAACCTTCTTAGTTTATGTAATTATTACATCCATAGGAAAACAGTTACACAAAAAGAATTTGTATATTTTCAACTTCTAGCAGTTTGTAATTACTCAGCTCCTGAAATTAAAGAAATTTAATCAGTTTTAGTCATCTTGTCTTGGTTGCCATGGTTTGGAAGGAAATACCAAATAGATTTGAATCAGTAGACTAGAAGGCTGCTGTTTAAACACATGAAATAATTTTTTAAAAAGCTTTCTGGGTTGGGCGCAGTAGCTCATGCCTGTAATCCCAGCACTTGGGGAGGCCGAGGCGGGTGGATCACTTGAAGTCAGGAGTTTGAGACCAGCCTGGCCAACATGGTGAAACCCTGTCTCCACTAAAAATAAAAAAAATTAGCTGGGCGTGGTGGTGCACCCTTGTATTTCCAGCTACTTTGGGAGGCTGAGGCAGGAGAATTGCTTGAACTCAGGAGGCACTCTCATGAGGCGGAGGTTGCAGTGAGCTGAAATTGCGCCACTGCACTCCAGCCTGGGCGACAGAGTGAAACTCCATCTCAGAAAAAAAAGAAAAAAAAATTTAAAAAATGCTTCCTATTTTTTTCCAGTTAGAGACCTGCTGGGATGTAACAATGTTAGTAGGAAGAATGTTTGCAGTAACCATGGAGGTTTAGCTAGTTAGCACAATCAAAGAAATTTGAAGACATTTAAAGCCCTGATATTTTTATTGAAAGACAATGATGGCATTGCTATTCAATTTAGTCTTCCTAGGTGGATTTATGGACTGATGGACTTCATTTGAAAGTAATGTCGTCTTTCATTACAGAGCCCAACCAACTCTTGATGCTACAACAGAGTCTTAACTTGCTGCATTTTCCAAAATCCCATCCTTGTAAGCTTCATGCTTTAGGCCCTAATTGCTAGTTTTTTCTCTATACAGGATTGTTTTTCATTAGGTTCACTTGATTCATCCGTCGCTGGATTTGGGAGCACTGGCAACATAATCAACACACTTCCTACAATCTTCAGGCTTCACATGTGCTGATGATGATGTAAACCAACTCTGCCCCAATCATCTCCCCTTCTCTTAGGGTCTTACTACATATTGCAACAGAAGATAATATTGGAGGTGAAGAGGGTAACATGAAGTTTGGCACTACCCTGAAGAACTGTAGGCATCTCTTGGAATGTGCTAAGGAACTTGATGTCCAAATAATTGGGGTTAAGTGAGTATTTGTTTTAAACTTTTAAAGCTGTGAACATTTTATGGTGGTAACCTGTCTTTCTGGTTATTGATTTAAGACTTTATTTGCATGAAATCTAAGATGCAATTTTTTCTAGTCTTTTAACACACATGTATGTGTTTTCTTCTTAGTTTAGGCAAAACAACTTAAATATGCCTTGTCCCTTTTCATACTGTTTTGTGACTGTACCTCCTTCCCCACAATAAAAAGAATAGCAAATAATATTTTGATTCAGTTAGTGCAGAGTAACTTAAATCGCCGCCTTTTAAATTGGATGGGAGGGGATTTGCTAGAATTCTTAATGAAAATAAAAGTGTCAGACTTTTTTGTCCTTTTAACGATTACTCTGGGGGACTTCAATAAATTAGACTTTGCTTTAGCCTTTTAATTTTATATGTGAGGAAACCGAGACTCCAAGAGGTTCAAATACTTGATAATAGCCTCAGAACTAATTACAGGCATAGTAACACTAAGCCCTAGATGTTATTTGCCAGCCCATTGCTACTTTTACTAAAGTAAAAAGGTCTTGCTTTTTCAAACACTCACAAAGATGTATTGTGTATCTTTCTTTAATTTTATTATTTATTTTTTGAGATAGTATCTCATTCTGTCTCCCATGCTGGAGTGCAGTGGCACGATCACGGCTCACTGCAGCCTCAAACTCCTGGCTCAAGCAATCTTCCTGCCTTGGCCTCCCAAAGTGGTGGGATTACAGATGTGAGCCTCTGTGCCTGGCCTTATTGTGTATCTTTCTATACTACTTTGTACATAAATAGGTGGTAGTCTTTTAAACAAAGAATGGGATCATGCTGTGCCTTACACAATAGATAACATTCCATGTCAGTCTAGTTTTAAGTTTTAATTTAAGTCAACATAAAAATTAATGAAGTACTATCTCGAATAGATGAAGGGAAAAGAAGAATGGACTTTACGGGTACAGTTCTATGGATTTTAGTACTTGTGTGACCACTGCCACAATCAGGAAGTATTCTATTCTGAAACTTTATCACTAGTAATACTAGTGAATAATAGTAATGCTGTTACTCAGCTTGATTAATGTTCATTTTTATTTATTTCACAACAGACACATTTTTGTATTTGGTTGGGTAAAATTGAATGTTCAGTTTTATGCTCAACTGAATGTGATACGATTTGGTAGTGCTTGTTACTTCACTATATAAACATAAAAGTGCCACATATACATAAAAGCACACCTTATTGTATAACCGTGGAACAGTACTGATAATTGACTTATTGTTAAGAATTTTTGTTTATAGAATTACAGTTTTATCTTGGCATTGCCTTTTCTATAAAGCTGGTACTGTAACTTTTGGGTAATTAGAAGCTAATGCTTCTAATACTTTAAATATTTGGTAAAGTTAATGGGGATACTTAATGGTATGAATATGATGAGTGACAGTTGAAAGAAATTACAGGAGGTGTCTCTACAACTTTCTGCTCCTTTAAATTTAGTATTCTATGTGTTTCAGATTTCATGTTTCGAGTGCTTGCAAAGAATCTCAAGTATATGTACATGCTCTATCTGATGCTCGATGTGTGTTTGACATGGCTGTAAGTTCTTTCTTTTAAGTTATTTTGATATTTTATTTTAGCCAGGATGTTAAGTTAAAGACTAAGTATTTTCTGCCTGTGTGAATTACTCTGACTACATTCAACGTGACACACACCTCATTTTTATTATATAAGCATTCAGAGCTCTGTACAGTCACACCTTTTAAGCAGGTAAAGGAGTGAAATAGTAATTTACTTGCATAAGTCTAGAAGAGAGTACAAATAAAATCAAAGAGACAGCATACCTAACATTGAATAATCTGTTTCTATCAGTAAAAAACCAAGAATTTGCTGTACTAAAGATCAGAACAGATATTTACCTCCCTAGGAGGGGGTTTTTAAAATGTTCTCATATCCATTACAATTTGGAAAAACATTTAAATTTTTTTTTTCCATCTCTAGGGAGAAATTGGCTTTACGATGAACATGTTAGACATTGGTGGAGGATTCACGGGAACTGAATTTCAATTGGAAGAGGTAAACTTCTCAGTAGATGACATTAACAGAATAATTGCTTTCTTTGTTACTTAAGTGGTGGATGTGTAGAGCAGGATTTTTACAATGGCAGAAACTAAACCCTATAACATCTCTTTAAAATTATGTTCTTAGAAAAGGAATAGGCAGTTAGTAGACCTAGCTAACTTTGAAAAGTTTGATAGAATTCTTTGAACATTATCATAAAACATTTTCTATTTCAGTTGTGTTTCTGTACTTAATGGCACAAATGATTTAATACTTAGAAAACTTCACTACTACCTTTTTTTTTTTTTTTTTAAAGTCTTCCTGTGTTGCCCAGGCTGGAGTGGAGTGGCGCAATTATAGCTCACTATAGCTTCCAACTCCTGGGCTCAAGCGATCCTCCTGCTTCAACCTCCCAAGTAGCTGGGACTTAAAAAAAAAAAAAAAAAAAAATTGAGTCTTTCTATATTGCCCAGGCTGGTCTCGGAACTCCTGGCCTCAAATGATCCTCCTGTCCCCAAGTGATCCTCCTGCCCCAGCCTCCCAAAGTTTTGGGGTTACAGGTGTGAGCCACCACTCCCAGCCAACTTTAGCATTTAGGCCAGATACACGTCACACCTGTTTCTCACCTTCCTGCTCTGCCCTCCTTCCTTCTGTGATATCTAGAAACTATGATTTGAAAATTTTACTTCTGTTTTTAGTGATCAAGTATAGAAAAATGACTTAAAAAAAAACAAAAACAAATACCAGTGGGTATTTGTTATTAGAGCTATTTTTAAAATTAATGCCATTCTGATAGTTACAAAATAAACTGACTTGAAAGCATGCCTAATTAATTGCTTGGAGATAACTACAAAGTTGCTAAGGTTCATGATCTGTGATTGGAACTGCTTCATTTTCCTAGAAAATTTTGTTAATATCAATCTCTGAATATTGCGAATTATCTAATCCAATATTGAAACCATACTGTGGCATTTAAAATCCATAGGTTAATCATGTTATCAGCCCTCTGTTGGATATCTACTTTCCTGAAGGATCTGGTGTTAAGATAATTTCAGAACCCGGAAGCTACTATGTGTCTTCTGCATTTACACTCGCAGTTAATATCATAGCAAAGAAAGTTGTTGAAAATGATAAATTTCCCTCTGGAGGTAAGTTATAAAGTTTATAGTTTTATTTTTGTTGGTAGATAATTGCAGTTAGTCTGGAAATGAGCAGATGGTCATGAAGTTGTAGGTGGTTTTCAGCTTTTAAAAATCTTAAAACTGGCCGGGCGTGGTGGCTCACGCCTATAATCCCAGCACTTTGGGAGGCAGAGCCAGGTGGATCACAAGGTCAGGAGTTCGAGACCAGCCTGGCCAATATGGTGGAAACCCCATCTCTACTAAAAATATAAAACTTAGCTGGTCATGGTGGCGCACACCTGTAATCCCGGCTACTCGGGAGGCTGAGGCACAAAAATCGCTTGAATCCGGGAGGCAGAGGTTGCAGTGAGCCAAGATTGTGCCACTGGACTCCAGCCTGGGTGACAAGAGTGAGACTCCGTCTCAAAAAAAAAAAAAATCTTAAAGCCAAGGTCCCATTCCGTAAGACTTCCAAATCCAACTTTCTTGGTACTGATGTTTAGATACGTGTGTTTTAGATAAATGTCTAGCAGATGATTAATTCTCATCCATTATTCAGAACTACTTTTATTGTGATCTTTTCTGTTCTCCTTACCTCACATGGGTCAGAGGGAGGCTCTGTTTTCACACTTTCTCACATAAGGGCCACAAAGAGTCCCTGTAATCTAACTCAAGTCAAACCAACAAAAAGGCACTAGACAGTACCATCTTGTTGGCTAATATTGTAGGAAATACTGTTTTACATTAAGAAGACTTTTTTTTTTGGCTGTGGACTAATCCACAGCCCATAGGAAAGTTGTCCATTTCCCCAATATTGTCTTTTTTTTACAGCTTTGTTTTTCCTTGCTTAGAATCCAGTCCAGGACCACATTGAATTCGTCATTTCTCCTTGAATCTAGATAAAGTTTCTCAGCTCATTACTTTGTATTTTTTAACTTTGACATTTTTGAAGAGTAGAAATTTCATAGCTGATCCTTAGTTTGGGTTTGTTGGATGATTCCTCATGATTAATTTTTTAGGCTATGCATTTGGGGCATGAAGTCCACTAAAGTGTTACTCTGTTCTTCTCACTTCATCATGTTAGGAGGCACATGATAGTGGCCAATTCTAATATTGATGATGCTAGGTGTTTTTTCTTGTTGTTTTGTCGCCCAGGCTGGAGTACAGTGGCTCCATCAGGGCTCATTGCAGTCTCCACCTCCCGGCTTAAGCAGTCCTCCTACCTTCAACCTCTTGCATAGCTGGGACTACAGGCATATGCCACCATGCCTGGCTAGGTTTTTTTCTATTTTTATTTTGTAGAGGGTTTCGTCGTGTTTCTCAGGCTGGTCTCAAACTCCTGAGCTCAAGTGATCCACCTGCCTCAGCCTCCCAAAGTGCTGGGATTACAAACTTGAGTCAATACACCTGGCCTTATGATTTTTTTTTTTTTTTTTTTTTTGAGACTGTTTTGCTCTTGTTGCCCAAGCTGGAATGCAGTGGCATGATCTCAGCTCACTGCAACCTCCACCTCCCAGGTTCAAGCAATTCTCCTGCCTCAGCCTCCCAAGTAGCTGGGATTACAGGTGCGTGCCACCACACCCGGCTAGATTTTTTTTTTTTTTTTTAATTTAAATGCTAGTTTTGAGCACTTGTTTAAGGTTGTGTCAGGCAGGTTTCTTTCCATTGTGAAGTGGCAAGTTTAAATTAGAGACTCTGTAAACTACCTGTTTTTAACCAGATTTTCACCCCATTAGTTTTAGCATCTATTGTTGAATTTCTAACTTCATTATTGTTTATATTAGTTGGCCTTTACTTAAAGAATATCTTTTCCTTCCCTCCTGTTTATGAGTTTAGACTCATAGATCTTTATTCAATAGGTTTATATAATCTGTTACTCTTATTTTTCCCTTGACATGTCTCCATTATTCTCAGAGCAATTCGTTATTTTTTGGTATATCAAGATGTTCCAGGCTCATTTTAACCTTTTAAATGAGCCTCAGTCCCGTAATCAGTTGTTTCTCCAGGGAGCCTTGGTTTGTTTTCGTGGAGAGTGATATTTTAAAAACCTGAAAATTAGTATTGGTTGTGCTAAGAGTAGAGTAGCTGTGAGTAGAATGGGCGTTTTCAAAGGTTTCAAAGTGAGGTGAGAGGATCTATTGATCCCTGAAGCTCGAGGCTGCGGTGACCTGTGATCACGCTACTGCACTGTAGCCTGAGTAACAGTGAGGCCCTGTCTCTACACACACACACAGATTCCCACTGGCAGTGTATACATGTGAGCTCTGGTTGCTCCTCCTGCTCTCTGATGTTTTGTAGTGTCAGTCTTTAAGTTGATCCAGTCAGTAGGTTGGTGGTAATGGTAGTCCATTGTGGTTTTAATTTGCATTTACCTGATGACTAACGATGTAGAGCACTGTTTTCTTTTTCTTTTTCTTTTCTTTTTTTTTTTTGTTTTTGAGACAGGGTTTTTGCTCTGTTATCCAGGCTGGAATGAGTGGCACAATCTCAACTTTTATTTTTAATTCTACATTCAAACACATATTTAACTCCTTGTGCATATATTGCCTTCCCCTTGCTGATTTGAAAAGAAACTAAAAAGTGTTTTTCCTTGCTGCTTCATTTCCTCTTTTTTTGAAACAGCAACTATCAGAAAGTCTTCTAGAATCTTAATACTTTTTTCTTTTTTTTTTTTTTTTTTTGAGACAGGGTCTCATTCTGTCACCCAGGCTGGAGTGCAGTAGCACAGCCTTGGCTCACTGTCTCACTGTCTTACTGTAACCTCCGCCTCCCGGATTCAAGGGATTCTAGTGCCTCAGCCTCCCAAGTAGCTGTGATTACAGGCATGCACCACCACACCTGGCTAATTTTTGTATTTTTAGTAGAGATGGAGTTTTGCCATGTTGTTCAGGCTGATCTTGAACTCCTGACCTCAAGTGATCCTCCCACCTCAGCCTCACAAAGTGCTAGGATTACAGGTATGAGCCACCGCATCCAGCCCTAGAGCACTCTTTTCTTGTGCTCATTGGTTATCTTCCTTTGTGAAATGCGTGCTCTATGTGTCTTTTTAAGTTTAAATAGTTTGAGAAATGTGAAAATTACATTAATTTGTTTCATATGAGCCATTTTATTAAAAATTCATTTTCCCCTTTCCTGTTTTATTCCAGTAGAAAAAACCGGAAGTGATGAACCAGCCTTCATGTATTATATGAATGATGGTGTTTATGGTTCTTTTGCAAGTAAACTGTCTGAGGACTTAAATACCATTCCAGAGGTTCACAAGGCAAGTTTTATCAGAAATATCAAAACCTATTTGGCATTTTATAAGCTGAGCTGTTATTTTTAAGATGCTTCCCAGTTTTTTGAAAAACATCTTAGAATGGGGAAAAATGTCCTTTTTGAGGATTTGCGTTCTTCTGGTGGAGTCCCTTTTTTAGTTTGTTGCCTTTACGTGGAGTTAATGGTACCATCGAGGCTTAAGTAGCACCCTGCCCTTGGCTCTAGGCCTTTTTTCCATGAGCACATTGGATCTGAGACAGTGAAAATACTTATTTACTCACAAATTCAATACCTGCGTAAGTATGAGTAAAAATTAAATTGTAAAACTTTTCCTACAGAAATACAAGGAAGATGAGCCTCTGTTTACAAGCAGCCTTTGGGGTCCATCCTGTGATGAGCTTGATCAAATTGTGGAAAGCTGTCTTCTTCCTGAGCTGAATGTGGGAGATTGGCTTATCTTTGATAACATGGGAGCAGATTCTTTCCATGAACCATCTGCTTTTAATGATTTTCAGAGGCCAGCCATTTATTACATGATGTCATTCAGTGATTGGTAAGGTGATTTTATTTTAAGGCAGATGGGATATTTGAACTGTCCTTTTAGACTTGCTAATAAGTTTTAATTCTGTAATGAATGCTAAACTTAGAAGTACAGTCATGTATTGCCTATACAGTGTAGTTACTTAATGATGGGAATTTGTTCTGACAAATACAACATTAGGCGATTGTATGATGGCATAACCTACTACATAATCTAGGCCATGTGGTATATTGATCCTAGGCTACAAACCTGTACAGCATGTTACTCTGTTTAATACTGTTGGCAGTTGTAATGCAGTGGCGTTTGTGTATCTTAAGTTACTTAAACATAGAAAGGATAATACATTGTGCTATGACATGATTGCTGCGATGTAACGAGGTGATAGGACTTTTTAAACTTCACTGTAATTTTACGGTATACCACAGTCATATGTGTAGTCTTTGACCAAAACATCACTCTGCAGTGCATGACTATCATAGAAAAATGATGATCTTTTAAAGGTTTTTGGAAGACTAGTTATAATCCTGTTTTATTATCCATTTGTTATGTGATTACGTGGTCTTTGGGCTTAAACTGAGAATTTAGCTGATTTTTTTTCTACGTAGGTATGAGATGCAAGATGCTGGAATTACTTCAGACTCAATGATGAAGAACTTCTTCTTTGTGCCTTCTTGCATTCAGCTGAGCCAAGAAGACAGCTTTTCCGCTGAAGCTTAAACAGGCATTAACGCTTCTTTAGATCTGAAGTTGCAGGTTAAGCTTGTCTGGTCAACATTCCAGTGTGGAAAAATAATTTAAACAATCTTATTCTCTTAATTCTTTTGGCAACAAAAACTATTAGTAATAGCTATTTGGGACCAGACAAAATCAGCTTTCATCTATAATTCATTGGGGATAATGGGAGATTTAGATAATGTATCCAGATTTAAACCTACCAGTTTGTCCTACCCCTTAAGCGTTTAAAATAAAATATGCAACAAAATGGATGACTTAGTGGAGATGGAAGCCCATTAATTGGGTTCCCCATTAAATCGTTTACATACAAGAACACAGTTTTTATACTAAGGATTTGTGTTTAAAGTCTTGTAAAGTTCATGTCTTTCACCCAGATATATCAAATGTTAGAAGACCAGTGTGACTTCATTAGATAACGTTTAGTGTATTTAGAATGTGTAAATTTGTGCTTTGAACTGTAGTTTAATAAATGTAAAATTGCATCATAGTATTTGTTGACCTAATGTAACCCTTGTATGATTGCAATAAAATTTTGTGTAGATTTTACTGTTTTTTCAGGCTAAAACTTTGGGAAAGGGGCTAGCTAGCAAAGGTAGTTTTGAAATAGATGTGTATATGGACTGTTTTGAAGGGTTTTTTTCTTTATAGCCCAGTTAAGTTTTGTTTGGCTCGGTGCATTTTTCATTTATTTAATTAGTAATTTAAGTAAAGTGTTTGGTAAATCATTGTGAAGTTCAGATTCATTATGGAGAGTTGATGTGCAGTAAGCATGATGTTTAACAATTTTAACACCAAAAATGTTAATCCTGCATAAATCAACTGTAATAATAAATAGGTGTTTCTGTATAGATAGAATGCATAGAGTACCTTAGTAAATCTTTGAATCACAATCTTTTGGCTGAAATGGAAGATTCTGTTAAATACTTTGAATAAACTTGGGGGGAGGGAAATAAAATTGCAGAAAACTGCAGAGCACTAAAACTTAAAGAAGGGCTACATCTTTATCCAGAAACCTGTTGCTCTTTTGCACGGAATGTTTAAATTCAGAGTTGGGATGGGGGTTGGGGTGAAGCACACTTATTATCTTCAGTTGCAGTGATTTCAAATTTAGGATTTTTTGTTGTTGGTTTGAACTGTCCCCTTAGTTTCTTGTTATTTCCAATTTGTTCTGCTTAGTCATTACTTTTAATTCTTTTCTTACTAAAATTTTATGGTGGTTGGGGGAAGGGAGTTAGCATCACTAACCTGACAGTTGTTGCCAGGAATTTGCTTTGTTTACTGCTAGTATATTAGAAATCCTAGATCTCAGAATCACAATAGTAATAAACAACAGGGGTCATTTTTTCCTAACTTACTCTGTGTTCAGGTGTGGAATTTCTGTCTCCCAAGAGGAAATGTGACTTCACTTTGGTGCCAATGGACAGAAAATTCTACCTGTGCTACATAGGAGAAGTTTGGAATGCACTTAATAGCTGGTTTTTACACCTTGATTTCGAGGTGGAAAGAAATTGATCATGAATCTCTAATAAATTTAAATCTCTTAAACCAGTAGGTGCTTAATATTTTTTGATTTGATTAATGCCCATTTAAATCTCATGGGTTCTATTAAAAATATATATATATAGGGCCCCAATCCATTGCCATCAAATTGCCCTTGGACTTTTCCAAGGTATATTATGGGGTTTTATGCAAAATTCCAAGCTACCATGTAACTTTTTTTAACCATTTAACAAGGAGGGGGAACTGTTTCCTACCTTCTTTACATGTTGTGCATTGTTGTGGTCCAGAAATGCCAAACCTTTTTAAAGATGGTGCAACTTTGAGTCCTTGGCTTGACTATACAGGCCTTGAACTTCATGGCATATCAACTTTGCCATATCTGCAGGAGAGCTGTTCTATAAGAAATAGCTCAGAGTTGCAAATATCACATGTGAATGATACGGTAACTTTTAAGAAATGTCTGTATTGTATTTGAAGACTGTTTGCCATAAATCTGAAATTTGAACCTATGTATTTCAATTTGGTATGCTAAAAAGTTCTGAATTAATGTAAAGTTTTTTGTTATAATATTGTAATCTCAGTTCAAAAGTTAACTGCAAATATAAAACCCAATGATTTCTATATAGTAAATTGAACTGTAAAGGTAACTTGTGTGTGATTCTGAATACATAGATAAATGTTTTTATTCCTCATGTTTTACTTTGGCTTCTATCTGAAATAGAGGTAAAATTTTACATATCAGCTTTATGTGTATTAACAATCTTGCTTTATTAGAAAGAAAATTGATTCTGCTAAAAAATGCTGGAAGTTATATATAGAACAGTGAAATTTTGGTAAAGTCCAGTATATATGTGAGCACTGTTTCCAGGACAGCCTTTTCTAGACACTTCAGTTCACTAGCCTCCTAACAATTTAAAACCCGGACTAAATGAATAGATTGACAAATTAAGCTAGATTTATTCCAAGTAAATATGGGCATTAATACCATTAAATGGAAATACTGGGTTAGAGAAGCCACACATTGCTTAATTCCTTTTTTCTTCTTTTTAGAGTATATATTTTAGTTTCCTAACCTGTCTTGGCCTTAAGAAGTCTTCTGAACTCTGCTGAAATGAAAAGCATCATCTCTTTGTTCTTTGAACACTTTAGTTAACTGGGTGACTTAATATTTTGGGGAGTAACTTTAAATTCAAAGATTTACTTAATTATTCAGGCAATGCACTAGTATAGGGTGGTGGTTAAAGGTGTAGACCTTGCCTCCAGTCTGCTTGACTCAAATCCTGCCTCTGCCATTTACTGTCTGTATGAACATAGGCTAGTCACCTAACCCTTTTGTGCTTCGGTTTTCCCAGATGGAAAATCGTGGTAAGGCCAGGCACAGTGGTTTATGCTCGTAAATGCCAGCACTTTGGAAGGTTGAGGTGAGAGGATTGCTTGAGCTCAGGAGTTCAAGACTAGCCTGGGCAATGTAGGGAGACCTGTGTCTCTCCAAAAAAATTCAAAATTAGCTGGTAGTCCCAGCTACTCAAAAGGCCAAGGTGGGAGGATTGCTTGGGCCCAAGAGGTGGAGGCTGCAGTGAGCCGCGATCACACCACTGCACTCCAGCCTGGGCAACAAAGTAAGACCCTATCTCTAATAAGAAAAGAAAGAAAATGATGGTAGTAAAAGTAGCAGCTTCATAAGGTTATAAGGATGTAACAGTTACAAGGTGCTTAGAACTGGCTGGCACACAGGGCTCAATAAACGACCCTTATTACCTATTAGATTGATTATACTGATTTGGACAAGTTGCTCTGGGCCTTGGTTTCTTGTCTGTAGGATGAAGACACTAGAACTTAACCTTACCAGGCCTTGAAAGTGCCTGGCACATGGATGCAAATGGCAGATACTGCCAGTGGTTGATAGCTTGGTATTAAGATCTCTTTAGCATGTACTTGACCATTCTCTTTTGTCCTTGTAAGTTGGACTTTTGGTTGGGCATCAGAGAAGGTTTTGTATTGCTGCCTTTTAGTTGATTTAATTTTAATGTAACCTTATAGTATTAAAGCACAGGCCAGGCACAGTGGCTCACGCCTGTAATCCCAACAATTCAGGAGGCTGAGGCAGGCAGATCACCTGAAGTCAGGAGTTTGAGACCAGCCTGGCCAACATGGTGAAATGCCATCTCTACTAAAAATACAAAAATTAGCCAGGCATGGTGGCGCACACCTGTGCCAGCTACTCGAGGCTGAGGCAGGAGAATTGCTTGAACCTGAGAGGCAGAAGTTGCAGTGAGTGGAGATTGCACCACCGCACTCCAGCCTGGGTGACAGAGCAAGACTCCATCTCAAAAAAAGAAAAGAAACACAGTAATAGTAGAAACTTAAATTGGCAGGAATCAAAATGTAAAACAAAAATTAGTCTTCTACATTTGAGTTGTGAGTAAATCCTATGAATCGCATCCATCCTGAGAGGAAAAAGGTGTGATGCAAGTAATTACGGCAGCAGGCTTTCATAATGAGGATAAACCTGGCCTAGGAACAAGCAACGAACTAGTTCTGGTCTTTACTGGCATTTGCATTAAGTTAAAGCTAACCTGAAAAGTCTCAGTTCCTACTCAGACATCCGGAGAAACTTTTCTCTTTGCATACAGATGGCCTCTACTACACATATCTTCTAAATCATAGTGCATGTCTTCACCCAGAAAGGAGTGGAACACAAACCACCTAGACTCAAAAGGCAATGTGACTTTAGTGTTACACAGTTGAAGATTTTGTTTTATTTATCGGAAACAGACTGTAAAAAGTTTTTTTTTTTAATGGCAATTTGTAGAAAGCTTAATCTACACAGCATGCTTCATTTTTTGTGGTCTTGGGGTACTAAATGGAGAGAAAAAGAACATCTTTCATACGCCTGAACTCCTTTACCTATGTATGTAATTGTCATCAGCTTTAAAAGCAATTCCATTGTTAAGTGGTCTTTCAAACCCTGATTCTACCATGATACTGCTTATGTCTGTCAAAACCCTTTGCAGTTGATTTGTTGATGGCCTGAGAAGATTAGCACTGGATCAGTTATGGGCAATTAAAGAGTTAAGTATCTGCTATTGAGTGACAGATGAAGTGATTGCACATTGGCAGTAGAGCAAAGGGGTTGTGTAGATGTGCTAAAGATACTGCAATATCTTATTTAGATTATTTTTAACCCCAGAGTCCAGCTAACCTTTATTTGTAAATAATGGTGCCCAACTTCATCTGGTGCGTACCTGTGCCTACAACTTTGTCCCCATTCAGTTTTTAGCAGCAATATGCAGAGGAGGGGACACTTGGCTGAAGTTTAAGAATTTTAGTTCTGTGAGTTGATTGGTTTTCTCCCATCTATTTTCTATTTTATGTTTCTCAAATTGCTCTGCTTTCACCAGGTATGGTGGGGTGGAGGATTCTCAGCTCTATTCCAAGCCTTCTGTCTTCCACTTAGGCAATTTTAAACTTCTGAGCCAAGGTTGCAACAATATGTTTTATCGCTAAGAATGTTCTTTTTTCCCTTCATCACTTTGGTCCCCTTTCCTCCAGCTCTGGACAATCTAAATTGTCTTGTTTTTGTTTTGAGACAGGGTCTCACTCTTGGCTCACTGTAACCTCTGCCTCTCGGGTTCAAGTGATTCTCGTGCCTCAGCCTCCCGAGTAGCTGGGATTACAGATGCATCACCACCATGCCTGTCTGGTTTTTGTATTTTTATTAGAGAGGGTTTCACCATGTTGACCAGGCTGGTCTCAAACTCCTGACCTCAGGTGATCCACCTGCCTTGCCCTCCCAAAGTGCTGAGATTACAGACGTGAGCCACTGTGCCCTGCCTAAATTGTCTTGTTTTATAATCTGTAAATCTTAACGATTCTAAGCATTCCCTGTATCTGAGTGGGGACTAAAGAGCCAACAGGCAGCTCTGAGTGCATGAGTGCAGTTTGTCGACTGAAAAAATGATCTGTCCCAGCTGATTAGTTAGGGAACTTTGTATGACATATGATTGGTTAGGGAATTTTTATGCCATTATGTCAAGGTCTTAGCTGATTCTCAATCAATTTGTATCGTGCCTGAAGGGTGATAGACCGTCTACCAGCATTCTAGAACCCAGCAGGGTGAGGGTTGGGCCTCTGCTTTCAGTGTAACACACCCCTGCCATCCCAGAGACTGGGCTACCTTTTCTAGAGAATGAACAAATGAGAGAGGGCTGTTGCCCAACTGCGCAGTGTAGGGAAAAGGATCTGGGATTTGAGTGGTTAGACAGATTCATCCAATCCTTATTTTGCCCCCACCTCCAGGGGTTTGGACTGCTGCCAAGTCCTTCATTTTTTTTTTTTTTTGGTTTTTTTTTTTTTTTTAATTTCTGAGTTTTTTTTTGCCCCCACTGCTGGCCTTGGTATTCCATTTCCTGAAGCTGCTAAATTATAAACTAATCTGTCCATTTTCTAGCTTGCTTTTTTTTTTTAATCTCTCGATTTCTCCATCCTGGTGAGTTTCGCTCCTTTTAAATGCCGTTTTAGTTAGGGAAGGAACAAGGATAGGTATGCATTTCCAATCCACCAGTGATTATGTGCCCCTCAATATGTACCACATGCGTAAACCTAATTGTCAAAACAAGGGCCTTTTAGATTTTTGGAGACAATCCAAACTCTCCATCTGCCTCTCGGAACTAAATTTGGGTGGTATTTTAAAGGTACTCTGGTATCAGCACAAGATAATAAGAATAATACATGAAGTTTTATACCTTTTGTGGATTGATGGTACAGGTAACCAACAACCCTTTACCATAGTGATATACAGAAATAGAGTTTTAATTTCTGCATTTAAGTGGTGTGTGTGTGTGTGTGTGTGTGTGTGTGTGTGTGTGTGTGTGTGTGACGGAATCTCGCTCTGTCGCCCAGGCTGGAGTCCAGTGGCACGATCTGGGCTCACTGCAAGCTCCGTCTCCTGGGTTCACACCATTCTCCTGCTTCAGCCTCCTGAGTAGCTGGTACTACAGGTGCCCGCCACCACACCCGGCTAATTTTTTGTATTTTTAGTAGAGACGGGGTTTCACCGTGTTAGCCAGGATGGTCTCAATCTCCTGACCTCGTAATCCGCCCGTCTCGGCCTCCCAAAGTGCTGGAATTATAGGCATGAGCCACCTCGCCCAGCCTATCTTGTTTTCTAAACGTAATGAGTTGGGATGCTTTTAACTTGTAAGTTAGGTAATAGTCTTTGAAACATATATATTCTGTGCTTTTTAAATTTTTATTTAAACAGTTTCTGTCACCAGGCTAGAGGGCAGTGGCGCCATCTCTGCTCACTGCAACCTTTGCCTCCCGGGTTCAAGTAATTCTGTCTCAGTCTCCTGAATAGCCAGGATTAAAGGTGTGTGCCACCACACCCAGCTAATTTTTCTATTTTTGTTTTTTTAGTAGAGAAGGAGTTTTGCCCGGCCATGCACTCCAGCCTGGGTGACAGAGTGAGACTCCGTCTCAAAAAAAAAAAAAAAAAAAAGTTTTGCCATGTTTGGCCAGGCTGGTCTTGAGCTTGTGGCCTCAAATGATAACAAGCATAAGCCACTGTGCCCTGCCTACTCTGTGGTGTTTTTATGTCACAACAAACCTGTCTCAATGCACTCAAGGCATTTTCTCTATGTTTAGTGCCCAGTAATGCCTTTCCGATTTCATTACTTCGTGATTTAAACCTAACCTTCCATACTGTTAGATTATCAACAGAAATGAAGTAAGAGCATTTTCAAAGTTTGGTTTTCTCCTTTCCTAATTCTATGATTCTGCTGGAGGCAAGAATATAAACAACACTTTAAAAGCTTGCTAGAGGAGGGAAGAGAACTTTAGTGATCCCCAAAGAAAGACTGTATATATGTATGTATGTATGTACGTATGTATTTTGAGACGGAATTTTGCTCTTGTTGACCAGGCTGGAGTGCAATGGTGCGATCTCGGCTCACTGCAACCTCCACCTCCTGGGTTCAAGTGATTCTCCTGCCTCAGCCTCCCGAGTAGCTGGAATTACAGGCATGCGCCACCACACCTGGCTAATGTGTTTTTAGTAGAGACAGGGTTTCTCCATATTGGTCAGGCTGGTCTCGAACTCCCGACCTCAGGTGATCTGCCTGTCTCGGCCCCCCAAAGTGCTGGGATTACAGGCGTGAGCCACCGCGCCCGACAGACATCATTTTTAAATGTTAAAAAAGGGTTTAGGTAACATTAGCTGCATATTGCCCCAAATGACTGAGGATTTGGGACCAATGTATAGGAGGTCAGTCAGGGAAGGGAATAGTAGTGCAGAGCTTATGAGAAGTTCACATTGAGGAGGAAAATGGTGCTGTCCTTTCCAATTGGCATGATGCTACCACTCCCTTTTATGTATTGCTATAACTTGACATATGCTTTCCTAAAAATCACTATGTGAAATTGTACAAATTGAAAAAATGGGGTTCAGGCACAGCACTCAAACTTTGTCAGTGCAACATTACAAAACTGATAGAAACTAATTAAAAATGGAGTACAGTTTGCACGCGTTAAATGGTAAAGAAATACACAAATATTACAATCAATGTAGCACTTTACCTTGAAGAAGACCCACAGTTTGAGGAAGTGGAAGGGTTGCAGCTTGTGAATTGTCAGATGGTAGGGTGTCTTGGTTCACTTTGTGTTGCTATAACACAATACCACAGACTGGGTAATGTATATAAAGGAACTTATTTCTTACAGTTCTAGAGGCTGAGAAGTCCGAGGCTGATGGGCCCACATCTGGTGAGGGCCCTCTTGTGTCATCCCATGGTGGAAGGCAGAAGGGGAAGAGAGCAAGATGGGGACCAAGCCCACTCGCACAATAACTGACCCACTGCCGAGATAATTACATTAATCTACTGATGAGGGCAGAGCCCTCATGACATAATCACATAATCACCCCTTAATGAGCCCACCTCTCAACACCGTTGCAATGGGGATTAAGTTTCCCAGAGTAACAATGGGTTATACTACTAATAACTTAGTTCCGACCTTTAGTTCCGCCTGTAAATTTCATAAGGGGAATAGAGTTGCTGGTAATGAAGTGTTGAGTAAAATCCTTGCTTTGAATCTCTCTGTTCCTAGGCCTTTATTCATTCAAGGTAGAAACTAATCGTTGGCTTTTCTTGTGTATATAACCTCAAGCTAAGACATGGGAAAAGCAGGTCTTTATATACATCTTTTAAGTCGAAAGTGAAGAGATCTTTTAGGAAAAGCAGCAAGGACCCTTCCTGAAGGTAAGGTATTAGAGGAGTGAAGTAGTAGGTGTGGCAAGGTTACCAATGTCAAGCCTTTCAAGGGGTCAAATAAGTATCTCTTGATATGCCTTATCTATATGACCCAAATCTTTTAGCTATTTCAAGGTTTGACCTTCAATCTTTATGTTCTTACACTTATGGCCATAGGCCCGGATGGGTAATGGGTGATAAGAAAACTGAACTGATGTTGACCTCTTTAAAAAGCAGAGGACTCCTATTTCCTTAACTGTAAGCTCTGTGCTGTATTGTGGCATGAATGAGAAGACCAACATTACTGTAATTGTATAATAATAGCAGCAAGGAAGTTCCATTGCCCAGCTAGGGGACTGCAGGATCATGCAACCATTGCAACACTGTTTCTGGCACTGTTCAAGGGCTTTGGTTAGTAACCTGTTTAGTCTTCTACATGAACTCAATCTTCAGAACCATCCTATGAAATAGAGACTCATGGCCCCATTTTACAGACCTTAAGAAGGTCATATAGGCCAGGCGGGGTGGCTCACACCTTATAATCCCAGCACTTTGGGAGGCCAAGGTGGGCAGGTCACTTGAGCCCAGGAATTTGAGACAGCCTAGGCAACATGGTGAAACCCATCTCTATGTTAAATAAAAATATTTAATATATTTTTTTAATTTTTGTTTTTTGAGACGGAGTTTCACTCTTGTTGCCCAGGCTAGAGTGCAATGATGTGACCTCAGCTCACTGCAACCTCCGCCTCCTGGATTCAAGCGGCTATCTTGCCTCAGCCTCCCAAGTAGCTGGGATTACAGGTGTGTGCCACCACGTCCAGCTAATTTTTGTATTTTTAGTAGAGATGAGGTTTCACTATGCTGGCCAGGCTAGTCTCGAATTCCTGATCTCAGGTGATCCACCCGCCTCGGCCTTCCAAAATGCTGGGATTACAGGTGTGAGCCACCGCGCCTGGCCTTAAAATATTTTAAAATAAAATTAAAAATTGTTATAGATAGCTAGGAGTAAGTGGTAGAGTTAGGATTGTAGCCCGGCAGGCTGGCTCTGGATCCGGTCTCTTCCCCATGATCCTACAGTACATCACTCAGATTTCACCCACATTTTGAATTGCCTATAGGAAGTTCCATTCAGATGGAAAACCCAGACACAAAACATTCTGTGAAGCTCTGTGTCTTCAGCACTTTTAAAATTTTTGTTCACTGTTATTTTCAAATTTAAAAACCCTACAAACCTGAAGAGAGTGATCAACTCCACAGTTATCATTAATCATGTAGTATTGTGCGTGTAACTGCTGAAGCTGTCATTTTTACCACTTCCGCAAGAACTATTGGCACCATCTAGGGTTTGTATGGGAGTTCTGGAGCTGGGATGGCCCTTCAGAGTTGAACCAAACTGAGACAGGACAGCTGGGACTTTATCCCAGCATTAGCCAGTCATTGGCTACAGGCCACTCCTTTCAAGGAGGCATAACCTTGGGCAAGCCGTCCCTGTGACAGAGGCTAGTTCCCAGTGATGGACACAGTTATATGCTGATTTCCAGTGAAGAATGCAGCCATGAGCTACAACTGCGAGTCTGCAGCAGCTGACAGTGCCGGTAGCAGGGGAATGGGTACATGGGACCTGCACATGCAACTGTGGTGCCGTTTTCCAATCATTAAAAGAAAAAAGTTGGGAGGCCGGGTGCCCATAATCCTAGCACTTTGAGAGGCTGAGGTGGGAGGAACACTTCAGCTCAGGAGTTCAAGGCTGCAGTGAGCTCTGATGGCACCACTGCACTACAACCTGGGCTACAGAGGGAGACCGTGTCTCGAAAAAAAAGGTAAAAATTTAAAAAAAGCCTGTGCCACGTTGTCTGCTTAACAAGGTCAGAACCACGGTTTCTGCTGATGTGTGTACTAGCTTGTTAGGGCTGCCCAAACAATACACAAACTTTAAACTGGGTGGCTTAAACATCAGAAATGTGTCTCACAGCTCTGGAGACCAGAAGTCCAAATGGTCAGCAGGGTTGGTTCTCTCTAGGGCTTTCAGGGAAGCCTCCGTTCCTGGCCTCTCTCCTTGGATTGTAGGTGGCCATCTTCATGTTCACATGCTTTTCTCCCTGCACACTGTATGAGTCTCTCCAAATTTCCTCTTTTTATGACACTGGTTATATTGGACTTGTTCTCACCTTAATGACCTCATGTTAATTGGACTAATTACATCTGCAATGACCCTATTTCCAAATAAGTTCACATTCTGATGTACTGGTGGTTGGGATTTCAGTGTATGAATTTTGATGGGGACACAGTCCATAACAAGTATGTTTGGTCATTCGGAACAGAAGCACTGTATTGACCCTTGACCCCTGACTGGCCCCTGCACGTCCACTCCCAGCCCTTCTCAGTCACTGTTCCTTTCCCTTTCCCTCCTTCCCTCTCTCCCTCCCTTCCTTCATTCCTCTCTTTCTTTTTGAGATGGATACTTGCTCTGTCACCCAGGCTGGAGGTTAGTGGCATCATCACAGCTCACTGCAGTATTGACCTCCCATGTTCAGGCGATCTTCCCACCTCAGCCTCCCGAGTAGTTGGTACCATAGGTGTGCAGAACCACACCTGGCTAATTTAAAAACATGGTTTTTTTTTCTGTAGAGATGGGGTCTTGCTACGTGTCCCAGGCTGGTCTCGAACTCTCCTCTCATTTTCAAGCTCCCATTGCATTCCTGCTCTCTTTTGTCTTCTTTGTTTCCCTATAAAGTTAGATCGTTGTTTTTTCCCCATTATAAAATCTTTTAAATGATCAAAATTCCAGCAATAAAGTATATAAAAGCTATTTTTAAAAATCCCCTGACAGCTTTCTAACAGACTCCTGCCTTAATATTGTGTGGCACTGCCTTCTAGACACCTCCCTATTTTTATTCTGTCATTCAGCCCCCTTTTCTCCTCTTCCCAAACCAGGAAAAGTCTGAGTTTATTATTTTTTTGAGACAGAGTCTCACTCTGTTGCCCAGGCTGGAGTACAGTGGCATGATCTCGGCTCACTGCCAACTCCACCTGCCAGGTTCAAGCGATTCTCCTGCCTTAGCCTCCTGAGTAGCTGGGATTACAGTCACCTGCCACCACACTCAGCTAATTCTTGTATTTTTAGTAGAGACGGGGTTTTGCCATGTTGGCCAGGCTGGTCTCGAACTCCTGACCTCAGGTGATCCACCCACCTTAGCCTCCCAAAGTACTGGGATTACAGGTATGAGCCACTGTGCCCAGCCAAAAAGCCTGAGTTTATTGTTAACGCTGACTGCCAGCATTTTTTCTCCACACTTCCAATTCTTTTACGCCTTTCCCTTTCTAATAATACAGCCAATAGCCTTCAGATATTGCAGAAGGTGTCTTCCTGGCCTCTGAAGTCATTTCGCCCTTAGGTAAGCCCTTGGGGACACTTGCACCATGACTTAGGAGCCTGGCCCTTCCAGAGGGTGTGGCTGTTTTGCAACCCTCCAGTGACCTCTCCTCTAGCAGAAGGTGAGCCCAGGGTCCAGGCTCCTGGCCCAGCCAGGGCCTGAAGCCATGAGATTTCTTTAATTCGAATGACCCCTTTTTTCCTCAACATCTTCATCTCTTTCTCCCATAACTCAACCCGAAACCATCAACCAGAGGCCCATCACCCAGTTCTCTCCTTCCCCTCTCTCAGCCTCAGCCTGATGACAAGGCACAAACGGCCCGGCCAGGGTCTGTACCTAGGGTGGGCAGAGCCCATGCCTGCTTCCAGATCCTGGCAAGCTCCACCCTCCCACGTCCTGCCTGGACTATTTCAGTAGTTTCAACTGCTGTCTCTGCCACCAGGATCTCCCCTCAGACCACTATCCTTGTGGCTGTAGGGTAAGCTTCTGAAACTGGCTGGATTAAGTTGCTAACCTGCGTTAAACTCTCCCTTCACAGTCTTGTCTGGAGTGTGACTGGGGTTGAGCTTTCCAGGCTCTGGTTGGCCTTCAAAGGGAAGCATCCCGCAAGATCCCTCAGCCCCTCTGAGTCCTTGACTCCTGTACAGCACAGCCCGATGGGGGCTTTAACTCTCATCCATCCATTCATTCGTTTATCCAGCCAACGAGTTTTTATTTGGTTTAATATTTAGGTGCCAGGCACTATCCACGATTCTAGCACTAGGACAGCAGCAAACAAAATAGCCCCAATTCCCTGCCGCATGGCACTTCTATCCCTGTGTGCTTCAAGAGCCTTCCAGCTGGGTTCTTGGTTCCACCTGAGAGATAGGCCTGCCCCACTCCATCACAACGGCTGGCACCGCAGGCGATCCGACACATTAGGTGAGACTGTCTCTTCATATCCCTCATATCTGGGATGCTACGCTGGGCAGGCATCAACAGCTGTAATGCCCACGCAACCCCAGTCACTTACCAAGCAACCACAGCTTGTTCTGTGCCCCAAAAATCCCCAGCTCTGGCCGGGCACAGTGGCTCACGCCTGTAATTCCAGCACTTTGGGAGAGCGAGGAGGGGTGATTGCTTGAGGCCAGGGGTTTGAGACCAGCCTGGGCAACACAGCAAGACCCCATCTCTAATATATATATATAAGATTATACATATATGTATAAGATTATATATATATGATTTTACATATATATAGATTATATATTAGATTATATATATGATTATATATTAGATTATATATATGATTATATATATATATTAGATTATATATATATTATCTGCAGGGATCTATTTATATATATTATTTATATATATTACATATTTTATATATATATACAAAAATAAAAAATTAGCCAGGCATGGTGGGACATGCCTATAGTCCCAGCTCAGAGTTCCCTTCGAGGCTTGTTTTCTACGCTGCAGAGCAGAATGCCCGAGGCAATTAGGCTGAATGCTGTCCCTGGCAGATGTGGCTGGCTGGCCATCTTGGTCCTAGACCTCTGGGCACCGAGTGTAGACTTCTCACCCGGCAGAGCTGCCGCTCAGAGCTCAGGGCTTGGCCGACACTGACAGATTGTACCACTAGATGACGCTTGTGGATTACATTTGCTATAGTGCCTTGGAAGTTGCAGCAAACAATTGCTGAGTTTCCCACTGTTCAGAGTTGATTTCACATAGTATTAAGCTTTTATGTTCTATCACACTTCTGAGTGTCACAAGTGTCCCCGGTTCCCTGACCTTTGCATCTCTACATCCCTGCCCCTAGTCCTTTGTGGAGGAGCCAGGAGGAAGAAGGGATTCCTGCCTCACTTTCCCTCCCGTTTCCAAAGCCCTCCTCCCCCAACCGCCCTCCCCCTCCCTCAGTAGCAACAGCCTTTGACTCTCCAAGTCCCCAGCAAAGTACAGTACAGGCTGGCAGTGGGGATTTGGGAGGATGTTCCAGAAGACCCCAGCTCAAGTGTAGGGATTGTTAAATGTTTAGTTCAAGCCATGGCTGTTCCAGGTGGGCCACCAACTCCTTCAAGTCGGAGACGTCAGGCCCACTAAGGATGTGCCTATGGCCACAAAATGCCAAGTTTGCTTACTTTGATGCATCAAAGGAACCCACATGTTGGGTGAGCCTTCGGAGCCACTCAATAAAAGGGTTAGGAAGGGTTTTTTGTAGGGTCAGGTTGTTGAGGTGGGCTTACCTGGTTAGGGTTGGTTGGTTGGAAGAAAGGGGGCCTTGGCTGATTCATTCAGGCTCAAAGCAGGGATCTTTTTATCTGTAGGAGGCAGTTCCCCTGTGGCTTTGAGAAACATTGCTTTGTGACTTTGTGGGTCTATTTTTGTGTTTTAGAAGTTAAGATCTTGAGGTGGCAGTCAACTGGTTTCTCAGAGACCAAGTCTTAAACGTGCTTGTAACCCACAGTGAGTCCAGCTGGGTGTTTTGCAAGCAAATTTTTTTGTTTGTATAGTTTTTTTTAGCAATGGGGTTTCACTATGTTTCCAAGGCTGGTCTGAAACACCTGGGCTCAAGCCATCTTCCCACCTCAGCCTTCTGAGTAGCTGAGACTACAGGCACATACCAGCTACAAGCAGGTTTTGAATGTGTTTTTTTCTCCAAGAAGCTTTCTGATTTACACCTAAGATAGGGATTCACCAATTCACCAACGTGAGACATTGCGTCTCTGTCCTCCACCTTCCTAAGATACCTAGCTTTGTGCGTGTGTGTGTGTGTGTGTGTGTGTGTGTGTGTGAGAGAGAGAGAGAGAGAGAGAGAGAGAGATGCATTTATCCTCCCCGTTTGCAAGTGAATTTTCCCATGAGGTATCACCCTTTGGCATAGTCCTCCATTTGGACTGGGTGAGGTGGCGCTTCCTTTTCTTTGTCTTACACTGAGCTTTGACATTAGAATATTTTGTCCTTTGGCCCCAACTTTACTTAATTTGATGACACTCCCTCTGCAAGGGTCATTATGCTTCTGACCTCTCTCTGCCAGCCCAAACCCAGTCCAGGCCAAGCCTGTGGTCATGGTATCTGTGACTATGATCACATCCCTTCCTGTTCCTGTTGGCTATCACAGCCTCATTCTTGGTACTGGATAGCTTCCAGCTGTCCTGCCACCCACCATCCACCCTGCTCTGCACCTGGAGGCTGATGTTCACAGACTGCCTCAATGCTTCCCCTGCCTCTTTGCTTTGTGGTCAAGCAAAGTGGAGCGGAGAAGCCTGGGGGAGGATAGTGGGGTCAGGGTAGTCCTTCCTGGGCTCATTTCCTGTCCAGTTGCCTCTGGCGGGCTGAATCTCCCAGCAGAGGCTGGAGCCCTTGAAGGGGCCCTGCACCTAGCTTGCCCTCTCTCTCTAGGTCTGGTTAACCGCTCCCTCCTCTTGCCTTTCCCCTTTGGCTCCCGGGAACTGGACCATCCCCTGGCTATCCTACACCTTGTCCACACCCTTGAGCATGCCACCTGCTCCCTGTTTTGACCCTGCTGACAGGTCTTTTCAGTCTCGCTCTTCTCCCAGGCTGGAGTGCAGTGGTGAGATCTCAGCTCACTGCAACCTCCACCTCCCAGTTTCAAGTGATTCACCTGTCTCAGCCTCCCAAGTAGCTGGGATTACAGGCTCCCACCACCACGCCTGGCTTTTTTTTTTTTTTTTTTTTAGTAGAGATGGAGTTTTGCCATGTTGTCCAGGCTGGTCTTGAACTCCTGACCTCAAGTGATCCATTTGCCTCAGCCTCCCAAAGTGCTGGGATTACAGGCGTGAGCCATCACCCCTGGCCTGCATCTTTTTTAGATCCCCACAGCCTAGCACAGAGCCTGGCACATAACAGATGCTCTGTTGGATGGGCAAACTAACACCTCCCCCTTTCTATGATTCTGGTTCTCTGGGGCTTGTCCTGAGATGGGATAAACAGAACTCCACACATGACTCCAGGGGAGGCAAACAGGATAGAGTATTCATCATTCATTCATTCATTCATTTATTCATTCATTCATTCGTTCATCCAACACATATTTATGGAGCACCCACTCCATGCTGAGAGTACTATGGTGAGCAAACCAGACAGGGTGGTTTCCTGAGAGAGACAGGCATGGATGGGATTAACATAAACTTGTGAGACTACAGCAGTCAGCTTTGAAGGAGCAAAACATGGTGCTACAGAACATGTGATGGGACTGAGCATGGTGGAGAGTCACCTTATATGCGCACTGTGAATAATTCTAAATCCCAAACACATCTGGCCTCCAGATTCTTGTTAAAGAGGCCAGTGGGGCCAGGCGCGGTGGTTCAGGCCTGTAATCTCAGCACTTTGGGAGGCCAAGGCAGGCGGATCACCTGAGGTCGGGAGTTCGAGACCAGCCTGACCAACATGGAGAAACTCCGTCTCTACTAAAAATACAAAATTAGCCAGGTGTGGTGGTGCATGCCTGTAATCCCAGCTACTCGGGAGGCTGAGGCAGGAGAATCACTTGAACCCAGGAGCCAGAGGTTGCAGTGAGCCGAGATGGGGCCATTGCACTCCAGCCTGGGCAACAAGTACGAAATTCCGCCTAAAAAAAAAAACAAAAAAAGAGGCCAGTGGACCATCCATCTCTCACATATTCTCATTGAGGGGGTCGGGGCATCATACTAGCACATTTAAGTATGCTAAAAATGATGGTCCTACTGTGTAAAGCATGATTCCATTTTGGTAGAAACAACAAATGGTTTTTGAGCACCCAGACAACTACCAGTGTTCCAGGCACTGAGGATAGAGCAGTGAACAAAATAAGGCCTCTGCGTTCACAAAGCTGACAATATTGTATAATTTATTAATTTATAAATTAATTTATTAATTTATAAATTAATTAATTTATTAATAAGGCCCTGCTCTGTCACCCAGGCTGGAGTGCAGTCGTGTCATCATAGCTCACTGCAACCTTGAACTCCTGGGCTCAAGCGATACCCTAGATCATCTCGTCTCAGTCTCCTGAGTAGCTGGGCTTACCAGCATGAGTCACCACCGGCCTTTTTTATCCTCTAAAGAATGCATACATGCATAGATTTGCAGATAAGAAGCCCTGGAAAGACAGACACGAATATTCTAAGTGCTTCTTTCTAGATAAAGGTATGATGAGTGATTCTTTTTCTTTTTTCCTTCTCCACATTTCAAAACTGCAACGCCTATGACACATTATTGAATTAGGTTTTTCTTTCTTAGTTTATTTCAATGTATTAATTTTTTAAAATTGACGAATAGTAATTAGGCATATTCACAGTAACACAGTGAGGTTCCGATTCGAATTAAGTTGTTTTTTTTTTTTTTAAGTGGATGGTGGTCTTTAATTAGTCTCATGCAGTTCTCAACCCACACCAGCAGAGAGCGCTGTGCCCGCAGGACTCGGGCGGGGCCGTGCCGCGCTTTTCTCCCCAGCAACACCCGCCCGCGCACAGCCCTGGAGGCGCGGCCTCGCGGCATCCCCGGCCACGCCTCACCCCGCCCTGCCCCCGCTCGCCGAGCGCCCGGCAGGGGCGGTGGTTGCGGCGCTGCGACTCGCCCGCGCCTCTCCCCGGCCGACCTGGGCGCAGCGGGCGGGGCCCGGGCAACCCGCCCTCCCCTCACCTCCTTGCCCCGCCCTCCCCGCGCCCTCCCCGCCCTCCCCGCGCCCTCCCACCCAGCGCGGGGTCGGCGCGGCTGCGGCTGGCTCTTACTTTGGGGCCGGATGGGGAGACGTGACTGCCACGGCTCGGGCTGCGCCGGGAACAGGCGCGGGGGTGGGAGGGGAGGCCGGGCTTCGGGGCACCTGGCGGTCGAGGCGTTTGGAGGGGGCAGCGGTCGGGCCCCGCCCCCAGCACCGCGTTCCCAGGCGCGGGGGAAGGGAAATGGGCGCCTCCCTGGCGCTCGAATCCTGCCTGGGCCTCGGCGAGTGCGCGCCAAGCCCGTTCCTTCCGTTCCCTGTCCCGCCGCGCCCGGGCCGCTCCGCAGCAGGGAGAGCCCGGCCTGGGACGGCGGGCGGGTTCCCCTCTGGTGCGCAGTAGGTTGCCAGGGCCTCTTTTCGAGACCAGGTGAAGAATTTGTGGGTTGGAGTCAGATCCATTCACAGTTCAATCCTGGTGGTGTTTCTGTCCAGTCTCAGTTTCCTGATCTGTAAAATGGGAAAAGGAGTATCTTTCCTTCTAGTAGTCCCACGGGCTGTCGCATCAGGAAGCTTGTGACCTACAAGGAGAGGTGACAGGGAGAATCCCAAGAACAATTACCAGGCTTTGTCTTTCTGCCGCCAGTGGCTAAGAAGGAGCAGCACTGTCCAGCCCGCCATCTAAGAAGGGGCCATTTCTGGACCCTGCTCTGTATTTCCAGAGGCTGTTGACAATCGCCTTCATTTTCTTTTTCTTTCTTTCTTTCCTTCTTTCTTTCTTTCTCTTTCTTTTTCTTTTCTTTTTTTTCTTTGACGGCTAAATAGTACTCCATTAGTATAGATGTACCACACTTTCTTTTTTGACAGAGTCTCACTCTGTTGCCCAGGCTGGAGTGCGATGGCTTGATCTCAACTCACTGCAACCTCTGTCTCCCGGGTTCAAGCGATTCTGCTGCCACAGCCTCAGGAGTAGCTGGAATTACAGGCATGCGCCACCCCACGCCCGGCTAATTTTGTATTTTTAGTAGAGACGGGGTTTCTCCATGTTGGTCAGGCTGGTCTCGAACTCCTGACCTCATGTGATCCACTCACCTTGACCTCCCAAAGTGCTGGGATTACAGGCGTGAGCCACCGTGCCTGGTCAATCGCCCTCATTTTCTTGCTAGGAAATACCCTCCAATAAATACTGGGTACACGTCACAGAATTTTCTTTCCGTGGTGGGATTCAAAGGGAGAAAAGTGCAGGAGTATTCCAATAACATGCTTTCTCTCTGGGTTTAAAGCCCACACCCCCAGGATTAGGCGCGGCTTTTGTAGGACTCTGATTCCCAGGCTTAAGCAGAAAAACACAGAATCCTAGGCTCTTAGCGCTGAAAGTCAGAGAGGACTTGCCCTACCACTTTTAACTGCTGATCTACAGATTTCAGCTATATGGTGTGCTGGTTGCTGCTTCAGCAAGTTATTACATGTCTCTCAGCCTCAGTTTTCTCACCTGTCATATGGGAAAAACACTGCCTGGTGGAGAAGGGTCTGGTGCTCTGCTCGGGAGTCTCCTGTTTTCACAGAGCTTCCTGAGTCCTTTAGGCAACATTGTCCTTTGTCAGGAAATTCTTCCTATTGTTCTCTTAGACCCTCTAGCCTCAGGGCCGTATTTCTGCTTTTCAGTCTTGGAAAAGGATAGCTGGTCACCTCCTTGGTAACCGATGTCATTTCCCTTGCAGCAGGGAGGCCAAGTTCCTCAGCCTGACTTTCCCTCTTCTGGGTCCTCCTCTATGAACCCTGTAGATCCAGGAGGTGGGGATGGTCAGATGCTGAGTGAGGAGTGGCAAGGCCCAGACTCGGAGACTCTCCTAAATTTGTGAAAAGAGTTATTAGCAAAACAGGAGGAAGGGAACAGTCACTGAAAATTCTCCCCATGCTGAGCACTGCTAGGGGATTTATCTCAAGACTCCCAACAAGAACCTTTGGGGCCAGGAATCATCACCTCTATTTTCCCAGAAAGCAGAGGACCTGTTCCCCAGATCCCCCATCTGGCCATGGCTGGGCCTCCTCCACCTCTGAGGCCCAGCGTTGCAGAGGATGGTGACACATCCGCCTTGGGGCCCCCTGCAGGGATGTGGGGTTGATGAGAACTGGCTGCAGTGCCTCGTTCTCCCACCAGTGAGGTTTGTGGTGGTTATCACTAGCTTCAAAGGTCAGCTGGCTCTTGGGAAACAAATAGAAGCCTCACCCTCCCTTCCCGTTGGAAACTTTGGCCTCAGCTGCAGAGTGGATGCCTGGGAGAGGCTGCAACATCCAGCCTCAGGGAGTCCAGCTGCCCCTGGAGGTCTGCCAAGGCTGTTCTCAGGGTTTGTCCCAGTTGGGTCTGAAGGCCAGGAGGCTGCACTCTTCTGTGGCGGTCTGACCTGGACACTCCCTGGTGACCATCTCCATCAGTGGTTCTCCTCTCTAACTGCTCATTAAAAGTCTGCTGATGCCTGGGCCCCACCCCAGACCAATAAAATCAGATTTCCTGGAGGAGGGCCATGCATCAACATTTTTCTTTTTTAAAGCACCCCTAGATAATTTCAGAGTGCCGTCAGGATTGAGGGATGCTGATGTAGATAAACATAAACGTTAGTGATCAAAGGACAGAATAGGAAAAATATTTGAAATCTGGATGAAAGAGGATCTGCATTAGACAGCAGCCATCCAAGGCCAGGAGGCTTGGCGGCTAGGATTGAGCAGGACTGTGGAATTCTTGGAAGGAATTCATCTGTCTGGGAACTGGCATGACTCGGTTCCCCAGGGGCAGCGGGCGGAACCCCGTGACTCCAGGTCCTCGGTCCTCCTGGGCCACTGTGCCTGCCTCTGTGGTCTGCATCTGGGCCGTGATGCGCCTCTGAGCCTCAGGTCTTCCAGTCAAACTGGACTCCCTGCCATTCCGAGAACGCAGTCTGCTCTTTCCTGCTTCTCGGTTTGGGTTTCAGGCATTTGTTTCTGTCTGGAATGTCTTTTCCGATCTGTTCAAATCATTCCTTTTCAAGGTCCCTGCCCTACTGCCAGCTCCACCAGGAAGCCCTCGCCACACCTTCTGCATGTGCCTGTACTCCACAGCGCCCTCCTGCGGCACTGCCCAAGGTGTGCCCAGACTATAAATGCAGAGGGTGAGGACCAGTCAAATCCCCTCCTCCACCTGTCCCGGGGGCGGAAGGCACGTGCACAGAGGAGCCTCCCACCTCTTTTGAATGCCATGGACTGTGTCCGTGTTCCAAGACAGGGTGGAAGCCTCTTCTCTGCCCACACCCCTTCCTGATAGTTCTCCAGCCCCCCTGCCGCATTTCCTGAGTGCCACGGCGCCTTGTGGTTAGCAGTCAGTGACAGGGAAGCGCTGGGACCAGGCCTTTTTACCCAGCACGTGGTGTCTACAGTGCCAGTGGAGCCTCCCCCGGAGAGGGTCGGCATAGAGTGGGGTGGGGAATGAAAGCTCTTCCCACAGACAGACCCAGAGTCTTAAGGGGAAGGGGAAGACCCCAGCGACCTCCGGTGTCACCGAGGCCCGTGCTGGTGCTCAGGAACCGCCTTCTCCCAATAACGCAGCGCGAGCGACACGGGGCGGGGGCGCCTCGGGCGCGCTGGCTGGGGGCCCGCGGGGCGCCGCTCCGCAGTGGAAGGGGGCAGACTTCGGAAGCGGCCGCCGGCTGCTGGGGGTGGGAGACTTGCTCCCTCCTTCAGTCGCCCGCCGTCAGCCCGCGCTGCAGGTGACCTGGTCAGTGCCGATCGCCCCGCCCCCGCCCAGCCGTCTCCGTGGGGTTTTCCGGCTCTGCGCGCCTCAAACGACCTCGGCTGCCGCCTGCCCGGCAGCTCCCCGCGGTCCCCCACGTTCCCCCGCCCCCCGGGCCGCGCGGCAGGCCTTTCTGATGAGTCAGCGGGAGCCCGGGAGCCTCCAACCGCCCCGGGCATCTGCTCCGGTGACGCACCCTGAGTCACGGGCGCCCGGGCCGCCGCCGAGGCCGAGCGCGCAGCCGGGAGCGCCGAGCGCAGCCCCTACGCCTGCCGCGGGCGCCCACCCAGCCCGGCCCGGCCCCGCACCCTTCCTCCCTCGCTCCCAGCGCCGCCCGCCCTGCACTCCCTGGCCCAGCTCCAGGCTGACATCAGACGCTGGCCGCCCGGCCACCCTCTGAGTCAACAGTTTCCGAAGCAGAGCCCGCTGCCAGGGGCGGGGAGAGAGCGCGGCCTCCGGGGGAGGCGGGGGCGGGCACCGGTCTGGCAGCCGCGGGAGGGCGGAGGTGGGTGGGGACGCCGGAGCCTTTTACAAGAAGTCACGGGGGATGGGGGAGAAGAGAGGGCGAAAACCACCCTCTGCAGAGCTGCCGGGGCGGAGAGGAAACCCGCCGCCCCACACAGCCACGTGCTGAAGCCCTCACTGAGTGGGTGGCTGGGAAGGGAACCCGAGGGCGGGAGGAGGGGGAGGCACTTGCTGGGAAAGGCCCTGGGCCAAGTTTCTGAGGGAGGAAAAGAACCACCTTTGGACACCCTGGGTCCCAGGGGCCCAGCAGATATTTGTGTCTGGATAACAGGGCCCCACCCAGTTCCCTTTGATGGGAGCAGCTCTGGCCGAGCCCTACTCTTGGGGACTGGTGCTGCCTGCTTGGGGTCCGACTTGAAGAACTGCACTGACCTAACCTGACCCCCTCCCTTGACCACAGACCCTGTCACCATCGTGGGATGATGGGGTTGGAAGGATGTATGTCTGAGGGTAAAGGAATTCAAGAGCCCCAGTCCATTGAGAGTCACCTTCCTCGCTGTAACAAGGCTGGGCACTATGGTCTGCCCCTGAGTTGGTGCTGGGTAACCACTCTGAGAGGCTGCATCTGTGGTTCTAGAATGCTCAAAGTGAGCAAGAGACCCTTAAAAAAAGCATCTACCTGCAGGGGGACTAAGTGGCTTCTAGAAGCTTCTTTAACCCCGCAGATTTCCCTGATCACGTCAGGCAGGAAGGAAGGGTGACGTGGAGCCAGGAGGACAGAGTAAGGCAGTAAGCATCCACAGGTGCTTGGATTTCCTTCCCTCCACCCCATCGCACCCCGCCCACCCATGCCATGCCCCCCAGGATAGCAAGACAGGGCTGTCATTGGTGGGCCTCCGGCTGGAATTCACGCTCAGCTTCTTTCCGGGATTTGAACTTGTTGTTCTTTCCAAAGCCATGGTTCAATAAATGATGCCAACCTGGGAAGGGGAGGTGTCTTTCTCATCTTGCAGGCAGAAGCGGCATAACAGCTGGGTGAACAGAACCGGTCTGGATCTGTCCAGAGCTATTTGTCAGCACAGCTTTGCAGAAACTATGTGAGCGTCTCCTTGCTCCATATGACCCCCATTCAAACTCATGCTGAGAAAGAGCTCCCAGTCCACCTCTGCTGGGGCAGTCTTTTCCCAAGTGTGACTTTTCCAAGGGTGGGTGGTTCATTTCTGCCAATCTAACCCAGCTCAAAATAGCATTGAATCAGACTTCTGGGAAGCCCTGTGCTCCAGGCGCCTGTAGAAAAGAGTTAAAAATGACATCTCTTGGGAAACCAGGGGGTCTAATTTTGCTGAGGTGGGACAAGATGCAGAGCCCTGTGACATCAGAGGGAAGAAATAGTGGCCAGGGATAGGTCTGGAAAGTGTGAGTGGTGGAAGGTCCTGTGCTTTATGTGGTTGCCCTTTGGGAAGTCCGTGGCCTGGCCCAGTGGGGGGCAGGTATCCTGGGAGCTAAGGCCAGGTGTAGGAGGGGGCTGTGGCTTAAGCCACAAACTCCACAACCTCCAACTTCCACATTTTCCTTCAGGCTGAGAACCCGAACTGTCTCAGTAGGGGTTGACTCCTCCACCGTTTCTAATTCTGATTACTTACGCTTTTGGCTTGGGCCCAGCTGGATTGCCACCTTTATGAAGCTTTTCTCATGAGTTAACTTGACCCTTGGCACTTCCACTACAGCCTTTACCATGCTTTGCCTGCTTTGAGAGGCTTTGCTTTATTCGGCTTTCCTCTCCACCCAGCAGCCCACTGGGAGGCAAGCACTCCATCCTTGCCACTCGTTAGTGGAACTCCCAGGGAAACAAATGAGCTGTCGGCTCTTCTGTCTTCTGCCCCCACGTTTGGTCTCATAGGCTTCCTTTGTGTCTGATGGGGCTTCCTGTGTGCTGTCTCTGCTTCCAAGACAGCCTCATCTTGGGTTTTGACCCTATCTGCGTTTTTTTTTTTTTTTAAGGAAAACAATTTTTCTTAGTTCAAATAGAAATTAGCTTAGATTTTAGATTTGATCATTTTCTAGATTTTTTTAAATTTATGGGTACATAGTAGGTGTGTATGTTTATGGGGTACATGAGCTATTTTGGTATAAACATACAATACATAATAATCATATCAGGGTAAGTGGAGTATTCATCACCTCAAGCATTTAATCTGTTCTGTGTTACAAATATTCCAATCATACTCTTTTAGTAGTTTTTGTTTGTTTGCTTGTTTTGTTTTGTTTGAGACAGAGTCTTACTCTGTCACCTAGGCTGGAGTGCAGTGGCATGATCTTGTCTCACTGCAGCCTCTGCCTTCTGGGTTCAGGTGATTCTCCTGCCTCAGCCTCTGGACTAGCTGGGGCTACAGGTGCGCACCATCACGCCCAGCTATTTTTTTTGTATTTTTAGTAGACACAGGTTTCACAATGTGGGTGTTCTCTTGACCTCGTGATCTGCCCGCCTTGGCCTCTCATTTTTTGTATTTTTAGTAGAGACGGGGTTTCCACATGTTGGCCAGGCTGATCTCAAACTCCTAGCCTCAAGTGATCTGCCTGCCTGCCTCAGCCTCCCAAAGTGCTGGGATTACAGGTGTGAGCCACCACATCCGGCCTTCTTTTAGTTATTTTTACATGTATGATAAATTATTATTGACTGTAGTCATCCTGTTGTGCTACCAAGTACTCGATTTTATTCCTTCCGTGTAGCTACGTTTTTATATCCATTAACCATCCTCACTCCCCCTCATCCCTGGCCCACCTACCATTCTGGTAACCATCCTTCTACTACTCTCTGTCTCCATGAGTTCAATTGTTTTAATCTTTTTTTTTTTTTTTTTTTTTGAGACAGAGTCTTGCTCTGTTGCCCAGGCTGGAGTGCAGTGACGCAATCTTGGCTCACTGCAACCTCTGCCCCTGGGTTCAAGTGATTCTCCTGCCTCAGCCTCCTGAGTAGCTGGGATTACAGGCATGTGCCACCACACCCAGGTAATTTTTGTATTATTAGTAGAGTTGGGGTTTCACCATCTTGGCCAGGCTGGTCTTGAACTCCTGACCTCGTGATCCACCCACCTTGGCCTCCCAAAGTGCTGGGATTACAGATGTGAGCCACCGTGCCTGGCCCATATGTACGACATTTTCTTTATCCATACATCTATTGGTGGACACTTAGGTTGCTTCCAAATCTTGGCTGTTGTGAATTTTAAACATAAGAGTACAGATATCTCTTTGACATACCTAGTAGTAGAATTGCTGGATCATATAATAGTTCTATTTTTAGTTTTTTGAGGAACTTCCATACTGTTCTCCATAGCAGCTATATTAGTTCACATTCTTACCAAAAGTGTATGAGGGTTCCCTTTTTTCCACATCCTCGCCAGCATTAATTATTGCCCATCTTTTGAAAAAAACCATTTTAACTGGATTGAGATATGACAACTCATTGTAGTTTTGATTTGCATTTCTCTGATGATCAATGATGTTAAGCACCTTTTTATATGTCTGTTTGCCATTTGTATGTCCTCTCTTCAGAAACTTCTATTCAGATATTTTCCCCATTTTAAAATTTGGATTATTAGATTTTTTTCCTGTTGAGTTGTTTGAGCTACTTATATATTTTGATTATTAATTTCTTGTCAGATGAGTAGTTTGCAAATATTTTCTTCCACTTTGTGGGTTGTCTCTTCACTTTGTTGATTATTTTGTTTGCTGTGCAGAAGGTTTTTTAACTTGATGTGATCTCTTTTATCCATTTTCCCTTTGTTTGCCTGTGCTTTTGGGGTATTTGCTCAGGAAATCTTTGCCCAGACCAATGTCCTGGAGAGTTGCCCCAGTGTTTTCCTTTAGTAGTTTCATAGTTTGAGGTCTTAGATTTAAGTATTTAATCCATTTTGATTTGATTTTTATATATGGTGAGGTAGGGGTCAGTTTCATTCTTCTGCATGTGGATATTGGTTTCCCAGCACCGCTTATTGAAGAGACTGTCCTTTCCCCCAATGTATGTTCTTGGCACTTTTATAAAAAATGAGTTCACCGTAGGTGTATGGATTTGTTTCTGGATTCTCTATTCTGTTCCATTGGTCTATGTGTTTATTTTTATGCCAGTTCTGTGCCTATTTTGGTTACTATAGCTCTGTAGTATAATTTGAAGTCAAGTAATGTGATTCCTCCAGTTTTATTCTTTTTGCTTGTGATGGCTTTAGCTCTTCTGGGTCTTTTGTGGTTCCATATAAATTTTAGGATTATTTTTTCTGTTTCTGTGAAGAATGTCACTGATTTTTTTCTTGTGGTTTTGTTTTGTTTTGAGACAGAGGTCTTGCTCTGTCACTCAAGCTGGAGTGCAGCAGCATGATCTTGGCTCAATGCAACCTCCATCTCCCAGGCTCAAGTGATCCTCCCATCTCAGCCTCCCAAATACCTGGCACTACAGGTGTGTGCTACATGCCTGACTAATTTTGGTATTTCTTGTAGAGATGGAGTTGTGCCATGTTGCCCAGGCTGATCTCGAATTCATTGGCTCAAGTGATCCACCCGCCTTAGACTCCCAAAGTGCTGGGATTACAGTTGTGAGCCACTGCGCCTGGCCATCATTGGTATTTTGATAGGGATTGCATTGGATCTGTAGATTGCTTTGGATAGTATGGACATTTTAACAATATTGATTATTCCAATCCATGAACATGGAATAACTTTCCATTTTTTGGTGTCCTCTCCAATTTCTTTTCTTTTTTTTTTTTTTTTTTTTTTGGTGAGCTGGAGATATACTCTTGTTGCTGAGGCTGGAGTGTAGTGGTGTGATCTCAGCTCACTACATCCTCTGCCTCCCAGGTTCAAGCAATTCTCCTACCTCAGCCTCCCGATTAGCTGAGATTACAGGCATGTGCCACCACGCCCAGCTAATTTTGTATTTTTAGTAGAGACAGGGTTTCACCATGTTGCCCTGGCTGATCTCAAACTCCTGACCTCAGGTGATCTGCCCACCTCGGCCTCCCAAAGTGCTGGGATTACAGACTTGAGCCACTGTGCCTGGTCTGTCCTCTCCAATTTCTTGCATCAGTGCTTTATAGCTTTCAGTGTAGAGATCTTTCACTTCTTTGGTTAAGTTTAATTCTGGGTATATTATTTTATTTGCAGCTATTGTAAATGGGATCACTTTCTTGATTTCTTTTTCAGATTGTTCACTGTTGGTATATATAAATGTTACTGATCTTTGTATGTTGAATTTTGTATCCTAAAACTTTACTGAATTTATCAGTTCAAATAGTTTTTTGCTGGATTCTTTGAGTTTTTCCAAATATAACATCATTTCATCTGCAAACAAGGATAATTTGACTTCTTCCTTTCCAACTTGATGTCCTTTATTTCTTTCTCTTGTCTGGTTGCTCTAGCTAGGACTTCCAGTACTATGTTGAATCACAGTGGTGAAAGTGGGCATTCTTGTTGTGTTCCAGATCTCAGAAGAAAGGCTTTCAGATTTCTCTCATTCAGTGTGATACTAGCTGTGGGTCTGTCATATATGGCTTTTATTGTGTTGAGGTATGTTCCTTCTATGCCCAGTTTTTTTAGGATTCTTTTTTTTTTAATCATGAAAGGATGTTGAATATTATCAAATGCTTTTTCAGTATCAGTTGAAATGGTCATATGGCTTTTGTCCTTCATTCTGTTGATATGATGCATCACACTGATTGATTTGCATATGTTGAACCATCCTTGCATCCCTGAGATAAATTCCACTTGGTCATGATGAATGATCTTTTTGATGTGTTGTTGAATTCAGTTTGCTAGTATTTTGTTGAGGATTTCTGCCTGCCTGCTCTTTGCCTGAGAGTTTAGCCCAGGCTTTTTGGCCTGGCAACATCATCCTGCTTGACCCACAGCAACTGTTCAGCAGAAAGAGCCTTAGCTCCTAACCTAGCAATTGGAACCAGGGCTGAGGGTCAAAGGGATATAAGTGTACCTCACTAAAGCTAACCTGTTGTGCGTAAACCCACACTCAGGAACACAAGCGAACCTCACTAAAGCTAGCATGTCATATTTAAAAATAAATTAGAGGCTGCTTCTCTTCACAAAACTTTTTCCAAAGAGCAATTTGCTGTGGTTTGGATGTGACCTCCAAAGTTCATGTGTTAGAAATTTAATTGGCCGGGCGCGGTGGCTCATGCCTGTAATCCCAGCACTTTGGGAGGCTGAGGCGGGCGAATCACGAGGTCAGGAGTTCCAGACCAGCCTGACCAATATGGTGAAACCCCGTCTCTACTAAAAATACAAAAATTAGTTGGGTGTGGTGGTGCGTGCCTGTAATCCCAGCTACTCGGGAGGCCGAGGCAGGAGAATCACTTGAACCTGGGAGGTGGAGGTTGCAGTGAGCCAAGGCTGTGCCACTGCACTCCAGCCTGGGCAACAGAGTGAGACTCCATCTCAAAAAAAAAAAAAAAAAAAAAAGAAAGATTTTTTGTATATGTTTAGAGGGCTCACTTTCCTTGCAACTTTTTGGGCATAGACTTATTGAAATTGAGATATAAAAATCAAGAGGTGAGTTAGCAGGGATTAGCTTATTTTCAGGGGCCATATGATGACAAAATTCCTTATTACTCCAGATGCCAGAAAAGGTGGAGATGAAACTGAGTGGAACTGGGAACATCTGCCTCAAAAGGTTTGGCATAAATTCTCAAAACATCTGGCATCCCTTGTTAGCATTTATCACTCTACTGACAAGCTGCCTTCCACTGATCCTCTAAGCCATTCTTGACTACCTAACAGAACAGACAGCCAGACACTCAGTGTTAAAAAGACTTGACTCTGCTTCTGGCTCTGCCATGTACAAGCTCTGCTACCTTGGGCTGCCTGCTGGTATTTCTGGTCCTCAGTTTTTTAAATTGTAAAACAGAGATTGTTGTACTTATGTAAAGGAAAAAATAGACTTCTTTTCTCTCTGTTTACACCCAACAGGATACTTCGGTGATCAAATGTCGGGGGTAGAAGTTTTCCCCCAAGAACTAATTCTCCAACACCAGCTGGGTGTATAGAGTTTAATTAAATTCTGACACCATTTACCTGGAGTTAAAGTCAGATCCCATGGGTTTCAGGCTCAGCCCCCCACTTCAGATGCCAGGCACAAATCTGGGCTTCTGGATCTTCTGATCTGTTTGCTATAAATCGGAGGTTCTCATAACCCCTTTTTCAGGTTTGATCATTTGCTAGAGTGGCTCACAGAATTCACGAAAGCACTTTAGGTACATTTACCAGTTTATTATAACAATATTACAAACGATACAGAGGAAACGCCAGATGGGAGAGATGCAGAGGGCAAGGAATGGGGGAAGGGACACAGCATCCTTGTCCTCTCAGGGACACCACCCTCCATGTACTCAGCAGTGCACAAGCTCTCCACACTCCCATAGTTCAGGGGTTTTGATGGAAGCTTCATCACATAGACATGATCGATTATTAACTCCATTTCCAGCCCTTCTCCCATCTTCAGGGAATGAGGAGTAGGGCTGAAAGATCCAGGATTCTAACCATGGCTTGGTCTTTCTGGCGACCAGCCCCCATCCAGGAGTCCACTGAGAGTCATCTCCTTAGAACAAAAGATGCTCCTGTCACCCAGGAAGTGCCAAGGGGATTGGGAGCTCTGTGTCAGAAACCTGTGCCAAAGATAAAATATTAGAACCCAAGATGCACCTAGAACCTCTATTGTTCAGGAAATTGCAAAGGTTTTAGGAGCTCGGGGCCAGGAATTGGGGGAAGAGACCAAATATATGTTTCTTATTATATCACAGCCTACCTTGTAGGGCTTTTGTGAGAACATGAGGAAGTAAGTGGCACCCAGTGAGCACTTGGTAAAGGATGGCTGAAAATGTGTTAGACTTTTAACTCTTGAGGTAACAACTTCCTTAAGTGTATAATACGCACATGGGGTTCTTTAGGTCCCAGTTCTGTCCAAGATCAAGACGATCAACCTGAGAGGGCAACTTTTCAGAAGCCACGAGAGAAAAGACGGATCTAGGAGTAGTCAGGAATGTAACAGTAGCTCAACCTCCCAGCCTGACAGTCAGGGGCTTAGGGCCTGAGAGGCCCTGGTAGTGAATCCGTCTGAGGCCTGATCAGTGACAAAGTGTGAGCTGCTGAATGAGGCTTTAATCCAGGAGGTGTTGAAAGAGCCTAATAAATACTTATTCCATTTTGTTAAATCTAAGAGCTTTTTTTTTTGGAGACAGAGTCTTGCCCTTTCACTGCAACTGAAACTTCTGCCGCCCGGGTTCAAGTGATTCTTATGCCCCAGCCTTCTGAGTAGCTGGGATTACAGGCATGTGCCACCATGCTCAGCTAATTTTTGTATTTTTAGTAGAGATGGGGTTTCAACATGTTGGTCTTGGACTCCTGGCCTCAAGTAATCTGCCTGCCTCAGCCTCCCAAACTGCTGTGATTACAGGTGTGAGCCACTGCAGCTGGCCAAAATCCAAGAGTTTGAAGAAAAACACTACGTTGATTTTTTGTGTGTTCCTCTTACCACGTGAGATGTGGCCCTGAAGAAAGCATTAAACCAGACCCTGCCCTAATGGATGACAGGCCTCTGATGGACCCTTACTGGGCTCTTGCTCCTGTGACCAGAAGCAAGAAATGTTCCCAGGGAAAACAGATTAGCAGGCTGGACTGGATGCCTTTCTGAGAGGGAGCAAGAACTGTCCTTTGTACCTTAGGTTTTCGGGCTCAGCTGACACCACACCAGGGAACATATAGTAGATTAGTTTCCTAGGATTGCACAACAAAGCACCGGACAAAATAACAGCAATTCATTCTCTCACGGTTCTGGAGGCTAGAGATCTGAAGTCCAGGTGGCAGCAGGGCTCCTTCTGCTTTCCTCACCTGTTCCTGGAGGGCAATCATTGGCGTTCCTTGGTTTCCAGCTGCATCACGGCACCCTCTGCACATGGCTTTCTCTCCACGTGGCTGTGTCTTCACTTTCACTTGGCACTTTTTTTGTTTTTGTTTCTGTTTTTTTTGTTTTTTAGATGGAGTTTCACTCTTGTCGCCCAGGCTGGAGTGCAGTGGCATGATCTCAGTTCACTGCAACCTCTGCCTCCTGGGTTCAAGCGATTCTCCTGCCTCAGCCTCCTGAGTAGCTGGGATTACAGGCATGTGCCACAACACCCAGCTAATTTTGTATTTTTAGTAGAGACAGAGTTTCTCCATGTTGGTGAGGCTGGTCTCCAACTCCCAACCTCAGGTGATCCATCCGCCTCGGCCTCCCAAAGTGCTGGGATTACAGGCATGAGCCACTGCACCCAGCCTTACATTAGCTTTATAACCAAGGGGAAAAAACAATTTTTAAAAAATACATATACAAGTAATTTCCTGAAATGTGCATTCCAGGAAAGTTGTGGCTGGGAAGAGAGCAGCAGTTGCTGGGGTCCAGCTGATTCCCTTGCCTATAAGCCACAGCCATCACCCCTGTGGAGTCTCTCCACTTGGAAGGATGGCTGCTTGCATCAGAATGAGCCATGATGCTTGCTAAAAAATGCAGAATGCAAGGTGCCACCCTAGACCTACTAAATCAGAATCTCTGGGCACAGGGCACAGGATTTTTCAATTTAACAGGTTTTACACACTGCATTTGAAACCCCTGGGATTTAGAGGCTGTGGACGACCCACTCTTCAGTAATCCAGTGGTTTGTCACACTAGCCGAATGTGCCTCCTCAGCCCTTTCAGTACTCAACACTGTGCTTTTTTTTTTTTTTTTTTTTTTGACAGAGTATCGCTCCATCACCCAAGCTGGAGTGCAGTGGTGTGATCTTGGCTCACTGCAACCCCCCAGGAGGAGGAGGTTCACGCGCCACCACATCTGGATAATTTTTGTATTTTTAGTAGAGACGGGGTTTCGACATGTTGGCCAGGGTGGTCTTGAACTCCTAACCTCAAGTGATCCTCCCGCCTTGGCCTCCCAAAGTGCTGGGATTACAGGCATGAGCCACTATGACTGACCTAACACTGCTTTGAAGAATAAAACCAAATAAAGAGAGCTGTTATTCTTTTTATAAAGTCAATTCTTGGTTGTACCTATGATGGGAAGCTGCAAAGCAAGTTATTCAAAATAATATAAAATTCATAATTATATTTTATTTTGGAATCTAGTGGCAGCAGAGTGCTCTTCTTAATTTGTCCTAACAATTAAAATGAGTTGACATCCCCATACTCAACACTATCAAGTTTAGAATGAAGAAAAGTACTTTGCCCCCATTAAAAAGTAAGTATTCTGTATGTAGTTAGTTGAGAGTTGTCATTATAGACATGATTATTTTTAACTCACAATCTTGAGTTTTCCTTTATTGATTGGTGTACAAGACTAATATCTGGGGACAGTAGAAAATTCTCTGCTTTTTTTTTTTTTTTTTTTAAAAGACAGAGTTTCACTTTTGTTGTCCAGGCTAGAGTACAAGGGCATGATCTCGGCTCACTGCAACCTCTGTCTCCTGGGTTCAAGCAATTCTCCTGCCTCAACCTCCCGAGTAGCTGGGATTACAGGTGCCCACCACCACGCCTGGCTAATTTTTTGTATATTTAGTAAAGATGGGGTTTCACCATGTTGGCCAGGCTGGTCTCGAACGCCTGACCTCAGGTGATCCATCCACCTTGGCCTCCCAAAGTGCTGGGATTAGAGGCGTGAGCCACCGTGCCCAACTACAAATTCTTTAAGATGTGCCTGAGTTCAGGGCAGGGGTTGGCTGAGAAGGCCCTTCCAGCTCCGAGACGCTGTGACTTGTCAGAGCAAGGGGTGTTGTAACGTGCTCTGAGAGGTCCCAACAGCTGTGCCACTGGCCATCTCTTAAAGAGGTGAAATTCAACACTGCAGAGAGGCAATAACTCGTGGTATTAGTCCACACTTGCTTCCGGAGCGGGTCATCGCCTCTTAGGAGAAAAGATGAGCCATCTCGAGAATGAGAATTTTTGTCTATGTGTGGGAGCAAGCAGAAAAAAAGAACCAGCAACTGGGAGGCTCTGCCTTTCGCCTCCTGGAGGGGTCACATTCCCTTTTGAGCCTTCACAGGGATGGCTTCAGGAAGCCATTTGCACCCCTCCCTCCACCTGACCCCCCTTTTTGTGAGGGAGGAGGGTGAGAGGAAACAGCCTGTGGAGGGCTAAGTGCTTGGCACCTTAAATAGCACCTCCATTTGTGCTTTGTCATGATCCCCGCGCTCTGGCAGGAGCGGGCTCTCCGGGCGCTGGGTGACAACTGCCTGGGTTCAGGGAGGCCTTGAGCAATCAGCGGGAGGAACGCGGGCTCTGAGGAGCAGAGGGCCGGGACATCAGGCCTGTGCCTCCCCCAAGCATGCCCTTCTTTCCTGCTGCACAGGGAGGAAGCAGAGGGAGGCAGCTGACGGGGTCAAAACCCATCCAGGAGAAAAAATTTTTAAAGGAAGCCTGGTATCTTTCACACAACATGTAATTAACTCTCAGCAGAAAATGCCACGGATTCATAATGGGAGCCGACAGCGGGGGAGGACGACTCTGACAAGCATGAGATTTCTCATGTTGGGTTTTTTTTTTAATTTAATTTTTTAAAGGAACATGAACAGTTGCAATGATAATCGCGGACCTTCAGTGATGGTGTCTCCCAGCAACAAGCCAGATCCCGCTGTAGCCCACCCTCTGCCCTGGCAAGATGAAAGTGGAGTAGGGGGCTTTGTTGCTTCAGAGCAGCAGTCATGGAGCCCTGGCCTGGCCCTGATGGATGTTTCTCATCCCTGATGCCCTGAAATGGGCCCGCCAAGAAGCCCCGACTCTTTTGGGCTGTCCCCACATGTGGGCTGTCCCCAGAGCTCTCTCCTCTCCATGACAGCAGTCCTTGGCTTCATCCGAGTCTCTGGCCTGGGGCTCTCAGGGTCATGCTTCTGGCACAGCTCAGGCTCCCCTGGGTGCCCTGCCCTCAGCAGGAGACTGCACCCTGGGAGGAAGGGAGGTGCAGCTGGAGAGGAGGAATGGTGGGGAGCCCCAGGGCAGGGTGGCTCGAGGCAGGCAGTATCTGGATGGCTGCCAGAATAGGGGCCAACCCTCTCCCAGGCACAAAGGGCTCTCTGTGAGGGACACACCAGCCCCAAGTGGAATCCAGGAGGCTCATGTTTCTTAACACAAAGGAGGGTCATTCCCAGACCAGCCTGGGTGTGGCCTGGAGGCTGAACCCCTCTGGGCAGTGCCCTTGGACTCCCAGGGACCCATGTGGGGGCTTCGGTCCTCATTCTGATCTGGGCTGCGCAGGCAGATGGAGAGAGGCCTGGGCAGGCGGCCTCACCTCTTCCTCTGGGAGGGGCCTTCCTAGGTCTCCCCTACCACATTCTCCCTCCCGCACACACAGGTGCACACATACACTTGCACACTCAGAGTCCAAGGGAGAGAAGATTCCCAACCTAACCACACTTAGATTAGCCAAGTACGTTGTGCAGACCCTTCTTCTGGCTGGGAAGCATGTCACGAGAGCCACTGTGTGACCACAGGCAACAGGATTCCTTCTCTTCAGAACTCAGAAGTGCTCCCTGCCACGAAGCACCTCCTCAGTGTGACCCTGCCAAGCATAAAATAGATATGCATACATGTACACACACATACACACATATACACACACACACACACACATATATATATATATATAGAGAGAGAGAGAGAGAGAGAGAGAGACCTAAAAATGGCATGGAACAGATTTGAAATGGTCCGTGCTGATGTATCTTTCAGCCAAGCCTGAGGCTGATTTGGGTGGCTGTGCCCTGTGGAAAGAGATGGGTCAGGGAGATACCTAAATACTCATTGGGACTTGTGGGCTTTGTGTTTTTAAATGGAAGAGTTGGAGTAGGATCTCTACGGTCTCTTCAGCTCTTGGTATAGGCCTGAAAGCCACAAGGCTGGATGTCCACCCACCAGCCCCACTGCCTACCCAACTCCCAAGACCCCGCTGCATCAGAGGTCTCTGTGGATGTCTGTTGGGGCACTGGCAGGCACAGTCCCTCCCTGGACCATAGCTGAGGTCTGAGGGTAATGGATAAGAAGTGTGTGGGATTTTCAAAGACTGGCCTTTTCCTATCCTGTATGTTCTGCATTGGGAATTATGGAGAAGACATTCATTTATTGAACACACATTTCTTGGGCACCATTCATGCACCAATAAATAAAACAGACACAATTTCCTGCTCTTAGGAGCTTACATTTGACACAACACATAGGAGCTTCCCCTCCATATAGTTTGCTAAGGTGGCTGTAACAAAATACCACAATCTGGGTGGCTTGAACAACAGCAATGTATCCTCTCACAGTTCTGGAGGCTGGAAGTCCAAGGTCAAGGTGTCAGCAGGGCTGGTTCCTCTTGAGGGCTGTAATAGAGGACCTGCTCCCTGCCTCTCTCTTCTGGTGGTTTGCCGCCATCTTTGGCATTTGTGTGTTGTAGAAACATCACGCTGATGCTGACTTCATCTTTACATGGGGTTCTCCCTGTGTGAGGTTTGCCTCTGTGTTCAATTTCCCCTTTTTATAAGGACTCATTGGATTAGGGTCCACCCTCATGACCTCATCTTAACTTGATCATTGGCAAAGACCCTATTTCCAAAAGAGGTCACATTCTGATCCTGAGGGTTAGGACTCCAACACATCTTTTTTTGGGGGTGGACACAATTCAATCTGCAATGACTTCTATAGAAAAGTGTACGAAAGCACGGAGGGGAGCACCCGCCCTTGAGGCACCTGAGGTCTCCTGCTTCCACAGGCTCTCACCCAAGTCCCTCTGATGTGGAGCCTGGCCATGGCCCATTCCCTACCATAAGGGATGCTGAGAATTCGAGTTTCTGGCTTCTACCCTGGGGAGGCAGGGACATTTATTGTGAGATTTTCTCCAAGTGCAGGAGGAACATTCAAAGGATTCATGCAAATGTGGCCATAAAGCAAAACAGAAATCCACTATGCTTTACCTGGGTATGGTAGCACACGCCTCTCTTCCCAACTACTTGGGAGGCTGAGGTGGGAGGATCACTTGAGCCTAGGAGATTGAGGCTGCAATGAGCCAAGATCACACCACTGCAATCCAGCCTTAGCAACAGAGTGAGAGCCTCTCAAAGAAAGAGAGAGAAAGGAAAGAAAGAGAAATAGAGAAAGGAAAGAAAGAGGAAATAAAGAAAGAAAAAGAAAAAGAGAAAAGAAAAAAAGAGAGAAAGGAAGAAGGAAGGAAGAGAGAGAGAGAGAGAGAGAGAGAGAGGCTGGGCACGGTGGTGCACGCCTGTAATCCCAGCACCTTGGGAGGCCGAGGCGGGCAGATCCCGAGGTCAGGAGTTTGAGACCAGCCTGGCCAATATGTTGAAACCCCGTCTCTACTAAAAATACAAAAATTAGCCAGGTGTGGTGGTATGCGCCTGTAATCCCAGCTACTCAGGAGGCTGAGGCAGGAGAATTGCTTGAACCTGGGAAGTGAAGGTTGCAGTGAGCTGAGATCGTGCAACTGCACTCCAGCCTGGGCGACAGAGGAAAACTCTGTCTCAAAAAAGAAAAAAAAGAAGAAAGAAAGAAGGAAAGAAAGAAAAAAGAAAGAGAGAGAAGAGAAATCTACTATGCAGGTGCTTTTAGGTTTTCTCCAAGGGTACCTAAAAGCAGCAGCTGAGGGCGACAGCTTGTATTTCTTATGTCTGCAATTTAGTGCCTTGTACTGAGTGCTGCCCACTGCAGGGACTAAATGTTGATGACCATAGAGGACACCTGGCAAATCTAGATGACAGCTGACATCTAATAAGCACTTACTATGTACCAGGCATTTTTCTAAGCTCTTTCAATGTGTTGCCTCATTTAATTCTCAACAATAGCCTGTGATACAGGATGGTTATTATCCCCCTTTCACAGATGAGAACACTAAGGCCCAGAGAGGTTAGGTCACTCCACCTAGTAAGTAGGAGAGGTAGGAGAGGTAGGATTTGAACCCAGCAATCTCAGCCTGAGACTGAGAGCTTTACCACAGGGCTTCCTAGTAGATTTAGAAGGTGAGAGATGGAGGAAACTTGCCAGCCCATGTTCGGGGAAGGCAGGGCCCTGCTGTCAACATGGGAGTTCAGTGGAGCTGCTCTTGGTAGCACGTACGCTGTGTCACACTCCCTGAGCCAGGTGAGTATGCTGCTGGCCTGCTGCAACCTAGCCTCATTAAGGCATCCTGACAAAGTGCTGGAGAATACTGGAAGGCAGGTGTGGGAAGAGACGTGGGAGGTTGGGGGAGAGACCGGCAGCTGGTGAGCTGCAGGGCCCCCCCCCGGGGAGGCTCTGCCTGCGTTCGTGGCTGAGGAGGAACTGCGTCAGAAAACTGAGGATTTCCAGACTCAGCGGGGTGGTTCCAATGCTGGCTCCCCGCAAGGGTAGGAAGGGCCCCAAGCTGGTACCCTGCCAGGGTGCTGCCACAGGCAGGCCAGGATGTTCCCAAGGCTTCTTCCTGAGTGACCTAGAGGAGCAGCTGGGCCTGGGAGGGGTCGGGCAGCTGCCGGGGCAGGCTCTCCAAGCTGGGGTGCATTTGCAAGGTGACTCAGGTCCCCACCACATGCTCAGAGGCAGAGACCTGGGACCTTTGTGCAGGCCCTGGAGGAGCTCTACCCCCAACACCCTCATCCTGTGACTCTGGACTTTAGAACATTGATATTTCTATTCCTTTGGAGAAAAGATGGGAAAAGAAGCAGAAGGAGGCACAAATAAAGGGAACACATTCTCACAGCCCTAAAAACATCCAAAAACGCCCTCCTCCGGCCCAGCCTGTAGAATTGGGCCTCTGGCCTCACATACTCAAAGTCCAGAGCAGACATTTAAGACTCTGCGTACACCAGGGGTGTCTGTCACTCACCAGGAGCCACCCTCCCAAAAACACTGGGACCCACCTAGCAGCTTCCTTTTCCAGGGGAAACAGAGTACAGGCTCGTGCTTGGGTTTTTCTTAAAAGGAACAGGAGAGAAAGGTAAAAGGATATTTTCCTTCAACAGCATTGATAATTAGATAAGAATAGAGTAGTCTCCCATACGCTAGCAGGACATTTCCAAAACACATATGGGTAACAAAATACAGAAAGAAAAGCACAGAAAACAAATTAGCCACTGGAGATTTTATTACAATAAGGAACTATGTAATATGTAGTTAATACAAAGTTTAGTTTAAGAAATGTTTGCGGCTGGGTGAGGTGGCTCATGCCTGTAATCCCAACACTTTGGGAGGCTGAGGCAGGCGGATCACTTGAGGCCAGGAGTTTGAGACCAGCCTGGCCAACATGGTGAAACCCTGTCTCTACTAAAAATAAAAAAATTAGCTGGGCGTGGTGGTGGGTGACTAATCCCAGCTACTCGGGAGGCTGCGGCAGGGGAATCGCTTGAACCTGGAAGGTGGAGGTTGCAGTGAACTGAGATTGTGCCACTGTACTCCAGCCTGGGCAACAGAGTGAGACTCTGTCTTAAAAAAAAAAGAAAAAGAAAGAAAGAAAGGAAATGTTTGCAAAGATCAACAGTGTCCCAGAGTTTTAAAACCAGATTAATACTTGTAATCACATGGAAAACACTAATGCCTTATGTGTACTCTTATTTCTTTTACAATTTTAATTAAAATAAAAATTTTTTAAAGTAGAGGCAAGGTCTTGGTATGTTGCCCAGGCTGGTCTTGAACTGCTGGGCAAAAGCGATTTCCCATGTTGGCCTCCTGAAGTGCTGGGCTTGCAGGCATGAGCCACCACGCCCAGTTGCCCTTATTTCTAAGTGTCTCCCCACAGATAAGAAGCTGAGAAGAGGGATATTCTTAGAATTTAAAAAATGAGGTGAGGCCAGGATTGCCAGGTGGCCTATTAAATTTGAATTCTAGATAAACAACAAATACTTTTTCGTATGTCTCGAATATTGCATGGGACATACTGATCATAAAGAATTGTTTACGGTTTACTTGAAATTCACATTTAACTGGTCATCCTGTATTGTTATCTGCTCCAACTGGCCATCCTAGATACTCTTCATCTCCACCCCAGTAGGAGAAGGCAGAGAAGCAAATTCTGGAGAAGCAGCTGGCAGGGACTCCAGAGCTGAGACCTCTGAGGCCTGGCTCCAGGGCGGCCCCCCGGGGCTGGGAAAAGGCCCTGGGCCTCTCTTTGAGCAATGTCTCCCGGGAGGAAACAGGCGGGGCCCAGCAGCTGCAGTAGGAAGCCTTGAAAACAATTCAGGCTTCTGGGGGCAGTCCCCAGTGCGGGAGAGGCAGGCTCAGTGTGGCAACATCCGCAAGTGCGCCTGGCCTGCAGACCACGCAGCTGGCTGTCTTCCCTGGGCTTGTGGGGGCCACCCTGACACCCAGGGGTACAGTACACCACCCCACACCTCAGCTGGCTCTGTCAACTCCCCAGCCTGCCCTGACCTTCCCTTCAGGCTGGGCTGTGCAGTCCTGCCTCTCATGGAATTCCCCCACATTCTCTGAGACTGAGGTCACTGAATGTCCCTGGGGCCTACAAGGCTGTCCTGCCAATTCAGGGACATGAGCTGAGTAACTGGTTATTTGTGCACCACCCAAAGGTACCCTGGGAAGGGGAGATGTGAGCACCCACTCCCTAGGAGCCCTGGGGAAAGGTCACTGGGTGAGAATGCAGTGGTGTCTTCTCAGCAACCCCGCAGGCCCCTTGCTAGCCAGCTCTGATGGGGCAGGCCTTCCTGGGAGCTGCTCTTGGGTCCCTTCTAGGTGAACAGGGAGGGAAGAGGGCAGGAACAAAGCGGGTGGGCCTGCCTGGGAGGCCTCAACCCAAAATGTGGGCCAGAGCGTTCATTAGAGAGCTGAGAAGGGAAGGAAGACAGTCCAGTAGCAGAGTATCTCTGTGATAATCTTGTGAGGTGCTTCAGCCCTATTTTGCACAGAAGACAAAATCGAAGCTCAGAGAGGTTATGGAACTACCCTTAGGGCACACCGTTAGCAAGTGGCGGGGTCAAAGATCCCACCTAGACCACTTGGGCTCTAAAACCTGGGCCCATTCTATTATTCTTTGCTGCCCAGGAAAATTCTGGTTTAGCTCAGGAGGAAACATCCACTGTCAACTCTGTTATTCTACATTGTCAGATTCCCATCTTTCCCCACCTCTCCCCACCTCCAAAACTTGGCTTGTGAAATTTCCACTAGAAAATAAAGCTGAAAGGAAACAGCTGTACTTCTCTGTGTCCACGCCAGGAACTCCAGCTCCCAGGCCCTCAAGCTTCCTCCCACAGAATTGAGTGCATGCGGTGTGGGCCAGGCCATAGTGGCCTGAGCATGTTGGGAACCGTTGCCGGTTCCTGTCCTTGGATGTCTCATTTGGTAATTCTGACAGACTGAAAACCACACTCCCTGGTGACCAGCCTCATAAATCTGACCTGTGTGTTTAATTGAGTTTGGTGAAACTTAGGGATATTGGCTCTCATGAAGAACCTCCCACCCTACAAGGGATTCCAGGTGTTGGCCCTGCCCTTTAGTCCTCCTCAGATCTCTCCACACAGAGGGAGTCAAGCCTTCCTTATCTTCCCCTTTTGGCCTTGGCTATTTCTCATACTTTCTGACACTCCCATCATATTGGGTCACTGTGTTTCCCCCTCATCATCGCCTTACAGCAGTAAAATGCCAAGAAACTTTCAATTCTGTGTGGGGTGGGGAGAGAATTAGTGAGTTGGGGGTAGGGTTTGGGAAGGCTTGAGGAAGGAGAGCTGGGAGGGAAGAGAGACAGCTCTGTTTCTTCTAACCTTTAACTTCAATCATGTCTTCATTTACTTGATAATGCACATATATTGGCTGGATGAGGTGATATAGGAGGAGAAGGCCTGCTGAAGACAGAGACAGAGATTGGAGTTATGCAGCCTCAAGACAAGGAAGGCCTAGAACCACCAGGAGCTGGAAGAGGTAAGGAAGGGAGGCTTTGGAGAGATTGCAGGCCACCTTGACTTTAGACTCCTGCCTCCAAAATTGTGAGAATACACTTCTATTGTTTTAAGCCACCCAGTTTGTGGTCATTTGTTTCAAAGGCCACAGGAAACTAATACAAGGAACAACTGCAAAATCCCGCCCCCCCCCCCCCCCCCCCCAGGAAAAAGAAGATAAGAGGCTGTCTCACTCAGCTCAGTCTGCTCTCACAAAAATACCACAGACAGCCGGGTGCGGTGGCTTACGCCTGTAATCCCAGAACTTTGGGAGGCCGAGGCAGGCGGATCACTTGAGGTCAGGAGTTAGAGATGAGCCTGGCCAACAAGGTGAAACCACATCTCTACTACAAATACAAATATTAGCTGGGCATCGTTGGGGGGTGCCTGTAATCCCAGCTACTTAGGAGGCTGAGACAGGAGAATCGCTTGAACCCGGATCATGACACTGCATTCCAGCCTGGACGACAGAGCAAGACTTCATCCAAAAAAAAAAAAAAAAAAAAACCCACAGACAGACACTTATTCCTTACAGTTCTGGAGGCTGGAAGTCTGAGATCAAGGTGCCAGCATGGTCGGGTTCTTGGTAAGGGCCTCTTCCAGGTCATGTCCTTACATGGCCTCTCCTTGGTGTGTGCATGTGGCGAGAAAGCTCTGGTCTCCTCATCTTCTTATAAGGGCGCTTATCCCACCATGGGGGTTCTACCGTATTGACGTCATCTAAACCTAATGGGTCTCCCAAAGGCCCAACCTCCAAATACATCACACTGGGGAAAGGGCTTCAGCACATGGATTTTGGAGCAACACAAACATCCAGTTCATAGCAGGGGCCTTTGAAAATGGAGAAAACAGAGATAAGTGAAACTCAAAGGACCAGTGAAGGACTTTCATCAGGGCTGTTGCAGATGAAGGTGCAGGTTGTGCGCTGCACAGCTCTCGGGTGCTATTTATCAGTGGTTGTAGATTTGTATATTTATTTCTATGTTTTTCCTGTAGGGGTCAGTAAGATGTCTTGAGGAAGAGGGGCCTTTTCCTAAAACACCCAAAGGCATTCTATGACCTTAGTGGGTTTTGGGGAGAAACATCTAGATTGCACTGTCCAGTAGAATTTTCTGCAAGGATGGAAACATTGTACATCTACACCACCCAATACTGTAGCCACTAGTCAAATGTGGCCCTTGTGCACTTAGAATGTGGCTTGTGCTACCAAGAAGTTGAATTTTAAAATTTATTTAATTATAATTGTAAATTTAAATATCCATATGTGTCTGGTGACTACCATATTGGATGCACAGCTCTAGAACAAGAAAAATGGCAGCTCCGGACTGTAGAATTTAGTCACTACAGACATAGGCATTATTCATTTGATATTGTTCAGAGGCCCCTCTGCAACTGCACCCCTTGTTAGGAGGGGGTGAGGGGGCTGAACAGGGACCCAAGGTGATGGCCGAGGTGGCACAGACAGTAGCGGGTACCAGGGAGCATAAGAAATGCCCCAGTGGACTGGATCAGGGTCCAGCAGTGGATGGAGGAGGACAGAAAGGCCTGCCTGAGGAGGAGTTCTTACTCTCCAGCCAGCTGGATTTCCCGTCTTAGTGGCGTTTTCTGAATATGTCCATCAGGAAGTTAGCTAAACTCTTTTTTTTTTTTTTTTTTGAGACAGAGTCTTGCTCTGTTGCCCAGGCTGGAGTGCAGTGGCGTGAAGCTAAACTCTTTTGAACCTACTTGTGTTTTGATCTCTCAATTTGGAATAATGAACTTTTATAAGGAGATAATCCTAGAGATGGGCAGAGGGTACTAGTCTGGAGCTCCAGGGCCTCTAGGTCTTTTGGTCCTTGAACAGGGCTCCTTAGGAGCAGGTCTGTTAACAGTCCCAGGCAACTCTCCAGCAGGAAGGTGGGATCCCTCCCTGTCTGTGTCGTCTCATATCACCCAGGTACAGCTGCACATGAGGGAGGGATGTCGAAGCTGCTGGGGTTCATTTTGTTTTGTTTGTTTGTTTGTTTTTAGACAGGGTGTTCTGTCACCCAGGCTGGAGTGCAGTGGCGAGATCTCAGTTCATTGCAACCTCCACTTCCTGGGCTCAGGTGATCCTCCCACCTCAGCCTCCCACGTAGCTGGGACTACAGGTGTGTGCCACCATGCCCAGCTACTTTTTGTATTCTTTGTAGAGACGGGGTTTTGCCATGTTGCCAGGCTTGTCTCAAACTCCTGGTCTCAAGCAATCCTCCTGCCTCAGCCTCCCAAAGTGCTGGTATTACAGGCGTGAGCTGCTGTGCCCAGCCAAAGCTACTGTTTCAACTGCTGGAGAAGAGGACATTTAGCCAGTGGTGGCATCATCCATGCACGGACTGGAAGACTTCTCCACTGTGGGAAGAGAGGTCTCAATATGTCATGTGATCCTCAATACACTCTCTGCTCCTGTTGGCAGGCAGTGAGGGGGGTTTTGCAGGAGACTTAGGGGGGTAGCAAATGCTGGCAGGACAGCAAGGGCCTGGTGACTCCCTGGCAGCATCAGCAGCACTCATGGACTTGTTGGAAATGCGGAATCTCAGACCCGACCCAGACTTAGGGAATCTGTCTGTCGTAAGCAGATTCCAGGTGATTTGGGTACAAAGCAGAGGTTGAGGAGCACTCAGCTAGAACAAGGCCCATTGCCTGGCATTGATTTAACGGACTTGTGTTGAATTAGTTAACAGAGCTGAACTGACCTTGCTGTTTCCGAATTTTGTTGGCTCCACTGCCCTGGAGAACCTCTCTCTGAAACATAAATCTGCCAAATGGCTTCCAAGCCTTATTAGCCCAAATGAATCCCCTCTAATGCAGTGGGTATTCTGAAAGCTGAGAGTGAAATGCGTTCCACATGCCTGATCTTTGGGGGAGCCACCTTTGGGGCTGGGGAGTGAGAACCTCCTTTCAAAGCCAGCTCTGAAGCTTGGCTCTGCATGTGTGGCCACTTATCCTGCCACACCTGAGAGGCCCTGTGTCCTGCCCCATGGGGAATGGTTGCAGTATCTCCGCCCTCACCTGTGGCTTCTCCACACCCAAAGCCTGGTAAAGAGGTGATCCTTCTCAGAATTTGCCAAAGAAAGCCAGCAGTCCATGGCTGATATCAAAAAAGCATTAGGGCTGGGTGCAATGGCTCACACTGGTAATCCCAGCACCTTGGGAGACCAGGGCAAGTGGATCACCTGAGTTCAGGAGTTCGAGACCAGCCAGGCCAACATGGCGAAACCCCGTCTCTACTAAAAATACAAAAATTAGCTGGACGTGGTGGTGCGCACCTGTAGTCCCAACTACTTGGGAAGCTGAGGCAGGAGAATCGCTTGAACCTGGAAGGCGGAGGTTGCAGTGAGCCGAGATCGTGCCACTGCACTCCAGCCTGGGCGACAGAGTGAGACTCTGTCTCAAAAAAAAAAAAAAAAAGCGTTAGATCCTGCTCTCAAAAGCCTTAAAGAAACATATCATCACACACTTAGAAAGTGGTATTAGTGAGCCTACAACATCTGTACAACAACAGCTCTTTCAAATAATATTCCTAAGAGATTGCTCATTTTTTTAAAGTGCAAAATAGAATTATAGTCCTCTCTTGGCTGGGCGTGGTGACTCACTCCTGTAATCCCAGTGCTTTGAGGGGCTGAAGTGGGAGGATTGCTAGATGCCAGGAGTTTGAGAGCAGCCTGGGCAACATAGGGAGACCCCATCTCTATAAAAACTTTAAAAATTAGCTGGGCGTGGTTGTGCATACCTGTAGTCCCAGCTACTTGGGAGGCTGAGGCAGGAGGATCACTTGAGCCTAGGAGTTAGAGGCTGCAGTAAGCTATAATCACACCACTGCACTCCAGCCTGGGTGACAGAGTGAGATCCTGGCTCAAAAAAGAAAAAAAAAAAAAAAAAAGAATTGCAGTCCTCTCTCATTTTTAAAATAAAAATATATCTATGTTCATAGAAAAAATAATGTCTAGAGGGGTATTTTCCAAATTCTGTGGTGTCAATGCGCCCCAGCCAGAGACCACCAGGACCACACGTGGAGTTGGGTTTACCAGCTTATTGCAGTTTGGAAGCACGCACACCATGGGAACCGTGGGGTGTCCCAGTAAGAGGAGCAGGAAAGGACTCATAATAAGATGTGGGCCTGGGGTAGGTAGCTGGAAGCTTGGGGATGGTGCAAGGAAGCAGATCTTTGCTCTGGATTGGATGAGATGAGTGTCTAATAGTTCTTATGGAGATGAATTGACTGAGGCTATAAATTGGTAGAAACAACAACCACACACAAAAACAAAGAAAATAGTCACCCATTAGCCAGGATAGGGGGATGGTGGGTTATTTTTGTGGTTTGGACTGTGCTCTTGTTTTTGTTTCGATCTTCACAGTCACAGTGGCCTTGGCTGGTGCTGGTGCTCTGAGACGCTGATTGTGCTCAATGGGACATCAAGCCCCAGCTGTGACAACCAGGTCAGCTGCTGGTTCTCCAGTTCTCAACTGGCGTCACCTTTGGGTGTTGAGATTAAGGGCGATTTTCATTTTCTACTTCATGTTTTTTTTGGGGAAAATAGTGTGTTACATTTGCCTTTAGAAAACAAGCAATTTCTTTTTTAGAAAAAGATTACCTATATAAGAAAATGCTGAACAGGATAAACCATGTGCCAATACAGTTAGGCAGGAGGAGCAGACAGCCCAGCACAGAGTCCCCTGAGAACATGTCACAAAAGGCCACCCAGGTCATGCAGAACAGCTCCACTCAGACGCTTTCCCAGGAGGGAGGCTGGGCGTGCCCATATTTAAGTTTAGATTGGATGGAAATTGATGTTGCTCAAGACCTCACCCCAGGGTCCAGGTGGCGAGAAGCATGGCTGGCTTGTCTACACTGGGTGGAGGCCACCTGGACACCTGCGTGGTGAGGCTCCCAGATAAGAGGCCATGGCATGGCCTGGAGCTCCGGCTCTCAGCTTTGCAGCCTATTGAAATCACCTGGCTGTTTTGAATGTCTTTCCCCAGTGCTCAGCTACCTGTACCGATCAAATAGGGATCCCTGGTGGTGGGGAGCTCATTCCCAGCATTCCTTTAGCTCCCCAGGTGATTCCTCCAGCTTTTCTTGTTCTGCCTTTACCCAGCTCCCTTATTTATTCTGCTTCTGAGTCTCTACCTCCTCTTTTCCACTCCCATCATCTTCTGGATCCTCACAGCTCTCCTCCAAATCACCTCTGTCCCTCCACACACCCAGACTGATCCATGTAAATAAAAATCAAAGTCACTGGTTCTCAACCCTGGCTGCATATTTAGAATCACCAGGGGAATTTTAAAAAACACAGTGCCTGGGCCCCACCCTCAAAGTTTCTGATGCCATTGGGCTGGGGGTGGGACCCAGGCGTTGATATTTATAAAATGTTTCCCAGGGGATTTTACTGGGCAGCCAGGATTGAGAAACACAGCTTTAGGTATTTTAACTCCCCAGCCCAGCAGGGAGTAAGTCAAGGAGCTAACCCTGTAAACTGAAGCCTAGGAGTTTTTTTGTTTTTCAGATAGGGTCTTGCTATGTTGCACAGGCTGGTCTCGAATTGGCCTCAGGGGATCCTCCCACCTCAGCCTCCTGAGTAGCTGGGCACAAAAGTTCTTTAGGGTTCCTTTAGGGGAGTGTGCCACAAAGGGGAATACTCTGTACCCCGCTTTGCCACAGAAGACTGCATAGCTCTGTCTGTTCATGTATAGGCAGCCAGGTAGAGTGGTGGGGGAAGAGTTTGACAGGTACTGCGGAAGTACATGAGCTGGTCCCTGGCAGAAGAGGAGAGGGGGAAAAAGATAGGAATTGTGTCTTGGCTGCTGTCCTGACATATTCAAGGGGAACTCTGCAGAGGACTGGCTCCTGCAGAAGCAGATGGGGGCAAGAGCCAGGAAACAGCACACATCAAGACTTGTTGGCACAGATCTCTGAGCCAAGCAGGCTGCAATGGACGCTAGTGTCCCACCCAGACCCTCTGCACGACCCAGGACCTCCATCCCCAGTAGCAGGAAGTGTGGCCTGCTAACTGCTCATAGCTGAGTCCCTCCCCAGACGCTGCCCTCAGCCGAAGGGAGCTGCCTGGTCCAAGGCCATGGGCCCCGTGCCACCTGCATACAATAATTGTTGATGAGGGGGTACACAGACCTGGCCCCTTGCATTATTTTGGGACATCCGGGCTTCTGAGCTCTCCACAGGACCAGTTGAGGTCTCTGTTGCAAATGCATCTCAGTTCAGCCTCTGCCCTACCCAATCCTGCTTCATTGACTTCCCTGCAGGCGTAGCTCTAGCTATCTCCCTAGTAAGCCCCATGTAAGTCTGCCTCAGAGCCTGTTTCCTGACCTATGAGCAAGACTCTTAAATGTATGTGGGTGAAAAATGAACAGGCCAGGAAGGTGTGTAGGGGGATTGCATTACAGCTGCTTTGTGGGTCTTATGGAACATTTGCAGGCTCAAAGGACATGGAAACAGAAAATCTGATCGTATCACTCCCCCGCTTAAAATTCATCAGTGACTCCCGGCTGCCCAGGGGATGGCTTCTGAGCTCTTCATCATGATTTGAGTGCTTTTTTGTTATCTGGCCTGACCACCACTGTGGGTACCCACTCTTCTCCCTTGCTCTCCAGGTAATCAAAACTCTCTGCAGTTTTCCATCCTCCCACCCTCCCTGAGGCTGTCTCCTACCCCTGCCTACACAAGCGCTTGATGTTCCTGGAGAGCCCTCCCCTCTTCCTCACTGGGTCACTCGCATCCCCTCATCATTGAAATCATCTGTCTACTTGTTCTCTTCTAGCTGGTACATTCAGTGAGGCCCAGGGCCAGGTCTGGTCATCTGCTCCCCCAGGGCCCAGCACAGTGGTCAGCCCCTAATGAATCTTGTAGGATAAATGAATAAATGAATGGGAAGGGTGCAGTCTTTGAAGTGCCTTCACTTTCTGGGTATGTGATCTTGTGCAAGTGACTTAACCTCTCAGCCTCATATATAAAGAGGAGAAAATAATACACCTTATAAGGCTCCTGGAAGAATGAACCAAAAGAGACGACCTTGAGAAAATGCCCACCACAGTGGCTGTTAGGGAGCAGATGCCGCCGTCATGGTGGAATCACTACAATGTAATCTGGTTTCCATCCATTGAGATCAAGATTCCCTGATGGGTTGTGAATGTGGACAGAGTGGAATTTTTATTTATAGTCAGCTCTGATGCAAAGAGAGCAGGATGTTAGATGATGCTCATGCTGACATGTAGTGATCACTCACATTAGGTGCATGACAGTGGTAAAATGTATAGGGGTGCACAATAACACCATTTTAGGTGCATTCATCTTTTTTTTTTTTTTTTTGAGATGGAGTCTCGCTCTGTCACCAGGCAACTGTTGCTCACTGCAACCTCCGCCTCCCGGGTTCAAACAATTCTCCTGAGTAGCCTCCCGAGTAGCTGGGATTACAGGCATGTGCCACCACTCCCGGCTAATTTTTTGTATTAGTAGAGACAGGGTTTCACCATGTTGGCCAGGCTGGTCTCAAACTCCCGACCTCAGGTGATCCACCCACCTTGGCCTCCCAAAGTTCTGGGATTACAGGCATGAGCCACCGCGCGGGGCCCGCATTAGTCTTTTTAAATTCTCACAAAAGCCTAGGAGCATACAGGTTAAAGCCACTCCTTTAAGGACAGAGCCAGGACTCCAGATCCAGTGGCTTCTGCCATTTTCTGTATCACCAGGTTCCAGTGACTCTGCTGTCCACTACACCCCACCACTGCAGCCCATCACTCAAGAGTGCCACAGCCTGTGGCAGGGACTGTCTTTCGGGGATGAAGTTTCCACTGCTTGAAAGCAGGTGTGTTTTCATTGATCCTCAAGAAATTAGGTAGTAATGGAGTGCCATGCTGTGTGCAGTACAATGTTGGGAACCGTGGGCTCTACTAATAGGGATGGACACCTGCCAGGTGGAACTTTGAGGGGTGGTGTTCTCAGCACTTCGCCTGCACAGCAAATGTCCAGGCCCCAACAGGATCCCACAACATGCAGCCAGCCCACCCCGAGCCAGGTGCTGTGTGGGTTGAGGAATCCCTCCCGCGATAGCTCCCCTGTGGAGGACTGGAAGGGAAGCAGTACTCACTGCGGGTCTACGGTGTGCAGAGAACTTTTGCTTGTCTTCCCAGCAGTCTTGAGTGGTGGGCGTGACTGCCCACTCCGTCTTCCAGATTTGGAAGCAGATGGAGAGCCAAGGAGCTTTGTTCTGCCCCATTTTCAGCTTGGAGCTGGGCCCCGCCTGCCCTCCCAGGACAGATGGTGTACCGCAAGGATGAAGGTGGGGTGGGGACCGGACTCTGGAGACAACTTAGACTTTCCTTGTCAACACCTGGCCTTTAGGGCATGGCGGTGGAAGACTCATTTATTCACTCATTCATTCATTCATCCGAAACTTTTTTTGTTGTGGTAAATTACACATAACATAAAATTCACCGTCTTAACCATTTTAAAGTGTGCAATTCAGTGGCATTTAGTACATTTACAATGTCGTGCAGCCATCACCACTGTCTAGTTCCAGAATATCTTCCTCCCCAGAGGAAACCCTGTATCTGTGAAGTAGTCACTCCCCATTCCCCTCTCCTCCCAGGGCCTGGCAACCACTACTTTACTTTTTGTCCCTATGGACTTGCCTGTCCTGGATATTTTATATAAGTGGAATCATACAACATGTGGCCTTCTGCATCTGGCTTCTTTTACAGCATAATTCTTGTCATAGCATGTATCAGTACTTCATTCCTTTTCATGACTAAATAATACTTCATTGTATGGAAGTACCAGATTTTGTTTGTCCATTCACTGTTTGATGGACATTTTGGGTTGTTTCCACCTTTTGGCTGTTATGAATAATGCCGCTATGAGCTTTCATGTGCAAGTTTTTGTTTGAACACTTGTTTTCCTTTCTCTTGGGTCTATATTTAGGGGTGGCATTGATGGCTTTTGTGTGAACTATACATTTAACATATGAGGAACCGCCACACTGTTTTCCAAAGTGGCTGCATCATTTTACATTCCCACCAGCAATGAGGGCTCTAATTTTTCTACATCCTCGCCAACACTTGTTATTTTTTCTTTTCTTTCTTTTTTTTGTTATGTCGCCCAGGCTGGAGTGCAGTGACTACTCACAGGTGAGATTATGGCATACTGAAGTCTTGAACTCCTGGGTTCAAGCAATCCTCCTGCCTCAGCCTCCCAAGTAGCTGGGACTGCAGGCCTGCAGCACCACACCTGGCTACTTGGTGTCTTTTTGATGATAGCCATCCTAGTAATGTGAAGTGTTATCATTGTAGTTGTTTGATACATACTTTTGACCTTTACTGTGTTCCAGGCACCACGGTAGTCACTAGGAAGATGGCAGAGAACAAAATAGACAAAGCCCTTCCCTTCTGGAAGTTCTATTCTAGTGAGAAATGCTCTAGTAGAGTGGAGTTAAGAGGCCAGGCAGCAGGGACATGAATACAACTCGCTGCAGCTGGGAAAGCCGAAAGGCGTATGCTTTAGGCTCTGCTATTTCTCTTCATCCTGGAAGAATGGAGCAGAGTTTACAAACTCAAAGTCGATGTACAGGACACGGCCAGAGTGATGAGTGTGCACGCAGCATGTGTGCATGGTTGGATTGGAGGGCGCCAGCCTTGCCTCAAGGGCAGATGCTCCATAGTACCGGCTTCTTACTACTGACTGGTAAAGTAGACTTGGTCTTGCCTGTGCTCTGGATGAAAATAAAATTTTTATTTTATTTTTTTAATTAATTTTTTTTTTTTTTTTTTTGAGACGGAGTCTCGCTCTGTCGCCCAGGCTGGAGTGCAGTGGCGGGATCTCGGCTCACTGCAAGCTCTGCCTCCCGGGTTCACGCCATTCTCCTGCCTCAGCCTCCCAAGTAGCTGGGACTACAGGCGCCCGCCACTACGCCCGGCTAATTTTTTGTATTTTTAGTAGAGACGGGGTTTCACCGTTTTAGCCGGGATGGTCTCGATCTCCTGACCTCGTGATCCGCCCGCCTCGGCCTCCCAAAGTGCTGGGATTACAGGCGTGAGCCACCGTGCCCGGCCTTAATTTTTTTTTTTTTGAGGCAGAGTCTCTCTCTGTCACCCAGGCTGGAATGCAGTGGCGCTATCTTGACTCGCTGCAACCTCTGCCTCCTGGATTCAAGCGATTCTTCTGTCTCAGCCTCTGAGTAGCTGGGATTACAAGCACGCGCCACCATGCCTGGCTAATTTTTCTACTTTTAGTAGAGACGGGGTTTCGCCATGTTGGCCAGACTGGTCTTGAACTCCTGACCTCAGGTGATCCACCCACCTTGGCCTCCCAAAGTGCTGGGATTACAGGCGTGAGCCATCGTGCCCAGCCAAAATTTGTACACTAAATCTCCCAAGTTTTCAATGATGGCACAGACATTTTTTAAACATTGCTTGGGGGACAGTTTAACTTGTGATTCTGACGGGGATGATATTTCTCAGTTGCAGAGTCTCATCCATCGGGTAAGAATTTATGGGGGTGTGTCTGGGAATCTGCCTTCTTAACAAGCTTCCTCCCCTGCCCCCCAGGTGGTCTGATGCACACTGAAGTTTGAGAATCACCAAACTGGAGTTGTAAGGACAACAGCTTCCCGCCAGTGGAGGGCTGAGCGGGCAGGATCATGTTCCCTGTGTCAGCCTGAGCATCCCATGGCCTGGTTCCAGCTTCTCAGGGCAAACAGCCATGCAGAGAACATATCTCTTTGTGCCAGAAAGGGGGGGGCGGAGAGGGGACCTGCAGGAGGAGCACCCCACCCCCACCCCAGGCTGGCTTCGACTCTCCAAAGCCCCACGTGGTTAGATGCCCGTCCTAGTGGCTTTTGCCCTAGTGGGCAGTGGGACTGCAAACCCTAATGCCTTTTGCTTCCCTGGTGAACTTTCTCTGGATGGAAACACTTTGCAGGGGAGACTGTCCAAATAGAGATGTCAGGTTCCATGAGAAGGCAGCCACAGGTCTGTGGACAGCCCGGGTGTTGACAGACAAGTGTTAAGCAATATGTTTGTAGGTCTCTTGCTTAATTGTCACAACTGCAGTTAAAACTAGTAGTTCTCTGGCAGGGGTGTCAGTTCCAAAAATCCACAGGCTCCTCTTCAACAGCTGTGAACACCCTGGCCTTTGTAGATGTTTATTCTGAAGCTGCCAGGGCACTTCACCTGGTTCACCTGATAGCCCGGAATGCTCCGTGGGATTAGTATTCCCACCCAATATTTACAGGTTCCCATAGTTCAAGGACTCAGGATGGGCTCCTTCCCCAATGTGTCCTCTGCCTGCTCATGTAGTGGTGAGGTGCAAATATGCATGTTGGCAAAAATGTGTGTTTTTCTCCAGATGGAGAAAAATAGAAATCTGGAGTTCATCTTCATGGGAATAATCATCAAAGCAATCCATCCCATTCACCCACCAGCCCCCAAATACTCACATGTTACTCTACGGAAAGAACTTTGGTTGATTTTTCCAATAGGAAGCAACAAGGAACAAATTAATAACCTATGTTTCTGTGTACATTTCTACGTCTAAAGGGTCCATTTAAGTAAAGCCTTCTTCCTAGATTACTCTGAGCAAATATTTTTAGTTGTTAAGAACCATAATCAATGTAAGATATAACAGCTGTAAAACTTATAGTAGTCATAATACCTGTAATAAAATATTAAACTTAGTAGAGAATATAGGCAATAACCACAAGGGCTAATGTTTATGGAGCACTTACTCTGGGACCAGGCATGGTGCTAAGTGCTTTACTCAGATTATTTCACTTAATCTTTACAACCCTATGAGATTTAATCCTCAAATCCAATCAACCAGGGATGTAATGTTACCATCTTACAGACGGCGAAATGAAATCTTGGAAAGGCTGAATGTACAAGATGTTTTACATGGTTATATCATTGGATCCTTAGGCTGACCCTGTGAGATTGGCCCCCTCAATGCCCCTATGGAAAGGTGTTATCACCTTTTTATGGTTAAGGGAACTGGAGTGGGGGAGTGGTTAAATAGACCCACAATTGCACAGTCATTAGGCAGAAGAGACGAGCTTTCCCATTAGATAAAGGAGATGGGATTTGTACCCAAGGAGATATGGCTCCAGAACCTACTCCTTGACCTTTAAGGTTTTTTGTTTGTTTGTTTGTTTGAGACAGGGTCTTACTCTGTCACCCTGGCTAGAGTGCAGTGGCATGATCTTGGCTCACTGCAGTCTCCACCTTCCAGGTTCAAGTGATCCTCCCTCTTCAGCCTCTCGAGTAGCTGGGACTACAGGTGCATGCCACCATGCCTGGCTAATTTTTGTGTGTGTTTTTGTTTTTGTTTTTTTGAGACAGGGTCTCATTCTGCCACCCAGGCTGGAGTGCACTGGTGCAATCTTGACTTACTGCAACCTCCGCCTCCTGGGTTGAAGCGATCCACCTGCCTCAGCCTTGCAAAGTGCTGGAATTACAGGTGTGAGTAACTGCACCTGGCCAACCTTCAAGTTATATCAGGCATGTTTAACCCAAGGAAACACAGCTTAGACAGACAGACATATGCAAGTATGTTCATTGTGTCAGTGCTTGTGAAAGGGAAAAAAGTTGACAACAACCTAAATGTCTGTCAGTGGGGAAGGTCACACCAGTTAGGAAATATGCATTCTAGATGGCACATGCAAGTATTAATAGGGGTGATTATTTGTGCTGACATGGAAAGATACAGGCGATACAGAAAGTGAAAAAAGTTAGTTGCTATGTAATAGCATAGCATCATACCATTTAAAACCGTGGGGGTATGTTACATTTCATCAATTAAGAGCACACTTATATTGGACATTGGGTAATGTGCAGAGAGTTTAATAAGAGGAATATTTATAGAGTTGTGGGCAGGATATATGGAAACCACCAGGCACACTGCGGTCCCCTGGGGCACATAGCACTGGGGACTCTATTATCACTTGCTGTGTCATCAACATAAAATATAACTGCTGTGAAGCTCACAGTGTAATCCAAAGGCAGAGATAAGGATGCAGAGGATCCATGCACAGGAGTTGAGACTGTAGTGGACACAGTCACCTCACTGAGACAGCCAGGGAGGGAGATGGGGAAATCAGTACTCTCACCTCCCTCTCTCCTCCCTTTCTCCCATCTCCACCTGGTGCCCCCCAGTTGTCAAACCCACCTGGAAGCCCAAAGGTGAGGGAGCCCATTGCAGCAGGTCAGCCTCCCGGGGCACAGGGCAGAGTGGGGAAGTGTGCAGAGTAGCCCTGGAGGGCCCCTGGAAAATTGTCAGCACATTCATACTTAAGTACGTATTTGTAAGTGCTTAGAAAAGGAATCTGAATACCAACTGGTAAGAGAGGTTTCCTTTGGGTAGCAGGATAAGACAGGAACTTTCATTTTTTGTTTTGTTTTGAGACAGAGTCTTGCTGTGTCACGCAGGATGGAGTGGAGTAGCATGATCTCGGCTCACTACAACCTCTGCCTCCTGGGTTCAAGCAATTCTCCAGCCTCAGCCTCCCAAGTAGCTGGGATGACAGGTGCCCACCAGCACTCCCAGCTAATTTTTTATATTTTTAGTAGAGACAGGGTTTCACCATGTTGACCAGGCTGGTCTCAAACTCCTGACCTCAGGTGATCCACCCGCCTCGGCCTCCCAAAGTGCCGGGATTACAGGCGTGAGCCACTGCGCCCGGCAGGTACTTTCACTTTTTACTTTATGTTCTATATGGTTTGAATTATAACAAAAAAGAGGCGTAGCTTGGGATGAAGCTACAGTGTCAGACTGCCAAAGATGGCTGCACCGGCCACATCCCATGCCGTACGTTCTTCTTGCAGTGTGATAGTGACGTCCCTCCTTGGAGAGGTGGGGCATGCTCCATGGCCTTGAACCTGGGTGAACCTTTGAAATTGCCTCTGTTGGTCTAGTGCTGTGGAGATGATGCTGTGTGACTTCCAAGACTAGCTCATAAAAGGTAACATAGCTCCTGCTTGTCTCTTGGAATATGTGCCTTCAGGCCCCTAAGTCAACATGGAAGCAGTCTGGGTACCCTGAAGCCACTATTGCTGGGGAGACCACATGGAAGGGCCCTAGAGCAATGCAGAGAGATGCCTGTGGAGCCCCTGCTGGGCAGCCCCCAGCCCAGACAGCAGACCTGTGAGTGTGGAGGTCTTCCAGTTGACCCAGCCCTAGCCACGATGGGACTGCAATCCATGGGAGAGCCTGCTATAGTTTGAATGTCCCCTACAAAACTCATGTTGAAACTTAATCCCCAAGGTGGCACTGTTGAGAGGTGGGGCCTTCAAGAGGTGATTGGATCATGAGGACTCTGTTCTTATGAATGGATTAATGTATTCATGGATTAATAGATTAATGGGTTATCATGGGAGTGGAACTGATGGCTTATTAAGGAGAGGAAGAGAGACCCAAGCTAACACATTAGCACATTCAACCTCCTGCTCCACTTTGGGAACCTGCAGAGTCTCCACCAGCAAGAAAGCTAGCATCAGATGTGTCACCTCAACCTTGGACTTCTCAGCCTCCAGAACTGTAAGAAATAAATTCCTTTTGGCCAGGCACAGTGGCTCGCGCTTGTAATCCCAGCACTTTGGGAGGCTGAGGTGGGCAGATCGCTTGAGGCCAAGAGTTCGAGACTGGCCTGGGCAACGTGGTGAAACCCCCATCTCTACTAAAAGTACAAAAAATTAGCTGGGCATGGTGGCACGCACCTGTAATCCCAGTTACTCTGGAGGTTGAGGCAGGAGAATCACTTGAACTCGGGAGGCGGAGGTTGCAGTGAGCCAAGATCACACCACTGCACTCCAGCCGGGGCAACAGAGCGTGACTCTGTCTAAAAAATAAATAAATAAAATAAAATAAATGTCTTTTTTCATAAATTACCATTTCAGGTATTCTGTTATAAGCAACAGAAAAGGGACTAAGACCCCCAGCCAGAATCACCCAGTCAAGCAGCCCCCAAATCCTGTCTCTTAGAAGCTGTAAGAGGTAATAAATGACAACTATTGCTTTAGCAGCTACGTTTTGGGGTGATCTGTCACTCAGGAATAGGTTTGGTACAAGCTGGGAGGAAGCATGAGGACTAATTCCCAGCAGGCCTCCTGAAGCTCCATGGAGACTGATTTTAGAAGAAAGACTAGAACAGAAATCCCGTTTGGCTCCTCGCCCTTGACCCGTAAATCCAGGTGCACTTTATTCTTCACAGTCACGTCTCCTCCCCAGTCTGTTGCAGGGACCCATATTGAGCTGGGGTCCACTCTCGATTTCCTGCCCTTCCCTGCTCACTCTCATTTCTCCCTCCCCTCCAATCCCCTCCCCTCTCCTCCCCTCCCCTTCCCTTCCTTACCAACCTCCCCCCTACCTCTTTCTCTCTTTCTTTCTTCTTCCTTTCTGACAGAGTCTCATTCTGTCTCCCAGGCTAGAGTGCAGTGGCGCAATGCGATCTCAGCTCCCTGCAACCTCTGCTTCCCAGGTTCAAGCAATTCTCCTGCCTCAGCCTCCTGAGTAGCTGGGATTACAGGCAGGTGCCACCACACCTGGTTGATTTTTTTTTTTTTTTTTTTTTTAGTAGAGATGGGGTTTTACCGTGTTGGCCAGGCTGGTCTCAAACTCCTGACCTCAGGTGATCCACCCGCCTTGGCCTCTCAAAGTGCTGGGAGTATAGGCATGAGCCACCATGCCTGGCCTCCTTTTTTTTTTTTTTTTTCTTTTGAGACAGAGTCTTGCTCTGTCGCCCAGGCTGGAGTACAGTGGCGTGATCTCAGCTCACTGCAACCTCCACCTCCCAGGTTCAAGCAATTCTCCTGCCTCAGCCTCCCAAGTAGCTGGGACTACAGGCGCACACCGGCACGCCTGGCTAATGTTTTGTATTTTTAGTAGAGATTGGGTTTTGCCACATTGGCCAGGCTGGTCTCGAACTCCTGACCTGAAGTGATCTGCCCACCTTGGCCTCCCAAAGTGCTGGGATTACAGTTGTGAGCCACCGCACTTGGCCTCTCATTTCCTTTCTGAGTAACCCTCTTAGTCTTCTTATTTCCTTTTTGCCCCCACCTGCTGCCTGGTGAGCCCCCAGAGGCTCCTGGCCCACTGTGTGTTTGGAGGCCTGGATCTGGAAACTCTTCCCACTCGCAGCAATTGTGCCGTGGATGTTGGGCACTACCTGTCCGGAAAGGACCGTCCACCCACTTTTTGGAGCTAGTACCTCCCACCAAGACTTTGAATGATAATTACTGTCTTCTTGTGGATCTCTCCCCCTTGCCCACTGTAGACTGGCCAGGAGACAGCACTGACCCAACAGGCTGGTCAGAGCCCTCTTCTGGAAATTTCAAACTTGGAAGCACAGGGAGGAGGGCAGTTTGTTTCTCTGTGAGAGCTGACGGTAGCTTTGCAGTGGATTTTGGAGGAAATTAGTCTGCAGTAGATGAGAATAAATCCAGCCTACAGGAAAACAGGAACTAAAGATCCAAAAGGGGAGGCCAGGGGCACACTGATTCCTGAGACCAGGGATTTGCCATGGGATTAGAGTTCAGAAAACAGAAAAATTAAAAAGAGAAAGAGGCCAGACAAGGTGGCTCACATCTGTAATCCTAGCACTTTGGCAGGCCAAGGCAGGAGGATTGCTTGAGCCCACGGGTTCAAAACCAGCCTGGGCAACATAGCAAGACCCCCAATCTATAAAATAAAAATTAGCCAGGTGTGGTGATGTGCAACTGTAGTTTCGGCTACTCAGAAGGCTGAGGCGGGAGAATCACTTGAGCCTGGGAGGTTGGGACTGCAGTAAGCTGTGATCACCCCACTGCACTCTGGCCTGGGCCACAGAGCAAGACCCTGTCTCAAAAATAAAAAGTGAAAAACAAAAAGAGAAAATTCCTGATCCCTGTCTTCCAAGACCCACCTGCATCTCCTTTCTATGACGTGGTTACACAAGCCCAGCACACCTGATGTTTTGCCTGTTTGATCTCAAAAGGCTGGAGGGGGGAAGAGTTAGCAGGAGCGAAGTTGCAGGGTTTTAATCCTGGCTTGCCAAGCTCCATGACGTTGGGCAGGTTACTCAGTGACTATGTCTGTAAAATAGGGATGATAATAGGATTCCTTCCTCATACGATTGTTGACAGGAGTGAGTAATTAATGTAGAGAGGGTTGGGATGGGGCCTGACATACAGTAAATGCTGTATGATATTTCCTATTGTTACTTTTACTTGAGTTGGATTTTCTGTTACTTCAACTGCAAGATCAAGACAAAACCTTCCTTGGTTGCCTCTGGGTTAAAATGTTCCTAAGCACCCACATGTCCCAGGAACGGGAAATTACCAAGCCACTCAGGTATGCCAGGAAGTGCCAATCAGAAGCGCTTTCCCCATGCCAGGCCCTGGCATCTACCACCCACTGCTGGGCTGTCCTGTTTCCATGCAGAAAGGGTACAGCCGTACAGCTCTCTCCCTGCCCTTCGGCCCACTTAGGCTGTTCTCACGCTCCGGCCCTCTGATTTGGAAACCAGACCCGCTCCTTCCTGGGCAGCACCTGGCCCTGCCTCGGTCTCTGTACCTACAGGAAACCAGATGTGAGGCTGGTTTATGGAGGAGTGAGAAGAAAATACAATCTCTCAGGATGTTTGTTCTAGTTCCTTTCTAACCCTAGCTTATCTTGTTACTTGGCCTCTATTTTTGTTTGTTAGTTTGTTTGTTTGAGACAGGGTTTTGCTTTCTTACCCAGGCTGGAGTGTAGTGCTGTGATCTCGGCTCACTGCAACCTCCACCTCCCAGGCCCAAGGGATTCTCCTGCCTCAACCTCCTGAGTAGCTGGGACCAGGGGCATGCGCCACCACGGCTGGATAATTTTTTGTATTTTTAGTAGAGATGGGATTTCACCATGTTGGCCAGGCTGGTCTTGAACTTCTGTGTGATCCACCCGCCTCAGCCTCCCAAAATGCTGGGATTACAGGTGTGAGCCACCGCACCCGGCCTACTTGACCTCTATTAAATGTCTGTGCTCACCACCAGTCAGGCAACTGAGTTAGAGGAACAAAAGAACTTCTGGTAAGAGAGAAAATGACAGGAAATTCAATTCACTGGGATTTGTTGGGGAACCTACTATGTGCACATCACATGGAAGAAACAGGAATGGACAGCAGCACTGATACAGGCAGGGCAGTGGCTCATCAACAACTCCCCACAGGAGGACTTCCTTCTGCTCCCATCCTCATCTCTGCTGCCACTTCTGCCTTCCTGGTGGGGGTTGGGGGATTTTTCGGGGGTTGGGCATGCTTGCAGGGAAGGGAGGCAGAGGCAAGGGGAGTGAGCAAAAATGAGGAACCAATGCTGTGGCTGACACGGCAGTCCCAGCAGGAGGGCTGGACAAGACACTGCAATGGAAATGGTGGCCTGGGAGCTCCAGGCCAGTTCCAGGTGTGGATCTGATTTGAAGGAGGAGGATGGGATCTGAGCGTCCCATGTGTGGAGTGGAGGCCAGCAGGCTCACCTAGGAGCCAGCCTGGGAGAGTAGGAGCCCCAGAGAACTCAGCAGAAATTCCTTCGCAGGCAGCTCGGCTGCTCCTTGGGATGCTGGGATACCTAGAATAGAGAGCTCATGATTTCTAGGCTCGTTAGGCCTTGGGCCTAGAGTGTCAAAAGTCAATCTTTCCAAACCCTGTTGGCCAGTGTGAGGAAGGGACTCATGTTCTGCTTTGCTGTTTCCATGATGTCCAGGGAGGGCGGGGTACCCTACAAGGGTCTGAATGCTCTTGTGGGCAACCGATGTGTATATGTCAGGGTGGTGTTGGGGGTGGGAATTGGAGGCCAGTTCTACTGGTTTTCTCACATGGGTCCTGAGTAATAATCTTAGTCCTGCCGCCCACTCACCCTCTGATTTTGAGCATGTCATTTACTTCTCTGGGCCTCAGTTTCCGCATCTGATAGATGACAGGGTTGGCTTCAGTCATCTTTAGGTCCCTGCTGCCCTCACAGCCAGGGGGGTAAACTTTGCCTCAGGAGGTAAGCTGGGTATGCACCCTCACAGCTTTGGCCTTCAGGGAAGGAAACTGAGTCAGAAGGAGCCTTGAACCACTTGGCATAAGGAATGAAGGGCTCCCAACTCAGCCTTTACTAGCCCTTCTCAGCACTTGCTTTCTGCCTGTGTTTTTCTAGAATCCTTCTGTCCCCTGACTTCACTGCTGAGGACAAGTCTGCATTCCCTAGGCCACTGCTCAGCATGGGGAGGGTTCCAGGAGCTGAAGCCAGGCCAGGTCTGAAGGAAGTCAAGTCGGGGGTGTAAGGATTGGCCAGATTCAGGCTCAGGCTAAAACATGCCCAGATGGCACTTCTGAGGGGGGATGGGACAAAAGCCACTGTGGCAAATCACTGACCATACCTGTCACCCTGGAGCTTGGCTCCAGGCTGCTGTTGTCAAGAAAGGAGAGGGTTGCTAAGAAAACAAACCCTCTGTAGCTGGCAGCTGCCTGACGCTGGCCCCAGCTGTGTTCGCAGACGACATGCAGACCTGAACTCGTGTTTGACAGAGTTTGTGTTCGTCAAGGCAGTGAAGAGGAAACTTTCTGGCAGGCAAGAAAAGCTCAGTAATGCCTCCAGGAAAAGGCACGTCGTGCTGAACTACCTCTTTCAGCTGGCTTGACATGAAGCTGTTTTGCAAGAACTTTATTGTGACTGCTCCTGAAGTATGAAATTCACTCCGGGATCCGGGGAAGTGCTCTGCAGAAGGCAACGAACTTCATTGTTCTTGCATATTTTCCATGCATAAGCCAGAGTCCAGAAAGCAGCGTCAACATTTTCGTGAGGTGTCTTACCTATGGTGGTCCTTCCATCTTCATGTCTGTTTCCCCAGACAGACATGAGCCACTGAGGGCAGGGAGCCCAAGCCCTTCCTCCTGGGTGCTCCCTCCACCCCCAGCCCACTGCCTTATTCATAATTCCAGAGTCTCCTGTAAAAGTTGCCTATTGCAGGTTCATTATTAAGGACAATGGGAAGAGGAGAAGCCAGAGGAAGACTTTGTAGAAGGCTGAGCTCCTCCAGAGGAGTGGGAGCCCTTGGGCTATCCCAGCATATAACCTCCCACCCCATGCCCCAGTGACTCCACTGCACACTGCAGGACAGCATGCTATGTGCAGGCTGCTTGAGGCTGACCGTGCATCCTTGCCCAGATCATCTCAGCCCAGCTGCAAATCCTGGCCTCCATTATCAGGAAGATACTCAAGCTGGGCCCACGTGGACCACTGGCTGGATGGCACCATGCATCCTGTGGCCTGCTAACATGGGAGGACCCTCGTGGGAGGGACATAGCTACCATCTGCACCTCTGCAGAGCTTTCACTTAGTTCTTGTTGTTTTGGGGCAGCTGTCCTTCTGTCAGTTTTCTTCTGGAAAAACAAAGCTCCCCTGGAAAGGCTCCTCAGAGCCGGCCCTACCCAGCCAACAGCAGGACACTCTTGCAAGACCAGCTGCTTTGCCCCCACCGGACTCCCTCCCCTTCTGTCCTCAGAGATGAGGTGCCCACCCACCCCACCAGCCAGAGTGTGGGATGGAGCCAGGCAAGAGCTCAGGGCAAGCTGGCCTGGGCCTTCACGCAGTGGCCTCTGCCCCTTCTATCTGTGTGATGGACTCATTGCGTTAGTCGGGCCCTTTCCTACCCTCTCCAGGGCAAGCTCTCCTTGTAACATTAGGTTAGTCTGAGTAATGGCTCCTCAAAGAAGCCAGTGTACTGTTCTCTGGAAGCTCACATGGTAAAAAGGACTTTGCAGGTGTAATTGGGCTAGAGATCTTGAGATGGGAAGATTTTCCTAGATGACCTGGTTGGGCCAGTGTCACCACAGAGGTTCTCATCAAAGGGAGGCACGAGGTCAGAAGGGAGAGAAGATGCTACGCTCCTGGCTTTGAAGATGGGGGCAAGGGGCCAAGAGGCCGTTTAGTGTGGGTGCCTCTAGATGCTGAAAAAGGCAGGGAAACAGATTCTCCCCAGCACCTCCAGAAGGAATGCAACCCCGTGGATTTTAGACTTCGACCTCCAGAACTGAAAAGAGTACATTTATATTGTTTATTGCCACTAACTTTGTGTTAATTTGTTACAGCAGCAACAAGACACATATACAAACATAAACAAATGTCATAGCTCCTCATGTGATTTCTTTTGGCATCTGTTGATGAACAGAATACATAGTGACAAAAAGCCACCTTAAATTTATGGCACAATCACGGCTCACTGCAGCCTCAACCTCCTGGGCTCAAGCCATCCTCCTACCTCAGCCTCTCAAGTAGCTGGGACCACAGGCATGGGCCACCACACCCAGCTAATTTTTTATTTACTTATTTTTTGTAAAGATGGGGTCTCAAGGGCTGGGTGAAGTTGATCATGCCTATAATCCCAGCACTTTGGGAGGCCAAGGTGGGCAGACTGCTTGAGCTCAGAAGTTCAAGATCAGCCTGGGCAACAAGGTGAAATTCTGTCTGTACAAAAAAATACAAAAATTAGCCAGGCATGGGTGTGTGTGTGCCTGTAGTCCCAGCTACTTGGGAGGCTGAGGTAGAAGGATTGCTTGAACTCAGGAAATGAAGATTGCAGTGAACTGAGATCACGCCACTGCACTCCAGCCTGGGCAATGGAATGAGACCCTGTTTCAAAAAAAAAAAAAAAATGGGAAGAGAAATGGAGTCCCACTCTGCTGCCCAGGCCAGTCTCAAACTCCTGGGCTAAGTGATCCTCCTGCCTCAGCCTCCCAAAGTGCTGGGATTACAGGCTGTGAGCCACTGTGCCCAGCCAAATTTATGTTCTCAGTATGATCTCAGGCCCAGACCATCTGGGTTCAGATCTCAGCTCTGTCACCTAAAGCTATGTGTGACCTTGGACAACTCTCAAGGTTCTCACCTTGAGAGTTCTCACTTTGAGGTTCTCACCTTGAGAGGGGGAACCTCAAGTGCCTCAGCATTCTCACCTTGTGTATAGGAATAATAATAATACCTACCTTATATTATTGTGAGGATTACATGACAATGCACAGACAGCATTTGGAAAAATGCCTGGCATGCTGTAAGTACTATTAAAGTGGTTATTTTTAGTATTATCATTATTAAAACATATAATACATGTGAGAAGCATTATTATTTGTCCATTCAATAGACAATGGACACATAATTTTTAGTCCTGCTTTACTTCACTGCACTTCTATTTTTTAATTTGTCCCAAGAATGCCTAGCCTTGCATAGAAGAAAATACAAGTGCCCACCTCAAATCAATACAAACACATTGATTCTTTTCTAATTGAATCTCAGCCTTATCATGAAGCCCATTTCCTTAGACATTCATTACCGCCATCAGCCAGACCCAAAAGACAAACCCCACTCTCAGGCCAACTTTTCTTATTAGGACCCTCCAAACTGCACTGGGGTCTCCAAAGCACCAGTAGCAGCAACTATTGGTGTCTGCACACAGTCATTTTCCTCTTCTTTATTCAGATATGAGGCAGTAATATGCCCAACCCTGGGGGAGGAGTCAGGACTAGTTCAAGCCTGTTACGGTAATCCCATTTACCTTGGCCAATTGGCTGGGTTTTGTAGTATGCATGTGACCTACTTAGCTTTTTTACTCTAGATGTGGATAAAAGTCTGATGGTGGATAGCTGGGAAATTTTTCCTTTCCTGATAAAAAGAAAGTGTTTAGTTATAGTCCAGTTGGGAAAACAGACACCACCCCAGGTATTTCAAACAGAAAGGGGTTTAATATAGGGAATTAAGTGGTTACAAAACTACTGAGAGTGTTGGAGGAAGAAAAGTAAAGGCAAACTAGTCTTACCTCTCAGGATGGCTGCTAGCTTTTAGAGAGTCAGGAAGTTACAGAAACTGCAGGAGACTGCAGTGATGATCACAAGTGTCTGTAGACCAAAACGGGTGACTTTCATGCTAATTCCTGGAAGCCACTACACAGTCTTGTGTCTGCTCTTCTCTTCCTTCTTCCAGATCTTGCAGAAGTACCTCTCATTGATGGAATCGAACCCAGATCCCTGCTAGCTAGGTAGGGAATGGTGCTGAGTTACTGAAGACTCTCTGGCACAAAGAGAAACTCCCTTTCTTCCTACTTTTGCACTTAAAAAAAATCAGGATAAGAAGCATGGAACTGATGTAGTCAGTCTTGTGATTGTAAGGTGAAACATTCACTCACAGTCCAGGTGTGGTAGCTTACACCTGGAATCCCAGCCCTTTAGGAGGCTGAGGCAGGTGGATCACTTGAGGTCAGGAGTTCAAGACCAGCCTGGGCAACAGTGAAACCTGATCTTGACAAAAATTTCAAAAATTAGCTGGGCATGGTGGTGCAGGCCTGTAGTCCCAGCTACTTGGAAGGCTGAGAATCACTTCCACTTGGGAGGCAGAGGTTGCAGTGAGCCAAGATTTCACCACTGCATTCCAGCCTGGGTGACAGAGCGAGACTTTGTCTCAAAAAAGAAAAAACAAAACAAAACAAAAAAACAAAGAAAGATTCACTCCTCATTCATTTATTCAACACATCTATAGTTGATCATCCTTGGCAGAAGCCTTGGCCTTGATTCCCACTGGCCAGCTGACTGACTACGCGGCTGCACTAATGAGGGCAACAACACTTTTTTTTTTTTTTTGTGAATACCATTCTTTGCATTTTGTATGCACTATCCTATCTCATCCTCACTGCTGCACTAATGAGAGCAGCAACAATTGTAATTTTTTGGTATTCACCAAAAAGTGTTTTTTTGGTGAACTTTTTGAGCTCCCAGGCTCAAATGATTCTCGTGCCTCAGCCTCCTGAGTATTTGGGATTATAGGCGTGCACCACCATGCCCAGCTAATTTTTTTTTTTTTGTATTTTTAGTAGACACAGGGTTTCTCTGTGTTGGCCAGCTTGGTCTCAAACTCCTGGCCTCAAGTGATCTGCGTACCTCAGCCTCCCAAAGTGCTGGGATTACAGGTGTAAACCACTGTGCCTGGCTAACACATTGTTTTGGTGAATACCATTTGCATTTTATATGCACTATCCTATCTTATCCTCATCCATACCAACTGATGATACACATACACATTCAGCACTCAGAGGGTCACAAGAGTACTGACATGTACTGTGTATTCACGGTGCTCCAGGCACTATTCTAGACCCTTTACACAATTTAACTCAGTTAATTTTTTCAACAACTCTGCAGCTAGGTCTTATCATCATCAACCTCTTCATCTGAATGAGAAAACTGAAGCACAGAGAAGCTAAGCTAGTTGCCCAAAGTCATCAACTAGCAAGTGATGGAGCTGAGATTCAATCTAGGCAGGTTAGTAGCAGAGCCTATGAATTTAACCGCTACTCTATGCTAGAAGCTACTGACGGTGGCTGCCTTTGGGGTGGAGGCACTGCAAGCCAAGTTATGTTGATCGACTTTTACTGCATCCCTTTTATATTGTTGGACTTTTAAATATGTATTCCTAAAGGTAAAGGCATTTCCACCCAGGAGGGGGCTTGACTGGAAAATTCCTATTTATCTTTCAGAACCTGACTCCTCTAGGAAGCTTTTCCTCATCCTGCTCCAACGTCTTTGCTCTCTGTGCCTATCTGTGCTCATCTCTGTGCCTATACCAAGTACCTGATGTGTAATTCATTCCCAGGAAATGTTTGCTAAATAAACATTTCCCAAAAGCCACCTCTGGACCTTCTAGACTCTGTTACCTTGTCTAACATTGCCTGCCAGACAATTCTTCCTAAAATGCTACTTTCTCAGTGTTATTCCTTTGCTCAAAAACCTTCACAGATTCCTATTTCTTTTCCCCATTGAGTTTCCAGGTTGGCAACAGGCAGGCTTCTCCCCACCTAACTAATCTTGCTCACAAGTCCTTCAATTTCTACCCAGCTATCAAGACTTGCCTCCAGGAAGCTACAGAGGGTGACTTCAAGCCTTGGCAAGAGCTTTCTCCTCTGCCTCCTATGAATTGGGTCTCTACTGCCACAATTTAGCACGTGACCTGTCTGAGATTGCCTCTTACAACGAGTGAACAGGCAATGTGGCTCTCACTTCTCTCTGGGCCCCGTTCTTCTTGGAACAGCATCATAAACTCACCCAGCCTCCAGGAGTGCAACAACAAAGCTTTACAACAAACGTTGGCAATCATATGGGTACTCACCATTTAGGGATTGTCATTGTGGGTCAGCTTATAGATTTCTTTGCTTCATCTAAAAGTCCTTATTTTTTGGCACCAAAATTCTTGGCTGCTTCTTGAGGACTTTCAGTCTCCCTCCTCCATCCTTTGGCAACGAATGGTCCTTTCTTCATTTCAAATCTATTATCTTCCTGGCTCCCCTGTCCCTGTTGGCCTGCCCTTCTCTCACTGCGCCACTCCACTCCATCTTCCCTCAGGAAGGAGCTAGGCTGACCTCCAGGTCTGTGTATCTCACTGCTTACTGGGGGGCTCAGCCAGCAGCTGCAATCCATCTGGCCCCAGAGTGAACTCTCTAGGCCCTCTCCTTCCCCCGACAACCTCTTTCTCCTTGCACTCATCCTGTCGTGATGAAGCCAGCACCCCTGTCCCTACGCTGCTCTCGTCCCCATGCTGGTCTTGTGCCCATGATGGTAGTCATGCTTAACACCTCCCTCTCCCTTAGTTCCCATGACCCCCATCATGACTCATGCTATTGTCTCTTCTCTCAAACTCTGGTTCTGGAAATTTCCACCTGGTTACTCCTTTATCGGGGTACCATCTCCACTCTGACATATCCCAAACTGTACTCATCATCACATGAAGTATCTTTTATCTTAAAACTGGCTCAAAAGATCGAGTTTCCTGACTTTCAGTGCCACGATTGATAGGTTCACTATTGAAGCAACCCGTCCTTTTCCTCTCCAGCTAGTCACTGACTCTGGCTGACTTCTCCCTGTCTGGCAGGTTGTACTGAAAGCAGTATAGATGGTTTCCAAGTCTGGGCTGTCACTAGCTCCTTGTTCAACCTCAAGCAAATTGCTTAATCTCTTTGAGTTTCTGTTTTCTTGTCTGTGAAATGGACATAAAATACATAACATTTGACTGTATGAAAAAGTCAGCATTTAGGCCAGCCGGGGTAGCTCACACCTGTAATCCCAGCACTTTGGGAGTCTGAGGTGGGTGAATCAAGAGGTCAGGAGTTCAAGACCAGCCTAGCCAACATGGTGAAACCCATCTCTACTAAATATACAAAAATTAGTTGGGCGTGGAAGCGTGCACCTGTAATCCCAGCTACTCGGGAGGCTGAGGCAGGAGAATCGCTTGAGCCGGGGAGGTAGAGGTTGCAGTGAGCCGAGATCACCCCATTGCACTCCAGCCTGGGCAACAGGGTGAGACTCCGTCTCAAAAAAAAAAAAAAAAAAAAAGGTCAGCATTTAAAACCAAATGAGAAAAATGGACGGTTCATTAGATGGTATTGGGAAAACTAGAGAGCCATTTGAATAAATAAACTTGTATCCCTACCACACTCCAATCACTAAATAAATTACAGATGGATCAAAGTTTAAATGTAAAATATGAAACTATCAAAGAATTAGAAGAAATATTATCTTGAAATGTGGAAAGCCTTTCCAAGCATAAAATCATATGAAACCCAGCTTTTATAAAGAAATTGATCAGGCCGGGCGTGGTGGCTCACGCCTGTAATCCCAGCAATTTGGGAGGCCAAGGCGGGCAGATCACCTGAGGTTGGGAGTTTGAGACCAGCCTAACCAACATGGAGAAACCCCATCTCTACTAAAAATACAAAATTAGCCAGGCGTGGTGGTGCATGCCTGTAATCCCAGCTACTCGGGAGGCTGAGGTAGGAGAATCGCTTGAACCCGGGAGGCGGAGGTTGAGGTGAGCTGAGATTGAGCCATTGCACTCCAGCCTGGACAAGAGCAAAACTCCATCTTGAAAAAAAAGAAAGAAAGAAATTGATCAATAAATATGATTATGTGACAAGCTACAACTCCTAAGGAAAAAAAGAGAGAGAGAGAGAGAGACACCCAGACTTGGGGTAGACAGGATGCAGGGGTGAGTGTGGAGAGAAAACTGATGAACTGGGAAAAATATTTGCAATACATATGACAGTCAAGTCTGGGTGTGGTGGCTCACACCTGTAATCCCAGCACTTTGGGAGGCCGAGGCGGTTGGATCATGAGGTCAAGAGATTGAGACCATCCTGGCCAACATGGTGAAATCCCGTCTCTACTAAAAATACAAAAATTAGCTGGGCATGGTGGTGTGCACCTGTAGTCCCACCTACTTAGGAGGCTGAAGCAGGAGAATCGCTTGAACCCGGGAAGCAGAGGTTGAAGTGAGCCGAGATCGCACCACTGCACTCCAGCCTGGCAACAGAGCGAGACTCCATCTCAAAAAAAAAAAAAAAAAGACAGTCAACAGTGCAGATTTCCATAATATGTGAAGGGCTCTTCACATTCAATAGGAAAAAAGACAGCTGAAAAGAAGAATTGATAAATTCCATTTGTGTGGGAAGAAAAACCACAAATATCTAGAAACAGATGAAAAGATGCTCAGCCTTACTAATAATCAAAGGAATACAAATCCAAAGAATAATGAAATATAGTGACAAAAGTTTTAGAAGATTGTTGATATCCAGTATGGGTAAGAAAATAAGCACTTTATACACTGTTGTTGAGACTATAAATTGCTACATCTTTTTGGAGAGGAATTGGGCAACACTTACTACACAAAAATATGCGTACCCTTTGACCATTACTAGAAATATATCTTGCATACATTTTTGCACATATATCCAAGTACTTTTGTTCCAAGGTGCTTGTTAAAGCACAAGTTGTAATAGGAAAAATGAGAAATAATCTACATATTTCTCTATAGAGTAATAAATAAGTTGGAGGCTAGGAGCAGTGGCTCACACTTGTAATCCCAGCACTTTGGGAGGCTGAGGGGGGCAGATTGGTTGAGGCCAGAAGTTCGAGACCAGCCTGGCCAACATGGCAAAACCCCATCTCTGCTAAAATTACAAAAATTAGCTGGGCATGGCAATGCACACCTGTAATCCCAACTACACCGGGAGGGGCTGTGACACAAGAATTGCTTTAACCCAGGAGGCAGAGGGTTGCAATGAGCTGAGATTGCACCGCTGCTCTCCAGCCTGGGTGACAGAGTAAGACTCTGTCTCAAAAAATAAAATTAAATTAAAAAAAATAAAACAAGTTAGGGAAAATGCATTGGAATATATCGTGCAGCTAGTAAAACATGATGCAATAAATGTATATACAGTCTTGTGCCAATATCGGCATTTTGGTCAATAGTGGACTGCAAATGTGACAGCGGTCATGTATCATGGTCAGATTATCATAGAGCTGAAAAATTCCTGTCTCCTAGTGATGTTGTAGCTGTCATAACTGCTCCTGTCCTACTCGGGCCCCTTTAAGTGGACCCGGGATTTCCTGCGAGCTCCTCCAAGGTGACATGATGAGCTCGTGGGAGTCCACCCGAGCTGGAGTTAGTTCTGCTCACGCCTGCTTCCTGGCTCTGCCACTTCTCGCTTTGGGCTTTCCCCTTTCCTTAGCCTCTCCACTCCCCTGCCACCCTCCCCCTTTGGCCTCCCCTCCTTGAGAACCTCCTTTTACAGCCCGTGGCTGATGACTCAGTTTGGGAGCCGCTGGCTCTGCCCCCCAACACATCTTCGTCTTGTCTTCGACACAACCTGTGAGAGTCTGCCCTCTGGCCGCTGAACCCCTTGTCCTCTGTGATTGCAGTAGCTCTGGGGCCTTCCTGAAGCTCACTCGACAGGGGAGGGGGCCTGGTCACCACATTGCCACCAGGTGCTGCTCAAAAACACAGCTCCCAAACTGCCACACCTTTGATGGCATTTCTCCCATGCCTGAGAATGAAATCCAAACTGTTTCCCAACACATGTGAGGCTCAGCTCCGACAGGTTCTTCCCTCATGCCCAGACACTCCTTGAGGTGTGTGCTGCACTCCAGTCACGCTGGGCAGAATTCCCTGGAACTGTCAAGTGCTCTCTCATGCGCACTCTTTTCTCCAGCTGGTCTCTCACCTGAGAAGCCCCTCTTCCTCTCTTGTGTGCTTCCAGTACCTGCATACACCAATGTGTGCACATGGCTTGTACTTACGTGTATTTACCTGGATATTCATATTTTCACTTATGGGAACAAACAGAAACATGAGATAAGTACACTCACATTGTATTCTAGCTATGTTTGTCATCATTACCTCCCTTGCTTTATTTTGAGCTCCAGAAGGGCAAGAACTGGGCTTCAGATAGACCCCTGAATGTAGACAGCTGCAAAGGACAGAAATGCAGCTCAAACTTGTTTAAGGACCTACTAGGCAATGGTTTTGCTTAAGGGCTGAGTACCATGGTTGGCCCGGGCTGGGTCCAGTGACACCCCTGGATTGAGCCACTAGTATAGGATGTCAGAGTAGCTTCCAGGTGACCCAAGAGACACAGGTGGGGGTGGAGAAAGAGGGAGGGTAATTTCCCAGAAGGAGGGGAGGGGTGGGAGGTGTGGCTTCCAGGCAGATGAAACAATGCAATCTGTGTCCATGTCTGACACCCACCCTGGGCTCGGGCCAGGCCCATCTCTTCCCTGCCCCATCTCATCCATGAATCATCCCAACTGTTTCCTTAGTCAGACAGTTCCCCTGATTTCCAGCCCTCTCCCTCCTCTCTTACCTGCAGAGGATGTCTGTCTTGCCTCCCACCATCCCTCACTGCTCCACCCCGTAGGAGTGAGTGATAGGCTCTTCTTTTCCTCTGGGGAACTAGTCTTTGTCCACCGGAGCTGCCAATCGCAGGATCCCTGGCCTCAGGGGTTGGCCCATAGCCCAAGATTAGCCAGTCAGGGTAGAGTTCTAATCCCAGCACTTTGGGAGGCCAATGCAGGAAGACTGCTTGAGGCCACGAGTTTGAGGACAACCTAGGCAAAAGAGCAAGACCCCATCTCTATTTTAAAAAATTAAAGTAAAAAAAGACAAGACAATCAGTTCTCTGTCTGAGAATTCTACTCCTGAGGGAAGACACTGTATGGTCACCTTCGAGAGACCTCCTGCGTTCCTACTCAGCGTTCTTCCATTCTTGAGCTTCCTTCAGGAGATGGTTCTCCATCTCCGGCCAGATGTGACCAGGTTCTGCTTTGTAGCACTTTGTTCAGACCTTTAGTATTTGTCACTTTCTGGCTTACGTATGGCTATTTGTCAACTTATCTCTGTTCATTCAACCTTGATTCGTCATTATTCACACACCGATTATAAGTGACCAGTAAATTCCTCTTTTTGCTAAAGTTAGGATTGTATTTTGTACTTTGTAGCTTGGAACCAAAACCCCTGAGCTGATAAACCATGTCCACACCCCCACAGAGCCCAGCAGGGCAGGGGCAGCCTGGAGCCCGCCCTCACCCTTCCAGCTGCGATGCACTCACTCCTCACTATGCTGGATCTCCCAGAGGCTGTGGCTGGGCGGTGCACCACTGGCCACTGTCCCTGCACATTTGTCTTGCCCCTCAGCTGCACCGTGAGCGGCATTACAGGTCAACTGTGCCATGGGACCCTCTTTGGGAATTCAGACATCAGCTTCTAGCTGGGTCAGCTGAGGACACGTGGAGGCCTGCGGTGTCTCCCTGCACCTTCCCAGGGAGGAGGGGCCTCAGGAGCTGCCTCTGACAGCCTGGGAATTTGTCTCCTGGGTTTCCAACTCTGCTGTCTTTACTCTTTCTCTGGCCTCTTAACAATCCCATTTGGCCAAGACAGGTGAGTCAGAAGTCCCCATAGACCTGCGGCAAGCAGCAATCATGCTCTGAGTCATGTGCTGTTCAACACGCCTCTCACCCAGAGGTCTTACCTCTTACCATGCAGAGCCCAAGCTGGTTTCCAACTATGCCTCTTCCAGCAGGACAGAACTCGCCTTGCCAAGGTGTCGGGACAAGGCGGGGGTCAGGGAGCATGTTCTCACCAGGTAGGAAGGCCCTGGGCCATACTGCTGGGTCCCTGCCCTCGGTGGCCTGCTGACATCTGCTTGAGAGGGTTGCTTCAAATGAAGATAAATACAGACAGGTCTCTAATTTAATCTTGATTTCCAAAACATTTTTTTCCCACTAAAACCTGAACTTGCCGGATATTGTTTTCCGATGTTTGATTCACAGGGCATGCAACGTCTTTGCATAGCTCAGTAATAATCATCATAACCAACAGCATTTACATCCCAGTGTTTTCCTAAGAGCCTTCTGCTATTAAGCAGTGGCCCTGTCCCTGACTGTGCTAAGCTAGTTGCTTGCTCTGTGGCTAGTTGTGGTTTCCTCCAGCAATACCAGATCATCCACACCCTGATTCAGGAATGAGATAGGAAAAAGTGCTGGTCTTAAAGACAGAAGAGCTGGATTCTGGTTTTCTCTAGGCCAATTAATGAGCTCTGTGACCCTGGACAAATCACTGGCTTCTTGGAGTTTTAGTCCCTTCCACTGTAGGGTGGACTCAATGATCCCTCTTGCTGAGCTCACCTCATGGTGTAGGTGTGAGGATCAAATAAGATCATGTGTGGGAGAAGCTCTGAAAATGCTAAGAGCTGTACAGATGCAAGCTTTGTCAGCAATAGCTCAGACTTTCTCTCGAAGATCTCCTTGGCTAAGGAGCAGGGAGCCATTCACACTGGAGTGGGGACCAGCAGACTGGGGAAGCCAGGGTGATCCTGTCAGGGTCCACCCCCCATGGGTGGGCCTCTGCTTGTTGGGTGGGGAAAGTGTGAGTTTGAAGTCAGATCTGAATTCCCCTCATAGCTCTGCACCTTAGTAGCAACAACTCAGACAAGTCCCTTTGTCTTGCAGAAACTCAGTTTATCACTTGTAGACCAGGCATCAGGATACCTACCTTGTGGGGCAGTGGGCAGCACATAGTAGGGGCCTGAGGAACGTTTTCTCCTTCCCCCTTAAACGGGAAATTGGGTGGTTTCAACTTGGGCTGCATATTAGAGGAATCTGGGGGAATTTTAATAAATTCTGCTGCCAGGGCCCCTTCCCAGACCAGTTAATGCAGAACCTGTGGGGGTAGGGTCCAAGCTGCAGTTGTTTTCAAAGCTCCCAGGTGATTGCTGAGCAGCAGAACCACTGGCTGGAGGGTGGCATGTACCTGCTGCCACAACTGGTCCCTACCTTGACTGTGCCTCCCCGGTTTCCCCTTTTCCTCACGATGCTCCACTCTGATGAAGCCTGCATAAGAGCCGGTAGTGCACAGTACTGTGTCCATGTCTGACACCAGCCTGGTGGTGCAGAAGCACAGCTCCCTTAGGACCAGGTTCCTGTCTCAGTCTCCTCTGCTTTTCTTTCTTTTCCTTCCCATCTGAGCAGCAACGCAGTTGCTCTCCCCAGCACCTGTCCCCAGATCCTCTCCTCTCACTCCACTGTGTCCCCTCCACTTTTGTGTGTCCCCTCCTCTCCCATCTCACTGCTACCCCTTCTTCTTTTATCTCTCTCTTGCCTCTTTCCCTTCTCTTTGTGAAAGCACCACTACCTCTATTCTGCTCGCATCAAGCAACTGGCATTTATTGAACAATGATTATGCCTCTGCTCTCAATTTTAAAAGTGTGTGACTAAATTTTATCACTCTCCAGGTAAGTTTTGTGTACACATATGGACATGTACCATTTATCCTCCCACAGATCAGCAACCAAGGATATAGACTTAATCTTTTTTTTTTTTTTTGTAGACATGGAGCCTTGCTATGTTGCCCAGGCTGGTCTTGAACTCCTGGAGTCAAGTGATCCTCCCTTCTTGGCCTCCCAAAGCACTGGGATTACAGATGTGAGCCACTACGCCCAGCCTCAGACTTAATTCTTGTTTTGTAGCATGCAGTATGTGTGTGTGTGCATGTGTGCATGTGCATTTGCGTGTGCATGTGTGTGAATCTGTGTGTGTGCATGTGTGAGCGTGCATGTGAATCTGTGTGTGTGCATTGTGCATTTGTGTGTGAATCTGTGTGTGTGCATGTGTGCATGCGTGTGTGTGTGTGAATCTCTGTGTGTCTGCGTGCACCTGTGTGTGTGAATCTGTGTGTGTGCATGTGTACGTGCATATGTGTGTGTGAATGTATGTCTGTGTGTGCCTGTGTGTGTGTGTGTTAGAGTTTCCCCCTCTCAGTGCTGCTGCCTGGTAGGACACTCACGGTTTTCTTTCCTGGTGGCTGAGCAGCTCCTGGGTTGGCTGAGTTGAAGACACCGCTGAGACTCTTGGCTGCTGGCCTTAGGGGTGGTGTCAGCCTGAGAGGGAAGGAAGGAGGGATTGGTCAGCGAGAAGGCCAGAGGCGTGGGGATTTGGAGTTCTCACTCAGCTCACCATCTCCGCTCTGGGCCTCTGCCCCTCTGTTCCTGGAGGGAGTGAGTCAGAAAGGCCTGGGGCTGACTCCCATCCGAGGAGCCACCAGCTCAACTTCTCTGACCACAGGGGAGCCCACTGTTGGGGCTAAAGGCTGGGACCCCTTCCCAGTGGCTCTGGATGGAGTATAGACTGTGACTCGGGGTGTTCCCAAGTGGGCCTCACACCATGATCCCCCTGCAGCCACTGTCCCTTCCCACCACCTGACTTTGCTCCCTCCTGGCCTCACTGACACCACCCTCGCCTGACAGACAGGCCTTGGTGCTCCTGAATCCCTCGGCACCTTCCCCAGGCCCAGATTTCTATGGAAGAGGAAAGTAGCAGCACTCACCCTCCAGGAAGCCATGAGGGGAGTCGTATCCACAGTCCCCCCAGCTCCCAGTGACTCTCCAGACTAGGCAGAGGCTCATGCCTGTGCAGATTCAAATCCAAGGGCTGGGCTAACAGTTGTTTGGTTTTAGAGATGTGGTTTCTGTCACCCAGGCTGGAGTGCAGTGGTGCAATCATAGCTTACTGCCATCTTGAACTCCTGGGCTCAAACCATCCTCTGGCGTCAGCCTCTTGAGTAGCTAAGCACACAGGCTTGTACCACCATGCTTGACTAGTTTTTTGTTTTGTTTTTGTGGAAACAGGATCTGGATATGTTACCCAGGCTGGTCTTGAACTCCCGGCCTCAAGCAACCTTCCCGCCTCGCCCTCCCAGTGTTAGGATTACAGGCATGAGCCATGTACTCCGCCTGAGCTGACAATTGTTATGCATGAGATGCCCCCCAAAGCTGGCCGCCCCTCCTGAACTCCTGGCAGGACAGATAGAAGTTTGCTCATTTAACATTTAAACTGTGAATCCTTCCGTAAAATACTGCCCCACTTTACTTACTCCCTAGTTAAATTAGACGACTGCAAAAATGCATATAGTAGCCCTGGGAACTGATATGGCAGGACTTGGGAGTTATGTTTTTAGCAGGAGACTCCCAGACGAATTCGTCCCTAAATGATAAAGCAGACTTGTTTCCAGAAACTTCTCAGCCCCTTGTGCTGCATGGATCAGCAAAAGACGAAGAGAGAGGCCTAACTCACAGTTCTGGCTCTTTAACCTCTCAGCAAGGAGGCTCTGAGTTCTTCAATCACAAAAAATTGCCTTTTTGATAGAAACATATGGAGTGTTATTTTGTTAATAGCTGAAGTCACAGCTCCTTCTTTTTAAAATACATTTTGAAAATAATCATCTTGGGGTAAAACCAAGGAAGTGTGAGAGAGTCTTTAGGTCAAATTCTTAGGGCACAGGACAGGTTTTAGGACTATTAAGGGCAAAGGTGCCACATTTGTAGTGCCATAAAAAACATGCAGACAGCCTCCTTGTGCTGGTGAGACTACTAGGTTCCCTTATTGGGAGGAACCAATGTCTTTTCCATGTCCCCCTATCCCCCAGAGGTCAGCCCCCATCCCAGTTACTGTGCCTTCTATACCTGACTCCATTCCTATCACCTACCTGAAGCTCCTCACGACTTTGGGCCCAGTAGTCTTTTCCTCCCTAACTTTCTTCCCAACTTTAATGATCACATGCATGATTTTCTGTTGAACCTCGGTCTCCTCCCACCTAGGCAGCAAGCTTCAAGTGGGCAGGCCCTTGTTGGCTTGCTCACCACTGCATCTCATGCTTAGCTCGGGCCTGGCAAACAGTAGGTGCTCACTCTAGTTAGCTGCTCAAAGTGGGAGCCTACTCTTTGGCTGTAGCTCTGCATCCTAATTCTGGGTTTCTGCAGCTGTTGTGCTTTCCAGTCTCCCCAGTTTCAGTTCCTCTTGACTTGTGTCCTTGTCAGAGAGAGAGTAGATTTGGGAAGAAGCTCCAAGAAGGTGCAGCCAACTATATCTCCCTTTCTCAAAGGGCTATTGTGAGGATTTGATGGGATTGTATCTGGCATATTAGTACTTGAAGGATGTTAGGGGACTGTGTTTGTTTGCACATTTCTCAGGCCTTAGATCTCAGCTGCAACCTTACTCACTGTGAGTACGGGATCATCCAAGCCTTCCTCAGATACCAAGAAAGGGTGCAGAATACAGGTGAAATCAGACCTGCTGGTATCTGTTACCACTGCTCATTTCAGAATTAGGATCCAGGCTAGGCTACTGTGGCGGAACAACCTCCATATAGAGCGGCTTGGACAAATAAATGCTATGGGTTTATATGCCTGTAGGTTGAAGATCCTGATCTTTTAGGGTGACTCTACTGTTAATGCACAAATTCTATGGCACTTTAGTTTTTTTTTTTTTTTTTTCTTTTAAAGACGGAGTCTTGCTCTGTCGCCCAGGCTGGAGTGCAATGGTGCAATCTCGGCTCACTGCAACCTCTGCCTCCCGGGTTCAAGCAATTCCCCCTGCCTCAGCCTCCCAAGTAGCTGGGATTACAGGCACCTACCACCACGCCCAGCTAATTTTTGTATTTTTAGTAGAGACAGGGTTTCACCATGTTGGCCAGGCTGGTCTTGAACTCCTGACCTCAGGTGATCTGCCAGCCTTGGCCTCCCAAAGTGCTGGGATTACAGGCATGAGCCACCGCACCCGGCCTAGTTCTTTTTTTTTTTTTTTTTTTTTTTGAGATGGAGTCTTATTCTGTCACCGAGGCTGGAGTGCAATGGTGCCATCTTGGCTCACTGCAACCTCTGCCTCCAGATTCAAGCGATTCTCTTGCCTCTGCCTCCTGAGTAGCTGGGATTACAGGCACCCACCACCATGCCTGGCTAATTTTTGTATTTTTTTTTACTAGAGATGGGGTTTTGCCACGTTGGCCAGGTTGGTCTCAAACTCCTGACCTCAGGTGATCCACCCCCTCCCCCCCACCTCGGCCTCCCCAAGTGCTGGGATTATAGGCGTGAATTACCATGCCTGGCCGGCCCATTAGTTCTTGTGATCTTCCAGCTGATGGGAAGTGGGGAAAGGGAGACAGGGAAGCAGTCACATAATTAAGAGAACAGGAATCACTTCTGCTTACATCCCACTGGCCACATAGTCACATGACCATGCCTAGCTGCAAGGGAGGCTGGGAAATGTAGTCTTTAGCTGGGAACCCATGTTTCCATCTAAAACTCTATTATTATGGAAGAAGGGAAGAAGGGATAGTGGAGAATGACCTGTTGGCTCTGCCACTGCAAGGTTATAAAGCCTGGTGAGATCAGAGAGTCTGTGTGTCTGCTGCAGCTGCTGGTAGTATCCTGGGTGAGGTCAGTGCTGAGGCTCTCCTGGCCTCATATACAGTCTGTTTATGCCATCAGCCACTCAGCAAGCCTAGTCCATGCTCCAGTGAAACCTGAAATTGCAAAAGGAGGAAAAGAAAAAGCCAGTTTTCAAATAATAATCACATGAACAAGAGCAGAAAATCCATAGCCATTTGTGAGGTGCCTTCTACTTAGAAGGCTCACTGACTTCAGTGCTACCAAAAAAAATGTGGCTCCATACTGGTCTAGGAAGTATTTGTCACCAGTTGCCCATAAGAAAGTAAAGAGACTGAGAATGAGCATTTAGAAATGTTTATAGCTATTTGACAGAATGATTTTATATTAGTTGAATATAATAATAAAATATTGGAGCTGGTATTTTGCATATCTTTTTAAATTTTCTAGTAATTCATTTTTATTATATTTTACACAAGTACTGGTCTATGACAGATAAGAAAAACAAACAAAACTGTTTCTTCTTCACAGATATTAATAGTTTGAGAAGTGCTGGTCTAAGCCTTGGGAACTCTGTTAACTGTCACATTATTTCATGTAGCCTTGAGGGAGGCATTATTAACCCCATTTTGTCAATGAGAAAATGGCAGTTGAGAGCTTCAATGATGAGCCCCAGAGGTAGAGATAGCAGAGCTGGTCTGTGCAGTCCTGTCAGCTGAAGGCCAGAGTCCTCCCAGGGCTCACGATGATTGAGGGACCCAAGCTGCCTGTGCAGTTGAAGCCAAACTCAGTACTTTCCAGAACACAGCCCGAGAGCACAGAGACAGGGCCAGGCAGAGAGATACATTCCCATGTATAATAAAAGGCTACCCATCATGCATGGCAGAGCCCCTTAGAGAAGTGAATTCCGGTTAGAAACAGGACAGTGTCCTGCAGGAGCTCAGCTGAGGACCAGAGGAGCAGGAGCCTGTGGCTCAGGGAAGGGAGACACAGAACCCTACTTCGCCTCTGGCCTTGGCTTCTGGAATGGAGGAAAGCGCAGTTTAGGACCACTAGGGAGGACTGGGAAGCAGGTCACCGTGCATACCTCCAATGGCCACTGCCCTTTTTCTGGCAGCCACTGTGATTTTGCTCCAGGGGAATTCACCCCGCCTCCTCCCGCACTGTGCTTTGTTGGGGCATGTGGCTAAGGCCTGGCCAGCCAAAGGACATCATTTCCCTGGAGGCAGGATTTGTTCAGAGAGGAGTAAATGACCCAACCAGAGCCAAGGAGACAGCATGAGGGTCATGCTGAGGCTACTGAGAGAAGCACGCTCTTTGGATTCAAACACGGGAGGGTGTGAGGCTGGAGCTGGGGTGGCCAACTTGTTCCCCAACAGAAGAGCCATCTGAGACTGGCATGAAGCCAGAGAAGTGGAGCTAAGAGCTGGGAAAAAGGGATCCTAGGCTCTAACGCTATCATTTGAGAGCCTAGGTCTAGGGTGAAGTGAAGCGAGTGCATGAATGAAGTGAGATGGGGCAGATGAGTCTTTTTGTGTCTGTGATTTTCCAGCAGCTCACAAGTGGTGTCTCTGTGATGTTCCAGAAGTTCACCAGTGGTCCCCCTCCCCTGCCAGTTCATGCCCTACACAAGCCAGTCTCACCAAGGCACATCTCTTTTGAAAATCTTTCAGTGGCTCCTCCATGGCCCTCAAGATGAAGTCCAAATGTTGTAATCCCACTGCTTACAACTTGTCTGTTTTTGTCATTCTGGAACCTTTTTATTTACCCAAGCTGCATGGAACCACTTTTAGTTTCCCAAATGTGTCTTGCTTTCTGCCACCTACAGCTGGACATGAACATGCCATTCCTCCCGCTGGCTTCTTTCCCCAGGATCCCCCTTTCTCTCGAGCCTTCCAGATTGGATTTGCTGCCCCCCTTGGGTGCTCCCTTGGGTCCCTTATCCAAACAGCCTCTGGAACTCCAGCCTCTTGTGTTTACCTTCCCCAGTGGATTGTCTCCACTTGGAGGCCCCACAGGCACCTGAAACCCAAGTTCCAAATGGGATCTTCACACCCTTTTGCCCAAACCTGCTTCCCTCTGGGATCCCTGCTAGTAGCCTTACCATCCATTTGCCCAGGAGCCCAAGCCAGGAACCTGGGAGTCGTTACTTTTCTCTCCCTCAGCTCCTCTCCACCACCCAGTACCCCCTACAATCTCTATTGCCATCGCCTTGGTCCCAGCCACCACCGCCTGGCTCCTGCACTCCTGCAGCAGCTCCTGGCTGTCCCTCCTGCTTGTGCAGCCTCATCCTCCCCTCCATTCTTCACTCTGCAGCTAGATGTTGCTTCTAAAATGTTGATTCAATGACGTTTCCTTTGTAGAACACCCCAGTGGTTCCCCACTGATTTGCTCTGCAGTGTCCTCTCTTATTGGCCTGTATCGTGAATTCCTTGCAGGTCTTTTTTTTTTTTTTTTTTTTTTTGAGACGGAGTCTCACTCTGTCGCCCAAGCTGGAGTGCAGTGGCACGATCTTGGCTCACTGCAACCTCTGCCTCCTGGGTTCACGCCATTCTCCTGCCTCAGCCTCCCGAGTAGCTGGGACTACAGGCTCCCACCACCACACCCGGCTAATTTTTTTTTTTTTTTGAGACGGAGTCTCACTGTCGCCCAGGCTGGAGTGCAGTGGCGCGATCTCTGCTCACTGCAGGCTCCGCCCCCTCGGGTTCATGCCATTCTCCTGCCTCAGCCTCTGGAGCAGCTGGGACTACAGGCGCCCCCCACCTCGCCTGGCTAATTTTTTGTATTTTTAGTAGAGACGGGGTTTCACTGTGTTAACCAGGATGGTCTCAATCTCCTGACCTTGTGGTCCGCCCACCTCGGCCTCCCAAAGTGCTGGGATTACAGGCGTGAGCCACTGTGCCCAGCCTCCTTGCAGGTCTTTAAAGCAACGCCAGGCTCTCTCTAGTATCCTCCTTGCTGCACTCTGTGCTTTACCCCTAGGTACTGCCCATGTTTGCCTGCTGAAGCTCTAGGATTGAGCTCTCTGATGCTGCCTTCAGGAAGCCCTCTCTGGGCACCCATAAGTGGGCAGATCCCCTTCCTATGCACTCCTCCTGAACTCTCTGCTCCTGTGAATGTGGGGAACACATGAATTGCATGTTCCTGTGTCTGTCTCTTAACTTAAACAGGGAGCTCCTTAGGGCCTAGGGCTGGGTCTTATTAGCTGTTGTGTTTAGGGTTTAATGCTTAGAGGAAGTGCTTCACAAATGGTTGAATTAATTAATTAATGACTACCTTAATGCCTGGCTTCCCAAACTGTGCAGCCACCTGAGGGTGCTGTGGAATGAGGTTCGGGGATCTCTACTGTAACCCTTTACTGCTCCTCTTCACAGCCCGGGCCAGCCTTACATTAGGATTGGGTTTCACCTTGGTGGCGTCAGGACCCCCAGAGTCCTTGGTCAGGAGGGTGGGGGGCAGGTGCAGACCCAGGCAGCAGGAAAGGTGCGGCTCATGGAGCGGGCAGCAGGTAAAGAGCAGCCCTGGGAGTGCTGGGTGGAGGGAAACTGAGGTTCTTGGGCTGGGTGGGAGGAGCAGGCAAGCTCAGCTCAGACTCCCTTTGGGGCTCACAAAGCAGGGGCATCATTTCTCAAACACGGGACAAGGCAGAGCCTTGGCAGCAATGAAGATGTCCTGGAGAGCAGGCACAAGGCCAGCGCAGGCTCCTCCGCGAGGCTGATGGGGTCCTTGTAGTTCTTTGTCCAGGAGCCATCTGGGTTCCCAAGCCTGATTGGAGCAGACTCTGCCCTGGAGGTAAGGGCCTTGGTCACCAGCACTGTAGATTAGCACGTCAGGGAGCCAGCAGCACATTCCGAGTGGATCTGAAATCCACTTGCCTGCCTTCCCCCTGAGCCTTAGCCCATCTCTCAGGACTCAGCTGCCACACCACTTCCTGCTCTTCTTCACGCAGAGCTCCAGGATAGCAATTAGGGAGGCCATGAAGCAGGCACTGTGCAAGCACTCACCTTGGCTTCCCTCTGTCATACAGAGTATGTATGATCTCATTTCATCAAGACGTGGCAGGCAATGTCACAGGAACTGTGACTCTGCTCTGTGTGGGAGGCAATGTGGCCCATCTGCACCACACATCTGGTCTATAGTTGATCACACATCTGGACTGTGTTGGGTCTGTCTGGCCCACAGTGCACGCTGTTCCCACTGCCCAGTGCTGCCTTCTCTAGCTCTAACCTTTCCCTGAAATTAGAGACTCTCAATTAAATCTGGGGCTGTCCCTTTCCTTTCCTCCGACTCTTGGAGCTCCACAACCCCCCATCTTTGGCTTTTGCCAGGACAGAGCTCTTGTCCATCCTGTCCCGTGTCTGTTCTAAGCACTGGGCATGGGGAGCTGCACCCAGCATTGGAAACCTCACCCCATTTTCCTCTTCTTGCGCCCTCTCAGAAAAGGGTAAGGATGGACAGACTAGCCAGCCCCAGTCAAAGCCTTGGCTGAGGCCACTGGCTCTGGCTCTGTCATCATCTTATCGCTCATCATAGCCATGGTCCTGGCCCTGCTATACCAGAAGAGAGAGGTTTCCCTGGAGATTCCAGCCTTGCCCTTTTCTGAAAAGGCTACACATTTACCCAGAGCAGCAGGAGCCCTCTGCTGTGAGAACTCCCTAAAGCGAGAGCTGGGCTTCTTCTTTCCCAGGGAAGATAGAGGAAGCTGATGCTTAGCCCCAGGCCTCGTTATTAAGAGGCTTCTACTTTTCTTTTTTTTTTCTCTTTTTTGTTTTTTTTTTGAGACAGGGTCTTGCTCTTTTGCCCAGGCTGGAGTGCAGTAGTGCGATCTTGGCTCACTGAAACCCCCGCCTCCTGGGCTGAAGTGATCCTCCCGTCTCAGCCTCCCAAGCAGCTGGGACTACAGCCACACACAACCACACCCAGTTAATGTTTGCATTTTTTATAGAGACGGGGTTTTGCTGTGTTGCTCAGGTTGGTCTTGAACTCCGGAGCTCAAGTGATCCTCGTGCCTCAGCCTCCCAAAGTGCTGGGATTGCAGGTGTGCATCTCTGCACCTGGCCGGGTTTCAACTCTTGTTAGCTCGCTGGCTGTGTGACCTTGGGCAGGTGACTCAGTCTCTCTGAGTCTGAGTTTGTATAGTTCTAAAGATGGTAGAACTTAAGTCATGGGGCTGTGCGAGGGTTCAAAGAGGCTATCTATGGGAAGCACATGTATAGTCCTGGCAGTTAGTGGACGTTCAGTCCACGGCAGCTTTCGTGGTTAGAATTGTTACTGACTTCACTCCCCACTCTACTTCTTGAGATTTCCATGCTCCTGGCACAGGCCGAGTCAGCTCTCCCCTTGGCATCTCTCTCCTTTCCCTTTTTAAGGGCATTTCTGCTGCTCCCGGCTGCACAGTCAACTCCAGTTCAGACCCTCTTGGAGTCTTGAGGTGCTGCCAGCAATCACAGCCACAACCAACCCGAGGCCTGCAGTAACATTCCTGCTCACTGGAGTCAGGGATCTGCCCCGCCACGCGGTGCGTCTGGGCTGGGGAGTGAGGGGGCGGAGGGAGGGGAGCCACAGCTGCTCCTTTGTCAACCAGTCATGATGAGGGTGAGGCCAGGGCACAGGCCTGTCCAGACCAAGAACAGGAACCAGGTGGACTTTGCTGAGGCCCAGACAGGGTGGGGCATCGGGGAGGCCCACGTCTGCACGTTAGGAGGTGCATGGTGGAATGAAAAAGGGGGATGATCGGGCAGACTCACTTCTGATTTCCCAGGCTGCTGAGTCCAGAGGCCCTTAGCTGGGTTTCAGGTTGCTTTGAGGCCAGGCAATCAACAGACTCATACAATGGCACATTAACAATTGCTCAGTCACCATCAGGCTCTCTGTTAGGGTGCAGGATATGCTGCTATAACAAAAAGACCCCAAAGACAATAGTGTGAAAAAGGCAGGACCTTCATTCTCCCTCACATAACACCCTGGCTGCTCCAGGCCAGCAGGGTGGCTCTGCCTCATGCGGTTTTGGGGAATGCAGTTTTCCTCCACCCTGTGGTTCTGCCATCCCCAAAGGCAGATGTCCTCAACAGACCTGGCCAGGATTCAGGAGCTCTCTGACCCTTCATGGGGAAAAAATTACATCTTGATTTCCACCAAGTTCTACCTGAAAATTAGCATTTTCTTTCATTATGACAGCAGGCCAGAAACACAGGAGTATTGGTGGTACCTGTGATCTTATTTCTTGTTTCCAACAGAAATCACAGATACTTTATTATCACATTTAGTTGGTAAAGATATTGTGAGATATCCTTTATGCTTTGAAAAGGACTTTGACTTTACCTTTGACTATACCAAGACCTTGAAAGCAGAGTGTTTATTAGATCCATTGCTAGATGGTTCTTTAATGCATTAATAAGGAAGTATATATTTTATTAGACTGTAATTCTTTACTATTTTGATATTTCAATATATTTATTTTTCTTTGTAATCTTATTATTTTATTCCACGCATTTAAGAACAGTCTTCTGAGAAGCATCCATGGTCTTCATCAGACAGCCAAGTGGTCCAAGGCACAAAAATGGCAAGGAGCCCTGCCCCGTGCGTTGCTTCATTGGTTGAACCTGGGCCACCGCGTGTCACCCTTCATGGAAGAGGGAAAGGTGCAGGTGTGGGACTAACAAACTCCTTGCAGGCCAGGGATGTGGAACCTGTACATTTCACTTCTGTCACCTTCCACTGCCAGAACTCAGCCACAAGGCTATACTCAGTTGCAAGGGAAGCTGGGAAGTATGGTCTTCACCTGGGCAGGAATGTGCTCAGCAAGACCCTATTATGGGGCCGGGCAAGCTGGCTTACACCTGTAATCCCAGCACTTTGGGAGGCCGAGGTGGGCAGATCAGCTGAGGTCAGGAGTTTAAGACCAGCCTGGCCAACACGGCGAAACCCTTTCTCTACTAAAAATACAAAAATTAGCTGGGTGTGGCGGTGGGCACCTGTAACCCCAGCTACTCAGGAGGCTGGGAAGGGAGAGTCATTTGAACCCAGGAGGCAGAGGTTGCAGTGAGCCGAGATTACACCACTGCACTCCAGCTTGGGAGACAGAGTGAGACTCTGTCTCAAAAAAGAAAAAAAAAAAGACCCTATTGTTACGGATGAAGGGGAGAAAGGATATCGGGCTCCAACTAGCAGTGTGGCTACAATCTCCAACACTTCCACTTCCCCACCAGGACCAGGGATCCTTCGAGCCCACCCTCTTTTTCCTGTCCTTCTCCCGCCTCATGGCTTCCCGTCTCACCCAGCTTAGCCCTGGTGTAAGAAACCTTCTCTTGGCCTTCCACCCATGCCACTCCATGGAAGTTCTACTGACAAGCTCACCAAAGCTCTTCTTGTGGTCCATCCAAATATCACTTCTCCCATCAGCAACACCGGACCCAGGTGAACACCTCTTCCTCCTTGAAGCACTGGCTTTTCCTGGCTTCCAGGACACCAGGTGCTCCTAGTTGCTCCTTCTCAGCTTCATCTCCCTGATCTCTAAGCACTGACAAGCCCCAGAGGTCAGATCTGGGACCTCTTCTCTGTGCACAGTGCCTTGGTGGTGATCTCGTTCAGTCTCAGGCCTCGAATTCCTATGTGAATGAGTTCCCATTTTATTTCTCTAGCCTGGGCCTCTCTCCTGAAGTCCAGCCTAATGTATCCAGTTGCATGTTTGACTACAAGAAACATCTCAAGCTTAACATATCCAAACTCAAAATCCTGATCTCGCTCCCAGGAGCTCCTCCTCCCGTAGGCATTCCCATCGTTCCAGCTGCTTAGGCCAGGAATCTCTGAGCCATCCTTACTCCATTCTTTCACATCTAACATCCCACCATCTTGGGCTTCAAAGCCATCCAGGAATGAACTGCTTCTCCGTAGCCACCAGACTTGTCTATGTGGCAATGATCTCCCACCTGGATTCTTGAAATACTCCCTAACTGGTATCCCTGACTCCTTCTTTGTTCTCAACTTGGCAGATGGAGGGTTCCTTTCAGCCATCCTCCTGTGGCTTGGCTCCTGTCTCTCAGAGGAAGGTGCAGATTCTCCACAGTGGCCTTCAGAGCCTGTGTGGCCTGTCCCCTGTCACTTGGCTGACCCTGGCCTCACTCACAATAGGCCTTCTTGCTGCTCCTCCCACTCATCAGGCATGGTCCCACCTCCTGCCTGGAAGGATCTTCCCCAGATGGCCACACGGCTCCCTCCACTTCCTTCAGATCTCATATTCCCCATGAGGCTCTCCCACACACCCCACTTCACCCAGCAGACCCGGTCCTCCTTTCCTGCTTTGTTTTCCCCACAGTACTGCCACCATCTGTCAGGCTGCTATCTTATTATTTATTGTGTTTTGGTCTGTTTCCCCTCAGTAGTGTGCAGGCTGCTTGGGGGCAGGGATATTTGTCTGTTTTGTTCATTTCTGGTTCCTAGTACTTAGAATGGTACCCAAGAAACATTTGTTGAATGTATGAATTGACTATTCTGTTCTGCAGTCTTATTCAGGTCTCATAGGAAGGCTTCTTTTTCTCTTTCCCCTCTGCACCCTGGAAACTTTCTCCAAAATATTAGGCCAAGGCTGGGAGCTCATCAGCAGGCGCATGAAACAGGTGGAGACCAAGGGTACGAAAAGGTGAAGGTGGAGTGTGTACGTTCACCCAATAGGCATTTATTGAGCACCTTCTCTGGGGCACCCAGATGCAAAGATAAAGGCCTGTCCCAGGGCCTGAGAGAAACTGACATGCAGTAGAGTGGCATGGGCAAGCCAATAACTGCAGTGCCATGCTTTCACATGAGAAGCCCTGCAATGGAGGCACCAGCCAGGTAACAGGCACTGCCTGTCAGGGTCAGCGGGGAACACCAGGTAGTGCCGAGGTCAAGAGCACAATTTGGGCTGGTGCAGTGGCTCATGCCTGTCATCCTAGCACTTTGGGAGTCCAAGGCAAGCAAATTGCTTTAGCCCAGGAGTTTAAGACCAGCCTGGGCAATATGGTGAAACACCGTCTCTACTAAAAATACACAAAATTAGCCAGGTGTGGTGGTATGTGCCTGTAGTCTCAGCTACTCAGGAGGCTAAGATGGGAGAATCACCCGAGCCCAGGAGTTTGAGGCTGCAGTGAGCTGTGATCATGCCACTGCACTCCAGACTGGGTGACGGGAGTGAGACCTTGTCTCAGAATAACAAAAAAGCACAATTTGGGGCAAGTTACTTCTTATGTCTGAGTCTCACTCTTCACATCTATAAAATGGGGCAATAGTTACCAACTTCACTGGGCCATGGTGGAGACTGCTTGAGACCAGAGATGGATTTACCAACGAAGCTGATGAAGCTTAAGCGTCAAGGCCCATCACTTGCTCAGGTGCCTTCCAAGGCCCTAGCTATGTGCTCACAAGGTCATTTTTTTTTTTTGAGACAGGATCTTGCTCTGTTGCCCAGGCTGGAGTGCGGTGATGTGATCACAGCTCACTGTAACCTCCAACTTCTAGACTCAAGCAGACCTCTGGCCTCAGCCTCCTGAATAACTGGAACTACAGGTTCAGCCACCATGCCCAGCTAAAGGAGGTCATTTTTGTTTTAGAAACCCGAGAAATACAATCAGATGTCGTGTGTGTGTGTATGTGTGTGTGTGTGTGTGTGTATGTTTTAAGAAGACCTTCTAAATTGTATAAGTTTCAGGCCTCACAAAACCTGAATCTGCCCCTGCATGGACATATGTGAAGTGCTCAGTACAGATCCTGACATAAAGAAATCATTTAATAGTGCAGTGGCATGAAAAACGGGCTTCACAGAGGAGGTGTCATTTGAGCTGGGTCTTTTTGGACAAGTAGAAGTTCACCAGATTCCAAATGGAGTACTAGGAGCATAAATATCTCCCTGATTTCGCAGGGATGTTTCAATGAGCTTCATTACAGACTGCAAGGGATGAAAGGATGTTTCTGGTAGGGTAATTCTACCATTTGTCCAGCACTTGTGATGTGCTGCTCTAAACGCTTCTCCTGTAATAATTTATTAGATCGAAGTATCAGCTGAAGGTCTCACAGCTACACAAGGGCATAGCAGGGATCTGCCTCTTGTGTGTGGCTTTGGAAGTTTCATCTGTGGACAATGGCTCTTGCTTTTCCTCCATGCACCCAGGATGGATAGTTCCCTGGTGGCCCCACTTTTCCAGGGCCCTAATTCATTGTCATGCACCAGCCGGGGAGACTGGGCTCCCTAGCCCGACACAGCCTGACCCAACCCGACCTGAGTCCCAGGCACGGCTGATCCACACACAGGGAAGGAGCCAGCACCGCCTTCACCCACGGAGCCACAGGGTGTTCTTTTTTTAAATAAAGGCTCTGATGTGACAGCATGGTGGCAGGATTCTTCTCTGGTCTCATTTCCCAGCTCCCATAACCACCCAGCCCCCAGAGAACCTGGCCTTGAGCAGCTCAGAGCACCAGTCTGCAACATCTGAAAATGAGAATGAAATGCCCAGGGGCTGAGCTGAGCACAGCATGTGCAAAATGAAAGCAGCAATGTCCCCCAGGCCTGTGGCTTCTCCCACTGCCCCTCCTAAATCTGCAGGACACCCAGATCTCAGTGCTGCCAGAACAACCTGAGTAACTGTCCAAACCTCCTTCCAAAGTGGTAATGGTTTGAATAAGTCACAATTGCTTTGGGTTTTATTTAACAGATGTTGTCCATTATGCTACGTATTGGGACAAACATGTTTTCCCTCATTTCCTACACCCTAACCCCATAGGGACCCAGCTGAGTGAAGCAGAAAACAAAAAGAAACTCGAAATAACCAGAACTCCTTGCATTTGGACAGCATCCTAGAATGTACCATGGACCCATTAAGCCTATTTTGTAGATGAGACCTTGCAGGGGTTTAGAGAGATTCGTGACTTCTCAAGCCCAGTGAACTGATAAGTGGCAGAGCTAAGACTGAAACTCCGCTTCCGGCCTGGATCCAGCTCTCTCCTGTGGAGCCGTGCACGTGGAGACAGTCTCAGAGAAGGAAGGCAGGGCCCATGAGGTGGCACAGTCAGACAATTGCTAGGTTTCATGTGGCAATTTGCTGTAAACTGGGGCTATTGCCTAGTCCATTTTTAGACTGGAGCCGTGCGTTCCGTGTGATCCAACAGGCCTCTCATGGAAGACTGTGGGCCCGGAGGGGATGCCTGGGCCCCATAAAGGGTCCCATTCAGCAGGGATCCAGAGCCTGATGTCTCACGGCTGTAGCTGTGTTATATCTGCCTCTACCTCCAAATGCCCTTTAAAACGTGAATATTTTTGCTAACATTTAAAACTTAGTAGGATTTACATAAGAATGGGTATTTCTGGCATCTCTTAACAATGTGAGGATTGGCTGGTACCAGGCTTGCCGTCCCTGGAGCTGAGCAGTGCTGTTCCCTCTAGAAGGAGCATTTGCTGTCCAGGGCACTGAGCCTGTGGCCATGCCCTCATCTGACCTCTGTGATGTCACCCGTCTGGCCCCTATAGGCATTGGGGCTTTTGACTGTTGCTACAGAACAGAAGTTCTTAACATTTTGAAGGTCGGGGGTCCAAGAACTTGGATGGGTAAAAATTACATCTTTATTTTCACTGACCTCTACCTAAAACTGAGCATTTCCTTCCATTATGAGTGTAGGCAGCAACCACGGTCGTAATGGGATCTGTGACTGTCACCAGAAGAAATCACCAACAGTTTCGTATCACGTGAGAGTTTTGCAGGTGCCTCCAAATGCCGTCCATGCTCATCAACACTGTGACATCAGCTGCGGTTCTTTAATGCATGTGATAAAGAAGCACGTATATTAGAAGTTTGGGTTTTAAAATGTATTTTGAGAAGTGTTTTTCCATGCATTTGGCTCCTTTGGTAATCCTAGGTATTTTATTTTATGGCTTTATTCTAAGAAAAGGCCCATAGCTTCATGAGCCTGTCAGAGGGATCCAAGCACAGCACTGGACTCTTCAAAATACAGTTGTCAGCATCCTTGGGGAAGGGGAGGCAGTTCTAGAACCTTTGGGAGAAGCGAGGCAGGAGACGAGCTGCACCCCTCCATACAGACCCTCCACGGTGGCTTCACACTGGACTCCAGACCCAGGGCTTGGGGCCCTCTGAGGTCTCCTAGAAAGGGGGCTTTCTAGGAAAGGGGTGCAGGGCGAAAGCTGTGCTGTGGATCTGCATTCAGAGCCTGAGTCCCCGCCTCCAGCCTCCACGGTCATTCTCCCTTCTCCAAACCAACCCCAGCGTGAATACGGAGGGAGAAAGTTTAGCTCCCAGCCCGAGCCACGGTGCCGGTGCCGCCTCCCCATCTCTCACTGACTGAAGCGCTGAGCGCTGACTCATCATCGGACTCTCCTGCCCAGCCTGGTGCACGCCCACGACGTGCCCTCCTTCTTGCTTCTCCACTGTTTCCTCCCCGGCTCTTCCCGGGCGCCTGCAAACCCACGCGCGTCTCCCCATGTCCTGGCTGCCCCCTCCCAGCAACCATCCTCTTCTTTCCCTGCCAAATCCGGAAATGTGTGGTCTCGTTGTGTTTCCTCCTGAATCCTTGAAGCACCCACTCAGCCTCGTTTCGTCCTCCACCTCCCATTGCAGTTTACTGAAACCGCCCTGCTGAGGGTCAGCAGGGTTGATCTTCCCAGCAGGACAGGTGGCCCTGGGCCCCCCACCTCCCCCTCCCGCTCCCGACCCACAGCCCTGGTGCTCCCACAGCCCAGCCACCTCTTCCTGGATGGAGGGATGGATGGACCGACCTACTCCCTCCCCTGGTTTCCATGACACTGCACTTTCCCACATCTCCAGGTTTGTGACAGCTCATTTCCTCCTCACTGGCATCGCCTTCTCCCAGCTTCTCACCGTGGGTGTGCCCAAGGCACTGCCCTTCGCGTTCTTTTCCTGTGTGTGTGCCCACCACCTCCCCTGGAGGGCTTATCCTCCTGGCGGCCTCATATCACCTCCACCACTGCTGCCTCTCCAGCCTCTGACACCCACTATCCCAGTCCCACATTGCCAGGGTTTCCAGAACCTCCCTCCCAAACCCCCACCTCATGAAATGTGTCTTAAATCACAGGTTTTTAGACTGTTGGGCCCTGGAGGTATTAAAGGGTAGGTCGGCCAGGCAACCCTAAACCTGGTGGGATCCTGCAGGGGAGACTTAAATATGTGCCCCCCCGAGCCTGAGCTGCTGCAGATCTGTGAGAGGCAGTCTAGTGTATGGCTAAGAGGAGAGGACTCTGCAAGCTCACTGCCCACGTTCAAATCCTACCTCTGCTACCTGCTGCTGTGACCTTAGGCAAGTTCATTGATTTGTTTGTCCATTTATGTAGCTAATGTTAATTGAGCCCCTACTCTGCCAGACTCTACCCTACACTGAAAATACAAATGGGAAAACCAAGTGGCTTGGGGAGTTTAATTAGTCATGGCATTACCCAAACAAATGTTAAATTGTGACTATGAAAGCAATGAGAGGTAGAAGATGCTGTGAGAGCCCATCACGAGACAGCCTTATCAGGGAGGTCAGGGACAGGTTTCTTGAGGACATGGCCTTTAAGCTCAAAACTGAAGAATGGGAGGAGTCACCACGTGTGACAGGCTGAATCATGTCTCTCAAAGATGTCTGCATCCTAATCCCCAGAATCTATGAATGTGCTACCTTGCATGGCAAAGAAGATGTGATGAAGTTAAAGATCTTGAGATGGGAGATTATCTTGGATTAGCTGGGTGGACCCAATGTACCACAAGGGTCCTTATGAGAAGGAGTTAGAAGGGTCAGAGTAGAAAGAGATGGAAGCTGAAGCTGGAGTGGTGTCATTGCTGGAAGGGGGCCATAACCAAGGAAGCCTCTAGTAGCTAGAAAAGGCAAAGAAATGGATTCTCCCCTAGAACTTCCAGAAACAACACAGCCCTGCTGACCCATTTTGGCCTTTTGTCCTCCAGAACAGTAAGATAGTAAATTTGTGTTGCTTTAAGCCACTGAGTTTGCAGTAACTTGTTACAGCAGCGATAAGGAATTAGCACACTGGGAGAAGAATGGAGAAGCATGTGAGGCAGGTGACAAGGCTGGGGTGACAGATGGGCATTGGAGATCGTGTGTGTGTGTGTGTGTGTGTGTGTGTGTGTGTGTGTGTGTTTGTGAAGAGGGGAGTGATGAGGCTGGACAGGTGGGCACGGGCCAGACCATGGGGAGCAACTTTATTTCTAATTTATCCACAGTGGTAAATCTGTTACCAAAATGCCAGGGGTTCAATCTAGGTTCTGCAGCTTGCCACACAGAAAGCCAATCACTGAGACAATGGGTAGTTCCAGGGAAGAAGGCTTTAATCGGGTGTTGCAGCTGAGCAGATGGGAGATCAGCCTCAAACCCATCTCCCTGACCAACTAAAATTAGGGGTTTATATAGCAGGGAAGATATGTAACCATGTGTGGGGAAACAGGAATTAGGGAGGGGTAAGGAAGAGGAGTTGGTCAACAGGAAGCTGGTGGTGGGTTAGGGAATCATGAGGGGTGAGGGGTCTGGCATATCATTGTCCAGATGAGGTGATCTGGTGAATTTCAGCTCTTTGGTACTGTCTGGGAGGCCTGATGGTTGGTTTCCTGAGAAAAGAACTCAGATAAGACAAATGTAACTTTCTCAAGCGTCAAGACTGGATCAATTTCTATACTTATTCAAAGAAACTAGAAATATTAGTTCTGTGAGACAATTGGGCCCATTTCAAGACAATCAACAAGTTTCAAGCAGTTATTTATTTACATTATTAATCCCTCTAAGCCTCAGATTCTTCATTGATAAAATGAAGACTTTGTAAAGTTGTTGGGAAGATTAAATGGGATAACGTAACGACTGTAGCTCTTAGTTAGTGCTCATTTAATACCATTATTATGATCCAGTGGCTTTCCAGCTGGACTCCACATAGCCCTAGAAATTCTGAGTCTCTGGGCTGCTATGAAGTGGAGGGAGACGGGGAACAGTGGGGCAGTTCTCTCCTCAATCAGAGCAGCTGAGTGTGTACTTTTTGGCACATTGGACTTGACATTTGCTTAAGATCATGTTTGTTTGTCTGTTCTCAAGACAAAGTCTTGCTCTGTTGCCCAGGCTGGAGTGCAGTTGCATGGGCATAGCTCAATGCAGACTTGAACTCCTGGGCTCAAGTGATCCTCCTGCCTCAGCCTCCCTAATAGCTATGACTGCCAGTGCATGCCATCATGACTGGCTAATTTGATTTCTTTAGAGGTGTGTTTCCAGGGCTGGTCACGAACTCCTGGGCTCAAGCAATCCTCTTTCCTTGGCCTCACAAAGCACTGGGATTACAGGAGTGAGCCACTATGCCTGGCCTTTAAGATCACGTTTGAATAAAAGATTCCTCAGCTACAATGTAGTTAGAAAACCAAATCTCTTGCCTACCCCTGCTTTTTCCTGTAAGGAAACCCTGGCCTAGAGGTGCCACCATGACATTGGAACCAGCCTGGAGAACTCAGGCTCCAAACCAACAGTGCCTCCCTCCTTTATGGCCCAGTGGCCTAGGCCTGGGGTCAGAGTGGGGGCTTCATGGCATGGAGTCCATTTTCCTTCTTGTCACTCTGTATGATTTGTGTGATACTTTTTCTTCCATTTCTGTTTCGTGTCAGTCTCCCTTGTGGGACACTCTAAGGTCCACAGGGGCAGGAATCACATGTTTTCTTATCCACAGTGTCTCCAGGGCCTGCCACTGTGGCTGGTACACGATAATAACAGGAAACACTTGGAAGATGCTCACTGTGTCCCAGGCTCTGTTCCACATCCTGCACACACATTCACACATTTAATATGGAACCCTAACTCAACATGTGTGCAGAATTAAAGGCTTCACGTCACTTCTGCATCTGGGTTTCTTCACCTCTTTGAACCACAGCGTCGTCATCTGTAAAATGGGGAATAGCAACACCTGCAGTGGTGATGGTGAGGGTGAAATGACATGATGATGTCTGCAAGCCTCCTGGCTTGGGGTCTGGCCACAGCAGGCGTTCAGGAAAGGACAGCCATTGTTATTACTTCATTGCACTGGCTGCCAGATCGCTCTGATTCCAGTGCCCAGTCTTGATGGGGTCACTGCCATAATCCCTGGACTGGGATGAATTCCTTCCCTCCATCAGCCAAGTCGCTTCCTACGAGCTTTCTTTCTTCCACTCACTCCTCCTCCTCTTCTTTCTCCCTTGGGCCTAGACCAGCCCCCCTGCCCCTCTGGGCTCCAGCTGCCTTCATTCTAATCAACCATGCAGGCCACTGCCTGTGCTTCCGCCTGCACCCACTTCCATTGCCTCCTTCCCTCCCAGGGCCCCAGGGAAACTCCTACAGCCTCTATCATCAAATGTGATCCTTGGGCTCGTACTGAGGGGGTCCTGAGCACCAGTGTAAATCCACTCCCTGCTCAACTACTCCCAGGCTGCCACTGACACCCCCAGCACCTGGCCCAAAATTTTAAAAATAAGCATTTATCACTTTTACCAAAAAAAAAAAAATGCTTTTAGTTGTGGTAGATGTTGTTAAAGTACAAAATTAACAACACAAGCTATAGAAGTGAGAAAAAGAAAAGATGAACTCTAGGGTGTCTAGGGCAAACTAGAAAAGCTTTCAACAAGAATAATGCTATAATTTTTGGTTCCTGAAAAAATTCATCATAGAAATAGCCAAGAAGATATTCTAAAACCAATGCCATAGTAACTAGAAATTTCCACAATTATTCACAAGAGTAAAATTATTTTCTAGGCCCTAGAAAATATACATATCACATTGATTACATAAGGGCCTGCAGTGAACTTTTAAGTATTTGTATTGCATATTAAAACACAATTTTATAACATACCAAAGCATAGTCAATACTACAAGGTTGGCTACAATAAACAATACACATCCACGCTGGGCGCGGTGGCTCATGCCTGTAACCCTAGCACTTTGGGAGGCCCAGGTGGGTGGATTGCTAGAGTCCAGGAGTTCAAGATCAGCCTGGGGAGCATGGCAAAACCCCGCCTCTACAAAAAATATGGAAATTAGCCAGGTGTGGCATGTACTTGTAGTCCCAGCTACCAGGGAGGCCGAGGCAGAAGAATCGCTTGGCTCCAGGAGGTTGAGGCTGCAGTGAGCTGTGGCGGCGCCGCTGCATTCCAGCCTGGGTGAGAGTGAGACCCTGTTTCAAACAACAACAAACAAAACACATGTAATTGACAATTGTTTTGTTCTTCTTCCACTTTAGAAGTGGCGTAATGCTTGATGTAATACCTCTCTTTTCTGTGAGCAAGGGGGGATGTCTGAAGTCACTCCTTGGAACTCAGTGCTGAGCTAATCGAGGACGAGTACGATTTAAATGTCTGGGTGCTGATGCTAACGATGCCCTTCTTTTAACTGAAAATTGTTTTATTAGGTTGGTGCAAAAGTAATTGTGGGTTTTGCCATTATTTTCAATGGCAAATACCGCAATTACTTTTGCACCAGTGTAATAAGTATCCAGAAGGGCTGGCCTAGCATTCTCCTTCCTCCATACCTGTGTGCATACAGAGCTCAGGGGCCAGGTTAACACGGGTTCTAGGAAGGCTTCTGCAGGCTCTGAAGACAGCCCTCCCACCGTTCCCTCCCTGTGGACCACCAGGCACTGTTACTGACAGCCATCAGAGCTCAGAACCATGCTGCTGCTCCTGCTGCTGCTGCTGCTGCTTGGCTGTTTTCATCTGGGCCAGTGGAATGTAAGGGAGAGATGGCAATTGAGGTGCAAAAGCTCATCAAACACGATCTGTGGAGGCACAGAATTAAAGTATGTCGAGAGTGGAAAGGATCTTTGCTATGAGCTGCTCCAACCTCTAAGAGCCGCCACCACCACCACCACCACTGACAAGACAGAGCACACGCCCTGTGCCTGGAATTATGACAGAGATGGTTTAATTTCATGTAATTGTCAGAACTGTGTGAGGTAAGTAAAATCATCCCCATTTTACAGATGAGAAGGCAGAGGCTCAGTGAGTCTAAGAACTTAACAAGTATATTAGTTTGCTAGACTGCCATAAGGAAGTGCCACAGACTGGGTGGCTTAGAACATCAGAAATGTTCTGGAGGCTGGAAGTCCAAGACTGAGGTGTCAGCAGGGTTGGTTCTTGGGGTCGTGAGACAGAATCTGTCCCATGCCTCTCCCCTAGCTTCTGGCAGTTTGCTGCAATCTTTAGCCCGTCTTAGCATGTAGACGTATCACACCATCCTCCCCTCATCTTCATATGGTGTTCTCCTGGAGTGTATGTCTCCATGTGCACATTTCCCCTTTTTATAAGGACACCAGTCATATTGGATTAGGGGCCATTTGCACCTTTATTCTTTTCTCCTTTTTTTTTTTTTTTTTTGAGACGGAGTGTCGCTCTGTCACCAGGCTGAAGTACAGTGGCGTGATCTCAGCTCACTGCAACCTCCGCCTCTGGGGTTCAAGCGATTCTCCTGCCTCAGCCTCTGTAGTAGCTGGGACTACAGGCACACACCACCACGCCCAGCTAATTTTTGTATTTTTAGTAGAGACGGGGTTTCACCATGTTGGCCCAGGATGGTCTTGATCTCTTGACCTCGTGATCCTCCTGCCTCGGCCTCCCAAAGTGCTGGGACTACAGGCATGAGCTACCACACCTGGCCTACTTTTTTAAATTCAGAAAGCACTGTTGCTACTTGTCTAAATTAGGTTTTGTCTTGGTTCTCTTCCAGGAGCTGGTCAGCTCTGACCTGGAGTGTGTCTACCCTGACCGTGTGACACCGGGATCAAGACCCTCTCCTGGGGTCTTGAGGACGCCACATGTGGGTGAGGCAGCCATTGAGCAAGGCAGACCCTGCTGAGGGTCTTGTGGTGGGCATGGCCATGTGCCACTCAGATCCCCCTTCAAGGCGGGCCTGGATGCCGCAGCTGTGGGGAGTGCCTCACCTGCAAGTGCCTCACCCCACCCCAGACCAGGCCAACCTTCACAGACTGATTGAGGCTGGTACATAAAGGCCTGGGGTTTCAGCCTATGTGGGACCATTCTGAGGGGCTGTTTTAGCCCTAGAGGTCACCGCGGAGTTGGCCGAGGTTGTCCTTGGGCCTAAATCCCAGCTTGATTTCTCAGTCCACCCCTGCCTCCTTCTCCTCCCTTCCTCAGGCGTTGCTCTAAAGAGCGCTTGCTCCTAAGCCTCCTGCACATGGAACTCCACCATGGAATCTGCTTCCCAGGAACTCACCCTGGGACCAGCCCCTCTGAGACTCAAGTCAACATTTGGTCCTAGGGCTGCAAAGAGGAGGTGCTAAGAGGCCAAAGGCTACTTCCACCTGGAGAACGGGCCCCGCGTGCCAGCTCCCCCAAGGCCTGGCCAGGATGCTCTGCTCGGAGGCCTGTCCTGACTTCCTCTGCTCATTGCCACCTGAAATTACCTAACCAACACCTTTCTTCCTCCCACCCTTCCACAAATACTTATTGAGCATCTGCTAGGTGCCAGTTACTGTTCTGCACAATGGCAATTACAGCCATGAAAGAAATAAAACAGAAACATTCCTGTTCTCATGAAGCTTCCATTCTAGCAGGGGAGCAGACAAATATCAAATCAATAATCAAAATAATGTCACTTGGTGATAGTACTGTGGGGAGGAAAAAGCAGGGAGTGGAGAGGGTTAGGGAGCAGGATGGAGGAGACACAGTGAACAGGAAAGGGCTCACTGAAAAGGTGACTTTCGAGAAAAACCTGAAGGAGGTGAGGGACTGGGTCACAAAGCTATTTTGGGAAAAAGCCTTCAAACAGCAGGAACAGCAAATGCAAAGACCCTGAGGCCAGAGCTTGCTGTGTGTGTTCAAGGAAGAGCAAGGCTGCTCCAGTTGCAGTCGAGGGAGTAAGCAGTAAGAAGTGACCTCAGGGACTGTGGGAGGGATCATGGGACTGCAGGTTGCGCAGGCCCCCTAGGCCACTGTAGGGACTTTGGCTTGGACTCAGAATGCGATGAGTCACCAGAGGGCTCTGAGCACAGGAGAAATGAACATTTTAAAGAATCACTATAGGCTGGGAGTGGAGGCTCATGTCTGTAATCCCACCACTTTGGGAGGCGGAGGTGGGAGGATCACTTAAGTCCAGGAGTTCAAGACCAGCCTGGGCAATGTGGTGAAACCCTGTCTCTACCGAAACACAGAAACACAGACACACACACACACACAGACACAGACACAGACACACACACACACACACAGACACAGACACAGACACACACACACACACACACACACACAAATTAGCTGGGCATGGTGGTGCACGTCTGTGGTCCCAGCTACTCAAGAGGCTAAGGTGGGAGGATGGCTTGAGCCCAGGGGACAGAGGCTGCAGTAAGCCAAGATCACACCACTGCACTCCAGCCTGGTGACAAAGTGAGATCCTGTCTAATAATAATAATAATAATCATAATCATAATCATAATCATAATCATAATCATAATCACTATGGCTGCTATGTGGAGAATGACCGAAGGGGTAAGGGCAGGAACGGGAGGCCCCTTAGACTGTTCCAGTGAGTCCAGGTGGGAGGTGGTTGTGGCTCGGGTGAGGGCTGGGGTCAGATTCTGGGGATATTTTGAAGGTGGAGCTAATGGGATTTGCTGTTGATCCTTCCAGGGGAGACAGCTGTGTAGCCGGCAGCGTTGTGCACATGCGTGCAGCCGGCAGCATTTATCAATGAGGCAAACATCGTGCAGTGGCCTTGGAGCCACACACACCTGGAGCCACACACACCTAGGTCTGGATCTCAACTCCACGCATCCTAGTTGCTCATCTCCAGCAGGCTACGTCTAACTCTCCCAGCCTCCATTTCTTATAAACTGGGGATAACAATTTTTATGTTATGAGATTACTGTGAAAATTAAGTGAGATAATGTAAAAGAAGGTCTGGCACAAAGTTAATTATGATGAGTTTAAATAATGTGGTTTCCTGTGAGTCCTGAATATACAGCAGAGATCAGTCGGGGGAGGGGCGAATGAGCAAAGGATCCCTGCAGGGGAGGCTGGGATCCTGCAGGAGGCACTTGCCAGAGCTGGGGGCAGTCAAGACGACCCAGGAGGGCAGTGGTGGGGAGACGGTGAGAGTCCACGGCCCACTTGCCTTCCCAAGTGAGGATGGGGAATTCCAAAGCCCAGGAAGACGCGGGTGGGGCGACCTTTAGAGAAAAGACAGTCAGAAGGGAATTCCTTGGATAAAGGCGGAGATGTGGAAAATGGGAACGCCACCAAAATCTAGAGAGGATGAGGTCATCCCAGCTGAAGCCAATCAAAACTTTCCCTGGAGCAGGCAAAAAAAATAAATAAATAAATGGAAGGGTTTTAGTAGGCCAGAAACTGGAGATTTCTAGCAGCTGCCAAGAAAGGAAGCGAGCCCTGGGCCCAGAGCCCATAAGCCCTGGGAGGCCCCACCCTGGCTAGAAAAAGAGACTGGTGGGTGCTGGGGCGCAGCCCAGAAGACAAAAGGGGAGGGGAAGCCATCTGAGTTGTCTGGGGGTGGTGATGGGGTGCGCTCCTGGAAAAGCCATTAGATCCTCGTCGGAGGCGGCCAGCAGAGCTCTGTGTCCCACTGCTCTGTAGGCATTTTTCCTTAAGAAAGACAAGAAACAAGATTAGTATTCCTTCAATCAGAACTGTTCTACTCATTTATACTTAGGATGCTTTCCCAATAAACCAGGGTCTAGCCAGGAGTTTAAACCGAGGGTCTGCCCTTTTTACCTACCTAGAGAGAGTGCTGGGATTGAATAAATGTGGGTTCAAATCCTGCTTGATTGTGGGCAGGGGGCTTGACCCCGGAGTGCTGTGACATGCAGATCACACTTGATTGTGGGCAGGGGGCTTGACCCCAGAGTGCTGTGACATGGAGATCACACTTGATTGTGGGCAAGGGGCTTGACCCCTGAATGCTGTGACATGGAGATCGCACTTGATTGTGGGCAGGGGGCTTGACCCCTGAATGCTGTGACATGGAGATCGCACTTGATTGTGGGCAGGGGGCTTGACCTCAGAGTGCTGTGACATGGAGATCGCACTCACTTGCATGTGTTTGGGGGTGGCTGGCTTCTCCCCTCCACCCCCAGGGTGTTAGAGAATTGAAGGAGACATAACGACCGTGAGAGTGGACACTTGGGCACACAGTCCATTCTTTCCCGTGTCAGGAAAGTCACAGGCGCTGGCTTCCAGGGGTAGGAGTGGAGGGTCTGGAATAGTGCCCCTGGTCCCAGGGCAGGAGTGTGACCCTTCTTCAGTGTCCTGCAGTTCAGACTCCCTCCCCCTGTGGTTCCACCATCTGTTCCCACTTCTCCAAGGTCCCAAATAAATGGCATAGAGCCCTCAGGAGGGGAGGCATCCTTTTCCCAGACTCCCAGACCCCATGTGGTCCAGGGTGCTGACGTCGGCCAGAAGCAGCCGTGGCGGAGCTTTTCTGGTAACCTCTTCCTAGAAGCATCCACCTCCGGGAAGGACAACAGTGGGACTGGGGCCAAGTCCAGCAGCTGCTCCACGCCTGCCTGGCCTGGGAGGTTTCCTGTGTGTCTACTCAGCCTGTCCAGATCCAGGGCAGTCGGGGCAGGCGATGGCTGGCTTGCCACTCCCCTCCCCTCCTTGTCACCACCCTCTCCAGGAAGCCAAACCACTTTAACTGCTGACCCCCAGCACCACGGATGCCCTGAGCCTGCTTCTCCAGGCAAGAAGGGAATGGGAGTGCCTCCCCTCCCCGCCCCACTCACCTGCTCTAACAGTGCTTCCTCTATGTATCACAGGCTTCAAAGCCATCTGAGTCTTGTTTCTAAAAAATTTAGCAGAGGACAGAAGCTCCCTCCCCTGGTCCCCTCTCAGAGTTTTTGAGGCCAACGTGTCATAGAATTTTAGAGCAGACACAGGGATCTCCCAACCCAGCCTAGCACCTCTTAATGAGTGGTTTTGGGGGCCAGGAACTGTGCTCAGTGCTTCACAGGCACTAATTCCAACAACTGCATGGGGAGACAGTATTATTTAGCTTTATTTTCCAGATGTGACATGGACATAAGCAACTCACCTAAAGTCACACAGCTACTAGGTGCAGAGCCTGTGCAGGAAGTCAGGTCTTGTGACTTCAGAACCCACCTCTTGGCCACCATCTTCCACTTCTCAAAGCACATTCCATGGGTCATTCATTCCTCAAGGTCTGTAGCAACGAAACAGACCTGTGGTCAAGCATGCTCGGGAAGAACTCTGTCTTCATCCTCACCCTTGAAGAGTCTTGGAGCATACTGACAGTTTAAAAACTCTGCGAAGTCCTGCAGTGAGTCAATGTTTCATTTTCTTTAACCCAGTGTTTCCTAACTTGTGTTTCCTGAACTTATTTTCACTTGGACCCCCTGCCCCCAACCCATCCTTTTAAAATAATATACTGTGAATATACCAGAATGTGCTTTGGGAAACACCACGCAAGATTGCATTACTGTCTTGTTCTGCTGGTGTCTGACACATATTAGAACTCGATAAACATCGGTTCCATAAAACTAACAACATCGTCTGCATTTTAGGTGATTCTAACCCATTCTCCAGTGTTCCTTTTCTTAAGGAGTTCCTTAGTGGTGGAAGATACCCCAGATCCTGCAGATAACCCAACCCTGATGTCACCTCCCCACTGGAGTGAGTCTTCTTTTCTATGCTGGTCACATGGGAAGAAAATTCCATCTAAGCACTTCCTCAGGGCACCCCTATTTCAGACTCCCAGAGGTTTCTATTCCAAGGACAAAGGGAAGTTTCCAAGACAATTCCATTCAGTATGGCAGCAGGAATATGGGTGTGGAAGAGGCTGTGAAAACCTCCGTACCTGTTCACCTTCTCCCAACCTGCCAAGCCTTCCCAGCAGGACAGCGCCAGACCCCTGAGCATCCCTCACCTCTGCCAGCACTCACCCCTACTTTTACCTTTCTTGGAGCCCTGCCCTATCATCCCTTCACTGTCCTCCTTTGATTTTGTATAACCCATCTAGCAGCCCCTCTTACTCCCGACCTCCCAGCGTGACTTGAACTCCATGCTAGATTGGATTCAGAGCTCCTCCACCCTGGCCTCCACCTCAGGGTCATCACATCATCATGGGGACTGTGAGCACAGAGCAGAGCCAGGCCCCCGGAGACTCAGGTTCCACTGTTGTGGAGTGGGGTTCAGCCCTCCTGTGTTTTCAAATGCAACTTGGGTTGAGAAGCACTGATGCTCCCCATCACCCACTGCCCTGGTTCCCAGCTATGCAGGCTCCAGCAGGCCTCTCCTCCCCACTCCTGGCTCCTGAGCACCACTGGAGAGGTCCTCGCACCTCACAGGACCAGCACCACTGTGAATCCAGTCTTCCCTCTCAGCACCACTGTGGCTGCCAGCGCGTGTACCACACTTGGTCTCATCGCCTCTGCCACTCACTGCTCTGTGCCTTCCTCTCTCTCCCCGCACTCCCTTCCTACCTGGGCCTAATGCTTGGCACCTAGTCTCCTACTTCTTGAAAAAAAAAACACATCAAGGCCATTGGGATCACATGATCTCCATCAAATTCCTGCTCCCTGCTGATTCTCCTCCCCCGACCCTCCCCCAACCCCTACTGCTTTCCTGTTAATTTTAGAAGCAGGTCAAAATCCAGGCCAAATCCCCCCAGCCGATGGAGTCAGGCTGCCAGGGTTCAAATCCCATTTCCATCACTTTCTGGCTATGTGATCTTGGGCAGATCTCTCTGGTTTTTTGGTTTGTTTTTGTTTTTCTGAGACAGAATTTTGCCCTTGTCACCCAGGCTGGAGTGCAATGGTGAGATCTTGGCTCACTGCAACCTCCGCCTCCCGGATTCAAGCGATTCTTCTGCCTCAGCCTCCCAAGTAGCTGGGATTACAGGTGCCTGCCACCATGCCCAGCTGATTTTTGTATTTTTAGTAGAGACGGAGTTTCACCATGTTGGCCAGGCTGGTCTCGAACTCCTGATCTCAGGTGACCCACCCGCCTCGGCCTCCCAAAGTGCTGGGATTACAGGTACGAGCCACTGTGCCCAGCCAGATCTCTGTTTCTCTCAGTTTCCTCATCAGTGAAATGGGATAATGCTTGCCTTTATCACATGGAGCTGACGGATTAAATGGAGTAGCCATGTGGAGAGTTTGGCATAAACCTGAAACACAGCAAATGCCAACAAGGTTTGTTACTGCTGTGCCTGGTTCTGTCATGATGAAACCTCTCCTCATGTGGAATGTGCTTCTGGCACATTCCTCCAGCCAATAAAAACACACGGTCCCTCCTGTCCTCATAACCTCTTGAATCTACGATCCCAATTTCTCTTGTTCCTTCTCCTCCAAACTTCTCAAAAGTGTCTTTTATCTGAGAGCTCCTTTCTTTATCTCCCTGTCTCTCCTCAGTTCACTGAGATCTGGCTCCCGGCCCTACCGTAGTTCAGCTTTGTCAGGGCCACCAAGGTCCTTGCCAAGATCAAGAGGTGCACGCGGACCCTTCTCCGTTCCTGGCTTTCTGCCTGCTGCCTTTGTTGATCTTTTCCTCCTTTTTGAAATGGCGATGGCTTGGCTTCAGTGTTCCGCATCATTTGCCTGGCTTTCCCTGTGCTCCCCCCACCTTTCCTTCTCTGTCTCCTGACAGGGCTTCCCCAGGACTGCCACTGCTTCCCTGAGGTTGTCCTTAGCTCATGGGTCTCCACTGCCCTCACTCTTTTTCAGGTGGTCTTAGCAGGTCTCATTGTTTCCACTTGAGGATTGATACCTGTTATGGACTGAACTGCACCCCTCCCAAATTCATATGTTGAAGCTCTAACCCCCAATGTGATTGTATTTGGAGACAGGGCCTTTAAGGAGGTAATTAAGGTTAAATGAGATCACAAGATAGGGCCCTAATCCAGTAAGTCTGGTATTCTTATAAGAAGACAAAGAGACACCAGAGATCTGTCTCTCTCCGTGTGCACACAGAGAAATGGTCATGTGAGGACACAGAGAGAATGAGGCTGTCTGCAAGCCAGGAAGAAAGGCCTCACCAGAATCAAACTTGATGGCATTTTGATCTTGGACTTCTAGTCTATGGAACTGTGAGAAAATAAATTTATGTTGTTTAAGCCACTCAGTGTGTGGTATCCTGTTATGGCAGCTCATGCTCATGAATACACTACCCAAGTATATTAGTTAGCTTTTGCTGTATTATAAAAACCATTCTAAAATTTAGTGGCTGAAAAGAACAACAATTTGGTCAGCCACTATGGCTCACCATCTGTAATCCCAACACCGAGAGACAGAGGCAGGAGGATCACTTGAGCCCAGGAGTTCAAGACCAGCCTAGGCATCATGGAGAGACCCCATCTCTACAAAAAATGAAAAAATTAACTGGGTATGGTGGTGCACACTTGTAGTCCCAGCTACTCAAGAGGCTGAGGTAGGAGGATCACTCAAGCCTGGGAGGTTGAGGCTGCAGTGAGCCATGATTATGCCACTGCACTCCAGCCTGGACAACAGAGCAAGACCCCATTTCAAAAAAAAAAAAGGAAGGAAGGAAGACAGAAAGAAAGAAAGAAAGAAAAGAAAGAGAGAGATAGAGAGAAAAAGAGATAGAAAGCAAGCAAGCAAGCAAGAAAAAAAGAAAGAAAGAAAGAAAGAAAGAAAAAAATAACAACCATTTATTTATTTAATTTTTTTTTTTAAGAGATGAAGTCTCACTTTGTCACCAAGGCTGGATTGAAGTTGCAGGATCACTACCACCTTGAATTCCTGAGTTTGAGCTATCCTCCCACCTCTGCCTCCCCAGGCAGCTGAGACTATAGGCATGTGCCATCACGCTAGCTAATTTTTAAATTTTTGTGTAGAGATAAGGTCTTGCCATCTTGTTCAGGCTAGTCTTGAACTTCTAGGCTCAACAATTCTCCCACCTCTGCCTCCTCAAGCAGCTGAGACTATAGGCATGTGCTATCATGCTAGCTAATTTTTAAATTTTTGTGTAGAGATAAGGTCTTGCTATCTTGTTCAGGCTGGTCTTGAACTTCTAGGCTCAAGCAATTCTCCCGTCTCAGCCTCCCAAAGTGTTGGGATTACAGGTGTGAGCCACTGTGCCTGATCCAACCATTTATTTAGCTCACCTTTGTGCAGATTAGCAATTTGGGCTAGGCTCAGCTGGGTGGTTCTTCTGGCCTTGGCCAGGCTTATGTGTCTGTGGTCAGCTGCTAGGTTGTCTGGACACTGATACTGGTTGGTCATAGTGGCCTCAGCTGGGATGGCTCACTTCTGCTTCCTATAGTCTCTCATTCTCCCAAGGGCAGGCTGGGGCTTGTTTTCATGGCTGGGGAGGAAGGTTCTAAAACATCAAGCAGAATGGGGATTTAAAAAGAAAAGCCTCAAACTAAAGGCAGAGACCTAGTCCTTTCCATTCACATCTGGGATTCTGGTAGTTGATTTGTCAATATTAAGACACCTTGGACAATGAACTAGGAATATATAATAATAATTAAATAAGTAAACTCTGAGAAGGCACCTACTGTTTTAAGGCATAGTGGACAGGACTTGATGGATATAGAAGGAAGAATAAGGGAAATAGGCCTCCTTCTGGGTATCTGGTTTGGTAGACCGGGTGGAGAGTGGAAATAATTTGCTGAGCAAATTATTTGCTCAAGCCTGGGCTCCCCAAGCTTGACCAGATTTGGATACCCTTCCAAGTCACTTCCCCAGGCATAGGGTCTTATATGCTTGATACTGTTCAAGGAACTTTGCACACACAGAACACTGAGGTGCTTAAGAGGATGCCACTGGAGCCAGACTTGCTGAATTTGAACTCTGATTCCGCCACTAACACAGAGAATGTCAGTGCATTCTGCATCTCAGGGTTGCTCACCTGTAAAAGAGGAAGAATAATGGCCCTTACTCCAGTGGGTTGTTGTGAAGATTAAACGAAATAATACGTGAAAGCCACATAGAAGTGCTTGGCTCAGAAAGTGCCCTATAAATATCTGCTATTGTCATTATTGTCTCATTAATTCTCACAACCCACCCATGAGGTAGGCACTTCTATCTCCATTTTCCAGTTGAGGAAACTGAGGCTTGGAAGGGTTAAATAATTACTATGCATGGCTAGTAGGTGGATAAGCTGGACTTTGGACCCTGGCAATCGTAACTCCAGAACCTCTCATCTTACCTGACACTTCCTCCATATTCCCTCATTTGCCATTCTCCAAAAGGAAGAGAGCATAGTTGGGGTTGAAAAGAATGAGTCTGGTTTTAGGAGTAGATTTGAACTTGCCTCTAGGACATCCAAGTAGAGACTTCTGGGCAGCAGTTGCACTTGTTCTTGGAGTATAGAAATCAAGACATTGTACTCATAGTATAGGCAGGGAGTCCTCAGCAGACAGAGGGAGATTTAATCTACGGATGGATAAGATCACTCAGGGAGGCCAGGCGTGATGGCTCATGCCTGTAATCTCAGTACTTTGGGAGGCCGAGGTGGGCAGATTGCTTGAGGTCAGGAGTTCAAGACCAGCCTGACCAACATGGAGAAACCCCATCTCTACTAAAAATACAGAATTAGCCGGGCGTGGTGGCGCATGCCTGTAATCCCAGCTACTCGGGAGGCTGAGACAGGAGAATTGCTTGAACCTGGGAGGCGGAGGTCGTGGTGAGCTGAGATCATGCCATTGCACTCCAGCCTGGGCAACAAGAGCAAAACTCCGTCTCAAAAAAAAAGATCACTCAGGGAGATGGTGTAGCATGAGAGCAGGGGAGAGCCCAGGGCAGTTTTAAGGAGTGGACAGTGGATGGAGGAAGGAGGAAAGGGATCCCATGAAGGAGTATGAGAAGGCTGAGCAGCCCAGGGAAGGGAAAGCAAGTTTTGCAGGGAGGGTGACCACACGTCTGAGTGTGCCTGGGAGTCTTGGCTTATGACAGTGAGCCTGGCATAATTATTCATTAGTGCCCCCTTTCACTTTAAACAGTGACCCAGTTTGGGAGATTAATCATATATTCCCTACTTAGAGGGTCAAGGAGGGGAAAGCTTCAGGGAGGAGGAAATATAAGCATAAAATCCCACTGAGAAAACAAGCAAGGTAAGAATGGAAACTGGTCCATTAGAATTAGATTTGGCAAACCGATGACCTTGAAGAGAGAAGTTTCGGTAGAAAAAGGTGGAAAACAGATTGGATCAAGCTGAAGTCTGACTAAGAGATAAGCAGAGATAACAAATGTTCATAAATCTTTTCAGAAGCCAGGCTGGGAGAAAAGAGGCAAATGGACAGCTGCAGGGAAAGAAAGCCACTTCCCAGACGCCACCCAATGTGGAAGGGATTTTTGAGCATGTCCAGACCTGACAGGCAGGAAGCTACTGTATAGAGAAATTGACAGGCATTAAGCAGGGAATACTGACAGCTGAAAGTTCCTGGAGAGCCAGAAAGTACAGCCCAACTAGATGGAGAAGAGCTTTGAAGAAATAAAGTTGGAAATTTAAGAAATGTTGGGAAAAAATCATCCCAAGAAGGTCAGTTTCTGGTCATGGAGGTGGCATCATCTTACAAATAGTTCCACCCAGGCCGGGACAGAACTTGGTCAACAATGCCTGGTCTTCCTCGTTTACCTCAGTGAGACTACTTACCCCTGAAAAATGCACATACCTACGTATGCATGATTTCCACACACTTGTAGGAGGTTCACAACTCCCTGAAGTCCAGAGAGCAGTCTCAAGCACAGTGAGGAAGCCCTGCCCTTCGGAGCACTTTTCTGCTCCTTGAGTGTCCCCACCCCAAAATCCATTCTCTCCAGCTCCTCAAGCTGATTGGTAACTCTTACAGTAGCCGTTAAGGTGGCCCCGTCTTCGTTAAAAAAAATTTTTTTAATCTTATTTTTTTAAGCCATCTCCTACCAAAAAGACCCTTCTTCATTTTAAAAGACTTTCATAACTTGCTACAAATTCCACATTTGCAGATTACATTTTACCAATTGCATTCAAAATCAGCTTCTTCCAGATCCTTCAAGGGAGAGTTGAATACGATTAATTTGGTTTCTTAGTCCCGTTAGTGTGATTTCTCAAAGGTTCTTCCTGGGGTGGGGTGGGGTCCTGCTGGGGGTTTCCAGGAACCCCACAAGCTCCTGCTTGGGGTCTGGGCTCCCCAAGCTTGACTAGAAATGGACTCCCTTTCAAGCCACTGGCCTGGGCATAGGGCCTTACACACTTGGGGCTCCGAGCTGCTTGATGAGGGCCTGTTTTTAGGATGCTCCTTTCACCTCCCAGCTGTGTAGAGATTATCTGGTAAGAATTCTTTTCACTCTTTTTTTCTTTTTTTTTTGAGACAGAGTCTTGCTCTGTCACCCAGGCTGAAGTGCAGTGGCACGATCTCAGCTCATTGCAACCTCTGCCTCCCTAGTTTGAGCCATTCTCCTGCTTCAGCCTCCTGAATTGCTGAAACTACAGGTGCCCGCCACCATGCCTGGCTAATTTTTGTGTTTTTATTAGAGATGGGATTTTGCCACGTTGGCCAGTCTGGTCTCGAACTCCTGGGCTCAAGCGATCCACCCACCTCAGCCTCCCAAAGTGCTGGGATTACAGGCATGAGCCGCTGCAACCGGCCTCTCTTCACTTCTTACACTTTATCACTTAATGCATATTAATGAGATAGAACATGGCCTTCATTTATTTATTCAACAAATGTTTGTCAAGCCCAGGTACAGGGCCGGATACTGGAAAGGGAGAGGGGCTGACGCCTGCTCCCTGAGCTCAAGGTGTCTCTCAGAGGCAAAGCCCATCAGCAAAACAGATGGCAAAAAAAAAAAAAAAACCCTCACCTAAATAATTTTGAGGAGTTGATGACATTTAGAAGCATTATCATTGGAATCTCCACGGAATTTTGGATTAAGACAGTGAAAAGCCTTTACAGCCTCCAAACAGTAGCTTCATTTCTGTAGCAATGGAGGCCTGTGTGAAGGCAGTGTGAGCGGGGGAGGGGGGTCTTCTGAGGCCTGTTCCACAGATGAGGAATCACAGACAGAGACAGAGGCTGAGAGCCGCCTTGAAGGCCAGCTCAGATCCTCTGCCTTCCAAACTGGAGGATGAAGAATCCAAGAGGACATAGGAGAGTACAGGGAGAGAAAAAATAGCCTGGAGAAGAGTTGGAGAAGAGTTGGAGAAATGGGGAAATAGTAGATGAAGTGACGTGGGTGGAATAGGCACCAGGCAGAGATGGAGCAGAATATTTGAATGAATGAAGACAGCCAGAGTGCCACTGACAAGATGAGAGAGAGTTCCCAGCTCTCGTAATTCTCAGTGCATGGGTGCCATGGCCCACAGGCAGATTCGAGGCCCTTGCCTGAAGGGCAGCCCCCGACAGCCCCGCCAAGATCCCATCCTGACTCCTTTCCTTGTCATCCCCCCACTTTCAGCATGTGTTTCAGTGAATCCTCCCACTCACCCAGGACTCATAGCCCTGACCTCTCTCTGACCTGCATTCCCAGGGGACACCTCCACCAGGGCTCCCAGCCACCTTATTCATTTATTCAAAAATGTTCTTTCAACACTTATTACGTACTAGTAACTGCTGTGCCAGTCCCAGAGAGGACAACCAACAGCAAATGACATGGTCCCTGCCCTAGTGGGGTGGGAGACAACTAAAATAACTCGATCACAGTAAGGTATGAGGATGTCTTCCACTCTATGCCTGGGATAATAGCACCATCATCAATTGCAGTAGACCCAGCCAGAGTCCTGGGTCTCCTTGACCCCTCCTCTCCTACGTGACCACATGTCCAGGTGCTAAGAGTGCCTGGGATGTGTCCCCCTGCTTCTTTCTCCATGACCTCTGCCTGGACTCCTGGTCTGCACTCCCAAGCCCTCCTCCACATTACTGCCTGAGTTTCCTTCTAAAATGCAAACATAATCATGGTATTCTCAAGATTAAGAACTTCCCCAGGTCAGGCACAGTGGCTCATGTCTGTAACCTTAGCACTTTGGGAGGCTGAGGTAGGCAGATTGCTTGAGCCCAGGAGTTTGAGACCAGCCTGGGCAACATGGTGAAACCCCATCTCTAGTGAAAATACAAAAAGTAGCCAGGCGTGGTGGTATGCACCTGTGATCCCAGCTACTCGGGAGACTGAGGCAGAAGAATTGCTTGAGCCCAGGAGGTGGAGGTTGCAGTGAGCCGAGATGACCATCACAGCTCACTGCACCCTGGACCTTCTAGGCTCAAGCAATCTTCCTGCCTCAGCCTTCTGAGTAGCTGGAACCATAGGCATACACCACCATGCCTGGCTAATTTTTTAATTTTTTGTAGAGACGGGGTTTCACTGTGTTGCCCAAGCTCGTCCCGAAATCCTGGGCCCAAGCTATCCTGCAAAAGTGCTGGGATTACAGGCTTGTGCCACCACACCTGGCCTGACCTATTTTACTAAAGAAGTTGAAGCCACACAGTGACTTGATCCAGCTTCCTCCTCAAAACAGACTCTCCCAGCTCCCTTGTATTTCTTCTTCCTGTCTATGTGGACTCAGAGATTTATCCTCCCCTTGTACTCTTTTGTTTTGTTTGTGTCTGTTTTCTTGTTTTGAGACAGAGTCTCACTCTGTTGCCCAGGCTGGAGTACAGTGGCATGATCATAGCTCACTGCAGCCTTGATGATCCTGGGCTCAAGTGATCCTCCCACCTTAACCTCCTGAGTATCTGGGACCATAGGTGTGCACCACAATGCCCGGCTAATTTTTTAAAAATGTTTTATAGAGATGGGGCTCTCACCATGTTGCCCAGGCTGGTCTCGAATTCCTGGGCTCAAGCGATCCTCCTGCCTCAGCCTCCCAAAGTGCTGGGGTTATAGCCGTGAGCCACTGTGCCTGGCCCCCCATGTACTCTCAATGCTATCTATTTCCTTGCTCCATTCATCTCCTTATTCATTTCTTTCTCTTTCCTCACATGTCATTCCTACTTATCTTAGTTTGGATTCCTCTAGGAGCAGACTCTGAGCCAAGGCCTTTATTGGGAGATAGGTGTAAGGGACAGAATGGTGTGCAGGGGGAGAGTGGGAAGGGAGTGATACAGAGAAGGAAAAGTCACTGAGAACAGGTACAGTTAGATGCCAGGCACTATGGTGAGCTACTGGAGCTGAATCCTGCAGAGCAAACTGGAAAACAACACCAAGCACATTCCCAGAAGTGTTCCCATGAAGGGTGAGGAGCCAGGGTACTCCTCTGTATTAGTCCGTGTTCCCCAGAGAAACAGACCAAAAGGAGATATGAGAGAGAGAGGGAATTGTTAGAGGAATTGGCTTATGTGATTATGGGGGCTGAGAAGTCCCACCATCTGCCATTTGCAAGCTGGAGAGCCAGGGGAGCTAGAGACATAATTCAGTCTGAGTCCAAAGGCCTGAGAATCAAGAGTGCCAACATCTGAGGGCAGGAGAAGATGGAGGTCCCAGCTTCAGAAGAGTGACCTAATTTGCCTTTCCTCTGCCTATTTGTTCCATTGGGGGCCTCAATGGATTGGATGGTGCCTGCCCACACTGGTGAGGGTGGAGCTTCTTCACCCAGTCTGCAGATTCAAATGTTAATCTCTTTCACAACCCCCTCACAGACACACCCAGAAATCATGTTTCACCAGCTATCTGGGCACCCCTTAGTCCAATCAAGTTGACATATATAATTAATCATTACATCCTCCTCCACACCCTCCAGGCATCAGAGAAGGGCTGCAGGGGATGGGGGGGTGTTAATTCCCAGCCACTCCCAGTCCTCCAGCTGCTTGCCAAAGTGGCTTCCATACCCTTAAACCAGTAGTTCTCGACTGGGGGTGATTTTGCTGTCCAGGGGACACTTGGCAATGTCTGGAGACATTTTTGTTGTCATAACTCAGTGTGTGTGGAGGCTGCTACTAGCATCTAGTGGGTAGAAGCCAGGGATCCTGCTAAACATCTTACAATATATAAGACAGACTCCACCCCCACCTTTGGCCCAAGAATTATCTTTTTTTTCCCCCTTATCTTACTGCTCCATGCCAGTTGTAACCAAGAATTATCCTGTCCCAAATGTCAATAAAGCCAAGGTTGAGAAACCCCACCTTCAACAACATTGCAGGTGCTGGCAGCCGGCAGTCACTGACATGCCAGAAACCATAAGGGGATCCGGGAGAGTAAGGACAGCATCCGCTAGGGTGCTCAAGATTCTGGCCTAAAACCAGCGACAAAATTCTCTCCACCTCGCTGCCCCTTAAGCCCTCTCTTTCCTTCTACTCTCACATGGCTAAAGAGCCCCCAACCCTCTGCCTCCATGTCTTAGCCACTCAATCCTAGCCACTGCAATCTGGCCTCCCTCATCGTGCCTCTGAACCCCACCCTTCCCCTGCCAAGATCACTAGTGAAGTCATCACTGCTAAATTGAATAAACACTTCTCAGAACCTGTTTTGCTTCACCACTAGTCTTTGAAACTCACCTTGCTGGCTTTGGGACACCCCACGGCGATCGCTCCGGTAAGTGAAGACTAGCCACTGGCACCAGGGCCAGGGGAACTGGCAAGCATTTGGAAACTGTGGAACCTGAGCCCATGTAAATGCAGGGAATTAAGGCAGCCTCCATAAGTCAGAAGCTGACAAGCAATTCTAGAAAACATGTCCTGGAGGCAAAGCCAGGAGGCATTCCAGGGGCAAGCAGCAGCCTGGTGATGCCCCCAGGAGTGTGAGGTGTGCTACACCAGGGCTGAACCTGCCCAGTGCTACGGGCGTCTGGGACCTGACCAACAGGAGAGCTGCCCGGCTGAGGAAGTAGAACTGGTGCTGGTTCCAGAGTGTTCATGATGTGCTAGACACCGGTGCTGCAGAGATGAGCCTCACGGAGTGACAGTTGAGTAGAGAAAGCATTGAAGAAGGCAAGTGATGCGATTGTGTGAATGGGTAATGACAAAAGCATGTGGCACTAGGGCGGCAGAGGGAAGTCAAATAAAGCTTCCTGGAGTCGGTGACATAGGGACTGGGTTTTTTGGTTTTTATTTTTTTTTTTAAGACAGAGACTCGCTCTGTCGACCAGGCTGGAGAGCAGTGACGTGAGCTCAGCTCACTGCAACCTCTGCCTCCTGGGTTCAAGTGATTCTCCTGTGTCAGCCTCCTGAGTAGCTGGGACTACAGATGTGCACCACCACGCCCATTTAATTTTTTTGTATTCTGTTTTTTTTTTCTTTTTTGTTGAGACAGAGTCTCGCTCTGTCACCCAGGCAGGAGTGCAGTGGTACGAGCATGGCTCACTGCAATCTCTGCCTCCCAGATTGAAGCGATTCTCGTGCCTCAGCCTCCCGAGCAGCTGAGATTACAGATGTGCGCCACCATGCTTGGCTAATTTTTTGTATTTTTAGTAGAGATGGGGTTTCACCATGTTGGCCAGGCTGGTCTTGAACTCCTGGCCTCAAGCAATCCACCCACCTCAGCCTCCCAAAGTGCTGGGATTACAGGCGTGAACCACCGTGCCTGGCAATTTTTTTTGTATTTTTAGTAGAGACGGGGTTTCACCATGTTGGCCAGGCTGGTCTTGAACTCCTGACCTCAGGTGATCCACCCTCTTCAGCCTCCCAAACTGCTGGGATTATAGGCGTGAGCCACTGTGTGCAGCCAGGAACTGGGTTTTGAATGAAGAAACAGACCCCAAGCTGAAAGAAGAGCAAGCCATCAGAAGAGAGGACACCAGGTGCAAAGACTCAGCGCAAGGGCCATGGGAGAGTCCTTAGGTGTGACCAGAGGGATAGCTTGAGGAAGCGTCTGGGGTGGGCTGGGTAGCACCACAGGGGCAGGTCACCGAGGGCCTGGGATGCCCAGGCAAGGAGCCAGGAAGAGCTTGTGGAAACTGGTCATGATTTTTAAGCCCAGTGTGATCAGATGTGACCGGAGACAGGTAAAAGGTAGCTTTGTCTGAACAGGCGAAGAAAATAAAGGCAGTCATGAAAGCATCAATCATTTCTTCAGTAGATTTGTATTAAATGCTTACTCTGTGCTAGTCTGATTTAGACACTAGCAATACAGAGGTGGTAAACTAGATGAGGCTCTCTGGCCTCATGGAGCTTGTGTGTGTGTGTGTGTGTGTGTGTGTGTGTGTGTGTGTGAATAAGATGAGAACAAATCTACAAAAAAATAAACAGGAAGATACCAGATGTTATGAAGGACTAGGGGAAGAACAAACAGAGTGACACGGTGGAGTCACCGGGGCTTCTGGAGGGCCAGTAGGGAGGGAAGCCCTCTTGTAGGCAGTGGTAGCTGAGCTGAGAACTCTGAAGAGAGTGAGCCCACTCATGAGGCGTGAGGGACAGAACCTTCCAGAGAGGAGGAAGAGTTCATGCAAAGGCCCTGGAAGGAGCTTGAGGAGGAGAAAGAAAGCCATGGAGGGTTGTCGCGGAAATCAAAGAGGGTGCTCTTGAGAGCAATTAGGAGTTCATTGACAGCCTTCGGTGACTGACTGGATATGAGGTAGAGGGACTTCCCATGTCCACTTCGGGAATGTGGGTGCCCCCACCCAGACAAGAGACAGCAGGATGAGCCCATCTGGGTAGAAGGGAATGGACTATGCAGTGGGCTGAACAGCAGTTTGTCCAGCTGGATAGGAGAAGACAAGTCCAAGATCTAACCTTCAGAAACTTGTGAATGTGACGTTATGTGGGAAAAGGGTCTTTGCAGATCTAATTAGCTTAAGGACCTTGAGATGAGGTCATCTTGGATTTAGGGTGGGCCCTAAATCCAATGACAGGTGTTCTTATGAGAGAAAGGCAGGGAGGGAGACTGGAGACACAGAGACACACAGGGGAGCCGACTGTGTGAAGATGGAGGCAGAGATGGGAGTTGTGCTGCCACAAGCCAAGGACAACTGCAATACCAGAGGCTGGGAAAGGCAAGGAGACATTCACCCCAAGAGCCTTCGGAGGCAGTGCAGCCCTGCTGACATCTTGATTTCAGCCTTAGGAGAATAAATTACTGTTGTTTTAAGTCACCAAGTTTGTGTTGATTTGTTACGGCAGCCACAGGATGCTAAAACAGACCACTCCATGAAGAGTCTAGCTAGAGAGCCAGAAAAAGGAGTTAACTAGGCAAGTGGATGCATAGAAGTCCTCTTGGGAGAGCAGCCAGGGCAGGAGACAAAGTTCAGAAGCCATTTGAGCTTGCAGGTGGCCGTCTAAACCAGGGTCATTTTTGAGGGAGTACGATGCTAGTCAGAAAACCACCCTAGAAGCTCTCTCTCAGAAGCACAAAACAGAAAGCTTTCCAGATTCTTCTTTTAACAGATTTCACTCACTTATAGAACCAAACACCCACACTATCTAATCAATAAGATACAATGTTCATATCAGAGAATACGCTTATTTACATTTTAATGCCTCCTGATAAATTATATCTTGTCAGATTCTTTTCTTTTCTTTCTTTCTTTTTTTTTTTTTTTTTTCAGGCAGTCTTGCTCTGTTCCCCAGGCTAGAGTACAGTGGTGTGATCTCAGCTGACTACAACCTCTGCCTCCTGGGTTCGAGTGATTCTCCTGTCTCAGCCTCCCAGATAGCTGGGATTTACAGACACACGCCACCACACCTGGCTAATTTTTGTATTTTTAGTAGAAACGGGGTTTCACCATGTTGGCCAGGCTGGTCTCGAACTCCTGACCTTAGGTGATCCACCAATCTTGGCCTCACAAAGTGCTGGGATTACAGGCGTGAGCCATCAGGCCTGGCCTCCCCTTCTCTTTTGAAGATTATTTTCTTAAGTCAGTAGTGATTGCACCTCCTTGCAACTCCGGCCTTATGTAAGGCCAGCCCATTTTATATCCAGCACAACTGAGAACGCGTAAAGAGAAAGGCTGGAGGAGAGGAAGTGCCAGAAACGATCTTTATTAGTTGACAGCATTGTGTGTTGTAAGTTTCTCCTGATGCCTCAGAGTGGGCTGAGGAAATGCTTCTGTTGCTCAGGCTGTATTTGCACCTCCTCTTTACAACTACTTTCAAAATGTGTCCACTCACAGATAGTGCGAGAGTGCCACCCACTCTTTGCACCTGGCCTGCCCTTAACATTTGCAGGACCCAGGGCAAGAGTACAAGTGGAGGCTCATGTTTCCTATGCCTAAGTGTTTACAAAGTATTAAACCACAACATGTTAAGCAGAATATATTTTATCTACCTACCTTGACAATGACTTCCCAGTGCTTTAGAAGGCCAGGATCAACCTCAGAACTCTCAGGTTTCTTGGAATTAGGCACCAGAATGTAGAATGCAGCCAACTGGGATGGAAGGAAGAGAGGAAGATTTATTTTTCCTCTTTACCCTCTAGCTATTTGAGATTTAAAAAATCAATAGTGTTGTAGTGGAAGGTGTTGAGTTCCTGTCTACCACCTCTTCCCCACCTCTCCTTCCTTCTTTCAGATATCCATCAACCTCTGCATAGCCCACCACCTACTAGGGGGAAGCTGATTCTTATGCACCGACTTGGCTGTCAGAGGGAGTGTGGGTCCTGATTAGTTAAGCCATTCTCTGCATGTATGTTATCATTGTGCGCCCTGACTGGGGCATAAGACCCAAGCTGACCCAGTCAAGCGTCTTCTCTTTCCTCATAGATGTGGACAAGATAATGCCAACTGTCTCTGGTAGCCATCTTGCAACCACAAAGGGCCCTAGTGGGGATGGTGGGCGGGGGGGGGCAGACAAAGCTCTTACTGAGGATGGCAGAGCTGAGAGACAAGAAGAATTTGGGCCCTTGATGCTGTCACAGGGTTCATTAAGAAGCCTACCCTGTGTCTGCATGGCCAGTTCACTCATTCCTTCATTCTACAAGTATTTATTGAATACCTACTATGTGCCAGGCCCTGTTTTACATGCTGGAATATAGCAGTAAATATAAACAGACAAAAATCCCCATCTTGTGGAACTTATGTTTTTGTGTGGAAAGAAAAAAGTGACAGACCATAAACATAACTAAAATAAGCAAGAATAATATGTCAGAAAGTTATACATGCTATGGAAAAATAAAAGCAGTTTGCTAGAATGGATTATCAAATACTAAATTCCTGTACGTATTGAGCATTCTTTTCAGTAATAAATCAAAACATCCCTTTTGGAAGTTGATAGTCCTTTAGTTTGCAATGTGTAAGAATGCTTAATTTTGCACTGGTGCTAGGCTTCTACTCAGAAGCCTGTAATCCCAGCACTTTGGGCGGCCAAGGAGGGCGGATCACAAGGTCAGGAGTTTGAGACCAGCCTGACCAACATGGTGAAACCCCATCTCTACTAAAAAAATACAAAAATTAGCTGGGTGTGGTGGCGCACGCCTGTAATCCCAGCTACTCGGGAGGCTGAGGCAGGAGAATCGCTTAAACTGGGGAAGCGGAGGTTGCAGTGAGCTGAGATCACACCACTGCCCTCCAGCCTGGGCGACAGAGACTCCATCTCAAAAAAAAAAAAAAATTATGATGGAAATGGGAGGATTCCTAGGGATTGTGACTTAAAAAGGCATTTGTTTTTGGACAAGTGTGATAATCAAATTAATGAATCTTATGAACTGCCTACTAGTGTTGCAAAGGTATCAGATCCAAACAAAATAACAAAACAGCACACACACATACATACACACGCAGTGGTAGTCTTTGAAATATGGATAACCAATGAGCTGGTGGTGAAAGTGAAACTATGCCATCACATGACACACATTTTAGAGATGCTCCTAAATTCTGGGATAAATTTGTCCAACATCAGGCATCAGTTTGAAATGTACACAGAATTCCACATAAAAGCTATCAAAATAATTTCATGTTAGGACAAGAACACAGTGCATTAGGAGATAAAAATGCAAAATCTGTGGAAGCCAAATGTATATGATCATATTTAATTGTAAGGCCTGGAACTGCTAAGTTTATTGACAAATTGTCAGTCCTGATGCCAATGAAATGTGGTGAGGGATGATCACAGCAAAGTAAGCTAAATGATTGACAGGGCATCTCTGTTTTGTAACGTACTTCATCATTGTATTACAGAAATTGAATTTATTTACTTTGCTGTTGATATAAAGCACAATGAAGTGAAATGAGTCACTGCAAACTAGAAAATCTGGTGATACTATGAATTCTTGCATTCTTTTACTGTTGTCAGCCATGAGCCGGGTAAAGTCAATGAAGATATTTTACACTGCCAACCTTTGCAACTTGCACAGACAACTCGCTAATCACTCATGACATAGACTAGAAGTGAAGATTTGGGATAGGCATGGATGGACTGAGGCTCTGGATGGTAAATGTCTCCACAGTCAAGCTGTTACACCAGAGCTGTGTCCCCTCAATGCCACTGCATGCAGGGAAACTGTCACTCACCAGAATAGGTATGAAGATTTCAGACAAGTACTAAAGCCCATAAAATTGACAGTCATGTCACAAGCAGGCAACTAAATACCTGACCTTTTTTCTTGGCTGTGTGAAGAGATGGGCAATGTCTACAAAGGACTGCTGCTTCAAATAGAAGCTCAATGCCTTTTGACTAGAAAAGCTTTCATTCATTTAGTTCAGTTATAACAGAACTTCCTTTTTTCTTTTTCTTTTTTTTTTTTTGAGACGGAGTTTTGCTCTGTCGCCCAGGCTGGAGTGCAGTGGTGTGATCTTGGCTCACTGCAACCTCCGCCTCCCGGGTTCAAGCGATTCTCCTGCCTCAGCCTCCGGAGTAGCTGGGGCTGCAGGCACATGCCACCACACCCGGTTAATTTTTTGTATTTTTAGCAGAGACGGGGTTTCACCGTGTTAGCCAGGACAGTCTCGATCTCCTGACCTCGTGATCCGCCTGCCTTGGCCTCCCAAAGCGCTGGGATTACAGGTGTGAGCCCCTGTGCCCGGCCTACTTCCTTTTTCTTAGAAAACTTTCCCTTTGTGAGGCCAGGTGCAGTGGCTCATGTCTGTAATTGCCGCACTTTGGGAGGCCGAGGTGGGCAGATCACCTGAGGTCAGGAGTTCAAGACCAGCTGGGCCAACATGGTGAAACCCCGTCTCTACTAAAAATACAAAAATTAGCCGGGTGTGGGGCATGTGCCTGCAGTCCCAGCTACCTGGGAGGCTGAGGCAGGAGAATCGCTTGAACTCAGCAGGTGGAGGTTGCAGTGAGCCAAAATCATGCCACTGCACTCCAGCCTGGGCAACAGAGCGAGACTCTGTCTCCAAAAAAAAAAAAAAAAAAAAAAGAGAGAGAGAAAACTTTTCCTTTGTGAGGTATTATGACTGAATGGGTCTGGCTTTGTAAATCAATCTACTTGCTCATCTAAACCCCTAGCTATACGGTTATGAGAAAGTGCAGGAGTACTCCCCACTCAAGACTAAGGGACCAAAAAGTGGGGCAAATCTGGTGCCACAGACTTTGAGTCAAGATTTTTTTTTTCCATTGCCTGAAAGGCTTGGCTATTAACTCATCTGAAGATGTGTTGAAAACGACACTTAAGGCTGGGCGCGGTGGCTCACACCTGTAATCCCAGCATTTTGGGAGGCCAAGGCGGGCATATCACCTGACGTTAGGAGTTTGAGACCAGCCTGGCCAACATGGTGAAACCCCATCTCTACTAAAAATACAAAAATTAGCTGGGCGTGGTGGCATGCGCCTGTAATCCCAGCTACTCGGGAGGCTGAAGCAGAAGAATCACTTGTACCCAGGAGGCAGAGGTTGCGTTGAGCCTAGATCACGCCACTGTACTCCAGCCTGGGGGACAAGAGCGAGACTTCATCTCAAAAAAAAAAAAAGAAAGAAAGCAAAGGAAAAGACACTTAAAGGCTTAATAAAAAGGCTTCTATAAGTATTTTCCTTAAACTGGCAGTGGTTAAATATACAAGGAAACTTTTATTCCACCACTTTAGGACATCACCAAATAACTCTAGACCTTCAGAACAGATTCTGAAGATACCTGCAGATGGTTTCTTGAAACACTTTTTTTGTTTCTTTTCTGTTTTGTTTTTGAATACAGTAATTTACATTAGTTTATTCCACTTATATCATTTTAAATGGGAATTATTTCTCAGCAACTGAACCTATCAAAGAAGATGGTTAAACCTAGTAGCAGTCAACATTTATTAACACTTTCTTTGTGCACATATTGTGTTGGAAACACACATATTAACTCATTTAACCATCAATAACACTTTGATGCAGATATTACCTGCTAAATAAATAAATGTTAGTATTTCATTTTATAGATGATAAAACTTAGACACAAAAGGTTAAGCAACTTGCCCAAGTTGCACAGTTAGGAAAGCCAGGATTAAAACCCAGATAATTCTGGCATCCAAGTCCAAGCTTTTAACTATTATGCTATATATTTTAAATATGTAAATGTATGTAGGTATATGTGTGTGTATTTAAAATAAGTGCTACCTTAATACTGCTGCAAAAAATTACCACAAACTTAGTGGCTTAAAACAATACCACTTTAGGCACATATACACCATGGAATACTATGCAGCCATAAAAAAGCGTGAGTTCATGTCCTTTGCAGGGACATGGATGAAGCTAGAAACCACCATTCTCAGCAAACTATCACAAGGACAGAAAATCAAACACTGAATGTTCTCACTCATAGGTGGGAATTGAACAATGAGAACATCACACACCGGGGCCTATTGGGGGGTTGGGGGCTGGCGGGGGGGTAGCATTAGAAGAAATACCTAACGTAAATGACAAGTTGATAGGTACAGCAAACCAACATGGCACATGCATACCTATGTAACAAACCTGCATGTTGTGCACATGTATCCCAGAACTTAAAGTATAATAACTTAAAAAAAAACCCACCATTTTATTGTGTTAGATTTCTGGAGGTCAGAAGTCTGAAATAGGTCTCACTGAGCTAAAATCAAGGTGTAGTCAAGGCTGTGTTCTCTCCGAAAGCTCTAGGGGAGAATCCGTTTCCTTGCCTTTTCCAGCTTCTAGAGATTGCCTGCATTTCTTGGCTGTTGGCCCATTCCTCCATCTTCAAAGCCAGAAGGGTAGCATCTTCAGTTCTTTCTGACTCTGACTCTGACACTGTCTCTCCTGCCTCCATCTTTCATCTGTAAGACACTTGTGAGTACACTGGGGTCACCCAGAATAATCTCTTTATTTTAAAGTCAGTTGATTAGCAACCCTAATTCCATCTGCAACCTTAATTCCTCTCTGCCACGTGGCATAACATATTCACATGTTCCAAGGATTAAGGCATGGACATCTTTGTAAGGTCATTATTCCGCTTTCTACGATTTCCTCAGTTCAAAATTTAAAAATTACAAAACAGCCAGGCGCGGTGGCTCACACCTGTAATCCCAGCACTTTGGGAAGCTGAGGTGGGTGGATCACTTGAGCCCAAGAATTCAAGACCAGACTGGGCAACATGGTAAAACCCCATCTCTACAAAAAATACAAAAATTAGCCAGGCGTGGTGGTGCACGCCTGTAGTGCCAGCTACTCAGGAGGCTGAGGTGAGAGAATCAATTGAGCTTGGGAGGTTGAGGCTACAGTGAGCCATGATCATGCCATTGCACTCCAGAGCCTGGGTGACAGGGTGAGACCCAATAAATAATTACAAAACAAAAAGGTATGGAGTGAAAAAATCTTCCTTCCATGTCTACCTCCAAGTCACATAGTCTCTTTCCCCAGAAGCAGCTGATGTCATCTGCTGTGTCCTTCTAGATTTAAGAGTAAATATGTATAATTGTTTTATTTTATTTCCATTTGTACCTATACTATACACACAGCTCCACATCTTGCTGTTTCATTTAACAAACATGTCCTGGAGATCACTGGGTTGATACACAAAGATCTGTGTCATTGGGCCTCCTTTAAATCATATCATCTTTTTTAATATAAAGAAATATATTTAAATGGAATTTTATAGTACTTTATAAGTGGAAAGCCAGTGTCACTCACCATAAATAGGAAGCTTAAAAATTACAATAAAAATAAGGCCAGGCATGGTGGCTTACAACTGTAATTCCAGCACTTTGGGAGGCTGAGGCAGGCAGATCACGAGGTCAGGCATACAAGACCAGCCTGGCCAACATGGTGAAAACCCATCTCTACTAAAAATACAAAAATTAGCCGGGGGTGATGGCGCACACCTATAATCCCAACTACTAGGGAGGCTGAGGCACGAACATCAATTGAACCTGGGAGGCGGAGTTTGCAGTGAGCCAAGATGGTGCCACTGCTCTCTAGCCTGGGCGACAGAGTGAGACTCCGTCTCAAAAAAAAAAAAAAAGACTAACATTTGTCTCAACCAGCATTATCCAACGGTGGTCTACAGAAAATAATTTGGTAGGACTTCAATGAGTAGTACTTGAAAAGGGGGTTCCATAATTAAGTGTTTGGGACACTTTGACTTAAATAGCTTTGTTTGCCACCAGCCCGCCCAGAGCATTTACTGTGCTCTTTGGCTAGAGCAATACACATGCAGATCATCTCAAGAATTTCATGGACCAGGCTTTCATGGCACCAGCCCAGATGAAACCTAATTAGGAAAGTGAAACTTTGCCTAAATCAGAAAATGCAGCTTTAGTCCATTTGGGTTGCTATAACAAAACACCATAGATTGGGTGGCTTAGAAACAATGGAAACTTGTTTCTCACAGTTCTCGGAGTCTGAGAAGCCCAAGATCAGGGCTCTGGCAGATTTGGTGTCTGGTGAGGGCCCACTTCCTAGACAGTTGCCTTTCACTGTAACCTCACACAGTGGAAAGGGCTAACTAGCTCTCTGGAGTATCTTTTACTAAGAGCACTAATTCTAATTACCAATCACCATGATCGAATCACCTCCCAAAAGCCCTACCTCCTAATACCATCACCTTGGGGACTAGGATTTTAACATATGAATTTGGGCACAAACACTCAGACCATGGTAATGCAGTCCCAAAGCTAAATACAGGGATAATTGAGATTATCTGCTTTTAAAAAATTGTTCATATGATGATAGCTTCCAGTTACCCAGCACCTATTTTGTGCTAGCATCTCATTGAATCTTATAACAACCCTGAAAACATCTTTTAAAAATCTCCATTAAAAAAATAATAATAAACCTATTAACAGCCAGGCGCGGTGGCTCACACCTATAATCCCAGCACTTTGGGAAGCCAAGGTGTCACCTGAGATCAGGAGCTCAAGATCAGCTTGGCCAACATGGTGAAACCCCGTCTCTACTAAAAATACAAAAATTAGCCAGGCATGGTGATGCACGCCTATAGTCCCAGTGACTCAGGAGGCTGAGGCAAGAGAATAACTCAAACCCGGGAGGCGGAGGTTGCAGTGAGCCGAGATCACGCCACCGCACTCCAGGCTGGGCGACAGAGTGAGACTCTGTCTCAATAAATAAATAAATAAATAAATAAATAAATAAATACAAATTAAGGATCAGAACAACTGAGTTCATTCATTCAACACATTTTTATTATTAAGAGCTTAAGTGCTGTGCGCCTGTCTGACTCCTCACTGTCTCCGCAGCCCTTATGACCTCTGAATTAGGTTCCTGTAACCAAGAGTACACATTCCTGGAAAACAGGCAAACACAGCTCTACAGAGCCCCTAGCATAGCCTGGGAAACAGCGACATGGTGGCTAAGAGCTTGGGCTCTAGAGTCTGAATCTCTCAGAATCTCAGTTTTTCTACTGGAAAAACAGGGCTAGTGAGAATACCCTACATCACAAGGATGCTGTGGTGATCAAGCAAGAACATACAGAGAACATGCTTTGCACAGAGCCAAGCATACGGATGTACTCAACAAATGTCAACTTGAACTGCGGGTCAAGACATGAGAAACCCAAATATTCAGACTTTCTGTGAAAATACTCTTTGTCTCATCAATCTAAAACCACAGAGGGAGGAATGGAAGGAAAAAGGGAAATCAAACAATCAAAAAATCTGATTTTCTAACAAGATCAACTTGGGATTGCTAGTGGTGCTATGGAGTTAGCTTTGATGTAACGCAAGACTCCCCACATGGAGGTTCCAGCTCACCAGCCCCAGGGAAGGAGAGAAGTCAGAGTTGCTCTCCCAAGGGGGAACGTTTCTGAACAGGAGCAAGGGCATTTAAAATGGCATACAGAATTTATAAAGCAAAAGAACCCTGATGCTAGAAATGAACTATCACAACTAATAGGAACTTAAGTTTATTCTCCTTTAAAGGTAAAAGTAAGTCTGGTTGACTTATTAGAACCAGACTGGGCAAACCCTAATAAAGGAATGGATGCAAGCAATGATGGTGACTTCAGCATGGATGGATCAGGCTGATATCATCTGAAGCCCCTGATCAATCTGAATTTCAAAGACTGAGTCTACCAGACACCATGTGCCTTCTGAGGTGACATGATGGAGACAACCCAGAACTGCCTATGGAGAATTCTTGCAAATAAATAAATAACCAAACCTGACTCAATTGAGTCCCTTCATTTTATGGTAAACACATGGGGAAATGGAACATGTTAACTATCATAAAGATGCATTTAGCCAAACCTAGAGTGAGGGAAACTATAGGACAAATGCCTTTGCTTTTCAACAAATACATGGCATGAAAACAGAGGTGGGTTGGGGAGGGGAAGCTGTTACAGATTTAACAAACATTTAAGAAATGCAAAAAAAAAAAAGCAAGAAGGAAAAAGAAATGAAAGAAAGAAGGGAGGAAAGAAGGAAAGAAAGAAAGAAAGAAAGAAAGAAAGTGAAAGAAAGAAAGATGCAATGTGTGGAGCTTGTTTGGATTCTATTCAAATAAACCAACTGTTAAAAGGCATTTTTTGAGACAACTGGGGAAGATTGAACTCAGACAGGATGTTAGATGATGTTAAGGAGTTCTGGGTAGTGCTAGGTGTGATAAATACTTTAAAAAAAAAAAGTACGGAGACAAGATCTTGCTATGTTGCTCAGGGTGGTCTCAAACTCCTGGCCTCAAGTGATTGTTACCAAAATGCCAGGGGTTTGGTCTAGGTCCTGCCACTTGCTGCACAGAAAGCCAATCACTGAGACAATGAGTACTGCCAGGGAAGAAGGCTTTAATCAGGTGCTGCCACCAAGGACATGGGAGGCCAGTCTCAAGCCCATCTCCCTGACTAAAATTAAGGGTTGATATAGCAGGAAAGAAATTTAACCATGTGTGGGAAAACAGGAATTAGGGAGGGGTAAGGAAGATAAGGTGTTTAACAGGAAGCAGGTGGTCAGTTAGGTAATCATGACCGGTGAAGGGTCTGATGTCTTATTGTCAGGATGCAGTGATCTGGTAAATTTCAGCTCCTTGGTACCATCTGGGAGGCTTGATGGTTGGTTTTTTGAGAAAGAAACTCAGATAAGACAAATGTAACTTTCTCAAGTTTTAAGACTGGGAGGGGCCAGCCAGGCGTGGTGGCTCAGGCCTGTAATCTCAGCACTGTGGGAGGCTGAGGCAGGTGGATTGCTTGAATGCAGGAGTTTGAGACCAGCCTGGGCAACACGGTGAAACCCTGTGTCCACAAAAAATTACAAAAAGTAGCTGGGCATGGTGGTGAGTGCCTGCAGTCCCAGCTACTTGGGAGGCTGAGGTGGGAGGATCCCTTGAGCCTGGGAGATCAAGGCTGCAGTGAGCCACATTTGTGCCACTGCACTCCAGCCTGGATGACAGAGAGAAACCCTGTCTCCAAAAAAAAAAAAAAAAAAAAAAAAAAGACTGGGAGGATTAATTTCTGTGTTTATTTAAAGAAACCATAAACATCAGTTCTATGGGACCATTGAGCTGGTTTCATGATCCTCCCACCTTGGCCTCCTAAAGTGCTGGGATTACAGGCATGAGCTACCACACCTGGCATGTTATGTTTTTATTAAAGGACTTGTTGGTTAGAGATCAATCCTGAAGTATTTATGGATGATATGATATGTCTTCAGGAATTCACTTTAAAATACTCCAGCAAAAACCAACAAGCAATTAAATAGAATTGTTTTGGGGGGCAGGGAAGGCCAGAGGAAACAAAAAACAGTGGGAAAAAAATGTGGACAACGATTGAAGCTGGATGTTGGAGTCCACGGGGCTTCATGACCCTTCTCTCTACATTTGTGTATGTTTAAAATGTTCCAAAAACGGTCAAATGAATAAAACTAATTTTTAAAATTTGAGAGCTGAACTGCAGAGTTTTCCCAGTTCAGATCAGATGGAAAACAGGTACCTGGTGAGATGCTAAGAGGGTTTCTGGTGCAGCCCTGGGGAGCCCTGATCAGCACTGCAGCCTCTGCAGACAGCTCGGGATGTCTGGTATTCACAAACACGGATCATGAAGGCGCCCGCACGGCGATCGTAAAACTGTCTATTTGACATGCTGCATTGGCTTTGATAACGTCTAACTATCTATGGAGCTAATTAAATTATTAGGCTCAAAGCTGTGAGATGGCCCAATTTACACGTGAAGAGTCCCTCTTCCAAAGCTGCAGCAACTCAGAGAATTCCCCTTGAAGTCATAATTACTCATCTGGAGTTGTTCCCAATCAAGTTGTGCCTCTGATAGTGATTTCCCAATTTACTCCTAACCCTTCCCGAGTGGTGAGATTGTTTATTTGGTTTCAGCACAAACAGATAAAGCTGGGGGCAGATCAGCAAAGAGCCACCCAGTGTCAAACAGGCCTGGAAGGGCCTGTTTGAATTAAGGTGCCCAGTTAGAGGGGCCTCTATTGACTAACAGGACTGAGTTCACTCCTCTGGAAAGGCTCAGATGAGGCCTATTGACTGTGGCCCAGAAACACCAGTCTCTGAGATGGGGAAACTGTTCCCTTGACCCTCTGTGCCAGCACCCAGCAAGGTCAGAGAAGGAGGCTCAATGCCCAAGTCGGGGACGGATTCAACTCCCTTGAAGTGAAGTGACAAAGATCAACAGCATGGTGGGTGGAGAAGCTACTATGCAGAACCAAAGACCTGGGTTCCAGGCAAGGCCCAAACTCAGCCGGTCTCAGCATCCTCATCCGTGATATGAGGGCTGAATAAAGTGGTTTCAAAGACTGTAGCTAGAAAATGAACTCATTTCTGGTTTAAGTGGCGTGAGCTCTTCTGGCAAAAGGAACAAAAACTCAAAATGAAGTGTTTGCAATTTCCATCCCCACCAGAGAGGCAGTATAGCTTAGCGGTCAAGAAAGGATTCTGAAGCCAGATTGCTTGGGTTCAAGCTCTGCTCTGGCACTCCCCAGCACGGTGGCCTAAAGCATGTCATGTATCCTCTTGAGCCTCAGTTTCCCCCTCTATAAAATGAGGATAACAGCTGTACCTTCCTCATGGGTTTTCATGAAGACTAAGGAAACTAATACAAGTGAAATATGCAGAACTGAAAGGATAAGTACTATACAAGTGTTGCTATTATTTTTATCCAGAAAAGTAACACTTTACATACCTTTACAGTTCTAGGAATCAAGCATGATGCTGTTGAGGTTTTGTAGATTAATAAGACCACTCTCCATTAATTTTAGAGTTTAGAAGATAGACATTTCTATTGAAATCTGGCCTCAACAATGGTAACTATTATGATACTGGGTAGCATTTAGTACACACTTCATTTTCTGACCTTGTTTTTAAGTCAGAAGGTTGGAAGGACATAGGGCTGGAAACGGCCCCTAGGATTTTCCAGCTGGAGCCTCAATCACAAGTTCAAGTCCCATCCCTGCCGAGTGACCTTCCATTTTCTGTTTGAATTCCTCCAGAGACGGGGGACCCACTTCCCTCCAACAGAGCTGCTGTTTGAAACCTTCCCCAGCAGAAAATGTCAAAAGAAGTGAAGACTTTTAAACTAGAAAAAAGAGTTTCATGGCAACATCAGTGACATAAAATATTTGCAGAACTGTGATTATAATTATTGTTAACCTTAATAAGATTAACATTAGGCATCGTCTCTATTTTTTTGTTATTATGGTGATCGTGCATTGATCTCACACTATAAGATTTTACAGTTGAGGAAACTGGAAAACAGTTATGTAAAACTCTGCCCAAGGATAGAGAGCTAATGAGGGGAAGAAATAGGATTCAAACCTAGATTGGTCTGACTTTGGAAGGTAGAATTAGAACAGCTTTGTGGAAGTTATCAGGACTCCAAAACACAGACTGTCTGGGAAGTGGGTTTTGGGTCAACATAATGAGAACTTTCAAATGAGGCTGGACTAATTTCAGGCAATGGGGTGTTGACAGGGCTTTTAACACACACACACACACACACACACACACACACACACACACACACACACACCCTGCCCAGCCTGGTACACTTTCTTCACACCCTGCCCAGCCTGGTACACTTTCTTGAAGGGGCAGTGGGTAGATAGGCAGGGGCTGGGCCCTGGGAGGCTGGGGAGGAGGAGCCTGGCTGGTAGAATGGGGCATCCATGGTAGTCTCATTGCTGAAGAAAACCCCCAGGCAAGATACCAGAGCTGCCAGCAACATATGGTTTCCAGTAGCAACTGCTTGCTTAGTCCTGTAGACTCTGCCCCAATTCCCTGGGCAATTCACCCTTTCCCTGGCCCAGTCCCTTCAGTGAGTGAGCACACTTCCTACTTCACAGAGAAAGGAGAGCTTACCAGGCATGAATTACCTCAACTGTCATCCTCTGTGCCGATGCACAAAGCTGCACCGTGGGCTCTGCATTCCATCCCATTCCATATGGCCTGCTCCGGAGTCTTTGCTCCACTCTCTTTCCTGCACCCTTCTCCCCTGGCCTGTCCTGGCTTCTTTCCATCAGCCTGTATCCATGCTAAGACTGGGTTATTTAAAAAAAAAAAAAAAAAAAAACAAGACAAGGAAAAATAACTCTTTGATCCTGCATCCAACTCCCAGTAAGTGTTGTAGGTTTCCTTTTCCAAGCTGACCTTCTCAAAGAGCAGTTGGGACTAGCTCTCAATCCTTCCTTCTCCTGGCATTTCCCTTCATATCCCCACCTGGTTTCCAACCACATCATTGCAGGGAAACAGTTCCCACCACAGACGCCACTGACCATACTGTTACTGACATCTGAAAAGACCCTGTAGGTCTTTTCTTACATGATCTGACCTGTTATTCGCTCTCTGTTTATGAAACTCCCATTTCTCTTGGTTGCTGTATAACACTCTTTCCCAGGTTTTTCCCTTTCAGCTTTCCAGCTCTTTCTGGATCCCCTTTCACTTGGGGCCTCTTATTTGTTTACCAGGGGCTATCTGAGTCTCTGTTCTCAGTCCGGACCCAACCAGAACCATCCACCCACACAGGGCCTGCCCCACCACCTCCATGCTGACCACTCTCCCAATCTAGAAGTCCAGCTCCTCTCATGATCCAGGCTTCTGCATACACCTGCCACTTGGGTGGTGCTTTGGTTTGAATATGTCACCTCTACAACTCAGATGTTGAAACTTAATGGCCAATGTGATGGTATTAAGAAGGTGGGGTCTTTAAGAGGTGATTAGGTCATGAGGGCTCCACTCCTCATGAACGGGATTAAGGCCCTTATAAAAGAGGCTTCACGCTGCACAGCATTCAGCCCGCTTTGCTTGCCCTTCCTCCTTCGGCAAGGACACTGCTTTCCTCCCCTCCAGAGGGTGTAGCAACAAGGGACCATCTCAGAAGCAGAGAGCGGCCCTTACCAGAGAGGAAAATGCTGCTCCTTTGACCTTGGACTTCCCAGCCTCCAGAATTGTGAGAAGTAAATTTCTGTTCTTCATAAAATACCCAGTCTTGGGTATTTTGTTACAGCAGCACAAATGGACTAACACGGGTGGTTCTGTACCCTCATCCTAGAAAAACCACAAATTGCCAATACACACAAATCTTCCAAAAACTTTTGGGAATTCCCGAAAGATGCTATAATGCTCCCCAAACATCCTATATGATCTGTAGTTTTACAGCTTAGGTGGCCCCAGGCTAATGCAAAACTTCCAGGATCCTCTGGCCAGGCTCCCTCAGTGCTTCCTCCTCATCTCAGGAGCATGTTCCAAGGCCTGCTGGTTTCGACTTCGCCTCATTCCACCAAGGCTGAATTGCAGACACATTGTCTTTCTTCCACTGTTTGCTTCACTTTGGTCCCTTCTCTCAACCCCCGATTTTCACACTTTTTCAATAGCTACGTTCCCACACATTGTTTTTTTATTATAACCCTCTCCCTTTTCTTCTTCTACACTATTTATAGAACCCAAACCAATTATTGCATATCTGTTATCTTTCCAGCTCACTTAAAGTTCTGGGGAGAACAGAAATGGCTCACAAAAAGACAAAGAAATGTGATAGATCAAAGCCATGAATGAAGATGACACATGGGAGCTCCTCTGCCCTCCTCCAGGGGCTGCAGTGGGCCCCAAAGCACAGGCCAGCTGAAGAAGAAAGAAGTGGTCTTTCCCAGCCAGGACTCCAGGGGATCCAAAGCACCCAGGAACTCATAAAAACAGCACGGAGCCTCATGACAATACTGAGGGTGGATGAGAGGAGGAGCGAAAGGAGGAACATGCCGGCTTGGAAGGGCTGTGAATATTCGGCTATGAGTCAGCTTTCCAAAGGCAAAAACAGGCTTAATCCCCAAGCCCCCACTTCTGCACTCCCGTGCTCTTTGGCTGCGTCTTCCTTCTCCAGGACCAGTGTTTGCCCTGCGTCAGGAGCAGCTCTTACCCTGTGGATCTCCTTTCTCCTCTTTCTTCTTTGGAGGCCAGAATTCCTGCATGCCCCACCCTACCCTCTCCACCCTTGCCTGTTCAATGCACCCATTTCAGCCTCCAGCAACGGCCCCTGCACCAGGCTCTCCTGGGTGTGCCCTTTCCTTCTACTGGGACTCAGGACTGTGCCTTCCCCAGGAAGCCCAGGATGCTTTTTACAAGGGATGTTCAATGCCCCTCATGGGTTCTCAGACACACAAGAACAAGCTGTAGAACATAAAGTGATTGCAAACCTTCAGGCTACACTGAGCCCTCCTCCTGCTTTTTGATAACCAGACACTTAGCTCAGGATGGGGATAAAAGATCTCTTTACACTGCACTGAAGATTCTAATTGAGTCTGTGGACAATAATTTTGTCTAGATACCTGGCAATCTTTACCTTAGCTTGGCCCACTCTTAAATTCTCAGTAGATACAAAATAGTCAATGAAGAATGTTAAAAACAAACAAACAAACAAACAAACGAAAACCCAGGAATTCTTTTTTTTTTTTTTTTTTTTTTTGAGACAGAGTTTTGCTCTTTTTGCCCAGGCTGGAGTGCAATGGTGTAATCTTGGCTCACTGCAACCTCTGCCTCCCAGGTTCAAGTGATTCTCCTGCCTCAGCCTCCCAAGTAGCTGGGACTACAGGCACCCGCCACCAAGCCTGGCTAATTTTTTGTATTTTTAGTAGATACAGGGTTTCATCATGTTGACCAGGATGGTCTCGATCTCTTGACCTCGTGATCCGCCTGCCTCGGCCTCCCAAAGTGCTGGGATTACAGGCGTGAGCCACTGTGCCAGACCAAAACCCAGGAATTCTTAATTGAGAATGCACAATAAGTTATTTAAAAGAAAGATCACCAGAAAAATATATTAGATATTTCAGTTAGACGACTCACACCCAAAAAGTTCATACTATAAAATTTATGTAGGTCAGATATCTGTTCTACATTGCCTAGATCTCAAAAGCCCAGATCACAAAAATCAGTTAAAACCTATTTTTCCTGAAATAAGAATTTACCAAATGCAACTGCAATTTAGAGGCTAGGGAAGTGATAAACTCTGTGAACCTGAGCTTTGTCACAATAATCCCCCCTGCCACCGTTTATGGCACACTCACTCCCCACCAGGCAGTGTGCTGGGTGCTTCACACGCATGACCTCATTTGGTCCCTGCAGTGGCACTAGGAAGCAGGCATTATCATCCCATTTTGCAGGCCTTAGAAAGCTTACTCAGTGGTCCAGGATTTCAACTATTAAATTATTTCAAACTCCAAAGTCTTTATGTTTAACCTCTGCATTATTTTGCCTCGTGCTATATTTCAAGTCCCTTGCAAACCTATTATAATTCATTCTCATCATCCTTAGCAAAAAAATAAAAAATAAAAATCAGAATTCTTCCCAAATGAAGCAAGGGCAGAAAACAAAACTTAGGGTGTGCTCATCCATTAACATGTTATTATTTATTTATTTTTGAGACAAAGTCTCGCTCTGTCATCCAGGCTGGAGTGCAGTGGCGAGATCTCAGCTCACTGCAACCTCCACCTTTCAGGTTCAAAAGATTCTCGTGCCTCAGCCTCCAGAGTAGCTGGGATTACAGGCACCCACCACTGTGCCTGGCTAATTTTTTTGTATTTTTGGTACAGATGGGCTCTCAACATGTTGCCCAGGCTGGTCTTGAACTCCTGGCCTCCAGTGATCCAACTGCCTCGGCCTCCCAAAGTGCTGGAATTACAGGCATGAGCCACTGCGCCTGGCTCCATTAGCATTTTACTTTATTTTAATTAATTAATTTATTTATTTGGAGACTCAGTCTCCCTGTCGCCCAGGCTGGAGTGCAGTGGTGCAATCTCGGCTCACTGCAACCTCCGCCTCCCAGGTTCAAGCAATTCTCCTGCCTCAGCCTCCCGAGTAGCTGGGATTACAAGTGCGTGCCACCACACCCAGCTAATTTTTGTATATTTAGTAGAGACTGGGTTTTACCATGTTGGCCGGGCTGGTCTCGAACTCCTGACCTCAGGTGATCTGCCTGCCTAGGCCTCTCAAAGTGCTGGGATTACACATGTGAGCCACCGCACCCGGCCGCCATTAACATTTTAAATGAAATTCCATTCCAGTCTAGATCAGGGTGTCTCAATCTTGACACTACTGATGTTTTGGATGGGATAGTTCTTGGTTGTGGGGGTGTCCTGTGCACTGTAGGAAGTTTAGCAGCATCTCTGGCCTTTGCCCGCTAGATGCCAGCAACACCCCTCTCCCACCCCAAGTTGTAATAACCATAAATATCTCCTGACATTGCCAAATGTTCACTCAGTGGGGGGTGCCTCTAGTGGAGAACCGATCTAGACATCCAGACAATTTGCAGGGACTCTATCTCATTCCAGCTTTACCTTCTATGCCTTGCACACTCCCACCTTGAAGCAACAGATCTGGACACAGATCACAGTAGGACGGGCAGGAAGAACATGGCCATGAAGAATTCAGGAACAGGTGATAACTTAAAAATCAGGTCGGTTGGCAGATGGCATCAGGTTTAGGACTTTTCATTCACGTTAGTGTTTTCTTGACAAAAATGTCAACTTTGCCCTCCCCATGCCAAGTCTGCTGATTTTATACAAAGTGCATTCGTGTTGTGTTGCTATTAAAGGTCATGGTTGTGAAGACTATGAGCAGCATACAAATGCTCATGCCAACGGGAAAAAAGCAGGTTAAACAATTACACAAACACTGTGATGGCAACTGAAGTGACAAGAATGATGGAATTATGGCTGACATTTTTCTCCTCTTTCTAAATTCCTGTCATGTGACTTCCATAATGCCTTCATAATTCAGAAAGTACATTTTCAGATTATGTCCCCAGACACTGCGCCACTGTCCCCCAACCTCCAGGTAGTGTCACCAGAGCAGTACCCTCATACATTACCACCTGTACTCTCCAGATAATCCCCTAGACCCATAGGTGAACCCTCAACAATGTCATCTGGGTGGTCTGTGTTTTATTCAATGGCACTTAATAAATTTATATAATAAAACTCACTAAAACTCAAAAGTGATTGAATTTATTTTTAATAGAAAATTAAGAGTTATTCTCTTATTGCCTAGTCCCATTCTGGAATCTTGCAGAAACCCACTGTGTCTCAGACTGCTCTGGGGATGTCGCACAGGTCCAGCAATTCCCATCTTCTGGAAGCAGCTCCAAGGCACGCAGTGCCTAGCAGCCATGTTGGTCCTTTAGGTCCTGTCCCTCGACACAGCTGGGCCCATCAGTTTCTCTCCATCATTTCTATTCCTTCTGAAATTTGGTGGATCTACTCTTCCTGGGATCCTCCCCCAAATATTATTATTATTATTTTCTTTATTTTTTTTCTTTTTTCTTAAGCTGGCTCCAATTAATTTTTGCTTCTTGCAACCAACAGAATCTTAACGCATAGGGGTCATATCTGAGATCTCCTTGTTATTCACATAAGTATTAGGCTGTAATTATTATTCCAGTCAATTCCAACTTCTGGCTCTGCCTCTTTGCCTGAGTTTCCTTATGTAGAAGAGAAGACACTTAGCCAGGTTTAAATGAGGGGCATACACAGGGCATGGCGCACAGGATGTTTCTGCACATACCACCCCCTTCCCCTTACATTCTCCCTCAAGCCAGGGGAGATCTGCTTGCTCTTCCTCATTAACTCATGGTCCAAAAAATCAAATCTCAGCTTGCAATAAAGTCTACATTTCTCTCCAAGCACTTCTCACAACTCCTTTCTCTCCCCTAATCCCAGTGCTTGACTTGAAGCCTGTCCTGAAGGCCTGCAGTTTCCTATCCAGGCTTTCCTGGGCCCTGGAGATGCTTGTCAGGTTTCTTCTGACGTAGCCTTTGGTCCTCACACAAGTGCCTGAATATAAGTAGTAGTTAATGGGCTGGAGGCATCCAGGAATAATAACAATTACTGACTGCTTACGATGAGCTCTACTCGAGTTATCTCATTTAATCCTCATGCAGCTCCAGAAGGGGGAAGTATCATCATTACTCTTGTTTTACAAAAGTGGAAACTAAGTCTCAGAGTGGTTAAGTAGCCTGCCCAGTGTCACAGAAGTAGTAACTGGTAGAGCTGAGTCGAGAGTCTGTGTGCCTAATAGCTAAACATGCTAAATTTACCAGCTTTAATCACCCATGAATAACCTCCTGGCCTGCCCCCAGTGCGTGATGAGCCAAGCACCATGAGACAGCCCTTTATCCTGGCCCCTGGACCAAGGGTCCTTCTTTACAGCATCTGGGAGCACAATACGCAGCTCCTCCCCTAGCAAGTCCCACTTTGTGCTGCCTAGCTCAAAGCGTTATGTAGAGTCACTGCTTGTTCTTCTCTCTGTTTCATTCACCTACATACCATCTACATCCTCAGCTTCTTGAACTTCTGTTTATTGAGCACTTACTTTGTGCTGCATAAGTGTTCAGAATATCCTTCACAATAAACACTAGCTCTGGTTTTCATCATTGAGTTACACACACACACACACACACACACACACACACACACACTGGCCCACATGGCCCTGTGTGGTCTAGCCCTGCCCACTCCCTCACAGGTCCAGCCACAATGGTCTCCTTGCTGTCCCTGGAACACTGTCAAGCATGCTGCCTTGGCCTTGGAGACTTTGCACTCACCATTCCTTCTGCCCGGCTTGCTCACACACTTCCTTCAGTTCTCTACTCAAATACTTAAAAATTGTCCTAGGAAGCCAGGCGTGGTGGCTCACGCCTGTAATCCCAGCACTTTGGGAGGCCGGGGCGGGCGGATAACTTGAGGCCAGGAGTTCAAGACCAGCCTGGCCAACATAGTGAAACCCTGTTTCTACTAAAGAGACAAAAATTAGTGGGGCGTGGTGGCTCACGCCTGTAATCCCACAAGAATTGCTTGAACCAGTGAGGCGGAGGTTGCAGCCAAGATTGAGCCAAGATTGAGCACTCCAGCATGGGTGACATAGTGAGACTCTGTCTCAAAAAAACTAAAACATTGTCCTAGGCCCTTTGTTTTCCCCTCTCAGTCTCTATTCAGAGATAGGATATCTCTATGTTACTCAGGCTGACCTTGAATTCCTGGGCTCAAACAATCCTCCCACCTCAGCCTCCTGAGTAGCTGAGACTACAGATGCATGCCACCACTCCTGGCCTGCTATGCCCTTTTTAATAAATGATCTTTCATTCTCAGCAACCGTATGAGGTAGGTACCAACTTATCAGGTTGTGCCCATATGAAGTTGAAAATATTTCACAATAATTTGAAAATAATTACATAAAAGCCATTTCCTATGGTTCAACCTCATAGTATTGCTAGTTTACAGATGGAAGAATTGAGGCTTAAATAATTTGGCAAAGATCACACCATTTTAAAGTGGCAGAGCCAGGATTTAGTCTTAGATCTCTTTTATCCTAAAAAGAGATTCTTAATGTCTACACTGCACCATTTTGCTTCTCAGATCTTCACTGTTTCCTTCTTGGATTTTTGTCCGTCCACTTTGTCCACACTCTCTATTAAGCTAGGGTGCAGAGATACTGAAACACGGATACTCCCCAGTCCTCTGAAGGAGCCCTTCAGTCAACAAGGTGCTGTCTACCTGGATATCCTGCATCTCTGCCTCCGTGCAGCTCCAAAGCCCCGGTGAGGGAGCTCTGCCAGCAGAAGGCTGTGCCCTAAGACTGGATTTGAAAAGTCTAGTCACTTCCTGAAAAGTGAAGAGGAATTACAAGCTATGAAGTGTTGGGCACCTTGCCTAACAACAGAGAAATGACTCAGAAACCATGGAAGGGAAAAGAAAGCCAGGGAATTAAAAAACATTTAGAAGGTAAAGACTCTGTAATTCTCTCTAATGTACCTCTCTCACCTGTTTAGAAGAAATCTCCTTAAGTGGTAGGCATAGAGCCAAGGGTTTAGGGAAATCTCTGAGAGTCAGTATGAAGAGTGCAATGGTAATAAACACAAACTTCGAGTTTAGGGAACACCAACCATCAACCACATTTTCCCCTTAACCTATTTTCAGTCTAGAGGCCAGATTGGTCTAGGCTTGACTTTGTTGATGTCATTTTGAATATCACTCCTGGACAATACTGTGCATTACAGAGTTCACCAGTTATGGCAAATCTCCTCAGCAAAAAAAGTGGCTCCTATCCTCGGTTTACCTTTCTGGCTTCCCAGTTTTACTTGGATTTGAACCTATCAGACAACTCTTTATTATCCTGCCAAGTCATTGATACCTTAAAGATTCTGAGTATGTATCGTACAATGGAGGGTTCGTCTGAAGCCTATCCCGCCATATTATTGAAAATGGAAGTCCATTAAATGTTTGAAAGCAGAGAAGTCACACAGCATCAGACCTTTTGTTTTGTTTTGTCTAAAAGATGACTGACAGTTGCTTGGAGAATGGGCTGATTAAAGGACAAAATTTAAAAAAGGAAGATCATTTAAGAGGTCATTCCAGTACTTCTCATGTGGATGGGTGTTTGCTTGGCCTGGCCTGGAGAGGTGGCAGTGAGGGAGACAGAAAATAACCAATTCAATGTGAATTATTGAGTCATCTGTACAGATGACTATTGGCAACCTGCCTCTGTGTAGTGCAGGTGCTGCTCTTAGCGAAACACCAGGGGGTTGGTCTAGGTCCTGCTGCTCACTGCACGGAAGCCAATCACGGAGACAATGATTATTGCCAAGGAAGGTTTTAATCGGGTGCTACAGGTGAGGAGATGGGAGATCAGTCTCAAATCCATCTCCTTGATCCATTGAAACTGGGGTTTTATACAGCAGGAAAGAAATGTAACCAGATATGGGAAAACAGGTACTCAGTGGGGTAAGGAAGCAATCATGATGAATGAGGGGCCTGGCGTCTTGTTGACAATCTTGTGAGTTTCAGTTCTGTGACATTTTTTGAGAGGCCTAGGGGTCCTTTGCTGAGTGAAGGAACTCAGATAAAACCAATGTAAGCAGCAAGCTTTAAGACCAGAGGGTTAATTTCTATGTTTATTTAAAAACAAAAAACAAAAAACAAAAAACAAAACTGTCTATGGGACCACTGGGTCAGTTTCATTGCAAGAAGCCCATTCTATTGCCTCCGCCCTGTAACCAGTTGGACCAAATGACCTCTAAAATGCTTCCCAACGTGGTTCTCAGATTTAATATGGAATAGCAATTTAATAGTTATGACACATTTCCACCTACATGGTGTTGTTTGATCCTCATCACAACTCCGGGAGATAATATTATTTTCTCTGTTTTATAAATTGAGAAACACAGACTCAGGGAGTTTGAATGATTAATTCAAATACTAATTCAAATTAGAACCTAATTCAAATCCAGGTCTTCTAACTCCACAACCCATCTGTTTCCTCTGTGATGAGAACTGATCACTTCTAAGCAACAGAGCCAAGGGGACCATAAAGATGAGGTAGGTGCATAAAATCAATGTTGTTATTTTTAAATAAATAAACATTCCATATTATTAAATTGATACAAGTAGAATTGTAACAGCCCCTATATGAGTGTTCACTTATTATGTACGAGAAACTGATTAAAGCACCAAGTATATGATCACATTTCATCTTCATGGGAACCCAGAAAGGTAGGTACTATTGTCATCTCCATTTTACATATGGAGACCTACAGTACAGAGGCTAAGTATATTGCCTATGTTCACACAGCTAGTCAGCCATGGAGCTGGGATCAACACCAGGGCATCACCAGGGCATTCTGACACCTAAGTCCACATTTTAATCTTTGGAGCTACATGGCCTCCCAAGAGAGAACATATACACATATGCTATTACAGCCACAGAAACTCTGGAAACTCCCTTTAGCGAGGAAGACTAGAAGCCAGAGTTGGGGGAGGGATGCCAGCTCTCTGTCCAATCTGTCATATCACTTGAATTTTTACACTGTGGGGACCACAACTGCCAGTTAACCACCAATATCCACCCTCTCTTTTTTCCTTTAACTATAGAAATCCTGGGTTTTAGCTGGGCCTGGGGGAGTCAGACTAAAGATTATGCTTCCCAGCTTCCCTTGTACTAGGCCACGTAACTAGGTTCTAGACAGTAGAATGAGAGCAGAAAAGATATGTGTAATCTCTGGGCCATGCCTTTAAAAGGAATGGATAAAGTTTGCGCTTGTCATTTTCCCCTTCTGGATCACTGGGATACAGACATGATGGTGGGAGCTAGAGCAGCCACCTTAGACCCACAGACTGAAGGAATATATTGAAGAAAATCGAGTTGCCTTCATGATGCTGGGAAGTCTAACTTGGGACCTTTACCTGGGAGAAAAAGAAACTTCTATTTTATTTAAACCACTATATTTTTAGGTCTCTTTTAAACAAAAGTTTCTACTGTACTCTATCCAACACACACGTATATATATGGCTTTTTCTATTTAAAAACTAGTTATTTTTTATTTTGATTTTTTAATTTTTTGAGATAGAGTCTTACTCTGTCACCCAGGCTGGAGGGCAGTGGCTTGATCTCGGCTCACTGAAACCTCCACCTCCCAGATTCAAGCAATTCTCCTGCCTCAGCTTCCAAGTAGCTGGGATTACAGGCGTGTGCCACCATGTCTGGCTAATTTTTGTAATTTTTAGTAGAGACAGGGTTTCACCATGTTGGCCAGGCTGGTCTCAAACTCCTGACCTCAAGTGATCTGCCCACCTTGGCCTCCCAAAGTGCCGGGATTACAGGCATGAACCACCACGCCCAGCCACTAGTTAGTTTTCTTTTTCTTTTTTTTTTTTTTTTTTGAGACAGAGTCTCACTCTGCTGCCCAGGCTGGGATGCAGTGGCGCTATCTCAGCTCACTGCAAGCTCCACCTCCCAGGTTCATGCCATTCTCCTGCCTCAGCCTCCTGAGTAGCTGAGACTACAGGTGCCCGCCACCATGCCCGGCTAATTTTTTTTGTATTTTTAGTAGAGACGGGGTTTCACCATGTTAGCCAGGATGGTCTTGATCTCCTGACCTCGTGATCCACCTGCCTCAGCCTCCCAAAGTGCTGGGATTACAGGCATGAGCCACTGAGCCCGGCAGCCACTAGTTAGTTTTTAAAAACATATCATAATGTAGGGTACATAACCTACTATTATATGATATTTGAGACAATTGTTTGGTGGACTGGCAGCAAATGTTTAAAAAACAGCATCTCCAGGAAAAAAAAAAAATCCTGATTTGTGGCGTTTGCCAATTTCCCTGGTGTAAATACTCCACCAGGGCTGATTTCAAACTATCAACACCTGGTCTCTGAGCACAGACTTGGGAAGACAGGCACATGTTGACTCTGGGGAGTTGGTATGAACCTCCTCCAGGAAGCTGCTGCAAAGATCCCTGTGACCTTTGGAGAAAAAGCTTTAAATATTAATTGCAACAAACTACGGGCTTGATCATATAGGAGTCCCAGTAGCCTCTAGTATAGATGAATTAGATTTTTTTTTTTAAGTGTTTCTCAGAGAGCTTGCGGACCTTCAGATTGGATCACCACGACCCCTCACCTCTCCAGCAGCCGCTGTCCCAGGCAACCTCTGCTTGCTGGGCCTGCTCTGCCAGGGCGTCTGAGGCCATGGTCAGTCCTAATACGTGGATGAGCCCCCTGAGCCGCCCACATTCCTCTGCTCATGGGCCTAAAGCAGCTGTGTTGCCTCGGGTGCTCTACTAGAAGCTGGATGCTGACCAGTATCAGGATGATTCAGAATTAGAATAAGAAAGGAGAGAAACTACTCCTGGATGGACATAACAACAATGTGCAAAGATAAACTATCAAATTGTGAAGAAAAGATTAAGATGTTTTATGAGTGGTATTTGCACTTGGATGATGAGTTCTGCTACATTTGTTTTCTCTTTCTTCCCCCACACCGCCCCTGCCTTTTTTTTTCTTTTTGGAGATAAGGCCTCACTATGTTGCTCAGGCTGGTCTCTAACTCCTGGCCTCAAGGGATCACCTTAGCCTCCCAGGTAGCTGGGATTACAAGGTGAGCCGAGCCACCACCCCTCCTGCAGCAGGTACTTTGATGTGAGAGATAAAAGAGTACAAATGGATGGGGATCTTTCTGGAGTAAGGAGACATCATAACTCTCCCCACAGGAATTTATCACTTCCTGCTGGAGGAAAAGATCTAGATGAAGGCCATGCAGCTGTTTGTGGGAGACCCAGTGTGGACTGTGTACAACTGGCCAGGTGACCTTTTTGATGCCTGGGGACAATACAGGAAATTTCTGGCACAAACAGCATAGCAGTGTTCCCTGGGAATTAACATGTGTCCTGTAAAAGTCCTAAACATGACAACTGAGCAGAAAATCAATCATTGTCTCTTTGCTTTTATATGATAGACTTGAGGCTAGGTTATCTTCCCTTTGTAAGATTATTTTACCAGAATATTTTCTAACAAAAGGAGCTATAAAACTGAGTTTTACAATGGAAGCAACTTGGAAATATAAACATGTTACCTTCATTCTCTCTAACTCAGTCAAGACTAGTGGTTCAGTAGCCCTATGTGAGTCCATGCATTCATCTCAAACCAGAATGGAAGTTTCATCTCCCAATGAGCAGTTAGATGCTCATTCTAGAGATGATGTGGTGCTTACTTTATAAGAAGGTGCGCTGGGTGCGGTGGCTCATGCCTGTAATCCCAGTACTTTGGAAGGCCAAAGCAGGTGGATCACCTGAGGTCAGGAGTTCGAGACCAGCCCGGCCAACATGGTGAAGCCTCGTCTCTACTAAAAATACAAAAATGAGCAGGGTGTGGTGGCAGGTGCCTGTAATCCCAGCTACTTGGGAGGCTGAGGCAGGAGAATCGCTTAAACCCTGGAGGCAGAGGTTGCAGTGAGCCAAGATCGCACCATTGCACTCCAGCCTGGGTGACAAGAGCGAGACTTCATCTCAACAAATAAAAAAAAGAAGGTGCAACAGTAGATAACCAACCAGAAAGAAGACACCTCTTTCTCCCAAAATTATACTCTGGGATGGGGAGGGGTATGGGGAAACAGCTCCTATGTTAGGGGCACACTCTGAATTGCTTATGCCACTTCCTGTTCAAAATAAAGTAATTGCCTTAATTTTGTGTTGTTTCTTTACCTGGGAGGGAGACATTGCTCAGCCTGGAAAACCTTACAAAAAAAGAAGGATATTTAATTTCACTTATCAAACTATGGGTTTAGACTCTTTATAACTTATATAATTATTGTTATGATAGTAGTAACATATGATGAAGGCTAGAAATGATGCTGGAAAACTCAGTCATTCAACAAACATCATAGTCTCTAGAATCTCTTGAAACATTGGTGGCTTTAACATACAGTATCTGGAAATGAAGCTCCACTTATGAGCTGGTAAGATTTATGATGGTTATACCATAAAATATTTCTTTCCCTCCAAAAATACAAATTAAACAAAGTCTTCCTTATTAGTGATTTAATGCAATTTTACATAAATCAAACCCCCTGATAACAAACAATGCCAAACTCTGCCAAGAGCGTGCTCCACAGGACAAACTGGAAGGTGGATACCTTTGGGAAGGGCTGACCACAGAAAAAAATTACAGAGTTACAGCGTTTTAAAATCGGAAGGTTAGTGAGATTATAATAACACATGCTGGAAATCCACATGGTTTCATGAGTTCAGTAACCTTGAGTAACTTTTTCCCTGGGGAAATGGTGGAAGCCGTATTGCCTCGCCAAGTCTTATAGATAGGTCCCAAAGAATCTGAGCACACAAACATCAGCTGCTCAGATTTCCACAAACCTTTTCCCAGTGGACCCACAGTAAAGCAAAAAACTATATCTATGCAAAACACCTAAAGGAATGCTATGTTCGTGGTCTGAATTTTCTTTTACTTATAATAATCCTCAAAAAGGCCAGGCACTGTGGCTCACGCCTGTAATCCCAGCACTTTGGGAGGCTGAGGCGGGTGGATCACTTGAAGCCAGGAGTTGGAGACCAGCCTGGCCAACATGGTGAAACCCCGCCTCTGCTAATAATACAAAAATTAGCAGGTATGGTGGCGTGCACCTGTAATCCCAGCTACTCAGGAGGCTGAGGCAGGAGAATTGCTTGAACCTGGGAGGTGGAGGTTGCAGTAAGCTGAGATCACACCATTACATTCCAGCCCGGGCAACAGAGCAAGACTCCATCTCAAAAAAAAAAAAAAAAAAAAAAAAGTCTTTAACACCGAGAGCTTGCTTTATTTAGGCCAGAATTGAGTATTTTAGTCCATGGCTCTGACAGCAATGTCCAGGTAGGACAACTTCCCAACACCAACTGTGAACCATGTGAACGAATGTCCTTAATGTCATTGCTGCATTTGGAAGGACGGGAGCTAGCTCCACTCTAGGAGTCCTGTAGAAAGGAAAAGAGAAGCATACTGGATTGCAGGCTTTCTTGCTACTGGTGTCCGGTGTCATGGCAAGGGTCACCAGTGGCCTGGAGCGAGTCCAGCTGGCAGATGGTTTGATAGCCTGCAGGGCTCCCCTGGACTTATCTCCTCCTTGGCTGCAAGCCCCTAGCTCTAGCTCCTGCCCAGGCTTGCATCAGGAACCGTGGGGCGGTGTCCGAGCTGCCGGATTCCACCCACAAGCAGAGGCTGTATGCCACTGGTAACATCCAGCCAGTCAGCAGTGAGCTTCTGGGCAATTCTTTCAAGAGACTAGATTGACACCTGGAGCCAGACTTTATCGGACTTACCAAAGTTTGACCCCAATAAACAGTTCAGTTTTCCAGAGTTTTCTGGCTGCATGTAGTTGAAAGCAGGACTCTGCCAAGTTCTGAGTCCAGCTCTGAGCTGTTTGTCTTCCACCACCTGCTGCAGAACACGAGGTGAGTAAGTGGCCAAGGCTCATGGCCAGGTGTGCATGGGGCTGCCTGACACCGCCAGGGGCAGCTGACCTCCCAGATGGCCACCAGCTATGCCCTGGACCTTTAGCTCCTGACACTTTCCATGATGGCTCCCCTGACAGGCTGTGGCTTTGGGTGGTATTAGGGGACTGTGTTTTCTTGTACCCGTTGCTACTAGGAAAACACTACAAATTTTGTGCCTGTATAACACTGTTCTTCAGAGTTTCTGGGGGTAAAAGTGCACTCACAATAATAAAAACCAACTTGCAATACCGATAGTTACCTGAACCCTAGTCAAGAAAAATTTACTAAGGCCTTATAAATGCAAGACACTCTCCTAAGAAGTGTGATGTCAGGGAAGAAAATACATGGTCTTTGCATTTAGGGAAGGACCATGCAGTGGGGAAGGCAAGACTGGAAACATTTCTTGTGTCTCCTCTGTGAAGTCTGATCGTCGCCCTCAAGCCAGTCCAAAGCATGTAGGTTAAACCACATTTTGGGGTGAACCATACAAAATTGCTGTTTTTCCAGTTAAAAAGGTAGCATGTCAGCAACTTACTTTGGTTCAACCTAATAATCAGGTCTCCCAGAGCACTCTGCCTATCCTGTTAGGGCCCTGTTTCAACCTGTCTTGTGAATAATTGGGTGTTGACAAGAACTTTTCCTCCATTTGATTGCCAAGCTTCCTGAGAGCAGGAACCTTAGTTTTGTGCGTGTCCAGTTAAGTACTACACTTTACAGGGAATAGAGGAATGAATGAATGAAAAAAACAACACAGGCTGGCACGGTGGCTCATGTCGGTAATCTCAGCATATTGGGAGGCCCAGGTGGGTGGATCACTTGAGGCCAGGAGTTCCAGACCAGCTTACGCAACATGGTAAGACCCAATCTCTACAAAAAATTTTAAAAATTGGCCGGGCACAGTTGCGCTTGCCTGAAGACCCAGCTACTCAGAAAGGCTGAGGTGAGAAGATTGCTTGAACCAGGGATGTCAAGGCTGCAGTGAGCCCCGTGATCATGCCACTGCACTCCAGCTTGGGTGACAGAGCGAGACCTTGTCTCAAAAAAAAAAAAAAAAAAAGGCCAGGTGCGGTGGCTGAAGCCTGTAATCCCAGCATTTTCAGAAGCTGAGGCAGGCAGATTGCTTGAGTCCAGGAGTTTGAGACCAGCCTGGGTAACATGACAAAAACCTGTCTCTACAAAAAATACAGAAATTAGCCAGGTGTGGTGGTGCATGCCTGTGTAGTCCCAGCTACTCAGGAGGCTGAAGACAGAAGGATCATATGAGCCTGGGAGGTGGAGGTTGTGGTGAGCTGTGATCACAACATTGCACACCAGCCTGGGTGATAGAGTAAGATTCTGTCTCAAAAAAAAAAAAAAAACCTACCCAATATAGATACACATCGTTTATATATACATATTTATACGGTGTGTGTGTGTGTGTGTGTGTGTGTGTGTGTGTGGTTACAAGCAGTATACTGGGTGCTGGGGACAAAAGGCTGAATCAACCTTGGGTCTTCCCAGGTTGATATGGGTCCTTACTGAGATACAAAGAGATAATTTCATACCATTAAGCAGGGCTTCTCAACAGTAGCACTAAGGACATTTTGGATCAGACAGTTTGTTGTGGGGGTGGCTGTGCTGTGCTCTGCAGGATGTTTAGCGGCATCCCTGGCCTCCACCCACTAGATGCCAGTGGTACACTTTCCATCCCCACCCCCAGTCATGACAATCAAAATTGTCTCCAGACATTGCCAAATGTCCTCAGTGAAACAAAGTCACCCACCCCCAATTGAGACCCACTGCCGTAGATGTGCTAAGGTGGCATGATGCTTTTTAATCCCGTGAGGTGGTTCAGAGACACTTCCTGGAAAGGATGACACCTGGGGTAGGTCTTGAAGGATGAGTAAGACTTAGCAAGGAGAAGCGAGGCAGAGGCCACTGCACAAGCAAAGAACCATGGCTTACCTGAACTCCATGCTGACTCGGCACAGGAGGGACCACACATAGGTGAAAGGCAGTGAATTCAAGCCAAAACATGAGCGTACATGTTCCCTTTTAAAAAGCAGATCTTGGTTTCTGGTATAACCTTCTTTCCATGAATTCTTCCACCTTTCAGCAACGCTTGGCCCGGACACAGAACCTTTGTGAATTAAGTGAAATCACTTAGAACTGTTTTAATGGCAGAGCAAAAGCTGTACTAGCACTAATAATAGCTTCCTTTGGGAAGGTACTTCACGGGTTTGTTCTGTCTACTTGTTTGTTTGTTTGTTCATTAATTTTTAAAAAATGCTTTCATTAGATGTTGAATACATACAAAAAACATCAACATACAAACACAGAGAGGAACTAGAAAGCATGTAGCATGTAACCCCCGTCAGCCTCACACATACAATATCTCCTCTACCTGTGAGGTCCCCTGTGTGCACCTTCCTGACCTCACTTCCCTCTCCACTCCCAGGGGAGCAAGATTTTTGTGTTCACATTTGTTCATTCAACAAACCTTTTACTGAACACCCCACTATACTGTGGGCCAGGCTGTGTGCTATAAAGTAGCAAACAAAACAAAAACTTTCCCCTTTCTTACTTAGAGCACTTTCACATTAGCCTTTTCAGTGTTATATGATATTATCAATATCCCAACGAGATACATACATACAGGCAACTAATAACCACTCCCTCAACTTCCTTTAACAGGTGAGGAAGTGGAGGCTCCCAAATGTTGACTTGTCACAGGTGACATGGTTTGTAAGTGGCAGAACTGGGGCGAGAAGCCAAGTGGTTGCCTCCTGTCCCTTCCTTCCATTGTACCACAGCGCTGGCCTCTCCTCTCCTCACCTGACACTCCATGGGTTCAAGTCATTGCTACCGGATGCCAAACTCTGCAGGTAAAGAAGGGCAACTGCAGCGCAGGGAGACGGGTGGGATTTGGAGACTCCTACCAGACCTGCATGTGGGCTGTGGAGTGGGGAGAGGAGGTTTCTCTGCAGTAAAGGAGTCCCCACTGGGGGCAGTCTTGTCCCCAGACATTTGGGTACACACCAAACTCCCATTTTAAAGTGGCATTGACTGGGTGCATTGCCTTGTGCCTGTAATCCCAGTGCTTTGGGAGGCAGGGCCAGGAGGATCGCTTCAGACCAGGAGTTTGAGACCAGCCTGGGCAATATAGCAAGACCCCATCTCTACAAAAAAAAAAAAAAAGAAATTAGGTGCACATCCTATAGTCCTAGCTACGCAGGAGGCTGAAGCGGAGGATCACTTGAGCCCAAGAGTTCAAGGCTACAGTGAATTATGATTGTGCCAATGCACTCTACCTTGGGCAACAGAGCAAGAGCCTGTCTCTAAAAACAAATAAATAAATAAATAAAAGTGGCATCACAGCATACAAACAAAGCCATCTTTTTGCCTTTTCCATTTGACTGGGAGAAAAATGTTTTTCTCCCAGTCAAGTAGTTGGTTTATTGGTTGCTTGAGTTGGATAAACTTGGTATCATTTATTTACAACTCAATTTCTACTTCACTTGTTGATATTTTGGCTTGGTATTCATGCCTCCCCATAAACAAAAATAGTGATGCCTCGGATGGCGGGGATGACAGTGAGACAGATCTCAGAGGCTGTCCAAGGGTGAAGAACGGCTTCCATTTATAGCTGCCACTCTGATCACTGGTAGCAGCTGCCTAGGTGTTGTTTTGAGAAGGCTCAAGGGCCATAATAGATTAGGAAGCGTGGGCTCTGGAGAATGGAGCGGGGGGCTCTTGTGCCACATGATTATCAACCCTGACGTAGGCTGTGATCAGCCAAGATTGGCCAGGCACCACAGGAGGCCTCACACCAGTCAGGTCTCTGGTGGCCAGTAGCTGGCCCTTCTATAGCTCCATCTCCTGGTATGTGGGCCTCACACTCTAAAGGGGGCACAGATCTGGTCCCTGGTTCCAGGCCCCTTCAAATGAGGATAAAGCCTGATAGGAAAGTCTCAGCCTCAAATCAGACGTGACCTCCACATGGCTCATCATTCATTCCACAAATGTTTACTGCATGCTTCTCTGTGCAGGTGCTGTGCTGGACACCGGGAAGCCAAGTGACTGGATGAGAGACACTGTCCTAAGAGTACTTGCCATCTAGTGCATGACACAGACATCCAGTGAATAATAGCAGCACAGTATCATGAAGGCTATGGTAGGGACAATCCAGGATCCTACCAGAGCTTATTCACATGGGTGGTCAGAAAAGAACGGCTGCCCATGGCATTGGGGCAGAGAAAAAATTGTACAACAAGCCAAAGAATGCCTATCCTTTCATGAAGCATTTTGGTGGGGCCATTCTGTGACCTGTCTATGCTTAATGATTCTAGGAATGGATTCAGTTACAGGCTGGACTCAGGGCTTCTTTGCAGTAAGTGACAGGCTACCACATACATACCACATATGCACACTGTGGTCTGAACAAGAACACTCGCTTAAAAGGAAAGTCAGGAGGAAAAGGAAAGGGTGACTTTTACTGCTTTGGCTGAAGGTACTGTATTTGCCAGTAGAGAACTTGGGGAAATCAAATATTTCAATTACCCTATAATCATGGAAGGTAAGACTGATGGGTGAGCTTTTAGCTGTCTTCACGGTGTTTACACATCTTTACATCCCATGGACATCCCTTTGGATCTAAATGGAAGTCCTAATTCCGAGGTCTTGATTTATTTTAGACATGGGAAGTACTTCTTAACTGAACAGTCAGGGTTAAGTCAGGGAAGGGAACCCCTTGGAGTTATGGGATAAAGGACACACTTATTATAGGAATTGGACATTACACAACTTTGGGAGGAACTGGAGAGGTGAAGGCCCCGGAGGAATGGGAGGATCAGAGAAGGAGCCGCCAAGCAGTCCCTTGGACAAGCTAAGCACATCCTGCTGCTGTGGAGGGGCTGAAAAGAGAAGCCTGTGGTCCCTCCTCCGTGGAAATGCCATCTGAGGGAGGGGCTGGGGCTGCTGTCGGTCCTGGAGTCAGCAGTCAGGAAGAGGACTGGATGTGGAGTGCAGGACAGCAAGGACAAGCTGGAACCCGCTGGCCTCTCTGTGTCTGTCACCACATCTAACCCTGATGACTTTCTGAGAGTGATGGCCACTGCTTCACATTTTCCAAACCTGGTACAAGTTCTTCTTCTGGCCAAATTTAACTCAGAACTGTACAGGGAAAGGGATCTCGAAAAGATAGTTCCATCTTAGCCAAGTGAACAGAGCACAAACCATCACATTTGAAGAAAAGGCTGAAGGTAGAGAGAGAATACTCTGCCTTAATTAAGAAACAAATACTTGGCTGGGTGCGACGGCTCATGCCTGTAATCCCAGCTCTTTGGGAGGCTGAGGCCGGCGGATTGTTTGGGCTCATAAGTTTGAAACCAGCCTGGGCAACATGGCAAAACCCCGTCTCTACAAAAAAATACAAAAATTAGCTGGGTGTGGTGGCATGTGCCTGTAGCATCACCTACTCTGGAGGCCGAAGTAGGAGGATGGCTGGAGCCTGGGAGACAGAAGTTGCAGAGAGTTGACATCACGCCACTGTACCCCAGCCTGGGTAACAGAGTCAGATCTTGTCTCAAGAAAAAAAAAAAAAGAAAGAAAGAAAGAAAGAAAAAAAAAAAACACTGCAGAACTTCCTAGTTCAAAGAACCAGAGGTAAACTCGTGGTGTGCGTGTGTGTGTGTGTGTGTGTGTGTGTGTGTGAAGTGCTTGGGGAGTTTTGTTGAAAGGATAAATTTCCAGGCCTCATCTCTTAAGAGTCCGGGGTGGGGCACCTGTTTTAACAAGCTTAGTAGGTGATACTGATACACACAAAAGCTTGAAAACCACTGTCCTCAACCTTACAAGCAAATAATAGGTTATTAATTAATTCAAGTTGAATGACCTGCTATTGGAAGCCCTATATCAATAATTTGCCATTTAGGGACACTTGGATGGTTACCCAGATGCCAACAGTGTCCCAAATTGCCTCCTGAGCTGGACTTTATGTCCTCCATCTCCCTGCCTGAATACTTTTAAGAACAAGCTAAAATGCAGATTCGAGACTCACACCTGAACTCTTCTATGAGGGAGCTGGGTGTGGTTGGATAGCAAGAGGAATCTCATGGTGATACCGCCAAGGGGCTAATGGATTGGGAAAGCCAAAGGTGTGCTCCACCCTGCAAACTGGGTTTACTGGTAACTCACACAAGTGATTTCTCTCATCCAGATAATTACCATTAAACAATATGTATCTGTCACCCCAAAGTGTGTGGGCATTGATGCAGCGTACCATGTGAAGCATGTAAAAATGATAGCTACCAGCCTTAGAAGTTGGAGGTGGAGGTGAACTTACAGACCTCCCCAAGTGCCTTGTTTGCCCTGCCACACTCATACCCACGCCCCAGCCAGCCATAAACCCACCTGCCCCTACCCTGCACCAGAGAAACTTCTGACACAGCTGCCAAAGCAGCTGACAGTGTCAGCCACTAGCTCCTTGGGCAGGCAGTATGGGCAACTCAAGAACAGTCAAAGGGCCAGCGTGGTGGCTCATGTCTGTAATCCCAACACTTTGGGAGGCCGAGGCAGGTGGATCACCTGAGGTCAGGAGTACCAGACCAGTCTGGCCGACATGGTGAAACCTCGTCTCTGCTAAAAATACAAAATATTAGCAAGGGGTGGCGGCACATGCCTGTAGTCCCAGCTACTTGGAAGGCTGAGAATTGGTTGAACCTGGGAGCCAGAGGTTGCAGTGAGCCGAGATCATGCCACTACACTCCAGCCTAGGTGACAGAGTGAGACATTGTCTCAAAAAAAAAAAAAAAAGAAAGAAAGAAAGAAAGAAAGAAAAAAGGAAAAAAAAAAAAAGAAGAGTCAGAGGAAGATGGGGCAGGGCCCAGAGTGGCCCAGCTAAAGTGCAAGGGTGAGCTGATCTAGATCTTCCTGCAGAGCATATGGGGCAGAGTCCAGGCCAGCATGTACACCTCTAGACTGCCTTCTTCCCTTGCCTTCCTTTTCTATCTCTGTAAACAGAATCCAAAGGCACTGATGCATATTAAATGCCCCTGTTCCCCTGTCTTCTCCCTGTGTTCTTCTTCTAGTATTGTTCAGCATTAATCCTACTGACTGAACAAACCAGTGAGCCAGGGGTCCTCAATTGTGCCTCAGCCACTCAGGGAGCTTGTCAGTGATGCATATTCCTCAGTGTCACCTTCAAAGAACCTGACTCAATAGGTGGGACTTGGAAAACTGAATTTTATCTTCTTAATTTTTTTTATTTTTTATTTTTGAGACAGAGTTTCACTCTTGTTGCCTAGGCTGGAGTGCAATGGCATGATCTTGACTCACTGCAACCTCCATCTCCCGGGTTCAAGCAATTCTCCTGCCTCAGCCTCCCAATTAGCTGGTATTACAGGTGCATGCCATCATGCCTGGCTAGTTTTTTTTTTTTTTTTTTTGTATTTTTAGTAGAGATGGGTTTTCACCATGTTGGCCAGGCTAGTCTCAAACTCCTAATGTCAAATGATCCACCAGCCTCGGCCTCCCAAAGTGCTGGGATTACAGGTGTGAGCCACCATGCCTGGCCTGGAAAATTGAATTTTAAACAAGTGCTACCAAGGATTCCCAGGCAGATGATCAGGGACAACATTCTAGAAAACACCGTATGAGGCAGGAGGTGGTGCAGGAAGAGGAGAAAGAGACAGACCAGAATAAGGCCTCACAATCTGGTTGAAAAGGCAGATCACACACAAATGAAAAAGACTTAGGACAGGCAATATGCATATCCCTGCAAAGAGCCAGGGCACCTAGGGCACAACATTTAAGGAGGTCCTCAGGCTCAGGTGCACTTGCATGATCCTAGATTAAGTGTCTCCTTAAATTGTGCACCCTAAGTACCTTTCTTGCTTCAATCTCATCATTGTCCTGGTACCAACAATTATGTCTGGCACATCGTAGGCACTCTAAATATTTGATGAATGAATAAATGCATTTATTTAACAAACATTTACTGAGTGCAAACTATTATACTAGGTATAGGTAACTGGGTGTAGGGGTGAGTCCGGGAGAAAATGACAGTCTAGAAATGAATTGGACTCAGACTCCACTTTGAAAGAAGTTTATAGGCCAGGTGCAGTAGCTCAGGCCTGTAATCCCAATACTTTGGGAGGCTAAGGCAGGAGGATCACTTGAGCCCAGGAAGTCAAGGCTGCAGTGAGCTATGATTGCACAACTGCACTCTAGCCTGGGCAACAGAGTGAAATCCTGTCTCAAAAAAAATTTTTTTAATAAAAATGTTTATGAACTCATAAGGTCTGAAGACCAGGAAAAAAAAAGATGCAAGGTGGTGAAGGTGGTGGAAAGGAAGGTGCTGGAGTGGAAGCGAAGGGGTTTTGTATATCTCTGCTAGACTACATGCTCCATGAGAGCAGTAGCCCTGCCTCTTCTGGTATATCCCCATTCCTGAAACAGCACAGGTACAAGATGGGTATTTCATGTACATTGGTCAAGTGACTAAATGGCCAGAGCCAGTCTTAAAGTTCCAGAGATATACACTAGTGTGTTTTGCAGCCTTATAATTGAGTCTAAGTACAGGAAAGCAGGTGCCTGGAATTAGGTGAGGTTTTTTTTTTTTTTTGAGACAGAGTCTCGCTCTGTTGCCGGGCTAGAGTGCAGTGGCGCGATCTCGGCTCACTGCAAGCTCTGCCTCCCGGGTTCATGCCATTCTCCCGCCTCAGCCTCCCAAGTAGCTGGGACTACAGGCGCTTGCCACCACGCCCGGCTAATTTTTGTATTTTTAGTAGAGGCGGGGTTTCACCACGTTACCCAGGATGGTCTTGATCTCCTGACCTCGTGATCTGCCCGCCTCGGCCTCCCAAAGTGCTGTGATTACAGGCGTGAGCCACTGCGCCTGGCCTAGGTGAGGTTAATTACAAAGGCCCCACTAATGATCTAACCCAGTGGTTCCTGCACTTGGTTGATTATCAAAACCACTTGAGGAGGGCTTGGAAAATACTGACTCCCAGGCCCTACACTAGAGGTATGAAGTCAGGGAAGCGACTCAGGAATCTGTATTTGGATTTCCTAATGAGCAGCTCATGATCACCCTGGCTTGGGAACTGTTACTGTAACCAGGAGTAAGGACTCCAGGTTTTAGAGAGCACTTGGTGGGCCCAGCCTGGCAGAGTGGCCGTGGTCCCCAGGCACATACCACACCAGGACGGGGAAGCAATGAGCAGCCTGCCTGGGCTCCTGTCCACCCACCAACAATGTGACTTGTTTTTAGACTTCTCTCTCTGCATCTCTGTTCCTTCCTCTGTGGAGGAGGGCACATAGGCAGCTTGTGGTAAGGCCAAGGGAGATAACTTCACAGAGATGTAGCCAGCGCCCAGTGCAGTCGTGTTTGGTCCTTATCACACTCATCTTTCTAGCAACACACCCAGCTTCTCAATTTCCTTTTCTGGACTCTACCAAAGTCAGACCTGGCATCAAAGGATTGGATGGCTACGGTAGAAGCTTTACACATGCTCAGAAGACTTTGGGGGAGTGGTAAAGCCCAGAGAGGAAGCTTCCATCAGGGACCCAACAGTTGGGTTGAAACCCTGATTTTAGGGTTTAGTGCCAATCTTAGTGCTATTTTCTCTCAAAGACAGCCATGACTCCTGCCCTCTCTTCTCTTCTCTAGATCTTTCCCGAATCCTCTTCCAGCACCCTCACTGTTCCTGCCCTTACCCCTAGCTGGGGTGCCAGCTGGGCCATCAGATGGACAGGCATGTGCCTGTGGGGAGGACTGATACTGTAGGCCACAGAGGAGCCCTCAGCAGGTCTCGAGTCCCCTCACAAGGACAGGAGAGTGCTATCCTTCACGTTGCTCCTTTAGGCCAATTCTCTCCCCAGGTAAATGATGAGGAGACAACTGAACAAAGAAAAGCCCCTGAACTCCCAAACCCAGAAACATTCTTCAGCACAGGAAAGGAGAAAGCAGGCCGGGAGCAGTGGCCCACAGCTGTAATCCCAGCACTTTTGGAAGCCGAGGTGGGTAGGTCACTTGAAGTCAGGAGTTTGAGATCAGCCTGGCCAACATGGCGAAACCCTGTCTCTAGTAAGAATACAAAAATTAGCTGGGTGTGGCAGTGGGTACCTGTAGTCCCAGCTACTCAGGAGGCTGAGGCAGGAAAATCTCTTGAACTCCGGGGACATAGGTTGCAGTGAGCCGAGATCACACCACTGCACTCCAGCCTGGGTGACAGAGCGAGACTCCGTCTCAAAAAGCCTAAGAAAAGGAGGAAACTAAAAATGGCCTCCTTGCTTCTGTACACAGTCCACCTGCCTTCCTCATCTGAGCCCAGCGAAATAGAACTGCAAGGCTGCTTCTTCTCCTGCACCAAGCTTGTCATCCTTCTGAAAGGGAGGAGTCAGCCAGATGGTGGCCACTGAGACTCCAGGGCCATCTCTGAGAGAACCTCTGCTTCAGAAAGAGGTCAGCTGTCAAAACAAACTGATGCAGAGGCACTTCCCCAGGGGAATCTCAAACTGTAGGCAGCCAGGCCTGGGAAGTGGGTTATTAACCTCGTGACCCTTTATCACTTTCTCCTTAATAGCTTTAGGCACCTTCTACATGGTGTCTGGGGGAAAAACCCACCCTTTGTTTTGGAGGATGACGCAAACATTTTACAAGTAATGTATTGGCCTGTGTTTAACCTTTATTCAATGGGTCCTAATTTATTTCACTAATTGACTGCTCAATTCCAGTAAAATCTCTGGTTCTAGGTTTACAGCCTGCTGAACAAGTGATTCAGAGGTGTATACCCACAGCACAGAGCATCTCGCCACAGTTCAGGTGACAGTGCCTTCCGCTCCATGAAGAATATCTCCATGGAAAAGGAATTCCGGGCCAGACGCAGTGGCTCATGCCGGTAATCCCAACGCTTTGGGAGGCAGGGATGGGAGGATCTCTTGAGGCCAGGAGTTCGAAACCAGCCTGGGCCACATAATGAGATCTCTTCTTTACAAAAGTAAAAAAAATTAGCCAGGTGTGATGGTGTGCACTTGCAGTCCTAGCTACTCGGGAGGATCTCTTAAGCCCAAGAGTTTAAGGTTGCTGTGAGCTGTGCTTGAGCCACTAGGCTCCAGCCTGGGCAACAGAGTAAGCCCTTGTCTATAAAAAGAAAGAAGAAAGAAAAGGAATTCTATTTGTTTGGGGTAGTAATTCCCCAATAGCAGAACTGGGATTGGTGGGGTGGGTGGAAAAAATCTTGGCACAAGGAAAAACTTTTAAACAATTATACTTGTTTAAAAAGAAAAAGAAAAAGAAAACAAGGTGCCTAGGGAGGTGGTGGGCATCCGAGCACTGGGGTGTAGGAGCGGGGCTAAGGGGCTGTGCTGGGAGGGGTCTGAGCTGCTGCCGGAGGAGCCCAACGCAGCTCAGGGTTCTGAGATGAATGCTCAGGTCAGAAAGCTATATATACAGAGCTATCTTCTTGTCCAGGGCCAGGGAAATGCTTTTTCAGGCTGGACTAAGGAGGGAGGCTTTCTACAGGTGAAGACCAGTTGCAGAACGCTTCCAGTTATTTCAAGAGGCATTAGCAACATAGAGCATCCACGTGAACTTATTTACAACCTGGAGATAGCATTATTCATATTGGTCAGAGAGCTGCTGTAAATATGGTAATGGGCTTGGAGCAGAGCCCTAGCTCAATAAGTGTTAGAGATTATTATGATTACTATATAGAAAAACTAGTAGTCACTTCCTTTCTGAAGACACACTGATTAAAACTCAGTTAACGTGCCCACTTCTTCAGGTACAGGAAATAGTAACATTGTCTGAAACGCCACACTTAAGTACAAGGTACAATAATCTGTGTTAACTAGTATATACTTTACAGTGCACATTTACCTCTTTCATGTATATATGGGGTCAATATGCAATAAGCATATGTCTATTTATCATTACTCAGGTGTTCATTATCCAATTCCTTAAAGTTAGGAAGTTCAGTAGTGAAAATATTCACTAATACATATATTAGTGACTATATAGTGAATATATTATATTCACAATACACATATTAGTGAATATATTATATTCACAATACACATATTAGTGAATATATTATATTCACAATACACATATTAGTGAATATATTATATTCACAATACACATATTAGTGAATATATTATATTCACAATACACATATTAGTGAATATATTATATTCACAATACACATATTAGTGAATATATTATATTCACAATACACATATTAGTGAATATATTATATTCACAATACATATATTAGTGAATATATTATATTCACAATACATATATTAGTGAATATATTATATTCACAATACATATATTAGTGAATATTATATTCACAATACATATATTAGTGAATATATTATATTCACAATACATATATTAGTGAATATATTATATTCACAATACATATATTAGTGAATATATTATATTCACAATACATATATTAGTGAATATATTAGTCACTTATAAAACTGGTCCCTATTAAAAAACATCACTTCAGCTAACACTATACCCCAATGACTAGGTTAAAACATCACTTCGGTTAACACCTACTGCCCCACTGATTAGGTCTCTGTGGGTCAGTCTCTTGCCTTTGTAAAAATTCAGCAAATGTAACATAAATATTATGCAAATTGCCTTCAGACTGAAGCTGCAAAACTTGCAAAAGATACAGGATTTAATGAAGGTGACAAAAGTAATATTGGCAAATTGCTTGAACTTCAAGCAAAGACATTGACAAATAAAGATTTGGCATGTTTAAACCAGTTCACAATTGAAGAGCAGAGTGCTGAGAAAGATGGTGCCACATAGGCCCTTCAAAATAAAATAATTTAAATATCAAAGGATAAAAAGAGGCTTTTAGGAAAACTAATAAACTCTTTTTTTTTCTTTTCTTTGGGGCAGGGTCTTGCTCTGTTGCCCAGGCTGGAGTGCAGTGGCGTGATCTCGGCTCACTGCAACCTCCGCCTCCTGGGCTCAAGCGATCCTCTGACCTCAGCCTCCCAAGTAGCTGGGATCACAGGCACGTGCCACCATGCCCAGCTAATTGTTGTTGTACTTTTTTGTACAGATGGGGTTTTGCCATGTTGCCCACGCTGATAAACTCTTATTTTGCAAAACAAACAAAACCAAAAAACTCCACCTCTTCTATGACAGGGTTTAAAAGTCCAAGTGAAAGATGTTATCATATAAAAGTTTGTTAGGAAATGAATATTGAGAAAAGTAACTAACATATAATTCATTTTGTAACAATTAATGCATAGTTGCAATTATAACCTAGATTTGTTAAACTAAGAAAATATATTTTAATCTTTTAATTTCATTTCTCAGTAGGAAGTTCCAATCAAACATTTTTCACACTGATTACAAAATCATGATTCTCTTTTTAAGTGGATTCATATTAAATGTCCTTGCCTGATAGCAATTATCGTCAGATGTGGGAAGACAGAGAGTGTGCACAAGCACCAGTGATCGTTCTGACAATTGCCTAATTCTTTAGCTAACTAGCAGGAAGAAACAGAAACAAACAGAGAGCCACCATCCTTTCCTTAATGTCTTGCCTGAATCTGGAGCAATGGTTCTCGACCTTGGCTGTACGTTGGAATCACTTTGGAGCACTCTAAAAACTACACACGTCTGAGTGTCACCCCCAGAGACACCCACTTCATTGGTCTTGGATGTGGCTGAAGTGGGGATTTTTTTTTGAGATGGAGTCTCACTCTGTCACCAAGGCTGGAGTACAGTGGTGCGATGTTGGCTCACTGCAACCTCCACCTTCCAGGTTCAAGGGGTTCTCCTGCCTCGTCCTCCCGAGTAGCTAGGATTGCAGGTGTGTGCCATCACCCCCAGCTAATTTTTGTATTTTTAGTAGAGACAAGGTTTGGCCATGTTGGCCAGGCTAGCCTCGAACTCCTGACCTCAAGTGATCCACCTGCTTCAGCCTCCCAAAGTGCTAGGATTATGGGCGTGAGCCACTGCGCCTGGCCTGAAGTGGTGATTTTTAAGACCTCAAGTGATTCTAACACGCAGCCAAGGTTGAGATACACTAATCTTTCCTAATTTTTGCTCTTGCAAAAGGACCTATATCACATTCCACTACAGCCCTTTTCCTCATCCTTCCACTTTTTCCTCCCAGTTAATCCTATTCCTTTTCTAGTGTTGCTATATCTCAAGAATTGTTAAAGCCCACTGCCCCAAAAGGTGAAGGGAGTCTTGTGAACTCAGGCCACAGGCAATGGGCGGAGGAAGGTGGGAGGGCTGGGGACTGGGTGGGGACGGGGTTGGGGTGGGGTGGGAGGGAACCTGGAGACCCAGGAAAGCAGGAGGAGGATCAGAGGGGAGGGAAGGCCAGGGACAGAGAAGGGAGTGGAGGAGGGTGGAGGGACTGGGGACCCAGGAGTGGGAGAGGAGAAGTGGGCTGGGGACCAGGGATTGATGGAGGAAGGGAGGAGAGGGAGGGTTGGGGACCCAGGAGTGGGGAACAGGGGAGGTAGACAACCTCCAAGCAGCACGTTCCTAGTCCTTCCAGCCTGCTTACAGCTGGACAGACGGCAGCCTTCAAAGCTGAATGCACCAGGGAACAAACACTGTTCCCGCAGCAGCCGTATAACCCAAATTTAAGTTGAAATGTTCTGCATTATGCTTGGAGTTTGGATTCTATCCTGGAGCAGCAGGCAGCAGAAGCCAGCCACCCGGAGTCCCAGCAGACCACAAATGACTTTTGGAACTGAACACCACTGCTGCTGTGCTGATGGGACCTTAGAGCCAGGCCCTAGATGAACCCGTTTCACCACCTACTTGCTCTCCCCTGGGCTGTGAGGGTCTTTTCATTCCACTTAGTTGGGTGTGAAACAATGTCCTGTCCTTTAAAATGTGCTTTTTCACCACTGCCTTTCACCTTGTCCAAGAAAGGCAGTCATGAAAAAGCACATTTTAAAATTAACATTTCCTTTTGAGAAAGTGATCAGTACAAGAAAAGCCAGTTCCAGAGACCCAAGGCCTTGTACTGAGCACTGCATCCACATTGGTTATGACAACCTGCGACCTCTACCCACAGGCATGACAGCCTGCTCCTCACCACTCCCAGGCCATACTCCCTCCAGATTTCAAGGGGGTCTGACCACCTCCTGGATAATGTGCCAATCAGGATGGGCGCACCTGTAGTCCGAGCTAGGCCGGAGATTCCCAGGATGCTGAGTCACGTGCTGTACAGTTTGGCTGGAGGTGGATGTGGCCGCTGCTGAGTGTATCTATTACTCCAATGGTGGAAAAAATGTAGATTTTCCCAAAACCAGCCAACCAGGCACATATCCAACCCTGCTGGTAATGGGCACACCAGATCTGACTGCACAGAAGGCAGGTTTGATTTTTCTGAAAGAGGCAAGGTGCCAGTGAGGTATACCCGCTGCTTTCCTGCACAGGCACTTACCTACAGTTTCACCGAGTTCTGCTTCCCATCCCAAACCGTGGGAATCCAATAGTCAAACATTTTAATGGCATCCAGACTCTCTTTTTGTTTCATCCAGTCATTCCTGGAGCACACATACATTGTCTCAGCGTCTTGAAGGAAAGGGAGATATGGACACGGTACTTTATGCATCAGGACATCAGAACTAGGGCAACACTCTCCTTGTTATTGCATATTTATTTTGTGGCATATTCTAGGACCATTACACAAGCACTTTGAAACTACAACCAATTAAAGCTTTGAATTAGATGTGTAAGTTAGTTAGAGGCCAAATTGTTCCACCATCTGGTTTAGGGGACTGAGGAATCCATTCATTTCTCAAACATTATTAGAGACAGGCTTCTTATGTGATTAGTTCTGGGCAGTGGACATCGGTAACTAAGGTTCTGAACCTCCGTGAACTTACAGTCTAATGGAGAACAGAGATACCTGTATTATAGATGACCATGCTGTGTGGAATGTGCTACAGGGGAGACAAGCACAATGAAGGGACTTCCTAAGGTTCTATGTCAAATCAATGGTGTCACCAAACCCAGGGAAGACAAATCCCTGATCTAACACATCCTTTTTTTTTTTTTTTTCCAGACAGGGTCTCGCTGTGTCACCCAGACTGGAATGCAGTGAGATGACCTTGGCTCACTACAACTTCTGCCTCCCGGGCTCAAGTAATCCTCCCACTTCAGCCTTCTGGGACTACAGGCGCATGCCACCACACCTGGATAATTTTTGTGGTTTTTGTAGAGATGGAGTTTCACCATGTTTCCCAGGCTGGTCTTGAACTCCTGGACTGAAGCAATGCCCCTGCCTTGGCCTCCCAATGTGCTGGGATCACAGGCATGAGCCATCGCACCTGGCCCTAACACATCTTTGTGTGAAGTTGTCCACATCACACTGGGACTCAGCCCTGTCTGCTAGGGACATATTGTAGGTGGATGTAGCAAGAAGCTAAGATGAAAAGAAGTTGACTCTAGCCAAAAAATGTCAAAGAGGAAGAGTTCAAGACCTGTTGTGAGGTAATGGTGAGGAAGATGGCACCCGAGATGGAGAACTAGCTTTGTTTTAGGTCATGCAGGGCTGGACTGTGAAGACCCTTACACATTGTGGTAGAAGAGGGTTGTGGGGTGAGGGGTGATTTTGCTCTAAGGTTCTTCTACTGCAGGTGAAGAAATCTGAATTAAAAGCTCAGTTTTTAAGTACTTCATCATTAATCCAAACAAAGTTCTTCCCTTATTTTACTTTTTATTTTTCCTTTATACCCCTAAACCCTAATTATATTCCCTTCACCCCACAGCACCTACTTTAATATATCTTTATATATGCATGGATGCTGTCTTACAAAAGTTATATTATTTTAGGTGAGATGTCTTTACAAAAATGATAATGTACTATATATCCTTTCCTATTTCCTATGTTTTTCCCTTACCCCTCAGTGTTTTTTTGTTTTTTGAGACAGGGTCTCACTCTGTCACCCAGGTTGGAGTGCAGTGATATGATCTTGGCTCACTACAGCCTCAGTCTCCAGGCTCAAGTGATCCTCCCACCTCAGCCTCCCATGTATATGGGACTACAGGCATCGGCAACCACACCCAGCTATTTTTTTTGTTTTTTAGTTTTTGTAGAGACAGGGTCTCACTGTGTTGCCTAGGCTGGTCTCAAAACTCCTGGGCTCATGCAATCCTCCCATCCAAGCCTCTCAAGGTGCTGGAATTGCAGGCATGGGCCACTGTTCCCAGCTACCCCTGGATTTTAAAGATCTATAGTGCTGCAGTATACTTCCAGTTGGTTATTTCTTACTGTTACTTAGTATTCAACAGTCTACATCTGCCATATTTTATTAATCCCTTTCTCTAGTGATAAGCACCTAAGCTGCCTTCAACATCCAGCTACGCCAATCAATTTCATGATGAGCATCCTTATGAACTTGTGGGAGAACTTCCTCGGAAAAAATATATATTCCAGAGTTATTCACAGGTCATAGGATATGTGCATGCTTCATCTCAACAAAGCCAGATTGCTTTCCTAAGTGGTGGTACTGGTTCTAGTTGACACTCCCTCCAACAGTGCCCAAGAGTTCTATAATATCTTCCACATTCTCAGCTGCACTGACCTTTCTGCTCCTGGTCATTCTTAGACAGAAGCTTAGAGTAAATGTAACCAACAGGAGCTATCAAAGGCTCTTCACCTCATGAGAACCATGAGAAAAGGGGCTTTTGAAGAATTGTGCAGGAATGATTGATCTTACTTGAAAAACCAGAAGATGAAACATATGTTGTATTCTCTGGGAATTTTGTGAGATATTCGGCATTACAAATGCAAAATATTTTCTGCATATATTTATTTTTTTGCACAAATATCTCATTCAGTCTTTGCCTCCACCCCCCATGTTTGGCTAGTTTCTACTGACTTGGTTTGAAGCATTCTTTGAGTTGGCTGTGGCCAGTCTTCATCATGACCTGGTGGTGGTAGGCAGCAAAGGGGAGGTGGAGTTGCAAGACCAGAGTGTCCTGCTGAGCAGAAGACTGGCCTCATGAGATGAGCTGGGCCTTCCTCCCTATCTTCAGCTGTCATTCTCCTTGGGTCAGAGGGTAGAATATTAAAATGACAATAATAGGCCCATGCGCGGTGGCTCAAGCCTGTAATCCCAGCACTTTGGGAGGCCGAGGCAGGCGGATCACCTGAGCTCGGGAGTTTGAGACCAGCCTGGCCAATGTGGCAAAACCCTGTCTCTACTAAAAATACAAAAATTACCTGGGTGTGACACATGCCTGTAATCCCAGCTACTCGGGAGGCTGAAGCAGGAGAATCACTTGAACCTGGGAGGTGGAGGTTGCCCTGAGCCGAGACCGTGCCACTGCACTCCAGCCTGGGCAACAGAGTGAAATTCATCTAAAAAAAAAAAAAAAAAAAAGAGGGCAATAATAATAAGGCACATTTATAGAGTAGTTTGGACCCTGCTACTCAAAGTACGGTCCTCAGAGTAGCATCTTAGGTATCACCTGGGATGCTGCTTGGTAGAAATGCAGAATGTTGGGGCCCAACCCAGAATCACTGAATCAGAACCTGCTTTGAGCAAGATCCCCAAGGGATTCTATGCACATTACAATTTGAATAGCACTACTTCAGTCTTTGCCAAACATGTTCACATTGATTATCTCACTTAAACTCTTCTCAACACCCCTGATTTCCTCAGGTATAGTTATGTAAATCTTATGTTGCAGTTGAGGAAACTGAAGCTAAGCAGGTTAAAACAACTGGCCCAAGAATATCCAGAAGAGCCCCATGAAAACAGATTTTTTAATCCCCAATGTCATACTTTGTTTCTATCCCTTTCACCCCATGCCTCGTTTTTCCTCACTCCAGCTGCCTACTGGAGGTGAGGCCGGCAAGTCTTGCAGCCCTCAGGATCTTTCTCTGTTGGGCTCCAGACCTGAAATATGGCAAATTTGGCTTGAGACCAAAAATGCTCACTGCTTTTCGGCCTCAATCCTTCTCTACCTTCACTGCAAGTCTCAGTTAGGAGTTCAGAGGACGCTATGGTCTGAATGTTTGTGTCCTCCAAAATTTATGATTCAAATCCTAGTTCCCAAGATGATGGTACTTGGACCTGGGGCCTTTTGGGAGGTGATTAGGTCATGCGGGCTCTGGGATTAGTGCCCTTAGGAAATAGGCCCAAGGGAACCTGTTTGTCCCTTCTACTGTCTGAGGGCACAGTGAGAAAGCTCCATCTATGAGAAAGAGTGCCCTGATAAAACAGTGAATCTGCTGGCACCTTGATCTTGAACATTCTAGCCTCCAGAACTGTGAGAAATAAATTTCTGTTGTTTATAAGTCACCCACTTATAGCATTTTATTACAGCAGCCTGAAAAGATGAAGACAGAGGGACAGCCAGACCTTCACTCGGTGTGAGGTGTGTGGAGTTATTAGTGGGTCTCTCCTTTGAGTGAAGTTTATCAAGTTCCATTTTTTTCTTCTTAAAAGCAGGTTAAGCAGGGGTGCTGAATCTGGGGTTCCTCAGACTCCCAAGGCATCTGTGGATATAATTCAAGGAGTCTGTGATCTTGGATGAGACAAATATTTAACATTTTTATTTGCACTAATCTCTTACCACACCTAGCATTTTCTTTACTGTAACTACAGGAAACAAACCACACTAGGCTCAGCAGGACCTATGACCTGTGACTTTGTCACTAAGAGAAATCACAGATATTTCCATATTACATAACTATGCAGACCTTGAAATCTCATTTATGCTCATGATAACTTCAATATTACCTCAGTTGTTAGTCCCATACTAGATCTTGTTATTAAATGTGTTAATAGGTGGAGTGCAATGTGGCTCATGGCTGTAATCCCAGCACTTTGGGAGGCCGAGAGTGGCGGATCACCTGAGGTCAGGAGTTTGAGACCCGTGTGGCCAACATGGTGAAACCCCGTCTCTACTAAAAATACGAATATTAGCCAGGCGTGGTGGCATGCGCCTGTAGTCCCAGCTACTCAGGAGGCTGAGGCAGGAGAATCACTTGAACACGGGAGGCAGAGGTTGCAGTGAGCCAAGATTGCGCCACGGCACTCCAGCCTGGGTGACAGAGTGAGACTGTGTCTCAAAAATAATAATAATAATAATAATAATAATAAACAAATGTGTTAAAGCAGCACTATAATGCCAAAATACCATTATATATGTATGTGAATATGTGTGTGTGTGTGTGTGTATATATATATGTAATCATTTTTAGTTTTTAGAGACAAAGTCTCTCTTGTCACCCACACTTGAGTGTAGTGGCACCATCATGGCTCACTGCAGCCTTGACCTTCCGGGCTCAAGCAATCCTCCCAACTCAGCCTCCTGAGCAGCTGGGACTACAGGCATGTGCCACTATGCCTGGCTAATTTTTTTTTATTATTTGTAGAGACGGAGTCTTCCTATGTTGCCCAGACTGGTCTCAAACTCCTGGGCTCAAGTGAGCCTTCTGCCTCAGTCTTCCAAAGTGCTGGGATTACAAACGTGCACCACCTCATCCAGCCTATGTTTTTTATATTTGGATAAATGTGTTATCAATATAATGGCTTCATTTGTAATCTTATGAACTTCATTTTATGAGCTCAAAAGCATTATCCTGAGAAGGAGTTCATAGGTTTCGTTAACCTGTAAAAGGACCATTTCAGATTCTAGAACCTTCATCACATCCTCCAGTCTGTTTTTGATTGTTGTTTTGGGTTGGTTCATGTCACGCTCGGATTTATTTTACTTTTTTTATCAGTAGCAACATAGCACTTAAAACCAAAAGGGGCCTATATGCTTGTCTTCAGGAGTGAAACGAAGACTCTCCTGAGAAGACGGCACTCCACTGCACAGCCAGGCTTGGTGGCAGTGGGGGCTAAGAACCCCAAGGAAGAACATGCATGACCCTTGCCCTCCTTCTGGAAGATCGTCTCAACATTCAGAAAATTTCAATAAAAAAATGCCACGTGCTAAATAGAGAGACCATCAGCCATAGCTTTTGCTGACTGCTTACCCTTCTACAGCTTTATATCATAATCTTGATTATAACCCACAAAGAAGCTGGAAGATGTTTGGCCTTTGAAAAACAACACCCCTCCTCTCACCCATGATGCCAGGCAAGATTACCAGAATTCTGACACTGGAACAGGTAAAAGTCACTGGGTCTATCCAGAGAAAATGAAAGGTCCTACTTTTAAGAAGCTGTAAGAACACTACCTTTACAATTATTGATGTGCAAAGAGATGTTCCTGATAGGTTAAGTAAAATAAGAAAAAGCAAGTTACAAGATAGCATGTTTTATAACATATATACAGAGGGGAGTGAGAAGACAGGGTAAAGAGCCTGAAAATATATGTATCAAAATGTTAGTAGAGGTTAATTCTGGAAGTGGGATTACAAGGGATTTTCATCTTTTTATTCCTTTTTGTATTTTTTTAATGATCAGTATGTTTTACCTTTGTTAAGAAAAAAATAAGGGAACGCAGCTGTGTTCATTTGGTAAAAATCACAATGTTAAGTAACTATATTTTACTGCTACTTGGAACCTTGCAGAGCCACTTAACCACTTAACTGGCTTCTCACTTCTTGAGGAGATAAAAAGAGCAAATGGAGAGTGGAGGAATTTAATTTTTTTTTTTTACAAAAATAAATCCCTATAGTGTTATATCATGGACTTTATACAGTGGGCCACATTAGGACCTCCAGATTCTTACTGCACCAAGTAATAACCGGTGCATAGCAGGTGCTCCATCAAGGTGAACTCCCTTTCTTCCTATTACACATTTATTTCCATCTCAAAGCACTCAAGGGAGTGCTTGCTGGTGGTGTGGAATATTTTTCTTCCAGATCTCCATTTCTCTCTTTTTTCTTTTTTTTTTTTTTTCTTTGAGACAGAGTCTCGCTCTGTTGCCCAGGCTGGAGTGCAGTGGCACGATCTCGGCTCACTGCAGCCTCCGCCTCCCAGGTTCAAGCAATTCTCCTGTCTCAGCCTCCTGAGTAGCTGGGACTACAGGTGCCCGCCACCACGCCTGGCTAAGTTTTGTATTTTTTTAGTAGAGACGGAGTTTCACCATATTGGTCAGGCTGGTCTCGAACTCCTGACCTCAGGTGATCTGCTCGCCTCGGCCTTCCAAAGTGCTGGGATTACAGGTATGAGCCACCACGCCCAGCCACTTCCCATTTCTCTAAGGTAAAAATAAAGTATTTCTTCCTTGCTCTGATTTTTTTTCCTTTTCTACTTTACTAGTTTTTCTAGTTCTCCTTCCTGGGGCTTTCTCCAAGGTATTTTAGATTCTTTTTTTTTAAAAAAAGAAAAAAAAAGTACTCTTATAAAATGAGTATTTTGAAAACTGTAGCTGTCCCTCCAGAACTGAAAGAAACACACATGGACTATTTCAGTTATCTCTTGCAGTATAGCAAACCACCCCAAAACCCAATGACACTCCTGTGGACAGAAGCGGGACCGTGGAGTGGAGGGGAGGCAGGAAGTGATGCCTGGGCTGCTCTTTTATTTATTGTTCATGATTCTGTGGGTCAGGGCTTGGTGGGGATGGCTCATCTCTGCTCCATGTGGTGTCAGCTGGGCCTGCGTGACTGGGGCTGGCGGGTCCCAGGTGGCCCTGGTCACGTGGCTGGAGTGTTGGTACTGGCTGTTCGTTGGGGTGCCTTAGTTTTCTCCATGTGGCCGTTCTCCTTTCACATGTTCTCTCATTATTCAGTAGTTTAGCCTGGGCTCCTCTGCCTTGTGGCTAGTTTCCAAGAGGATAAACACAGACACTTCAAAGTCTTCTTAAGATCTAGGCATGGAAGTCCCACAGCACTGCCCCACATTCTCCCGGTCAAAGCAAGTCACAGGGCAGGGCCGGCCCAGAATCAAGGGGTAGGAAAAAAGACTTTACCTCTTGACACAGAAATGGCAAAGTCACAGCAGAAAAGGTTACATGGGACAGGAAGGGTTGTGGTGGGCATCTTTAGAAACAATTTACCCCATAAATAGAGTTTAAGATTAAAAAAATGTTTTTAACGAGCTTTAAAACCATAGTAATTAGTGTAATGAAAATAACTAATGATATTCACCAGAGGAGATTTTTTTTTCTACTCTATCTGGCACTTTCACTTTCTAAATCAGCCCCAGTTCGCCTCTCATCCCCACTCTGCACCCCATGAGGCCAGGACATCCTGAGCACGCACACAGGAAAGAAGTCCTTGCCACACCCTCTGCCAGCATTTCACCACGGGCCTGCCCCCTTCAGCCTGCTTCTTCCTCAGAGGCCCACCCTCAGTTCTCTTCTTTTTTCTCGTTATTTTCTTTTCCTGCGGGATTTTATCTACTCCCTTGGCTTCAATTGCCACCTAGACTCTGATGACACCTATATTTTGTTTTTTATTTCTGTTTATTGATTTATTTTTGAGACAGGGTGTTGCTGTGTTGTACAGTGCTCGGAGTACAGTGCTCAGAGTGCAGTGCTCGGCTCACTGCAGCCTTGACCTCCTGGGCTCAAGCAATGCCTCAGCATCCCAAGTAACTGGGACTAGAGGCACACACCACCACACCTGGTTAATTTTCTGATATTTTGTAGAGACAGAGGTCTCCCTATGTTGCCCAGGCTGGTCTCAAACTTTTGAGTTTGAGCAATCCTCCTGCCTCAGCCTCCCAAAGTGCTTGGATTACAGGCATAAGCCATTGCACCTGGCTAAAATTTTAATCTCCAGCCTAGATCTTTCTCTGTTGGGCTCCAGACTTGAAATATGGCATTTTCTTCCTTTCCTCCAAAGCCCACTACCTCTCTGTGGCCCTCTTCTATTTCATACAGTGAATCAAGGCAGAAACCTGGCAGTTCTCGATACTACCCTCTTCCTCATGTCTACATCCAATCGATTACCGAATCCTGCTTGCTCTTGGCATCTCTATTCCATCCTCTCCAGACCTGCCACCATTTCTTAGTTTAGCCCAGCATCACCTTTGCTGCCTGCAAAAGCCTTCTCAATGGCGACAGACCCTCACTCCTCTGGTCCATTCTCCATGCTGGGCCAGAATGAGCTTCCTATACCATCATCCTTGTTAAAACCTGTCAGCAGGTCCCCCTTGTCCTTAGGATAAAAGTTCCACTTCCACATTCCTTAGCACGGCACACAAAGGCACTTCATGTTCTGGGCTGCTTTCCTTAATAGCCTAAGTTCCTCATCCTGCCTCTCAGATCTGTGATCCAGACAATTCAGAGCATCCTAAATCCCCAAGGCTCTCTCTAGTCTCCACTTCTATCCCTTTACTTCCTCAGCTTACAGATCAAATGGGAGAAGGCTTCCCTGACCCTTCCCTAGGCACCTGCAGGTACCTATCTTAGCATTTGTCAGATTCTATAGTGACGGCTGGCTCTCCTATTTACTTCTCCCACTATACTGGAAGCTCCTTCAACACTGGAACGGTGTCATTTTTATGGTTTTTCCTCAGTGTTCAGCTAATACCTGGCATATGGTGGGGCAATGAATGGATGAATGGTGATGAGACCCACTGACTGCAAGGGGCAAAGAGAAGATGTCTCGTGGGTACAATGTGTTCTAACATTCATAACTGACCTGAGAAATCTTTACAGTCAGCTCCCCTCTCACTTCCTTCATTATTCTGATCTAAGGAGAAACCAGTACCATCAGCAGGAAGGGTCAGCATCTATCTGAGGTACCACTTACTACTGCCCAAGGGCTTTCTTTTACTCATGCTACATTAGTCTGTTCTCACACTGATATAAAGAACTACCCGAGACTGGGTAATTTGTAAAGGAAAGAGGTTTAATTGACTCATAGTCCTGCATGGCTGGGGAGGCCTCATGAAACTTACAATCATGGTGGAAGGGGAAGAGGCACAGAGCACAAGCAAGAGCAGGGAAAACCACCTTATAAAACCATCAGATCTCATGAGAACTTACTCACTATCACGAGAACAGCATGGGGGAAACTGCCCCGATGATCCAGTCGCCTTCCACCTGATCCCCAACTCGACAAGTGGGGATTATGGGGATTACAATTCAAGGTGAGATTTGGGTGGGGACAGAGCCAAGCCACATCCAAACCATATACACGCCCAAGATGACAGTTTTCCATGTCTGACCCTGCAATGACACAAGCTAAGGGAAAGGCATAGAAGGACCCACACTTCCACCTAGGCGTTTGCACATATCCTGTCTGTAACTCCAGTGGGTCTTCAGAGACAATCTACAATTACTTTCTCCAATAAAAAAAAAAAATCTTGAGTGCTTCGTATAGAACAGATACTAGATCAAAAAGATGATTATAGGCTGGGTGTGGTGACTCATGCCTGTAATCTAAGCACTTTGGGAGGCCAAGACAGGAGAATTGCTTGAGCCTGGGAGTTCAAGACCAGCCTGGTCAACATAGTGAGACCTAAGCTCTACAAATAGTAAAAAAAAAAAAAAGAAAAAAAAAATTCAGCCAAGGCTGGGTTCAGCGGCTCATGCCTGTAATCCCAGCACTTTGGGAGGCCAAGGCAGGTGGATCACTTGAGGTCAGGAGTTCAAGACCAGCCTGACCAACATGTGAAACCCTGTCTCTACTAAAAATACAAAAATTAGCTAGGTGTGGTGGCAGGTGCCTGTAATCCCAGCTACTCGGAGGCTGAGGCAGGAGAATCACTTGAACCCAGGAGGCGGAGGGTGCAGTGAGCTGAGATTGTGCCACTGCACTCCAGCCTGGGCAACAGAGTGAGACTCCATCTCAAAAAAAAAAAAAATCAGCCAAGTGTGGCAGCACACACCTGTAGTCTCAACTACTCAGAAGGCTGAGGTGGGAGGATCATTTGAGCAGAGGAGGCTAAGGGTTCAGTGAACTGTGATCACCCCACTGCACTCCAGCCTGGGTGACAGTGCAAGACCTTGGCTCAAAAATATAGATGATTATACATGATCACCATCTCAGGAGTTCAGATCTGGATGGAGCATGGGCAGGACTCAGTATCGTAAAAAATGTTCCTTGCAAAATGACTAATCCACTCCCAGCATGAAGGTGTGGACAATGTACGCTGAGAGCAAAGAAGAACCATCAATTCATCCCGGTGTTATGAAGGAAGCCTTCAACAAAGTGACAGTGGTACAAAGCCCTTGAAAGCCAAGAAGGCAAAGGGGGCCTTCAGGGATGCAAATGTATATTTTTTTGTTTTGTTTTTGTTTTTGAGACGGAGTCTCGCTCTGTTGCCCAGGCTGGAGTGCAGTCGCACGATCTCGGCTCACTGCAAGCTCCGCCTCCCGGGTTCACACCATTCTCCTGCCTCAGCCTCCCGAGTAGCTGGGACTCCAGGTGCCCGCCACTGTGCCCGGCTAATTTTTTTGGTATTTTTTAGTAGAAACGGGGTTTCACCGTGGTCTCAATCTCCTGACCTCGTGATCCACCCGCCTCGGCCTCCCAAAGTGCTGGGATTACAGGCGTGAGCCACCGCGCCTGGCTGCAAATGTACATTTCTTGTACATGGCGTCCCCTAGCACTTTAAAGAAAAATCCCCATTTCGGGCCGGGCACGGTGGCTCATGCCTGTAATCCCATCACTTTGGGAGGCCGAGGCAGGCAGATCACAAGGTCAAGAGACTGAAACCATCCTGGCCAACATAGTGTAACCCCGTCTGTACTAAAAATACAAAAATTAGCTGGGCGTGGTGGCTCACGCCTGTAGTCCCAGCTACTCAGGAAGCTGAGGCAGGAGAATTGATTGAACCTGGGAGGTGGAGGTTTCAGTGAGCCAAGATCACACCACTGCACTCCAGCCTGGTGAAAGAGCGAGACTCCGTCAGAAAAAAAAAAGAAAAGAAAAGAAAAAGAAAATCCCCATTTCAAACCATGACCTATAACTTCCTCAGTAGTCTAGCTCCTCCCGCTTTACTTTCCAGCCTCATCCCCTCCCACTCTCCCTGACACCCTCTGCACCTCCAGCCACATTGCATCCCATGGGGCCAGGTCCTTCCTGCTGTAAGACTGCCTTAGCTGCTCCCTCTACTTAGGTGCACTTGCCCGGGATCCTCCTATCCTCTCATGAGGTTTTCAGCTTAAACATCTCCTTGGAGCAAGCTTCTCCTATATCTCATACCAAACCAGTTGCCCAGTCACAATCTTACCACCCTGTTACAATTTGGTGCACTGTAAGTGAACTTACCTACCTTAATGGTGCTTTTGTGTGTGTGTGCGTGTGTGTGTGTGTGTGTATTCGACGTGTACTTATCTTTGCCTCCCCTGGCCTGTCTTGTTCACTGCTACTGTCCCTGGAACAGTGCCTAGAACACATAGTAGATGCTCAACAAATAGTTGTCGAATGGAGTGGATAAACGAACAAAGGCATGTGCAACATAGTGTTTCCTGAATGAGGATGTGGCTCGGAGACATGAAAATGCACCATATGTTTGAGGAACAGCAAGCGGTTTGCTGTGGCTGTGGGCAAGGGTAAGTCTGGGTGGAAGACGAGGTGGGGAGGGTTGGGAGAGTCCTATAGTTGGAGGCTGACTGGATAGCTCAGAACTGAATGGCCTTTCATATCCTGGCAACAGGAGCCATGGATCATTTTTAAGGAGAGAATGTTATGATTGGATCATGACTTTTAAAAAGCCATTCCAGTCACAGTATGGAGCTTGGGCAATGGAAAATAAGCTGGAGTGTGGGTGGAGGTTGGGTGGGGGGATTGCAGATTGTTTAATCAGAGCAAGACTTGATGACAGATTGATCTAGTGCAACATTTGGAGGGTAGAAATGGAAAGTGAGAACAGAGACATTTCTGAGGCAAAACTGCTGGGTCCTGGGGAACAATCAGATCCAGGGCTTTGAGAGAGAAGGTGAAGGCTGGAAGGAGACAAGGCACGCATCCGGGAAGGAGTAGAATCAGCAATTCTAGTTTTGGATATGTTGTCTGAGGAGCCCGGCAAACATGTTTCTCTGAATCTCTAGGAATTGTGCCACCACCACACTGTTCCTCCTACCCCTTTTCTCTTTTCTTTCCTGTTTTGAATCACTCTCACAAGTCAAGACCGCTCCCTGCTTCTTAGCCCGCTGGGGAGCCAGGCCAGCAGGCCCCACATTCCTGAGGAAGGGACAGGGTTCTGGCCTGGAGGGTCTAGCAGAAGCCACCCCAGGGGAGGGCCCGACAGGAAGGAAGGTAGGCCTGCCGGAGGGGCATACAGGAGCTTCCTCTCCCGCCACAGTGTCCAGGGCCAACTGCTCCAGCCCTCAGGCTGGGTCAACAGGATGGGACAGCCCAGGCGGAAGGAAACCTGTGGGGAGGGACACCCCGCAGACAGAAGCAGGGACATGGGGTGGGGAGAGGCAGGAAGAGCTGCCGGGCTGCTGAGCTGGCGCCTCTCCAGCAGACTCAGGAGGGGCGGTGACAGGAGGCCATTCCCTCCTCATCCCCGCAGCCCTGGGCCTCTCTGGTCCTGGCCAACAGTATTACTATCATTATTATTGCTGTTGTTCGCTAGCCTGGGCCTTAGATACATTAGAAAAAAACCATCGGAAGATACGCATAGCATTGGCAGTTTCTAAAAGAATTAATTCCCTTCCTGTGTTCATTCTGTGATTACTGGGATAGAAATGCTATTTGCATTACCAGCCTTTCATTCAGTTACAGAGACGTGAGTGCTCGAAGGAGAGACAGTGATTTTTGCCTTAAATTCAGCCTGTCCAAATCGGATAAGATCTCCGATTTGCTTTAAGCCCCGTTATCACTGCCTTCCTCTCCAACAACAGCTGCTGTGATCACGCACAAACGGCCAAACGGGGGCAAATCCGTGCCAAAGCAGGGCCATGGGCTTTCCTGATCAGAAGGCCTAGCCCCAGCCCCCAGGCGCAGCACACGGGCGGCTTCCTTTCAGAAACCCAGCCTGCCTCCCACCAGCTGGAGTGGGTGGGTGGGGCGGTAGTGGTGCCAGTTTCAGGGAACGGCCGGCAAACCCACCTCCAGGCGTGCTCCAGCGGGAGCCTGGAGACCCTAGGAGAGCCCTCCCCACAAGCGGCTTCCAGGCAGGACGCTTCCAGAGGTCTTGGTCCAGGGGTGGGGGTGAGGTGGGGTCTACCTTTGAAACAGCTACAATTTAAACTTCAGCTACACCGAGCTCAAACTCGATTCCGCAGCCGAGTGTCGGCGCCAGAGAAGGATAAAAACTCGGGTCTACGGCTCCCCACCACGCCCCTGGTCCGGTCCTCTGGGCTTCCAGGAGTCCTCACGCCATCCTCTGGGTTGCCCAGGAGGAAGGATGGGCGGGGCGGGCAGGCGCTGCGGGCGCTGCAGATGGGGAGGGCGAGCCCGCGGCACGGCGTGAGCGGGGGAGAGGCGCGCGAGCAGGTGTCGGCTCCGTGACAGGGTCCCCCATCCCGCGCCCCAGTGCTCCCCGAGGCTTAGTGAGGCAAAACCCAGCAAATGCTTCAGAAATGCAGCTCAGTCGGTCACCGGGTTCTGCTTCCTCATCAGACGCGCAAGAGGATGGCGCTTCCAATGCAAATCTCTTGGCTCCGGCCCCTTGGCTGGCAGCCGCCGCGTCCCCCGCCTGCCTGGCGTCCCGCCCACTCCGTGGCGGGCTGAGACGAGGCCCGGCGCGGAGGGGACGGGGCGGAGCGGGCATCCCTCCCCACCCCCCACGTGGGGCTGGCCCTCCGCAGTGCCTGGGCGCGCTGCAGTCGCCGCGCCTCCCCGGCCGCGGCACCGCCTCTCTAGGCAGGGGCGGGGGACGAGGGGCAAGGAGTGGGCGAGGGGTGGGCGAGGGGCGGGGGGCGTCACTCAATCAGGTGGCCTCTGGAGTTCCCCGGGGCAGGGCAGAGGGAACACGCTGCCGGGGATTGTGTACACGCTCCACTGACACCAGCTTCACGCTGCCGGGCAGTCGCCGATCACGCGTGGCCCCGCGAGCCCATTGGCCGGCGCCTCACACACCTTTGCCGTTGATTGGCCGGCCTCAGGCTCCGCCCCCACCCCCGCCCGCGGCGCGGGGCAGGCTGAGCGGCTACCTGAATGGGGAGGGGGCAGACGGCGCTGAGCGCGGCGGCGGCGGGAGCGGCGTCGAGTGTCTCCGTGCGCCCGTCTGTGGCCAAGCAGCCAGCAGCCTAGCAGCCAGTCAGCTTGCCGCCGGCGGCCAAGCAGCCAACCATGCTCAACTTCGGTGCCTCTCTCCAGCAGACTGCGGTAAGTCATTTGGGGATGCCCCTGTGCTTCCTCGCCTGGTCTTGTCTGGGGGGCCAAAGGGGGCGCGAACCCCGAGCCCCGGACATCAGCCATGCCTGAGAATTGGGGCTGCAGCGGAGTCGTGGGGAAGGAAAGGGCTTCCTGCCTGCAGACTATGGGCATTAGTGAGGGCGTGTGTGTTCGGGAGGGGGTCGAACCAGGGGGCTGGGATCTTCAGACAGGGACAGGGGTCTTGCTCTAGATGTACTGAGGGGAAGGGACAACTCCGCATGGAGACCCGAGAGGGCTGGTGAGGAGGAGGATGACGAGCGGGGGAGGAGTGGGGAGGGGGCCGTTGCCCTGCAGCGAGGTTGGGGTACAGTGTGGAACGAGAGTCGCGGGAGGGACAAGGGGGCTACCCTCACCTGGTACCGAGGAGAGATGCCCGGTCTGGCTCAGGAACGCGAGCCAGGGGAGGAAGGGGCTGCTCGCAAGCACTCGGGAGGCGGGGTGTCCACAGGAGAGGCGAGTGGGCTACCCATCCTGGGGGTCTGAACCCACGCTTGGAAGACGGGGGCTGCTCAGCAGATAGCTCGGGGCTGGGGGAAGGGGCGCCTGTCGTCGGAGCGGGGGGATGACACGAGGGCCCGCCGACAGCCCTGGGGGACGAGTTGCTCCCCCAGACGTCTGGAGGGGGACTCTTACCCCAGGGGCAGGTGGCCGCCTTCTGACGACTCCTTGGAAGAGGCGGGGAGCCGCCTCTGGGGCAGGAGGGTGGGAAGCGGGACCCAGCAGCTGGGGCGGGAAGGTGGGCGGGGGGAGCTGGGCCGCGAGACGCGGGGGCCGCGCGTCTGGAGCCGGGGCCTGTGGGGGCTGCACGTCTGGGAACCCGTGGAGACGCGCGGCGGGAGGGGCCTGGAGCTGCCGGAAGCCACGGGGAGGGGGCGCCGCGTCTACAGGGAGAGACGGGGTGGTCTGAGGTCCCGTGGGCCGCGTGGGCGGGAAGTGCCGAGGGCTCGGCCGGGTTCCCGGGGGCTGCCGGCGGGAGGAGGGCGGCGGCCGGGTTTCCGCGGGGACCTGGCTCCTCCTCCCGCATCTGAGGCGGAGGCCGGGGGTGGGCCGGGAGCGGGTGCGCCCGGGGAGCTTCTCGTCCCCGAGTGACCCAGCCCCGGCCTCCGCCAGGGGCGGGAGCGAGGCCCGGCCCCGCTGTCGGTTCCTAAGGGAACGGCGGCTCGCGGGGAGCTGGAAGGGGCGGGCGCCTCCCGGAGCCTGGCGCCCGCAGCCCCGCCCCTCCCCGCGGGCCCGGCGCGCACGGCCGGGCGGTTGGCGGCGGCGCCCGCGGCCCCTCCCCCGGGTCGGGCGCGGGCGGGGGCCCGCAAGCTCAGGAAGTAGGGGAAAGGTGACGGCGCGGCAATTCCCAGTTCACGTTTCCTGCGCCTCCCGGAGCAGCCGCTGATCACGCTTTGTTCACATGCCTCGCCCCCTCCTCGCCCACGCCCCCGCCCCGGGCCGCACAGCCAATCCGGGCTCGGGCCGCCGAGCCGGCCGGCCAATGGCGGGGGCAGGGGCGCGGGGACGTGCGAGCGGCGAGGAATGTTCCCAGTGACTCACCCGTGAGCCTCATTGAGGTTAGGGCGGCCCCATCCGTCGGTCTCCGCCAGCTAGGATCTCCCCCGCCGTCCGCCCCCGCCCCTCGTCTGCCTCCCCCGCCCGCGCCTCCGCCCGCGCTTCCCTTTCCTGCCTCGCGCCCCACTCCCTTTCCTCCCCTCCCTGTTTCCCTTCCTGTCCTTCCCAGCTCACGCTCTCTTTCCCTGCCGCCTGCCTTTCTTTTTTCCTTTTTTTGCATTGGCGTCTTGGGGCTGTTACACACACGCGCGCTGTCCATTGCAGCTTACATAAAGGCGGGCGCGATTATGCAATTATATTGTTAGCGATATTTCAAGAGCAATGGCTCGTTTTCTTAGGATTTCAACACGAAGGCATCATGCATTTTTGAAAAACTAGTATTGAGAATAATACCTTGCAACGTAAAGAATGTTTTTTGGTATTTTTACACAATCTCTACTTTGACCAAACGAGTCTGGACAGTTTTCTTTTAATGGAAAATAGGAGAAATGGTGAGTAGTACCATTTTTTTTTAGCGTAGTTCAAAGAACTTTACTATAAAACATTAGGTAGTTCTACAAATAAGTGCAAAACCTGTGCTGTTATTTTGTCATCAAGCAGTTCTTTAAGGAATTAAAATAGATTCTACTTTGATTATGCTGACTTTTTAAAGTCGGTTTTTGCAAATTCCAAGTAGAATATTAAATTTTTTGATTATCCAGTTTTTAGTAATATTGCATTAGCTATGTTGTAGTTATGTATGGCAAACCATTGTGTCAAATAGATTCAGTAAAAGGGAGCACAAATATGAAGAGGTTGAAAGTTAATTAAAATAAACATTAGAATTTTTTTCTATGTATATCACTTGATTTTTCTTTACCATAATCAAGTGATCAAATTTTAGATCTTAAATAATGCAATTTTAACTTGAAAGATACCCTGAGGATCCCTTATCTTTTGATTTTTATCCCAAAGTGCAAAGTGACTTTCCAAAGGTCAGACCCATAACAACAGGCCAGAGCTCTACTACATTTTGTCTTTATTAGAAGGTTTTGGCTATTTTTTTTTTCTATCAGCAATTTGTACCTCAAAAGACCTCATACCATACCTGTAATATTTAAGAAGATAAATTTTTTGCCGCACTCTTAGTTTTTTTGCCCGACTCCAGTTGCAGGTAGCTACTCTGGAAAGTCTATATAAAATACTCCTTTTCTTCTTAGCCAAATACTTCTCCTTTTGGATCACAAATGCATTGATAATTTTCGTCTTAGTCCCCTTAATGGTAGTAGGTGTGCCTCTCTCCCATGAACGGATATCGCTTTATCAGTGTTAAAGTCTAAATGTTAACAGAAAAAATGAGGAAGATTTTATTGCCACTACTGTGAGGTTTGGGTTACCTACCTAACAAGTGTAGCTGAACTTCCTTAGTATCATAGTAAGTGTGAGAGGAAAATTATTTCTGATTTTAATTTGGAAAGTTGTGTGAGTTGTAAAAAAAAAAAAAAAAAAAATTTGCTCATTTTTCTGTGTGTCATTTGGATGACAAAAAATATGCTTATAAGCTTTCCTCTTTTGTTTTTATAGGAGGAAAGAATGGAAATGATTTCTGAAAGGCCAAAAGAGAGTATGTATTCCTGGAACAAAACTGCAGAGAAAAGTGATTTTGAAGCTGTAGAAGCACTTATGTCAATGAGCTGCAGTTGGAAGTCTGATTTTAAGAAATACGTTGAAAACAGACCTGTTACACCAGTATCTGATTTGTCAGAGGAAGAGAATCTGCTTCCGGGAACACCTGATTTTCATACAATCCCAGCATTTGTAAGTATTATTGTTTTTAAGATAGACGTAAATTATATAATTTCTTAAAATTTATATAATAAACTGTAGATTTCTCATGCTATGTATTTCCCTTTTCTTTAGTGTTTGACTCCACCTTACAGTCCTTCTGACTTTGAACCCTCTCAAGTGTCAAATCTGATGGCACCAGCGCCATCTACTGTACACTTCAAGTCACTCTCAGATACTGCCAAACCTCACATTGCCGCACCTTTCAAAGAGGAAGAAAAGAGCCCAGTATCTGCCCCCAAACTCCCCAAAGCTCAGGCAACAAGTGTGATTCGTCATACAGCTGATGCCCAGCTATGTAACCACCAGACCTGCCCAATGAAAGCAGCCAGCATCCTCAACTATCAGAACAATTCTTTTAGAAGAAGAACCCACCTAAATGTTGAGGCTGCAAGAAAGAACATACCATGTGCCGCTGTGTCACCAAACAGATCCAAATGTGAGAGAAACACAGTGGCAGATGTTGATGAGAAAGCAAGTGCTGCACTTTATGACTTTTCTGTGCCTTCCTCAGAGACGGTCATCTGCAGGTCTCAGCCAGCCCCTGTGTCCCCACAACAGAAGTCAGTGTTGGTCTCTCCACCTGCAGTATCTGCAGGGGGAGTGCCACCTATGCCGGTCATCTGCCAGATGGTTCCCCTTCCTGCCAACAACCCTGTTGTGACAACAGTCGTTCCCAGCACTCCTCCCAGCCAGCCACCAGCCGTTTGCCCCCCTGTTGTGTTCATGGGCACACAAGTCCCCAAAGGCGCTGTCATGTTTGTGGTACCCCAGCCCGTTGTGCAGAGTTCAAAGCCTCCGGTGGTGAGCCCGAATGGCACCAGACTCTCTCCCATTGCCCCTGCTCCTGGGTTTTCCCCTTCAGCAGCAAAAGTCACTCCTCAGATTGATTCATCAAGGATAAGGAGTCACATCTGTAGCCACCCAGGATGTGGCAAGACATACTTTAAAAGTTCCCATCTGAAGGCCCACACGAGGACGCACACAGGTACCAGCCACTTCTTATATCTTTAGTGTTTAAATGAAGAGATTTTGGCTGTGATCACACATTTAAACCCAGGATGATAAGGAATAACTTGCCTTTAGCTAGTTTAGAGGATGGTATTTACCAGTGCAAGGTCCTCCAAAAGGCTGTATTGGAGGCCGCTCACGAGTGCCATAATCCTTGCACTTTAGGAGACCAAGGTGGGAGGATTGTTTGAGCATAGGAGTTCAAAACCAGCCTGTGCAACATACTGAGACCTCATCTCTACAAATAATTTAAAAATAAGTATGTAAATACTTTATTGATGTGCTTTTGTTTCAGTCTCTCAAATGATGATTCTGTAGATGTCTGAGTAGTTACTTTAATAAGGTATCTTTAAAGCCTTTGAATCATAGTTAAAGTCAGGAAGTCTTTTCATTTTTGGCTTTTTTTAAGGGATGAAAAAAAACTGCTCTGTTGCCCAAACTGGTCTCAAACTTCTGGGCTCAAGCTATCCTCCTGCCCCAGCCTTCTGAGTAGTTGGGACTACAGGTGCCTACTACTCCACCCGGCTGCCTTATTTCATGTGGGGAAGAGTTTTGTAAATGTGATCAAGTGACAAGTTGAAATTGGAGCAATACATATCTCATATTCATTTGACAGTTTGATTTATTAGCTTTTATTATTTAAAATGTATCTTCTCATATACTTTTAGACAGAATTGAACATATAATTTACGGCAATCTTATGCATAATAATGATTTGTATGTCTTTGTTTTAGGAGAAAAGCCTTTCAGCTGTAGCTGGAAAGGTTGTGAAAGGAGGTTTGCCCGTTCTGATGAACTGTCCAGACACAGGCGAACCCACACGGGTGAGAAGAAATTTGCGTGCCCCATGTGTGACCGGCGGTTCATGAGGAGTGACCATTTGACCAAGCATGCCCGGCGCCATCTATCAGCCAAGAAGCTACCAAACTGGCAGATGGAAGTGAGCAAGCTAAATGACATTGCTCTACCTCCAACCCCTGCTCCCACACAGTGACAGACCGGAAAGTGAAGAGTCAGAACTAACTTTGGTCTCAGCGGGAGCCAGTGGTGATGTAAAAATGCTTCCACTGCAAGTCTGTGGCCCCACAACGTGGGCTTAAAGCAGAAGCCCCACAGCCTGGCACGAAGGCCCCGCCTGGGTTAGGTGACTAAAAGGGCTTCGGCCACAGGCAGGTCACAGAAAGGCAGGTTTCATTTCTTATCACATAAGAGAGATGAGAAAGCTTTTATTCCTTTGAATATTTTTTGAAGGTTTCAGATGAGGTCAACACAGGTAGCACAGATTTTGAATCTGTGTGCATATTTGTTACTTTACTTTTGCTGTTTATACTTGAGACCAACTTTTCAATGTGATTCTTCTAAAGCACTGGTTTCAAGAATATGGAGGCTGGAAGGAAATAAACATTACGGTACAGACATGGAGATGTAAAATGAGTTTGTATTATTACAAATATTGTCATCTTTTTCTAGAGTTATCTTCTTTATTATTCCTAGTCTTTCCAGTCAACATCGTGGATGTAGTGATTAAATATATCTAGAACTATCATTTTTACACTATTGTGAATATTTGGAATTGAACGACTGTATATTGCTAAGAGGGCCCAAAGAATTGGAATCCTCCTTAATTTAATTGCTTTGAAGCATAGCTACAATTTGTTTTTGCATTTTTGTTTTGAAAGTTTAACAAATGACTGTATCTAGGCATTTCATTATGCTTTGAACTTTAGTTTGCCTGCAGTTTCTTGTGTAGATTTGAAAATTGTATACCAATGTGTTTTCTGTAGACTCTAAGATACACTGCACTTTGTTTAGAAAAAAAACTGAAGATGAAATATATATTGTAAAGAAGGGATATTAAGAATCTTAGATAACTTCTTGAAAAAGATGGCTTATGTCATCAGTAAAGTACCTTTATGTTATGAGGATATAATGTGTGCTTTATTGAATTAGAAAATTAGTGACCATTATTCACAGGTGGACAAATGTTGATGTTGTCCTGTTAATTTATAGGCGTTTTTTGGGGATGTGGAGGTAGTTGGGTAGAAAAATTATTAGAACATTCACTTTTGTTAACAGTATTTCTCTTTTATTCTGTTATATAGTGGATGATATACACAGTGGCAAAACAAAAGTACATTGCTTAAAATATATAGTGAAAAATGTCACTATATCTTCCCATTTAACATTGTTTTTGTATATTGGGTGTAGATTTCTGACATCAAAACTTGGACCCTTGGAAAACAAAAGTTTTAATTAAAAAAAATCCTTGTGACTTACAATTTGCACAATATTTCTTTTGTTGTACTTTATATCTTGTTTACAATAAAGAATTCCCTTTGGTATATGGAATGGTCATTGCATTTCTTAAAAACCATTCTCAACTCTCACCTTGACATTGATCACTTATATTATCCAAGGACTTAGTGTCTGAATTTCTCTAAGGGTCTCATTCAAATTTAGAACTGTAGGAGTATGTCTTTAACATGAATCCATTTAGAGAGTATACAAAGTGAGGCCAAATATCTATTTGGTGAGGTAATATGTGAACCAGCCAGTTCTAAGAAAACACATTTAATTTTTAAACATTGTTTTTTATTTTTCAAGACACAGTTTCACTCTGTCACCCAGGCTGGAGTGCAGTGGCATGATCTCAGCTCACTACAACCTCCACCTCCCAGATTCAAGTGATTCTCCTACCTCAGCCTCCAGAGTAGCTGGGATTACAGGTGTGCACCACCATGCCCGGCTAATTTTTATATTAGTAGAGACGGGGTTTCGCCGTGTTGGTCAGGCTGGTCTCAAACTCCTGACCTCAAGTGATCCGCCCATCTTGGCCTCCCAAAGTGCTAATTTTTAAGCATTCTTGAATATTTTGATATTTAACAATATTTTGATATTAACGAAATCTTGTTAAGTAGTATTCAAGTTAAAGGGAACACCACAGTGAATAATTACAAGCAATGAAACTGCCGTGGCAAATGAAAAGAAGGCTGACTTATTAAATAGCGAGTAAATTGCTTACCTCTAGAAGTTAGACAATTAAGTGATACCTTAAATGCAATAAACATATTGGTACTTAAGCCTCATGAAAAGTAATCCACCTCTGAAGAGAAACACTTGTTAGTCACTCATCAGTGGAAGGAACTAAGGGCTGTAAATGCTACTTGGTGTATAGAGTATAATTTTGTAGATTACTATTTTAGCTTGCACTGAAATCCCCTTGTGGTCAGGAGAACATCTTCCACAATGCCCAACTTAACCAGTGACCTAGAGTCTGCCTCATTGTTGAATAAACACCATGGTAAGGGACCGTGTACTCACTTGGCAGCAGTTGTAGGACAGGTTTCTCAGGACATCTGTACACCTGTTGCTACTTTTCTTGGAAACTTAATACCACATGAGTATGACATAGCTGCTGGAGAGAGGCTTTGCCATTCTGGCCTCTGGTGTAGCTTTGGTGTTGGGCACCTGGACCATCCTCTTGCTTTAGAGCTTTTCATGGTGGCAGGTGTCCAGAAGTGGGAATGGAGGAAGATGACTGAAATATTCTCTGCCTCCCCCAATGCTCAGTCCCTTGTAATGATGTGGCCCATGAAACTATGCCACCCGTTGGCCGTATTCTTTGCAGTCCTAGTTGGTATCTGAGATCTTTCCTTAGGAATCTTGTAAATAGAGTTACTGTTTTTGAGTTGAACGTTGAAGCAGGATCTAATTTTTTTTTTTTTAGACAGAGTCTCACTCTGTTGCCCAGGCTGGAGTGCAGTGGCATGATCTCAGCTCTCTGCAAACTCTGCCTCCTGGGTTCAAGTGATTCTCCTGCCTCAGCCTTCCCAAGTAGCTGGGATTACAGGCGCCCAAAATTAATAAGTTAAACTTGGTACAATACTATTAAGTTTTCATAAGGATACTAAAATGGAGAAAAGTTGAAGCAGAAACACCTTTTTACTAGCTTAATTTTTTACTAGCTTTTCTACTTTTTCCTATTACAGGACCTAATCCAGGATCTCAAATTGCATTTAGTTGTCATGTCTCTGCAGCCTCCTCCAATCTGTAGTAGTTCCTCAGTCCTGTCATTTGAACATTACTTGTCAGTTATTTTGCAGAATGTCCCTTAATGTGGGTTTGTCTGATGTTTATTCATGATTAGATTGAGGCTATGGGGTATGTGGGAAAGATGCCCCAGAGTGATAATACCCTTCTCAGCACATCTTACCTACGAAAACATGGTGTCCATATGCACTCCTGATGCTGCTAACCTCACTCACTTTGGCTAGGGTGATATCTGTTGGAATTTTCCACTGTAAATTTACCATTTTTCTACTTATAATTATTAAATATGTAGAGGGACATACTTTAAGATTATGCAAATAACCTGTTTCTGCTTACACTTTTCCCCATTTATTTTAGTGTCCTTATGGAAATGTTGCCTGGGGCAATTATTACTGTGATATGCTAATTTCCTCATTATTTATTAAGTTGGAATTCTGTAAGAGTTGTTTCTTCTCCATTTATTCAGTTTTTTTAAATGTCAGCATGGACTTGAATATTTATCTCATTCTTTGAGTTGTAACACTATACTTAATTATTTTGTGACTCATTTGTCCCACCTTTGGCCCTTGTTAGCTCTTTCAGTATTCAACCACTTTTAATAAATGAAGATGAAAATTTTATATGGTTCAACCTATCATTTCTCACTGGAACGAGAGCTGTTTGGTATTAGTAACTACTTTTTTAAAGTGTTTTCTACCTGCGTTGCTGCCACCCTGTCTAATCCAGCATCTCTCACTCAAGCCAGTGCAGCCACCCCTAACTGGCCTCCCTGCCTCTGTCCTGTCTTCTTACTATCCAGTCTCCTCACAACAGAGTCTTTTGAAAATGCAAACCTGATAATGTCACTTTTCTGTTTAAAACACTTCAGAAATCTCCCAATGCTCTCAGAGTCAAGTCTAGGTTTTATAACATGGTCTAGAACAGTACTGTCTAATAGAAATATAATGTGAGCCATATGTAATTTGAAATTTTCTAGTAGCCGCATCAAAAAAGTAAAAAAAAAAGTTTATATTTAAAATTTGTATTTAAAAAACATTTAATTTAATGTTCGTGGTAATCTTTGAAATCTAGTCTAGTCTCAGTAGGGACTAGCCTCATTCCAAGTGCTCTGTAGCCACAGGTGGCTGCTGCAGTGGACCGAGCAGGTCTAGAAGACCGTGCACGTTTAGGCTTCTACCAACCTCCCACCACACCACTTTCCATCTTGTACTCTACATTGTGTCCAAGCTCTGAGCCTTCCTATGTGCTATGTCTTCTGCTGGGAATGTTTTCCCTGCCCCCCAACCCTTTTTTTCCCCCCCAAGACATAGTCTCACTGTTGCCCAGCCTGGAGTGCAATGGTGTGATCTCGGCTCACTGCAACCTCTGCCTCCCAGGTTCAAGTGATTCTCCCGCCTCAGCCTCCCGAGTAGCTGGGATTACAGGTGCCCACCACCACACCTGGCTTATTTTTGTATTTTTAGTAGAGAGGGGGTTTCATCATGTTGACCAGGCTGGTCTTGAACTCCTGACCTTAGGCGATCCACCCACCTTGGCCTCCTAAAGTGTTGGGATTACAGGCATGAGCCACGCACCCGGCCTTCCCTGCCCTTTTACCTTGACATTTCCACTGTCATAATAATCATTATTACCCTTTACTTCATGTCTTTTTTCCCCTGACTGTAAAACTTCATGAGGAAAAGCACCCTGTGGGTCTAGCTCACTGCTACATCACCAGCATCTAGCACAGTCCCTGACACGTAGCACAGGCTTAACAATTTTGCCAAACTGAAAGTTGAGCCGTGAAGAGGCCTGTGCAATTTTAGGGAGGGAGAACAACTAAGAAGTTGTTACATGCAGGATATAGAAAAAGGAGACGAGAAGCTGAAGATTGCCTTTTTCTTGTTCCCATTATTCTTTGCTAGTGCTGGAAGGACCATTTATTCCACCTTCCAGACTCTTAAAGAGTCTCATGGCATTTGAATTCTCTTCATTGCATTTTTAAGGGGGCAGGGAAGAAATCTGATCAAGACACATACACTAGGCTCACTAAGTCCCTTCGTGTGAGTCTAATGCTTCAGCCTGGAAGGGCTGAAAAGTGTTGCCTTGGCTCTTACCCTACCCTTTCTCTTTAGAAGACTTTCAGAATAAGGCAGAGACAGAAATGGAGACTTCCATCAAGGGCACTGGACATCAGCAGAGCCCTGGAACTAGATGAGATCTTCTGGGCAACACCTTAAGGGAATTTTATTCTGATGCCTTAATCCAGTCCTGGCATTTTGCTGACCAACTTAAGCAGAGCTTGAGAAATGATAAAGTTGATTTTCGAAGAGCACTGCCTCTAATTTTTTACACAGGTAACTGTGCCCTGGAGGTGTCAGTATCAGGGAAAGATCAAAAGATCAAAATGATCAAATTAAAAGACCTGGTATATTAAGGTTCTCCCAGAAAAATAGAACCAATGGAACAAACAGAACATGTATACATATGTATTCCTTATATGAAACTGAATAAAAGGAATCAGGTCATGTAATTATGGAGACTGACAAGTCCCAAGATCAGCAGTCAGCCAGCTAGAGACCCAGAAGAACCAAAAGTGTAGTTCTAGTCCAAATGCCAGCAGGTTCAAGAACCAGGAAGAGTCTATGTTTCAATCTGAGTACAAAGGCTGGAAAAAAAATAAAGTCCCAGCTCGAAGGCAGTCAGGTATCAAGGGTTCCTCTTACTTAGCCTTTTGCTTCATTCAGGCCTTCAACTGATTGGATGAGGCCAATCCCCATTGGGGAGGGCAATCTGCTGTCCCCAGTCTACCAATCCACACGTTCATGTCCTCCAGAAACACCCTCAAACACACACCCAGAACGTTTGACCACATATATGGGCATCCTGTGGCCCAATCGAGTTGTCACATAAAATTACCTACCATGGGCCAGGTGTGGTGGCTCACACTTGTAATCCTAATGCTTTGGAAGACCAAGGCAGGAGGATTGCTTGAGCCCAAGGAGCTCGAGAACAGCCTGGGCAACATAGGGACATCCCATCTGGACAAAAAAAAAAAAAAAAAAAAAAAAAAGAAAGAAAAAATTAGCCAGGCATTACCATCACATTGGGGATTAAGTAAAAATAAATAAATACATACATAAAAATAATAAATAAAAAATTAGCCAGGCATGGTGGTGCGCACCTGTAGTCCTAGCTGCTTAAGAGCCTGAGGTGGGAGGACCACTTGAGACTGGGAGGCTGCCGAGCTGTGACCACACCATTGCACTCCAGCCTGGGTGACAGAATGAGACCCTGTCTCAAACAAAAACAAACAAAACACCACACCTGGATTCTAGTCCTGGTTACACTGATAACTAGTTTATTCCTTAAGAAACTTGCTTTATCATTCTGGGTCTGGGTCTACCTTTAAAAATGAGGCTAAATGCACCTGCCCTACTCAGCTTATCAAGCTACTGACAAGTTCAAATAAGGTTTTGTACACAAAAGCCCCTGGAAACTATAGTGCATTCGATGTTTGCTGGCACCATTGCAGCACCCGTGTCCAGGAACACACGCATGGCAGTGGATGCTTTAGAATGCCCACTGAGGGTGGCTGCCAATTCTAAAAAAGGGAAGCCACCTAGAACTGGATGATTAGAGAATTTTGATACCCAGAGTGCCCACATTTCTACCTATGTATGGTAATTATTTGGGTAACCCATTTACAGTAAATCTCATTGCAGCGAGGCCAATCTAATGGGAAGGAAAGCACAAAGCATGAAAACATGGCCATTTGCTGAGGAAAGCTAGAGCATGAGTACTCATCATTTAATTAGAAAGCATACATTTGGGTAGAGTTACCATAGAAGCCTCCAATGTATGAACTGAGTTCGTCAATTTACTGAAATCCCTTTGTTCTCTTTATAATGATCCCAGCTTGAGGGAATTCTCCAAGTCTGAATTTAGTTCATTCATTCATGATAAAGTGCCCAATCTCAGATGCCCCATCAAGCATGGGCTAAAAATGATATAAAGTTATGCCCAGAGCTCTAGGAATTCAAAATCCCAAGGGAATGAAGATCAGCATGAGTGACAAAAACATCTCTGCCCCAAGGAAATCATCAGGCCACACCTGTGCCAGGTCTGCCCACATAATGCGGCCTCAAATTGACAGACACAGAATTCCAAGGAAGCATAACTCTCTCATCTTTGGCTTATTCTAACGGAAGGGATAAAACTAAATGGAGCCGTCTGTTGTTTTAAGCTTCCCCTGCCAGTTGGCATCCTGATCTTGACAGAGATTAGAAATTCATGGCTCTCTACCATGGATGCCAACAATCCCTGCATGACCTTGATTGACCAGCTTGGCAGCAAGATGCTGAAAGGGAGAAAATGCCCCAAAATATAAAAAGATGACACCTTATCTTTCTTTCATTTTCTTGGAAGAATTTAATTTTTAATTCTAAATTTTAATTCTAAATTGGAGGCACAGCCTGGGTTTAGAAAAATCTATATAAAATTCTGAGAAGAAAAGTTAAGAAATAACGTGAAGTGAAGAAAGGATGACCCAGGCTGTGGTAGAAGCAGTTTCCTATTTCTCTGATTAAGCTGTGTGAAGCTTGAATATCAGTTTCAAAAAGGCACCCTTTTAGTTTGCACAATCTCATTGAAAAGATAAATACAAGCACTGAGTGTTTATTACCACTAGACAAAGTAAAACAGTGTGGCCTTGTGAAAGGAAGCTTCTCCTGGGGTCATGGGGCCATCATGCTGGTGTCACTTCTATGCTGGCTACAAATGTAAGCTAAGTAAGCAATTTCACTATTTCACAGCTTTGTTTCAGTATCTATACAATGAGGTTATAACGCTCATCTAACCTGTTTCTCAAGATAGAATTAGGCTTGAAAACTCTGTGTGTGTGTGTGTCGGGGGGGTGTTGGCAGTGGAGGGAGGGGGTTCAAACATTAAGAGGGCTGCCCAAATATCAATGGTGGGTATTGCACTGTCACAACTCAGATCAATTATTAAGACAGAAAAGGCCCCTATAGGTGGGGCAGCATCCGACATCAGTATAGAAATTGTCATGTTGTGGTCCCTGTTAGGGAGGAAGGTCAAATTCCAAATGTTCACAAAATTGGGATGAAGCAATGAAGCAGCTCATTTCCAAGATGGCACCCAATAATTTTTGCTCTTGGATATTCATGTCCTCATGTAGTGTCTGCTCATTTTGACTAGAGTTGATCTATATAACCAGTAGGATGGTGTAGAAACGATGGTGTGTAATTTCCAAGACTCCTCATAAAAGATATTATTGTTTCCAGCATGATCCGTCTTGGATCACTCACTCTGAGGGAAGCCAGTTGTCATGTTGTGAGGATGCACAAGCAGGTCTATGCGGAGGTCTACATGCTGAGAACTACACCTTTTGCCAACAGCTAGCACCACGATGCCAACCAAGTGAGAGAGCTACTTGGAAGTAGATCTTCCAGCCTCAATCAAGCCTTCAGATGACGGCAACCCTAGCTGATATCTTGACTGTAACCTCTGACAACCCTGAGCCAGAACAATGTAGCTAAGCCATCCCCGATTCTTGACCTACAGAAACTGTGATAGATAACAAATGTATATAATTATCTTAAGCCACTACATTTTGGGATAATTTGCTAACACAGACTTAGCAATGGATATTAAAAGCAGTGAAGTATTTCTACAGAGTAGGCAGTAAGACCCCAAAGCCCTGAAATAAAGACAATGTTCAGTTTAGTCCAGTTTCCATGCTGACTTTAGCTCTTTAATTGGACAATATATTTTGGGAAGTGGCAAGACAGAGGAACAATGAACATATAGATTCCAGAGATTTCTACGAATTGGGACAATAGTATTGAAACTTCTAAGCTTTGATTACCTTTTTTTAAAATAGAAGAGTGTCTGGTATACTGGTTGTATTAGTTTGCTAGGGCTGCCATAACAAAGAACCGCTGACTGGGTAGGTTAAACAACAGAAATTTATTTCCTCACACTTCCAGAGGCTAGAAGGCCGAGATCAAGATGTCAGCAGGATTGGTTTCTCCTGAGGCCTCTCTCCTTGCCTTGTGGGTGGCCATCTTCTCCCTGTGTCTTCACATGATTTTCCTCCTGTGTCTGTGCCCTGATCTCTTCTTTTAACAATACCAGTCATATTGAATTAGAGCCTGTTCCAGTGAACTCATTTACCCTTAGTTAACTCTTTTGAATCCTATTTCTAAATACAGTCGCATTCTGAGGTACTGGGGTTAGGACTTTAACATATGAATTTTGGGAAGGATCATAGCATTGGTCAACATGTCAGTCTATATTATTCCATCATAATACACCAATAGCAGTATTTTTTTCCTTCCTTTCCTTCCTTCCTTCCTCCCTCCCTCCTTCCCTTCCTCCCTTCCTCCCTTCCCTCTTTCCTCCCTCCCTCCCTTCCTCCCTTCCTCCCTTCCCTCTTTCCTCCCTCCCTCCCTTCCTCCCTTCCCTCTTTCCTCCCTCCCTCCCTTCTCTCCTTCCTCTTTCCTTCTCTCCCTCCCTCCCTTCCTTCCTCCCTCCCTTCTTTCCTTCCCTCCCCCTTTCCCTCCTTGCTTCCTTCTCCTTCCTTCCTTCCTTCATTCCTTCCTTCCTCCCTTCATTCGGTCCCTCCCTCCTTCCTTCCTTCATTCCTTCCTCCCTCCTTCCCTCCTTCCTCCCTTCCCTCTTTCCTTTCTCCCTTTCTTTCCTTCGTTCCTCCCTCCCTCCATTTCTCCTTCCTTCCTTCCTTTTCCTTTTTTTTTTAATTTTTTTGAGACAGGATCTCAATCTATCACCCAGGCCAGAGTGCAGTGGTGCCATCAGGGCTCATTGCAGCCTCAACCTCCACAAGCTCAGGTGATCCTCCCACCTCAACCTCTGGGTAGCTGGGACCCTAGATGCACGCCACCAAGCCAGGCTAATTTTTGTATTTTTGGTAGAGATGGGTTTTCACCATGTTGCCCAGGCTGGTCTTGAACTCCTGAGCTCAAACAGTCTGCCCACCTCAGCCTCCTAAAGTGCTGGGATTAAAAGCATGCACCACCACAGCTGCCCACCAAGAACAGTATTTTGTAAACTGGTCTGAAGTTCCTATTTCTAGCGTCTGGTAAATTTCCTAGAGGGCTGAGTGCTCCCACACCCTTAGCCCATGTCACAAGTGCAAAGTGCAACTCCCAGCCAATAGGAAGTCATATTTTTCAGCTATTCACTGAGGTATTTCTTGGTCATGGAATATTCTTTATCCTCAACAAAGTTTTCCTTCATTACATGCTTACAAGCATTATTTGTGACAATCCATTTTTTTCTCTAATTATCCCCAAAGTAAGCTTGTCCTCCTATGGACATAAATCAGATTCAGAATCCTCTCTCTATTCTCAACAATATCATTAATCATGATGGTCTTTTTTAAAATCCATATTTAGATTTGTTCACTTTGATTTTTCTAAGAGATTATATATTTTCTTCCCAAATTTAGTTCAACCAGGAACATTCAATCAAGGCTTTAGTCAGCTTTGCTGGTTAGAGTTATGGCCTGGCCAAGATGCCTTCTGATTCCATTCATCACATCCATTCTATTCTTTGCCAGTGTAGTTCTAATAACAATGATTTTCAAACAGAAAGGGGGCCTAAGTCCCCATCTCTATAGAGGTCATAAGGCTGAGTTCATCAAATATTTCAGACTCTTTAGCCAGGCGTGGTGATGCATGCCTGTAATCTCAGCTACTTGGGAGGCTGAGGCAGGGAAATTGCTTGAACCTGGGAGGTGGAGGCTGCAGTGAGCTGAGATTGTGCCATTGCATTCCAGCCTGGACGATGACAGTGAAACTCTGTCTCAAACAAACAAACAAAACAAATATATATATATATATTTCAGATATATTTGAGACTCTGCTTTTCAGACACATGGTAGCATTGCGCTTCCCCCTTGTGTCTGGGAGGTCTAGCCAATGGGCTGTGAATGGAAATAGTGACTTTCTCTCTACTGTGGTGACCAGCAATATTGGGGCTAGTCAGCCTTAGTTCTGGAGCAACTATGACAAGGAATCATGGGTGAGAATTGAACCTTGCTGGTTTAATTGTGATTGTGATTGGAGGGATTATTTGTTACTGCAGCATAACATTGACTTATATCTTATATAATGTATCCTGACTGATACAATCCCTTTTGTCTCATGAGGCTGCCTCTGAGTGAACTTATTCCCTCTTTCCAAGGGCCACGTCTGCATATCAAAATGTATTGAAAGAGGTGACTTTGAAGGACAAAAAAACCTCTAAACTCTTCCTCCCTGACAATAAGTACCTTATATTTGCATAATTAAGAGGGGCAAAATCCAAGCTCACTGGACCTTGAACAAAGAAGCACTGATGCATGGTGGCTGATAGTGTCTACCTGGTCTATCCAGACACAGGAGCAAGCTACATCTGCCTCCCCCTTCACACGCCACTAGAGCCATGGTTGAGCTGGAGGAGACAAAGTAAACGTTATGAACCACTGTTTTAGTCGTTGCAATGACACCATCTAGATAACTCATGAGGCCTTCTGAAATTAAGGCCTTAACTTTGGGATTCACAAATATTTCATGGTGATAATCTACTCCTCTCACCTGAAGCATCTTATGTGTAGGATGGACAACTGGAGGGTGAAGCCCTCTGGGAGGTGCTGCAGGGAGCAGGGAAGCAAGCAGCCCCCAGAGTTTTGTCCTTAGCAGCTTTGCAGACTAGAGAAGAAAGAACATACGACTGGCAATTGCTGCCTGGTGCCTAGTTTCAATGGTGAGGATGTTACACATGCTCAAGGAGTAAAATGTAATCTCCTTCCCCTAAGTTTTTTTTTTTTTTTTTTTTTTTGTTGGAGACGGAGTCTCACTCTTGTCATCCAGGCTGGAGTACAATGGTGCAATCTTGGCTCACTGCAACCTCCGCCTCCCGGGTTCAAGCGATTCTCCTGCCTCAGCCTCCTGAGAAGCTGGGATTACAGGCGAGTACCACCACGCCTGGCTAATTTTTATATTTGTAGTAGAGATGGGGTTTCACCATGTTGGCCAGGTTGGTCTCGAACTCTTGACCTCAGGTGATCTGCCTGCTTCCGCCTCCCAAAATGCTGGGATTACAGTCATGAGCCACCGCGCCTGGCCCTACTTCCCCAAATATTTTAAGAAAGGTAGCATAGTGTGGTGGCTAAAAGCACAAGTTCTGGACTGTTGGCTTTCAAATCCTAATTCCAACAACAACTGGCTAAGTGACTTTGGGCAAGTTAGGATGAAGTACAAGGTTGGAATTAACTAGCACACAGGAAGCATAGGAATGCCTGGCACAGAGCGAATGCCACGTCGAAGTGTTTACGAGAATGACGATGCCTGTATTTCAACAGCCACAAGGATCCTGTCTACGTGTAAGATTGACCTATTTGGGACCTTTCCCTTTAGGGGCAAAAAAGGGAGTTCTCATAGAGGACTTCATAGGCATGGTTCTTGGAGTGACACATGTGCTATTTGATAATAAAGATTCCAGAGTTAGGCAAGACAGCTGAGTCCCTGACTGTTGGTAGGAGCTGAAGCTGGAGCTATAAGCTGGCTCCTTCTCCTTGGGCTGTTGCTTGAGTGAAGAGGCTTTCAGCCTTTTTTTTGGAATCTGAACATTTTGGGGGATTGTTTGGTTCTGTTTTCAGGCTTTCTTTAACAGCTGTGTAGAAAATCCTTTTTAATGGGAGTAAATATGGCTGTGCCCAAACCACCCTGCATCTCTTGGCCAGTGCACAGGCACCCTAGGTGGTCTCTGCAGTGGCCAGCAGCCACTCTAGAAGAGGACTGGAGCAAGAACTTGGCCCTGGCCTTGACTCCTCTGCTCTGGTTTGGCTGGTTTAGCCCTGGACCTGCCCAGTGGCCATGTCTGGGATGGAGGTTAACAGGCAAGAACAACTTCAGGTCAGGCTGATCCTAGGATGCTCAACCCAGCCCCAGGCTAAACCCCCGAGGGAAGATCAGGGTGAGCTTTAAAGCACAAATTCTATTCTCCTGTGCTTGGAAAGTTGAAAACAAACCATTGTGATCCTGGGTTCAACCCATGGGCTTCCCCACTTATCTAGTCTTGGACATAACGTTTAACTTTCCCAAGCCATTACTCTCGGGTGTAGATAGAATGGACGTGATATTGAGACTCACCTCCAAAGAATTGTTTCAGGGGTGAGCAGACATACTGCATTGGAATTAGCCTGTATATAGAAGGTGCTCGATAAATGTTAGTTAGCACTGTTATCCTAACTCCCACCTCCCATCCCCACTGCAAGAGTATCCTGTCAATGCCTGTTTCTGCTCTTATTACTTCTCTTGTCTAGCAATGTCTTCTTCCTCTCCATGGTACACATACAACTCCTGTTGATGATTAATGCCCATGGCAGGGCAGGCGAGGGAAAGGGCCCATCCTGGAGCCACCTGGAAAGAGTTTGTATCTGTTTGCTCGGGCTGCCATAGCAAAGAACCACGAACTGGCTCCTCAGGCCAGACAAGAGAAGGAAGAGAAGGGAATAAGGGATGGAAAGAAAAACCAAAACTGGATTCCAGGGAAACCTCACTGGCCTGAAATCTTCTCCACATCAGCTGCTAGGCAGAGCTGCCTGCTGACTGAGTCCTGGCTGCCATCCCTGCTCAAAGGCCTGTGCTTACGCTCATGGAGGAAACTGAGGATGCTGGGACATTACTGGGGGACTGAAGTAGCCTTTTTTTTCTTTTTTTCTTTTTTTTTTTTTCCTTTTTTGAGACAGAGTCTCAGTCTGTCACCCAGGCTGGAGTGCAGTGGCATGATCTTGGCTCACCGCAACCTCCACCTCCTGGGCTTAAGTGATTCTCCTGCCTCAGCCTCCTGAGTAGCTGGGACTATAGGCGTGCACTACCATGCCCAGCTAGTTTTTGCATTTTTAGTAGAGACAGGGTTTCGCCATGTTGCTCAGGCTGGTCTCGAAATCCTGAGCTCAAGCAATCTGCCCACCTCAGCCTCCCAAAAGTGCTAGGATTACAGGCGTGAGCCACCGCACCCCGCTGAAGCAGCCTTTTTTCTGACATCAGACGTGGCACTTCCAACCCTCACCTTCAGGGACCTCTGTCATTGGCCAGCTCTCAGGCAGCAGAGCACTGCACTCGGACTGCAGCCTGGGGAAACCACAGTGTGAACCCAGAAAATCTGAGACAGATCTCAGTTAACTTAGGAAGTTTATTTTGCCAAGGTTGAGGATGTGTCCCTGACCCAGCCTCAGAAATTCCTGATGACATGTGCCCAGGGTGGTCGGGGCACAGCTTAGTTTTAAACATTTTAGGGAGACATAAGACATCAATCAATATATGTAAGAAGTACATTGGTTCGGTCTACAAGGGCAGGACAACTTGAAGCAAAGGCAGGAAGACTTGAAGGGGTGGGGCGGGGCTTCCAAGTCACAGATAGGTGAGAGAAAAATGGTTGCATTCTTCTGAGTTTCTGATTAGCCTTTGCAAAGGATGCAATCAGATATGCATCTATGTCAGCGAGGAGAGGGGTGACTTTGAATAGAATGGGAGGCAGGTTGGTCCTAAGCAGTTCCCAGCATGAGTTTTCCCTTTAGCTTAGTGACCCCAAGATTTATTTTCCTTTCACAGTGAGAAACCAGCCATTCACAGGATATCCATGCTTTTGGGGTATGTGGTGTGTGTGTGTGTGTGTTTAAGGGATAGAAACTGAAACATGTTATGTGATGAGCATTAATACTGACTTTTGCTTTCAGCTACACAAATGTTTACGGTGGTCTTGCTCTGTACAGGCCATGCTTCCAGAATTAGCAGTCTAAAATACAGATTTTTTCCCCCTGATTTGTCCCTTTTGTTGGTTTTTACTGGGGCCTGGCTGAACCAAGAGGTCAGAAATTCTGCCGTTCGTCCCCACCACTTGGTGTTCTGGTTTTGGCTGATGGATCGCTTTGAGTTTTTCTTTGCTGGTTGTGTTTAGATTAAGTCCCTGGTTAAGTGCACACCTTTGGCTGTGCTGTCTTGCCCCAGTTTTGGGTTTGTCCTACACCGTAGTGTGAGCAGCTGCTACAGGGCAAGTATTTCCTCATGTCAGTTGCCTGAGTGCCTCTTCTTGTGCTGAACAATGGGGTATTATAAATTCATATCCTCTCAGGGGTAAAATACAGAATTTAAAGATTCCTCCTGAGAGCCACCCCATTACCCATAGAGTGGGGTCCAAACCTCTCACAGCATTCAGAAGATTTTCATGATCTGACCATAGCCTCCTAGGCCAGCACATCCACCAACGCTGCCTCCCGTGAACTACAAACGCCAGGGGTATCACATTCCTGCCTTCGAGGAGCTCAGAGCTGGTGTGGAGAGTCCCAGAATGCCTTTACAGATCCAGTAACAACGGCAGGCTCCCCTAAAAGAGCCACTTACACACTCAGAGACACGTGTGGAGGTGGCAGGAATGCTGGGCAGTGCAGCCCTGCTTGCAGGTCGGATGCTCTAGCTCGACGCCCATCCTTCTTGGCCTTGTTGTCATCTGCTTTCTCTCTGGAAAAGGGCCTGCCCCTCCCCCCTGCCCTCCTAGCCTGCGCCACAGCATGCACAGGTCTCCTTTTGGAGGCAAAGATGTCTCTCAGTGACACACCACACGGTGTTTCCACCTAGCACAGGTCTTCACGTCCCCTGAGCCCACCTATCACACACTCCTGCCCTCCGCAGGCCTCTGCTGGTACAGACTGGCCAGATTTAGGTGGAGTGGGAGAGACAGCCCATGAATGGGGATACCCGCAAGATGCAGGCTGAGTGCGGCAGGGCCCCTGACCTCCAGTTTTGTATACATTTTGGAGGGGAAGACTCTTATTCTCAGCTTCCCAGTTCTGACCAGAGGACTTTTTCCGTGTATTCACAGAGGGTCCGTCTCTCAGCAACAGACTAAAATTACAAATTCCACAAGACTGCTGTCCAAGCCAGAATGACATTTAAAAATTTTTTTTTAATTTAAACTTAATTTCTTATCTTTTTATTTAATTTTTTGTTCGTAATTTTTCCCCATACTATGCTGATATAGAGAATGACAGTTTATTACTTTCTGCTGGATATTAGTTATGGGGGATATTAGTTAAGGTATTTGGCCACTGTAACAGATGATCCAGAAATTTTTTTTTCCTGTTTTTTTCCTGTGTACTGTAGTTAATGTTGCTTTTGCCCTGTGGGCAGGTGTTCCTGCTCCCTCCGAGCAGTGACTCGGGAATCCACGCACATTCCATCTCTGGAACCCCAGCCTCTGCCTGTGGTTTCCAACATCACCCCAGAGACTGTTACCGTGCCAGCCGGCCAGAGGGGAAAGAGCAGGAGAGACGGCAGGGAGAGTTTTATGCCCCCTATCAGTTGCTAGGGCTGCTTTACCAAACTGCCGCTACAGCACTTCGGTGGCTTAAAATAACAATAATGTACTCGCAGCCGGGCGCGGTGGCTCACTCCTGTAATCCTAGCACTTTGGGAGGCCGAGGCGGGTGGATCACGAGGTCAGGAGATCCAGATCATCCTGGCTAACATGGTGAAACCCTGTCTCTACTAAAAATACGAAAAAATTAGCTGGGCGTGGTGGCAGGCGCCTGTAGGCTACTCGGGAGGCTGAGGCAGGAGAATGGCGTGAACCCAGGAGGCAGAGCTTGCAGTGAGCCCAGATCGTGCCACTGCATTCCAGCCTGGGTGACAGAGTGAGACTCCGTCTCAAAAAAAAAAAAAAAATGTACTCGCTCACAGTTCTGAAAGCCAGAAGTCCAAGCTGATTCCTTCTGGAGGCTCTAAGGAGGAGCCCATTCCACGCCTGGGGGCTGCTGGCCATCCTTGCCATGCCTTGGCTCTTGCCTCTGCCTTGGTCTTAGCGAGGCCCTGTCCCCTGTGTCTCTCTGTGTCTTCTTCTCCTTTGCTGTCTAAGGACACCTGTCATTGGCTTTAGGGCCCATCCGAATCCAGGAAGTCATCTCAAGATCCTTACCTTAATTACACCTGCAAAGGCCCTTATTCCAAGTGAGCTCACTTTCTGAGGCTCTGGTGGACATGAATTTTGGAGGGAACACGATTCAACCTGCTGCATGGGGCACATCTGGAGATGGTACAGCCCTTGTGCCTACTTTCCATGGGCCAGAAATGAGTCACATGGCCATACGTAACTCCGGGAGACACTGGAAGATGTCACCCAGCTGTGCCCAGAAGGACGAGGAAGCCAATTTGGGGAAGAGCTGCCTGGCTCTGCTACAGGGGAGGAGGTCCTTGTCCCAGCCAGGAAGCTCAGGCTTCCAGGGGGAGGAGTGATTCTTCCCTAGGCAGAACTGGATGTATACTGACAACATCTGATATCTGTTCCCCTTTGTTGATGGCAAGCGCTGGCTGCTCTGCCTGCAGACATTTTCTATGAGATACAGAACTTGAAGATCGGTTCCGCATGCTTGATGTGTGCTGACATAGCCGGTTCCACCACTTGTCCTTTGGGTGAAATTGGGAAGCTTTCCTCACCCCTGCTAGGCAGTCCCCTCCCCAACTTGTTATACCTCATTCCTGATGCTCCCTTCCAGATGTCAGTAACTCCACGGACTGTAAGTTCCCGGTGACCTCTCCTGCGACCTTACTCCCTTGGAATGGGGTGAGACCCTGCCAGGTTGGTGATTTTGTAAGACAGACCACAACTTCTTCCTCTTTGCTCTCCCTTAGGTTCTAGTTTCCAACAAGGAGTGCAAGTTATGTTCTGCTCCTCTAGCAGGGTGGGCAAGCCTGCCTGATTTGGGGGTTCAAAATTAGGAAGCTCATTTACCTGCAAATATAAGTCAGATTTATTTTCCAATATCAATGTAATAAAGGTAATAGTTTTGACCCCAAATGCTGTACTATTTTGTCTTATTGCGCATTTAGTTTAGCTGAGAAGAGATGTGCTATTTGTTGAGAGTTAAAAGTCCCTAACTCCTCTGCTATAGTCCTTCTAACTTCCTCCTACACTTAATTAAATACATACTTATTTTTAAGGGCCTTGCACAGTTCCTGAAACATAGTAAGTGTTTGTGTTTGTTGAATGAATGAATGAAAACTGGGAAAATTATATATATATAAAATTTTGTATATATATGTAATTATATATATGTAATTACACATATAAAAAATTATGTAATTATATATATAATTACTTATGTAATTATATATATAATTACATATGTAATTATATATATGTAATTATATATATAATTACATATGTAATTACATATGTAATTATATATATAATTATATATGTAATTATATATATGTAATTATATATGTAATTATATATGTAATTATATATATATTTGTAGAGGTTATACATATAACATCTAGACGTTATGTGTAGAGGTTATACATATAACATCTAGATGTTATGTGTAGAGGTTATACACATAACCTCTACAAAAACCTGCAAAAATATGACACTATAAACTCCTAATTTTCTGGACTATAATTTGGCAATGTTTATCAAGAGCCTGAAAAATGCTTATATTTCAATTCAGGAATTCTACTTCTAGGAATTTATACTAAGTAAATACAATAGATATGTGCGAAGAGTTATGTTCAGGATCTTGGCCACAGTATTATTTAAAATAACAAATGCTGAGACAACCCAAGTATTTCTTATCAATCATATTTCATTGTTACAAACAACAGAAACTAAGTCTGGGTATTTTAAGTTAAAAAGAGAAAGGGAGAATTTTTTACAGGACACTAGATAGCTCACAGAATCTCCAGGAAATCCAGGAAACTGGTCCTGAAGGCCAGAATCAGCACTCAGGTTCAAACTGCAGCATATCTAATGAATATACCCCTGCTGCTGCCCCAGCAGCAAACACTACAGCTGATTCCACCATCATTACAGCAGCTGAATGGTGGGTTCTGGAACCTGATGGAGCAGCCACCCCTCCCCCATCCTCACAGGACTAGAAATCTTTAGACCTTGCTTCTTCACACTATCTTCCCATTCAAATTTGGGTAGAGTCATCGCATTGGTAAATACTAGGCCTTGTGATCACATTTTAGCTGCAAGGGAGCCAGGAAGTCTTACTGCCATCTTTCTTCATTTCTGTTTCATTGGGTGAGGGAGTCTCCGAACATAGGAAAAGGGTTCAGATACAAAGTGTACAAAGTTGCCTATAAGAATGACAAATATCCACTACAGTATCTAACCCTCAGAAGATTACTAAGTGTATGACACAGATGGCACATCCAAATGATACTGTACTATGGGAGTCTATAGAATTCATGCTTTAGAAGACATAATGTCCTGAGGAAATAATCATGATATACTAAATTTTTAAAAATCGAATTCTAAAATAGTATGATCCCAGATACATATATTTTCAGATGGAGTCTCGCTGTGTCACCCAGGCTGGAGGGCAATGGCTCACTGCAACCTCCGCTTCCTGAGTTCAAGCAATTCTCGGACTGCAGCCTCCTGAGTAGCTGGGATTACAGGCGTGCGCCACCATGCCCAGCTAATTTTTGTATTTTTAGTAGAGACAGGGTTTCACCAGTTTGGCCAGGCTGGTCTTGGACTCCTAACCTTAGGTGATCCACCTGCCTCGGCCTCCCAAAGTGCTGGAATTACAGGCATGAGCCACTAAGCCTGGCCCCAGATGTCTTTAAAAATTCTGTGTATATAAAAAATGGAATTATAATAGATGGCAGAATGTTAATAGAAGGACTCTGGGTGGAGGGATCATTAGTGATGTTTTCTATTGTATACTTTTCTAGGATTTCCAGATTTTCTAAATGTACATGTATTTTTATAATTAGAAAGCAAGTATGCAAAGATTTTTAAGAGACTAGAAGTGAACAAAACAGAAACATTAAGTGAAATGCCTTAATAACAAGCTCTTTGGGAACGCATCTGAACTACACTTGAAGGAGGAAATTGATAGCAGATGACTTTATTAAAACCTCAGACATCTCTCCAGATCTGTGAGAGCTTAGGTGACATGGTCAGAGCCAACTTAGATTTTCCTTCATTTTCCATAACTATTGTCTTGTCAACCTCACTTGGGGGGTATCTTACATAGGAATAGGTCTGAGGGACAGGACAGGCTTGGAGGCACCATTCTGCACCTTCTCCACCTCAGGAAGCATGAAGGCAGGGGACACAGTGAATATAAATAGCCTACATGACCTTGGTGGGGTGGGCAACAGGGCTGGATTTAGCGTCAGGGTTTGGCTGTGGAACAGTGGCACCATCCAAGTGGAATGCAGGTGGAAGTAAACTAATTGGTCCAAGATATTTTTCGACTAGGGAGACTTTGGTGTGAGAAAGAAAAGGTCAAGCCTCCAGGAGCTTAAAAGACAGGGAAAAAAATTGTGAGAACTAAAAGTGTTTTTAAAAAACAGCTAAAGCAAAAATGGGGCAAAACTCAAAATTAGGATAAGAATATGCAGCCAAAGGTTATTGGCATTGAAGAGAAAGATGAAAGAAGAAGATGCTTGTTTTGTTTGTTTGTTTTTTTGTTTTTTTGAGATGCAGTCTCACTCTGTCACCCAGGCTAGATAGAGTGCAGTGGCATGATCTTGGCTCACTGCAAGCTCTGCCTCCCAGGTTCACGCCATTCTCCTGCCTCAGCCTCCCGAGTAGCTGGGACTACAGGCACCTGCCACCACACCCAGCTAATTTTTTGTATTTTTAGTAGAGACAGGGTTTCACCGTGTTAGCCAGGATGGTCTCGATCTCCTGACCTCGTGATCCGCCCGCCTCGGCCTCCCAAAGTGCTGTGATTACAGGCGTGAGCCACAGTGCCCAGCAGAAGACGCTTGTTGAGAATCACCAACCTGCCAGGCAGTGAGCTTAGGGTTTTAGGGCATATTTATTTCCTTTCAGCAGGTTAATCACTCTGAAGGGGGCCGCAGTGCAGCTGAGGTCTAGGGCCTGAGGGATTCAGGTATAATTTTCCTTTCTAAGGACTTCTCAGCAATAAAATTACTCATTTTTGCAAACCACATAAAGGGGTGAGATCTCCAGGAGTAAGTTAAAATGTTCTCTTCACTTCAATCAGAGGTGCCTATTAAAACGCAGATTCCCAGGCACACTAAATCTACAGAATGCTCTGGTGAGTGTCTGGGGACCTGCTTTATAAAAACGCACTCCTGGGTGAGTGGTAAACACAATCAAGTTTGAAAGCCATGTAGCCTGCTGCCTTCCCCCAGGTCTGTCCAAGGTCTGAGCAAAGGTGCCAGCTTAGACTTTGGTCCCGGGTTTGGCTCTGCCACTCAGGCATGTGACCTTGAGCCCTGGCTCTGCTTCTTTGTACCATCAGATGGGGTAATAATACCCTGTCCTTTCCTGCAAGGCGGCTGGGAGAAGAAAATGAGATAATAGAGATAACAGAAATGAAGGCGTGTTGAAAGTAAACTGATCTCTGCAAATGTGAGGCAGCGGGGCCACATTGGATAACTTCATCAGCTTGGAAGGCTCTGAAGTCAATGTTCTGGGGGCGGGTCAGGTAAAACTGTGGGAGAAGTAGGAAAGGCCTACAAGTCTGGAAGCCAGGGGGTGTGAGGGTGTAGCCACAGGCTGTCCTTGCTTTGACAAACTACAGCCAGCCCAGGAAGGGCAAACGTTACTCCTGAAAAGGCTGGATGGCAGCTTTGTGTGGTTTAATTGGGGCGAAACTGCCAAGAGTTCCTATGGCCCGTTGTGGGGCTGGCCCCAGCACCACCCTCCTGGCAAAAGGTAGCAGAGGTGTCTGCGATGCTGAGGCTGGTTCCTAATGTGGCGAATTCCAATCCTGAGGGCCAAGCTTGGTTGGTCTGGCAGTTTGTTGGAGAGAAAAGCGTCTGACTTCGGGGTGGCCTTGCTGGGCTTTGGGCCAAAGCTGGGCCTGTGCAGATGTGGCTGAGCCACAGTGCAGGGCAAAGGGAGGTGAAAGGGGCAGACACAGATACCCAGCCCCAAGCAAGAGCCCCACAGGCCTTGCCCTGACCCAGGCAGGCCACAGCCCTCCAGGAGCCCCTTCCTCTATGAAACCCTCCACCGCCATCCCAAACGATGGCAAAGTAGCTTCTGGTATCCATTAATCTGTTCATTCAGCCATTGCCGACCACTTACCAGTCAGAGAACCCGGGCCACAGGGGACAGCACGCCATTCTTCTTTCCAGAGGAAAGAGGTCTGTTGCTTATAGTTTAGTGGTTCTTGCCCTTGTGTTTGTATGGAAATCCCTGGAGAGCGTGTTTAAAAGGCTGATTCCTCAGCCCTCCTTGTGGAGATTCTGATTCAGCAGGTCTGGAAGGAGGAGGAGGAACCCACACATTGACGAGCATCTCAGATGACTGTGTTATGGGAGGTCTTCCCCTCAGCCTGGGAGAGACACTGCCCTGGCCTCAAACCCTTCGGGGAAGAACTTGGTGAGATGCAGCCTCTGAGAATCTGCATGCTTCACGGTGACCACCTGGGGTGTCAGCTTTGGAGCAGGGAGGAGACGGTGCCCCCTGGTGAACGAGTGGGGTTGCTGGGAGTGGGAGAAGTGCTTTCTCTGGGTGGGGTTGCCCGCTTTCCTCCAGGACAGCTGTTTTGCCACCAGCCTGCTGCCTTCCTGGATGTGCTGGTTTTCAGCACCCAGCAAGGTGAAATGTTTTGCCTGGCCGGGACAGCTCACTCGAGCTGGAGTTCCCATGTTCTAATTGTCGACAGCCAGCACTGGCATGTGCCTTTTTGGGATCTTTCCTGGACGTCTTGCACCTTATTTTTCCATCTGGTTTCTGGCAAACTGTGAGTCTAAGTAACTTCGTAATTCCCACCATTCCAGAATCTCATATCTCTTTTCAAACTCAGTGAGCTCTTGGAATTAACCCTACTTACTCTCCAAACAATTTTAACTCAGAATCCGGATTAGGAAGCCTGCTAAAGGGCACAGTGAAATCAGGACTCTATTTTTCCCAGCAAGTATTTAAATTCCATATTAAAACTAGAATAGCTATTTTAAAGGAAAAAAATCAGATTTTTAAAAACTTTAGTCTGGAGGAAAATATATTTATTCTGGAGTCTTGTGTCCAAAATACATTTATTTCTTTACTTATTTTATTTTTTTGAGATGGAGTCTTTCTGTGTCCCCCAGGCTAGAGTGCAGTGGTGCGATCTCAGCTCATTGCAACTTCCGCCTCCCCGGTTCAAGCAATTCTCCTGCCTCAGGCTCCTGAGTAGCTGGGTTTACAGGTGCCCACCACCACATCTGGCTGATTTTGTATTTCTAGTAGAGACAGGGTTTCGCCATGTTGGGCAGGCTGGTCTCAAAATCCTGACCTCAGCTGCTCCTCCCACCTTGGCCTCCCAAAGGGCTGATCACATTTAGATAAAAATTTTTGCTGTACCTGGGGCAAGGGTCTCCAAGGATCTCAGTTTCAATTATTTTTAAGAGTTTTTCTAATACTTTTTAAAAAATGGGCAGTTTCTGAAAAGAAGAAAAAGAAAAAAAGAACAAAAGTGAAGCTTTCCAAATTCTAGAAAGTTTCAAACGGTTTGTTGTATCCTTGGAAAAACAGCTCTGGCGTTGATTGCACTGGTTTGGAAAGGCCTGGGGGGTGGAGAAAGTCATTCTATACCTTGGGCTCTGGACTCTGGGCTCTGCCATCGGACTTCCTGGGCTCCCTTCGATGCCACCCATGGTTTCAGGCAAGCTTCCTGATTTCTGGAATACTCAGTCTCCTGACTTGTAAAATGGTGATATGACGACCACTTTGTAGGTTCATTAATGAAGATTAAATGATATAATCTGTGTAAAGAGTTTAGCACAGTGCTTGACTCAGAGATGTATCAAATAAACGCCCCCAATCATCATAATCTTCATCATCATCATCATCATCACCATCATCATAGTCTTCATCATCTCTCAATGCAATCGAGGAAGAGGAAAGCATATGATGAAGAACAACCAGAGGTCTCTACCACTGCCGTGTTTCCTGCCTCCAGCTACTCTCCTTCAAAGCATTCCTCAGAGGGATTGTCTAAATCACAGCTCTAACGAACCGGACCCCTCCTTTGCTGAATACGCGCTGGGTTTTTCTGCCTCCACACCTTTGCTTAGGCAATACCTTTCCCCTAGAATGTCTTCCTCCCACATCTATGCCTTTCAACCTCCCTACATCTACAGATTCTTCAGGGTCTTGTTTACATACTGTGTCCTTGATAAAATCTTTTTAAATCCCCCCTACAATATGTTTCATTCACTCATTCGATCATGAATTTGATGATTGCACCAGGTGCAGGCGAGATGCCAGGTACCCAGGGTAAATGAGCACAATCCCTGTCCTCTCCCTCCTCACAGACTGGCCGTGAAATCTGCATGCCCTCTGTGTCCTCACAGTACTTTTTTTTTTTTTTTTTGAGATGGAGTCTTGCTCTGTCTCCCAGGCTGGAGTGCAGTGGCACGATCTCGGCTCGCTGCAACCTCTGCCTCCCGGCTTCAAGGGATTCTCCTGCCTCAGCCTCCCAAGTAGCTGGGACTACAGACATGTGCCACCATGCCCGGTTATCCTCACAGTACTTTCTTGATTCCACTCAGATGCTCATGCCACACTTTGCTGTGTGCAGCTGGTGTTTATATACTGGCTATAGCTCCTTTGGGAGAGAAGGTGCGAGGTCTAAAGCTGAGCATGCACTGCAGACTGTCTGTGGAGGTAACATTACATAATTGAAAAAGCAAACCTGATGTACTTCCGGACATTTACCCAAAAGAATTGAAAACAGGGACTCAAACTGTGATTTGTACAAGCCATGTTCATAGCGGCACTATTTACAATGGCCAAAGGTGGAGGCAACCCAACTGACCATGCCTGATGAACAGATAAACAAAATGCCATCTCTGCATACAGTGGAGGCCAGTGTGGTGGCGCACACCTATAATCTCAACACTTTGGGAGGCTGAGGTGGGAGGATGGCTTGAGCTCAGGGGTTCAAGACCAGCCTGAGCAACAAAGTGAGACTTCATGTCTACTATATATAGTTCATACAGTGGAATATTATTTAGCTTCAAAAAAGGAAATTCTGACACATGCTACAACATGGATGAACCATGAAAACATTATGCTAAGTGCAATAAACCAGTCACAAAAGGGCAAATACTGTGATTCCACTTATATGACATAACTAGAATAGTCAAATTCATAGAGACAAAAAGTAGAATGGTGGTTGCCAGGGGCTGGGGGAGGGGGAATGAAAAGTTTTTGTTTAATAGATACAGAGTTTCAGTTTGGAAGCTAAAAAAAATCTGGAAATGGATAGTGGTTATGGTTGCATAACAACGCGAATGTATTTAATGCCACTGAATTGTACACTTAAAATGATTAACATGGAAAATTATGTATATTTTATTCCAAAAAAAGAAAAGCAAAAAAGGAAATAACTTGGGCATTTTTGAAAGTGTCTTTCTATGTTCAGCCCAAACCAGCATCTCGTCACAGTAATGCTTGAGGTTTAAATGTCCAGGCCTTGGAGAAACAGATTATTATGGAGGAGAAGAGAATGAAGACAAATGAGAACTCACTTCAGGTACTTCCTGGAGACATGGATGACAGGCTACAATGTCCATTCACAGGAAACAGAAAAAGATGTGAGCTTAAATTGATGCAGATGTATATATATATACTCACACATATATAGATATATATTATTTTATTTTATTTTTTGAGACAAAGTCTCACTCTGTCGCTCAGGCTGGAGTATGATGGTGCATTCAGGGCTCACTGCAGCCTTGACCTCACGGGCTCCAGTGATCCTCCCACCTCAGACTCCCAAATAGCTGGAACCACAGGCGTGAGCTACCATGCTCAGCTAATTTTTATTTTTGCTTGAGACAGGATCTTGCCATTTTACCCAAGCTGGTCTTGAACTCCTGGGCTCAAGCAATCCTCCCACCTCAGCCTCCTAAACTGTTGGGATTACAGGCATGAGCCACCATGCTGAGCCCTGATATATATATATTTCTACCAGTATATACATATATATTTTTTCCTTTAACTACTGGAAAAATCAGTCATTATCAAAGACTCAGGGTGTCTATTGGCATAAAGACCAGAGTGGCAATTCTCTTCGGGGGCATCCTGGCCCTGGTAGCCTTGCTGGACTCCGAGGGCCCTGTCCATCCTCAGTCATCTTGTTGTTCAGCCCACCCCATTCTTTCCGGAGAGAGCAGTGAGCTGGAAAGATCCTCCCCTGCTCTTTCACCCACCTCGGTGTCACAGGAAAGACCAAACTTTTGCACCCAACATGGTAGGCGTGGAGGGCACTCACTAGAAAATGTTCTAAGGAAACATAGGCACCATGTCTTGACTTCTTGCTGACCTCTCAGGGAGGGCTTTGGCTGCCAGAGAGTTTTGTGAGCTTTAATAGAGTTTTGATGTGGCTTTGACTTCCACAGTGGCCCAGCTATTTTTAGAAGAGCCCTGTGCTAGATCAGAAAGCTAGTAAATGCTCCTGTTACTCTCCTCTGCCTGTCACAATACCTGGGATTCTTAGTGTCAGAAATCTAGGATCCAGTTTGCTCCATCAGAAGCTTCTTCTGGGTATCACACTCCTACCCTGTGAGCTGGCTGAGCCAGGCCGATGAGTTTTGTTCATCTTCATCCCTCATTATTCCCAGTCTTCCCAGTTCCTAGAACATGAAGTATGTGGAAATTAATGATTTTCTCTAATCATTGGAAATAACCATTAGGGAAGGCATCCAATATTATTTTAAACGAATGGTTACTAATCAAAGATAATATGCCATATGTGGTCCCGTTTAGCTGGAATCAAATATAATACAATCAATCTAAGAAGACACATAAAGAACCTCTGGGGAGGGGGCAGTCTCAGCCTGGAACCTATGAACCCCTAGAGATGTGTGGATTACATTTTGGAGTCTGTTACTCCTTGAAATTGTGAACAAAATGTGTGTGTTTTGTTTGGGGGAGAAGGGTAGATGGAAATATGAGAAGGAAAGAGCTACAATTTTATTAGATTCTCAGTCCTCTGGCCACAACACCTGTAATCCCAGCATTTTAGGAGGCCAAGGCAGGAAGATCACTTGAGGCCAGGAGGTCAAGACCAGCCTGGCCAACATGGTGAAACTCTGTTTCTATTAAAAATATAAAAATTAGCTAGGCATGATGGCTGGTGCCTGTAATCCCAGCTACTCGGGAGGCTGAGGCAGGAGAATTGCTTGAACCTGGGAGGCAGAGGTTGCCATGAGCAGAGATCATGCCACTGCACTTCAGCCTGGGTGACAAAGCAAGACTCCAACTGAAAAAAAAATTTTACTTATGTGGCCACTGTGGCCCAGAGGCAGGAACTGCTCTCACCAAGGTGAGGAGCTTCTGGATGGCAGCTCTTGGTCTGAAGCTCTTTACACCAGCCAGTGTCCCAGACATGGCAGTCACACAGGACAGGTATTAAAAATTCAGATGCAGCCAGGCTTGGAGGCTCATGCCTGTAATCCTAGCACTTTGGGAGACCAAGGTGGGAGGATCATTTGAGCCCAGGAGTCTGAGACCAGCCTGGGCAACACAGTGAGACCCTGTCTCTACAAAAAAATAAAAATAAATTAGCCGAGCATGGTGGTATATGCCTGTAGTTCCAGATACTGGGGTGGCTGAGATGGGAGGATGGTTTGAGCCCGGGAGGTCGAGGCTTCAGTGAGCTGTGATGGCAACACTGCACTCCAGCCCAGGTGACAGAGGGAGACCTTGTCTCAGAAACAAAACAAAAACCTCAGATGCCACAAGGAAGTCCTGTGCCCTCTGTTGTAGGAGTTCTGCAGTGGAGTGGTGTGCTGTGGACGTCAGGTTGGGATGAGGTGGCCTGGAGACCTCTCAGCCCAAGGGCAGGGCAGGAGCCCAGGTAGAGAGCAACTCCCGGGGGCCCTCCCTGGAGCCCAGCACTGCCCACACTGGGGCTGTGAAGCTGGACAAGGAGAAACTGGTGCAAAACCTGAGGGGCCCCAGGACATCGAAGTTCTGCAGACAGACCTCGAGCAATTTGCCAAGCTCCTGAAGCAGAGGAGGATCACCCTGGAATATTCCCAGACCCATTTGGAGGTCCCCGGGGGGTTCTCTTTGGGAAAGTGTTCAGCCAAATGACCTCTGCCGCTCTGAGGCTCCGCAGCACAGTTTCAAGAACACATGTTAGCTGTGGGCCCTGCTGCAGGAGTGGCAGAAGCTGGCAATGAATACCTTCAGGAGATGTGCAAAACAGAGACCCTCCTGCAGACCAAAATAGAAAGCAAATGCTTATTGAGAACAGAGTGGGAGGCAACCTGAAAACTTGTTCCTGCAGTGCCCGAAACCCTCACTGCCTCAGATTAGCCCCATGGTCGAGCTGCTTGGGCTTGAGAAAGATGTGGACCAATGTGGTTCTGTAACCAGAGCCAGAAGGACAAACAATCCATGAGTGTTCACAGCAAGGAGATTTTGAAGTTGCCCCCTTTCTCAGGGGACCAGTGTCTGTTCCTCTGGCTGCAGAACCCCATTTTGGTATCCCAGGCTATGGGGGCCCTCACTTCACTACCTGTACTCCCTGGTCCCTTTCCTGACGGTGAAGCCGTTCCCTCTGGGCTCTCCCATGTAGTCAGACAGAGGTCCTGCCCTTCCCAGGAATGGAGACAAGAAAGGAGAGAAACCAGGGAAGGAGAACCCTGGAGTTTGTAGCAGGGCTTTTGGGATTAAGTTCCTCATTTACTAAAGAAGGATTTGAGAACACGAAGGATTGAGGCAGGGATTTTGGGGAAACCAGTTGGTGGGAAGGTCATGTTCAATGATGCTCTTGATTTTAATCCTCACATCACACATCACTTTGGTCTTAAATAAAGAAGCCTGGGACAGAAAGACACACACACTCTCTCTCTCTCTCTAATGCCCAGGCCCTTCCCCTACGTAGTCTGATCCCATAGGCCTGGGGTAGGGCCTAGGAATCTAGGTATGTAACAAGCTTCCCACATGATTTTTTTGTTTGGGAAACATTGTACAGTAATGTGTCACTTAATGACGGAAATATGTTCTGAGAAATGGGTCGCTAGGTAATTTTGTCACTGGGTAAACATCATAGAATGAACTTACACAAACCTAGGTGGTATAGCCTACTACACCCTAGATACAGCCTACTGTGCCTAGGCTACAAATCCATAGCTACAGCATATTGACTGTACTGAATACTGTGGGCAATTGTAACACCATGATAAGGATTTGTGCACCTAAACATAGCTAAATGTAGAAAAGATACAGTGAAAATACAGTATAAAAGATAAAATGGTACACCAGTATAGGGCACTTACCTTGAAAGGAGCTTGCAGGACTGGAAGATGCTATGTGTGAGTCAGTGAGTGGTGAGTGAATGTGAAGGCCTAGGATATTCCTGAACACTACCACAAACTTTATAAACATGTACACTTAGACTAGACTAAATTTATATTAAAAATATTTTTCTTTCTTCAATAAAAATTAACCATAGCTTACCATAACTTTTTTACTTTATAAACTGTAATTTTTTTTTTGAGATGGAGTCCCACTCTGTTGCCCAGGCTGGGGTGCAGTGGCACAATCTAGGCTCAATGCAACCTCCGACTCCCAGGTACAAGCAATTATCTCGCCTCAGCCTCCCAAGCAGCTGGGATTACAGGCACCCGCCACCATACCTGGTTGATTTTTTTGTACTTTTAGTAGAGATGGGGTTTCACCTGTTGGGCAGGCTGGTCTTGAACTCCTGACATCAAGTGATCTGCCTGCCTCAGCCTCCCAAAGTGCTGGGATTACAGGCATGAGCCATGGTGCCCAGCCATTTTTTTTTTTAATACTTTAAGTTCTGGGATACATGTGTGGAACGTGCAGGTTTGTAACATAGGTATACGTGTGCCATGGTGGTTTGCTGCACCCACCAACCTGTCATCTACATTAGGTAGTTCTCCTAATGCTATCCCTCCCCTTGCCCCCCCACCTCCCGACAAGGCCCAGTGTGTTATGTTCCCCTCCCTGTGCCCATATGTTCTCATTGTTCAATTCCCACTTATGAGTGAGAACATGCAGTGTTTGGTTTTCTGTTCCTGTGTTAGTTTGCTGAGAATGATGGTTTCCAGCTTCATCCATGTCCCTGCAAAGGACATGAACTCATCCTTTTTTATGGCTACATAGTATTCCATGGTGTATAGGTGCCACATTTTATTTATCCAGTCTAACATTGATGGGCATTTGGGTTGGTTCCAAGTCTTTGCTATTGTGAATAGTGCTGCAACAATTTATTTATTTTTTTATGAGACAGAGTCTCGCTCTGTTGCCCAGGCTGGAGTGCTGTGGTGTGTTCTCAGCTCACTGCAACCTCCACCTCCCGCGTTCAAGTGATCCTCCTGCCTCAGCCTCCCAAGTAGCTGGGATACAGGTACACACCACCACGCCCAGCTAATTTTTGTATTTTTAGTAGAGACACGATTTCACTATGTTAGCCAGGCTGATCTTGAACTCCTGACCTCAGGTGATCTGCCTACCTTAGCATCCCCAAGTGCTGGGATTACAAGCATGAGCCACCATGCCCAGCCTATAAACTGTAATTTAAAAAAATTTTTTGACTCTTTTAAAAATAACAGTTTAAAACACACATTGGATAACTGTACAAAAATATTTTATTTCTTTATATCCTTATTCTATAAGCTTTTATCTATTTATTTATTTATTTATTTTACTTTTGGAAATTTTTGTTAAAAACTAGCACACAAATATACACATTAGCTTAGGCTTACACGGGGTCAGGATCATCAATATCATGGTCATCCACCTCCAAATTTTGTCCCACTGGAAGGTCTTCATGGGCAACAACATGCATGGAGCTGCCATCTCCTCTGATAACAATGCCTTCTCCTCCTCTGATAACAATCATCTCTGATAACAAAGCCTTCTTCTGGAATCCCTCCTGAAGCACCTGCCTGAAGCTGTTTTACTGTCAACTTTTAAATATATATATGAGTAGAAGAAGGAGTACACTCTAACGATAAAAAGTATAGCATATTAAATACATAAACCGGTAACACAGTCATTTTTTATCATTGTCAAGTATTATGTACCGTACATCATTGTATGTTATTCTTGTATGTGACTGGCAGCGAAGTGAGTTTATTTACACCAGCATCACAACAAACACGTAATTGCTGTGGTGATATTACAACAGCTGTGATGACACTAGGAGATAGGAATGTTTTAACTCCATGATAATGCTATGGAACCACCATCATACACATGGTCTATCATTGACCAAGACATCGTCATGCAGCACTTAACTGTACTAAGCTAACACATTCACTGTTTAAAGCATTAGGCCAAACCTTAGGAGGCGGTGGCTCTCCATCCATCTGGTCCCGTGGATGAGGACATGGGGGTGTAAAGTTACATTATTAACTACATTGTGTTGAAGCCTTTTCCATGTGCTGTTCAAAGTTGGGTCGTGTACGCCTGCTTAAGAAAAGAAATTTTAAAGTCACATAGGTACATGCAGAACAGCAGATTGCAACTGAGAGAGGGAGGTAAATAGGAAAGGAGAGAGGAGACGAGGGAAGGAAACGCACAACTATTGAATGTTGAGCATCACATTTATGTCAGATACTGTGCTGGGCAGTATACATTTTTTTTTTTGAAACGGAGTCTTGCTCTGTCGCCCAGGCTGGAGTGCCGTGGCGCAATCTTGGCTCACTGCAACCTCCACCTCCCAGGTTCAAGCTATTCTCCGTCCTCAGCCTCCCAAGTAGCTGGGATTACAGGCGCCTGCCACCACGCCTGGCTAATTTTTGTATTTTTAGTAGAGACAGGGTTTCACCATGTTGGCCAGGCTGGTCTCAAACTCCTGACCTCAGGTGATCTGCCCATCTCGGCCTCCTGAAGTGCTGGTATTACAGGCATGAGCCACCATGCCCAGCCTACAGAGTTTACCTTTTTTAAGCACAGTCAAATTCCATGATTTGCCATGGATGACATACCCCTACTGCTCTTTTTCCCTCTTATATTTCCCAGAAAAGCATAGAAGAGTGTAGGCTACCCCATAGGCTACGGGACAGGCATGGGATTGCTCTCTGAAGGCATATATCAGTGATCACAGGATCCCATGTGCTGCAAGAATAGCCATCCACCTATCAGATAGTGAGTTCTTGGAACAAAAACCTTTACAGTGAGAAGCAGCTTACCCCTGATGTAAGCTGGAGAGATGGGCTGAGTGACCAAGAGTTAAACAATGGTTAGCCTGGGACCCTCGTTCAGGTTCCTGTGGGGGACACAGCATGTTGTTTTCCCTCTTCTTTGGCTACACCTGCCATAAAATGGCTGGTTAAGATTTCACTTCCTCCAGAAGGCAACATTCTTAACTTCCTGGGTGTGAGGATCTGTTGTTTCTGTTCTTTATGATACATACTCAGTGAGGCACACCCTTAGCAGGTCAGGGGGTTTGTTAGGTCTACGTGATCCAGCAAAGCCTTTAAGAGAGTGGTTTTTTTTTTTTTTTTTTTTTTTTTTTGAGACGGAGTCTCGCTCTTTCGCCCAGGCTGGAGTGCAGTCGCACGATCTCGGCTCACTGCAAGCTCCGCCTCCCGGGTTCACGCCATTCTCCTGCCTCAGCCTCCCGAGTAGCCGGGACTACAGGCGCCCGCCACCACGCCCGGCTAATTTTTTGTATTTTTTTTAGTAGAGACGGGTTTTCATCGTGTTAACCAGGATGGTCTCGATCTCCTGACCTCGTGATCCACCCGCCTCGGCCTCCCAAAGTGCTGGGATTACAGGCGTGAGCCACCGCACCCGGAAGAGAGAGGGGTTTTTAAGCCCAGATGGATATTAGAATCACGTGGAGAGCTCTCAGTAATTCTGACTGCAATTCATGAGAGATCTCAAGCCAGAACCACCCAGCAAGGCACTCCCAAATTCCTGACCCACAGAAACTGGAAGAGATTTTTTTTTTTTTTAATGTATGTTGTTTTAAGCTAAGCTTATGGTCAGCAAATACTGCCTGCAGGCATATTCTGGCTCACTGCCTGTTTTTGTAAATACAGTTTTACTGGAACACAGCTGTATTCATTTGTTTACATATTGTCTATGGCTGCTTTCATGATCAACAGCAGACGGAGCCTAAAATATTTACTAGCTGGCCCTTTACAGAAAAGGTTTGCCAACCTCTGTTTTAAGTCATTAAGTGTTGGGGTTTTTTATACCACAGTGTATAGCAAACACCACTGCTTTAGGTGGAACATAAAGGAAGATGAGAGAAGGGTGTGGCTGAGGCTGTTTGGGGAATGGATCTCATGAGGATTTCTAAAGCCAGTGGAGATTCCATAGCAGTAACTCTATCCATCTCCTCTTTGAAACAAGGAAGTCTCCTTTTGCAGAAAAAAAATGCTAGGAAGATTATGATTTTGTGCTTAGCAGCCTTACACGTAGGGCTCTGTGCCTATCCAGCAACAGGTGAAGAAATGATAAGAATCTTTTATAGGCTATTTTGAGATGTAAAAACAGCCGGTCTTTACTGGTCACTTCTGAAAAGTGTCTCGTCTGTCAACATTTAGCACATTAGCTGGAAAGTTTCTAAATCTCCTCTTCCCTGGGTGCTTTGTGATCAAGTTTCATATCAGTTAGGATGCTTTTGATTACAGGCAAGAGAAAATCCAACACAAATTTGTATAAACATGAAGGGCGTTTATAGGCTCACATAAGTAGCCCAAAGCCTGAAGATGAGGCTTCAGACATGATATGATCTGGGACTCCAGTTCAATGTTTCTGCAATACTGTTAGCACTGCCTTCTCCATGTAATGGATTTGTCCTCAGTCTGACTTTTCATGTGATAACAAGATTGTTGTGTATAATCCAGGTATTTCATTTGAATAACACACCATCCAAAGCAAAATAAAATACCTGTTTCCCAGAATTTTCAACAAAAGTCCTGAGAATAATTCTGACTAGACCTATTTACGGCATATGACCACCTCGGACGGGAATTTACTTATGGCCAGGGGATGCAATACTCTGATTGGTCTTACTTCTATCACATCATGGATTCTGCAACTCCTAGAATCACAGGAATCCCTGAATTAGGTTGAATAGGTTATGCTTCAGTAACAACCTGAACATCTTAGTAGCTTAATACAACAAAAGTTTATTTCTCCCTTACAAAAAGTCCACTGTGATTTCAAACGACCTTCCAGGGCGCCTGTTCTCCAAGAGTTGGCTCAGCGATCTAGGCTGAATATGTGGCACCTTCACATCAACACAAGTTTCACTGTGGAAGGGGAAGAGAGAGCTTGGAGATGCATGCTGCCGCCCTTAAAAGGCAGGTAACAAAAGTTACAGAAGTAACTTGTGGAAATCACATAAGTTACTTCTGTTTAGATTTCATCAGCTAATGCAAGCCGCAAGATCCAAGCCCAGCCAATCAGAGTATCTTATTTCCCTGGCCATTGTGATTGGTTCAGGAATGGGCACTCGTGAACCAATCAAAATTGGTTCCCGTTAATTTTTTCCCCCTTTAATTGTTGGAAAATAATTGGCTGGGCCAATCAAAACAGTTCCTGTGAGGTTTTTTCCCCCTTTAATTATTTCACTTAGATTTCCAAAGTGGTTAAGCACTAATCTGGGGCTACTGGTGGCCATTTTGCTTCAAATGGAGAGTGTCTGGAGAGAGAGGGAGAAAGATGCTTGGTGACATCGTCAGTCTCTAGGTCTGCACTGTCCAATATGGTGGCCACTAGCCTCATGCAGCTTTTGAGTATTTGAAATGTACCTAGTTTGAATTGAGATGTGCCATAAGTATATAATACACACAGGGTTTCAAAGACTTAGTATTTTAAAAAAAGGAATGAAAATATATCATTAATAATTTTTATATTGGTTACATACTGAAATGATAATATTGTGGATATATTAGATTAAAGAAAATATATTTTAAAATTAACTTTACCTATTTCTTTTTACTTTTCTTAATGTGACTACCAGAAAATTTCAAACTACATATGAGGCTTGCCTTATATTTCTATTAGCCAGCACTGCTGTGGAACTGGTCATGCCTGAAGTCAGCTGTGCTCTGCACTTCTGAGCTGTGTAAGCTAATAGGTTCTCCTTTTTTCCCTCTTACGCTAGTTGAGCTGAGTCTCTGTCCTTTTCACCCTAGAGTCCTGAATAACACAGTTGTCTCCTGAGAGTTCTCAGCATCCCCCTACCAAGGAGCTAAAATTGCCCATGTACCTCTATTAAAGGAAAATGACAAAGACAGCAGAAGTTAATACTTGAATTTTGTGTTTTATTTTTTTACTTTAAGTTCCTGGATACATGTGGAGAACGTGCAGGTTTGTTACAAAGGTATACATGTGCCATGGTGGTTTGCTGCACCTATCAATCCGTCATCTAGATTTTAAGTCCCACGTGCCTCAGGTATTTGTCCTAATGCTCTCCCTCCCCTTGACTCCCCACCCCCGGACAGGCCCCGGTGTATGTTGTTCCCCTCCCTGTGTCCATGTGTTCTCATTGTTCAACTCCCACTTATGAGTGAGAACATGAGGTGTTTGGTTTTCTGTTCCTGTGTTAGTTTGCTGAGGATGATGGCTTAAACATATTCTGAGTCATAGTCTATGGAAAGTTTTTTGAACATTTTGGATTAATAAAGCTCACACCCCAGACGAGCTCAATCCCAAGGTGGGATGTGGACTTGGCAGGCCTAGGGTGAGGGAAGGAGGGGAAGGAGAGGAAGCTGTGGTGGGTGGGACTAGGGTTAGGCCACTAACCAGGGGTTGAGGCTGGCCCCCAAGGGGAGTGGTCAGAGGTTCAACTGAGAGTGTTTCATGGGGACTAGCAAACTTAGAAACAATGAAATGAATATGGGCTGTGATGTCAGCAGACCTGAGTTTGAATGCTAACTTTGCTATGCTCTATCCGTGTGGTTTTGGGCCATCATTTGCACTCCTCTGAGCTACTTCTAAAATGGGAGATACACTCTCTTCATGCAGACTCTTGTAAGGATCAGTAGCAATATGCCTCATGTGCTTTCACACTGAGTGGTAAGTAGTTACAGCTTAGTATGATTACTAGTCCAGGCAAGAATCCACATCACGGAAATCCAATCAGATGAGTGGAACATGGCAGTATGAGTTTCCAGGAAGTGGCAATGCTTGGGACATCATTGGGAGGGTGTTCATCTGTTTTGGACCAGAACTTCAGCTAGTGGCCAGGGGTCAGAGGCATTGTTCCTAAAGAGGCCACTAGGGAAGAGCCTACCACAGAAGGTCTTCCAAGAAAGGGGCTCCAACCCTGCGAACCTGATGCTGATGAGGATTAGTATTGGATGGCAGTGACAAGTCAGTCTTGCTGGGTTCAAATTCCAGTGTTGTCACTGTGTAAACTTGAGCAAGTTATTTGACCTCTTTAGCTGCATTCCCCATATCTGTAAAACAGGAATAATATTACCCCATTGAGATAGTGTGAGGGTTAAGTGAGATGCTGCATATGAAGTGCCCAGCAGGGTGTCTGGAACAGAATATGTTAATTATTGTTACTACTATGGACATCCAAGCAGAAGACTATATTTACTTATACAGAACTTTGATTCTTGATGCCTTCTAAAACATTTTCATGCCAGATCTACATATCTTTTCAATAACCAACGTGGGCCAGACAAGGTGGCTCACGCCTGTAATCCCAGCACTTTGGGAGGCCGAGGTCGGTGGATCACTTGAGGTCAGGAGTTAGAGACCAGCCTGGCCAACATGGTGAAACTTCGTCTCTATTGAAAATACAAAAATTAGCCAGGTGTGGTGGTGGGCACATGTAATCCCAGCTACTCGGGAGGCTGAGGCAAAGAATTGCTTGAACCCGGGAGGCGGAGGTTGTAGTGAGCCGAGATCGTGCCACTGCATTCCAGCCTGGGCAATAGATCCCATTTTAATTTTTAATTTCAAAATTAAAAATAAAATAAAAATTAAAAATAAAATAACCAATGTGCACTGAAAGGCAGATACATGACATATCAGAATGCAGAACATTAGGAAGTACTTTGCAGGATCACAGCTCTCCAAACACCTGGGTGCCCCACCCACTCAACTACCATGTTTTGACATCCGGAAGCCTTTAGAACATTTCTAGGCAAATTACATGCCCCTAAATTTCAGAGAATCTTAGAGACAGAAAGTATGTCTGAGATACACTTGATTTTTCACCAATCAAGCAAGCAGTAACTAAAAGCAGCGTGTTCTCAGCATTGAATTGCATGTCTGGGGAGGCAGCCAGAAGGAGAGAACTTGAAGTTGTGAACCTTGCCCTCCAAAGGACAAAAGACAGCTCCCACCACCATGCCATTCCTAGGATACCAGGTTGGAATTCTCCATGTTTCTCAACCCTTTATAGAAGGGTCATCTTTAAGGGCAAGATAGAATTTTGTTGGGGAAATAACTTCAGAATGAATCAAAGTCTCGTCACAGCTATGTTTTGGATGTTTGTCTCTGCAAACCTCATGTTGAAATTTTATCTCCAATGTTGGAGGTAGGGCCTAATGGGAGGTGTTTGGGTCATGGGGGCAAATTTCTCATGAATAGATGAATGCTATCCCTGGAGGAGAGTGGGTGAGTGAGTTCTCACTCTGTTCATTCCTATGAAAGCTGGTTGCTAAAATGGGAGCCTGGCACCTCCCCACCTGCTTTTTTTTTTTTTTTTCCTGTAGAGACAGGATCTTGCTACCTTGCCAGGACTGGTCTCTAAATCCTGTCCTCAAGTGATCCTCCCACCTCTGCCTCCCAGAGTGTTGCAATTACAAGCGGGAACCACCGCGCTTGGCCTCCCTGCTCTCTCCTGCCTCTTCCTCTCTCGCCATGTGAGCTCCGCTGTGCCAGCTCCCCGTCACCTTCTGCCTTGGGTGGAAGAAGCCTGAGGCCTTCACCAGATGCCCAGTCTTCCAGTCAGCAGAATCATGGCCAAATCAACCTTTTTTTCTTTGTAAAATTACCCAGTCTCAGGTATTCCTTCATAGCAATGCAAAATGGACTAAGATGGTGAACTAGAGCTCTCTCTTTGCCAGTGCCAAGAACTGGTTTAACACAGTGCAGGGATATTTGTCATACTCTGGTGATATACAACAGCCATAGTTTAGGATCTTGGTGTGAGATGCTCATACAATATAAAACCATACAGAGAAGACCATTTCCATTTATGGAATCAAATCATTTCAGCAATTGTCTTTCTGAAACCCCCACCAACAGTGTTATTAAAGCTGTTGCTTGGTAACATGCTACTCTCTACTGTATTGTTCTTCTTCCTCTTCTTTTTCTTCTTCCTCTTCTTCTGATAAGGTTAATAAGTATTTAACAATAGGCTAATATGCTTACTGAAGTGTAAACCAAAAGCATTGCCTTGAAAATCTTCCCAAACACTCACAACTCATACCATTCTTCACAAAGGAGCTGTGTAATGTGTATGACCATTCATAGTAATTAAATAGAAAAGGTGCTGGGCACGGTGGCTCACGCCTGTAATCCTAGCATTTTGGGAGGCCGAAGTGGGTGGATTGCCTGAGCTCAGGAGTTTGAGACCAGCCTGGGCAACATGGCGAAAACCCATCTGTACTAAAAGTACAAAAAATTAGCCGGGCGTGGTGGTGCGTGCCTATAATCCTAGCTACTCAGGAGGCTGAGCCACGAGAATCGCTTGAATCCAGGAGGTGGAGGTTGCAGTGAGCCAAGGTTGTGCCACTGCACTCCAGCCTGGGCGACAGAGTGAGACTCTGTCTCAAAATAAATAAATCGATAAATAGACAGAAGCAACATTGAAATGCCACTTTGATGGCTTCTGATGTTTGGGTTGCACATCCAACACGAAACCAGAGAGCCTGATTAATGCCCAATATTATGCCTTATAGATTTTTTTTTTTTTTTTTTGAGACGGAGTCTCGCTCTGTCGCCCAGGCCAGACTGCGGACTGCAGTGGCGCAATCTCGGCTCACTGCAAGCTCCGCTTCCCAGGTTCACGCCATTCTCCTGCCTCAGCCTCCCAAGTAGCTGGGACTACAGGCGCCCGCCACCGCGCCTGCCTAATTTTTTGTATTTTTAGTAGAGACGGGGTTTCACCTTGTTAGCCAGGATGGTCTCGATCTCCTGACCTCATGATCCACCCGCCTCGGCCTCCCAAAGTGCTGGGATTACAGGCGTGAGCCACCGCGCCCGGCCGCCTTATAGATTGTTAAGTGTTACAGATGCTAATTGAATGTAATTTCCCACTGTGGTTTCCTCAGCTTTCTGTTCCTGAGGGTCAATTATTACAGTGTATCTTGAGGATGCTATAACCTCCTGCCCTATTAGAAGGTCCTTCCTACACTCTAAGTTGTCCTCCCTACCACCAAGAGTGATGATGAATTTGCACTGACCCCGCATATCTCATGCTTGTCCACAATGGCATTCATTTTACAAATTGCGAGTGTAGCAGGTATTTGTTCCTTACTCTGAGTGCACGTGGTTTGAGTGGCTGAACCCATGTCCCCACTTCCAACACACCCTCCTCTCTGCTCTATCCAAACCTTGACAGACCGTGTAATCTACCCTCAAGTCACAGAGATGGCACAGGAATGGGTACTTGTCCTGAGATGACCCAGTTAGACTTAGTGCAGGGATGTTTATTGGACCCTTGTGAAGAGAAGCTCTTTTGCCAGGATACCTGAGAGACTGGAACGTGAATCTGGAATGTCTGATGGCCATTTTCCCTCTGAGTGGGAGGAGACTGAATGAAACCAACACACAGAAAGCAGAGCCAGGGGACAGATATGGAGAGAGACCAAGTCTCGATGACAGCACTGGACCCCCTAAGCTCCAGAAAATCTTCCATTGGACTTTCGGTTATGTATACTAGTGATTGAACCTTTTTCCAATTAAGTCCATTTGAATTGTGTTCACTGAATAAATGAATGAATGAACCTGGCCACACACCAACAAAAGCCAAGAATACCTGTTACAATCCCAGTCAGTTTGTGTGCCACAGTCCCGTAGAACAACTTCATTTCCCTACTGAATTCTAGTGAGTCACGTCCATGTGTGGCAGTCCTTGTAAGGTGCCTGGCTGTCTTGCCAACCCTCCTGCCCCCTCCTTCCCTGTTCTTTGTTAACAGGGCAGCCAGATAGAAGCCTACAGGGATAACTCATAGTTGATCTCCAGTGTGCCTCAACAGCTTGCATGGTGTGGGGATATCCTGCACGTAACAGTATCACTAGGATCTCTAGTTGCCACCTGTTAAATGACGGTCACCATTGCTGATAACTAACATGGTTTCCCCACATTTTCAAACTCCTGCTGCTCTTTTGTGCCAGATATTAATTTTCCCATATTCCCTTGCAGCCAGAAGTGGCCACATATCCTGGCTAATAAGTAAGGAGAGTAAAGATCTGCTAATAAAAAAATAAAATTCATTGTCCAAACTCTGTTTCTTTCTGCTTTGAATACAATGGTGTGAGGATGTGATGTTTGTGGTGTGACAGCCATATTTAGACCATGAGTTTTTTAGCACTGCTGTAAAATATTACCATAAACTTGTGGCTTAGAAAAACAGAAATTTGGCCAGGCGTGATGGCTCATGCCTGTAATCCCAGCACTTTGGGAGGACAAGGCAGGCAGATCATGAGGTCAGGAGATTGAGATCATCCTGGCTAAGACGGTGAAACCCCGTCTCTACTACAAAAATAGAAAAAATTAGCCGGGTGTGGTGGCGGGCGCCTGTAGTCCCAGCTACTCAGGAGGCTGAGACAGGAGAATGGTGTGAACCCAGGAGGCGGAGCTTGTAGTGAGCCAAGATCGTGCCACTGCGCTCCAGCCTAGGTGACAAAGCAAGACTCCGTCTCAAAAAAAAAAAAAAAAATGGCCGGGCGTGGGGGCTCACATCTGTAATCCCAGCACTTTGGGAGGCCAAGGCAGGTGGATCACTTGAGGTCAGGAGTTCGAGACCTGCCTGGCCAACATGGTGAAACCCTGTCCCTAATAAAAATACAAAAATTACCTGGGCATGGTGGTGTACGCCTGTAGTCCCAGCTATTCGAGAGGCTGAGGTAGGAGAATTGCTTGAACCCGGGAGGCAGAGGTTGCTGTGAGCCGAGATCGTGCTACTGCACTCCAGCCTGGGCAACAGAGTGAGACTGTGTCTCAAAAAACAAACAAACAAACAAACCAAAAAACAACCAGAAATTTACTTCTCACTCTTCTGGAGGTCAAAAGTCTGAAACCAAGTTGTCAGCAGGATTGGTTCCTCCTAGAGGCTTTGGGGGAGAGTCCTTCGCTTGCCCCTTTCCTGGCCTCTGGTGTTGCCATTCCTTGGTGTGTTAACACATCGCTCCAATCTCTGCCTCTGTCATCACATCTGCTTCTCCTCCCCATTTCTTTTCTTTCTCTTTCTCTCTTTCCCCTTCCTTCCTTCCTTCCCTCCTTCCTTTCTCTCTCTCTCTTTCTTTCTTTCTCTCTTTCTTCTTTCTTTTTTTTTTTTTTTTTTTTGAGGGTTTCACTCTGTTGCCCAGGCTGGAGTGCAGTGGTGCGATCATGGCTCACTGCAACCTCCACCTCCCAGGCTCAAGCAGATCTGTCCACCTCAGCCTCCCTAGTAGCTGGGACTCCACATGTGCACCACCATGACTGGCTAATTTACTTTTATTTGTAGAGACGAGATCTCCCTATGTTGCCCAGGCTGCTCTCCAACCTCTGGGCTCAAGTGATCCTCCCACCTCAACTTCCCAAAGCATTGGGATTATGAGCATGAGCCACCACACCCAGCCCTATTTATTGTCTTATCAGGACACTTCTCATTGGATTTAGGGCCCTTTTCTTATCCAGGATTATCTCATCTTGAGATCTTTACCTTAATTATACGTGCAAAAACCTTTTGTCCAAATAAGGTCACAATCACAGGTTCTGGGTGGACACATCTGTTGCAAGGCCAGCACCAATTAACCTACTACGATGAGGCAACATGGCTAAGGATAGAAAGCCGACATATGAGAATGGCAGAGAACAGTGTTATTAGAAAGACCCAGGTCTTGATGACATCATCAACTCATCAATGGTTTTTGAGCCACTCATTTGAGCCTGAAGTATCTCATCACTAAGAATTGCGTCAGTTAAGAAGTTCTGGAGCCCCAGAAAAATGAGAGCCAACAATTTCCCTTTAGGTTCACATTGGGTAAGCCTCTGACTTGCCATTTCCTTGTAGTTCATTTGCTGCTTTAACCTAGCAATTAATTTAGTGGAACCCGGAAAATTCAGCAACATGACAAGGAAATTCCATTTAATTTGAATTACCACTTTTGGTGGATTAGAAAAGCTGTAAAGAATAGGAAAATATAAGGGTACCATTCAGTGTTGATTTATTTTGACTGGAAATGCTTAACTTCAATTATTCATGGTAGAATTTTGTAAGAAAACAGCTCATATGCTCAAGGAAGCATCACTAAGGGAATGCACGAAGCCAAACTGCAGCTCATAAGCTCACAGTCTTCTGTTAGAAAACTCATCCTTGGGGTAAGATAGGGAAGCGAGGAGAAAGAATTGAGTCCTTCTCGCAGTTGGGCAGCTGGCATTTTGTATTTTGTTTCTTTTTAAATTATCCAAGTAGCATATATACTTTCTTTGTCTTTTTAATTTTTACATTTAATTTCTTTATAAATGCCTTAAAATATGTAAAATTTTATCCAGATGCATAAATGGAATTGTATGTAGTTCCTCAGAAGTACTGACTGATGTTTGGCATAACCAGATGCTGGTGAGCCCTTACAATGGCGTAAGGCCAAGCCACTGGTCAGGGCAACCTCCTCACCTCACCTGGCTGGGACCCTCTACTGGAGGAAGAGAAGGGGACTCCCGAGGAACAACCCTCTCTCAGATATACCCTTTGTCTGCTTTGCTTTCATACTTTTTAGGCTCAAGCAAGCTTATAGATAGGACTGAGCAGTATTCAAGGGTTTCTCTCTGCAATCTTTGAACCCAGGTCAGGTCTTTTCATATTTGGGCATAAGGCTTAAATATAGAGGAGCATTTTTTTTTTCTTTTGAGACAAAATCTTGCTAGATCACCCAGGCTGAAGTGCAGTGGTGCAATCAGCACTCACTGCAACCTCCACCTCCTGGGTTCAAGCAATTCTTGTGTCTCAGCTTCCTAAGTAGCTACAATTACAGGCATGTGCCACCAAGCCAACTAATTTTTTTGCATTTTTAGTAGAGATGGGGTTTCACTATGTTGGCCAGGCTTGTCTCGAACTCCTGGCCTTAACTGATCCACCTGCCTTGGCCTCCCAAAGTGTTAGAATTACAGGCATGAGCCACGGCACCCAGCCTAGAGGAGCATTTTTAAAAACTAAGTTCGTCTATCAAAAATTGGATTAGAAGAAGAAAAAGAATGAATTAGAAGATTATACACATTATTCTGCATCTTGCTTTTTCATGCTTAAAGAATTCCCAGCCAGGCGTGGTGGCTCAGGCCTGTAATCCCAGCACTTTGGGAGGCCAAGGTGGGCAGATCATGAGGTCAGGAGACAGATACCATCCTGGCCAACATGGTGAAACCCCATCTCTACTAAAAATACAAAAATTAGCTGGGCATGGTGGCACGTGCCTATAATCCCAGCTACTTGGGAGGCTGAGGCAGGAGAATTGCTTGAACGAGGAAGTTGGAGGTTGCAATGAGCTGAGATCGTGCCACTGCACTCCAGCCTGGCGACAGAGTGTGACTCCGTCTCAAAAAAAAAAAAAAAAAACAAAAAAGAATGCCAATGCATTCTTCTTTACTTGTGTTCCTATTAGCAGGCATTCATGGCGTTTCCCATTTTCCTTTTTTTCTTTTTCTCTCTCTTTCTCTTTTTCTCTCTCTTTCTTTTCTTTTTCCTTCCTTCCTTCCTTCTTTCCTTTCTTTCTTTCTTTCTTTCTTTCTTTCTTTCTTTCTTTCTTTCTTTCTTTCTTTCTTTTTCTTCTTTCTTTCCCTTATTTTCTTTTACTGTTATGGAAGATTCTGCAATAAACATCCTGCATATGTCCAGAGGCACTGGTGCCTTTATTGTTATGGAATGGACGGATTCTTTAGAATGAGATTACTGCAACATGAATGGACCTGGAGAGCATTATGTTAAGCAAAATAAGCCAGTCACAAAGGGCCACATGCTGTATGATTCCATTAATAGGAAATGTCCAGTACGGGCAAATCCGAAGGGACAGAAAGTAGATTGATGACTGTCTAGGGCTTCAGGGGGCGGGGTAGGGCAGAGAAACGGGGGGCAATTTCTAACGGGTGCAACAGGATTCCTTTTAGAGTAACGAAAATGTTCTAAAATTAATTGTGTGATGCTTCCCCAACTCTGAATATACTAAAAACCAGTGGAGTGTATGCCTAAAATGGGTGAATTTTATGGTACGTAAATTACATCTCAATAGAGCTGTTATTTAAAAATGATTGAAATTACTAGGTGAAAATGTATCACAGCTGTTTCCGTTTCCACCAGTATTGAATGAGAGCACCCTTTCCCCACATCCCCACCAGCAATAGGTCTTACAGTTCTTTCCAATTTTGCCAATCTGGTGCGTATAAAGTGATATCTCATTTTGTCTTTAATTTGTGTTTCCTGGGTTGAGTCTCATCAAAAGGGCTTCAATACCATTTCAGTGTACAAAGTAATAAGCAAGAGGTTCCTCATGCCCTCGTGTCTCCCCTGCAGTAACGACTCTCTAGAGTTAGGTGAGCTCCAGCCCCTCTTTATACATTTATAAACTGATGAACATATACATATCATCTTGTGATTGATAAAGAGAATCACACTACCACGTTGCTTTATGATTCATTTTTTTCTCATGACAATATGTCTCAGAAGTCTTTTTAAATTACCCTATGTAACTCTACCCCATTCTTTTTTTTTTTTTTTTTTTTTGAGATGGAGTCTCGCTAGATGGAGTCTCGCTCTTTCGCCCAGGCTGGAGTGTAGTGGTGTGATCTCGGCTCACTGCAAGCTCCGCCTGCCCGATTCACGCCATTCTCCTGCCTCAGCCTCCCGAGTAGCTGGGACTACAGGTGCCTGCCACCACATTGCATTCACAATGTTATACAATCATATTCTCTATCTAGTTCTAAAACATTTTCATCACCCCAAAATGAAACCTTGCACGCATTAAGCAATCATGCTCCCTCCTCCCCTGCCTTGAGCCCCTGGTAACCACCAGTCTACATTCTGTCTCTATGGATTTATCTAGTCTGGATATTTCATATAAATGGAAATATACAATGTGCGACCTTTTGTGTCTGGCTTCTTTCACTTAGCATCATGTTTTCAAGGTTCACCCATGCCATAGCATGTATCAGTACTTCATTCCTTTTGATGGCTGAAAAATATTCCATTGAGTGAATGTGTCATATTTTGCTTATACTTTCATCCATTGGTGAGTTTTTCATACATCTTTGAGCTTATAAATAACTCACACTCACCATGCCTGGCATTGTTCTATTGCCTTAAATGTATAAACTCATTTAATCCTATAGCAGTCCTATAACGTAGGCCCCTTATCCTACCTGGTATCCCCAGATTCAGACACCTCTGAACCACTGAAGTGTGTGAGTGTGCCTACATCTAGACAGAAATCACCCTGTCTAATCTATCTATACTACCTACTTGCCTCCCCACTACTCCCACTAGATATAAGTTCCATGAGAGCAAGAGCAGTGTCTTTTGGGTTCAGGCTCTTGGCACAGTACCTGGCACTTAGGAGTTGCTTGACAAACATTTGTTGAGTGGTGAATGCATAAATAAAATGCTTTAAAATGGAAGCTAAGGGAACTGATTTTAGTTTAAGTATTGGGAAAGTCATCATCATCACCCAAGATGAAGCCTGAAGGACAACTGGAAGTCTGTTTAGAGGGAAATGGCTTCAGGAAGACAGAGAAGTCTAAGCAAGTGCTAAAGCTGTGAACATACACAGCATGGTTCTGGCACAAAGCAGTGGCCTCATGTGAGTTGAAGAAATGGAAAATGCAGGAGGAGAGGTTGGAGATAGTGATCTAGAAGGCAGAATTTACAGGAATGCTATGCTAACAATTTTGGACCTTTTTCTTCAATGGTGGGGAATCCCTGAAGAGTTCTGGGCAGAAAAATGGTGTGCCTGGATCAGCAATATAGAAAGATCCATCTGGAAGCAATCTGGAGGATGGGTTGGAGGTTGGCAGTCCTGGAGGCAGGAAAACCCATTAGGAGATGTATTTACAGGGTCCTTTTAGCAAAAATCCAATTCAACTGGCAAAAAGTGGACTGTATTATCTCACCTGACCATGGAAAGGGCAGAGGTATTGCTGAGCTTCAGGGGCACTGCCAGGCTTCTCCATCACATGACTGACTCTGATTCTGTCTGTGTCAGCTTCAATCTCTCAGGCTGACTTACGTTACATCACACAAGACTGTTCATGGTCCTGGGCCTCAGCTCTTACACTGTCACTAGTGCCAGGAAATGACAGTCACTCCCTTTGTCCCAAGATCAATTATCCCAAGGAATGGCTGTCATTGGCCAGGTTTGGGTCAGGTGTCCATCTCTGGTCCCATCAACAGGGCCAAGATAACAAGATCTCGAGGCAATGGCGGTTTCCTTTCAAAACACATAATCAGAGATGGGGAAGGAGAATTTCCCAGAAGAAAAAGAGCTCTTTTCTGGGATCACAAAAATAGTTGTTTGCGATTGTAACCTATTGTTATAGTACAGACATGATGTGAGGAGTGTCTGAACCAGGAGCTCTGGAAGGGAGAAGAGAAGGCAAATTCAGGGACAGAATTTGAATAGAATACAGTACTCTGTTGCTGGCCTGTACTCTCCTGCAACCAGGAGCCTGGTGTCTCATCAGGGCCCATTGACTGAAAATCCAAGTCTCCTCTAGAACTGCCTCTACATTTGCAGATCTTGGGAGCCTGGAAACTTGAAGACTGGAGGCCTATTCTTCAGCTTTGCAGCCACTCTTCTTCCACATAAGCCTGAGAAAGGAGCTTCTTTCTCATGAGTCGTTACAAACTCACCAACCTAAGTGAGGACTAAAATAGAATTTCAGTTAATTTAATAGTTTTAAGTTTTAGAAAAATAAAATTACATTTCTTTCTTTTTTTTTCCTTTGAGATGGAGTCTTGCTCTGTTGCCACGCTGGAGTGCAGTGGCATGATCTCGGCTCACGCCAACCTTCACCTCCCAGGTTCAAGCAATTCTCCTGCCTCAGCCTCCCAAGTAGCTGGGATTACAGGTGCACGCCACCATGCCCAGCTAATTTTTTTTTTGAATTTTTAGTAGAGACGGGGTTTCACCATGTTGGCCAGGCTGGTTTTGAACTCCTGACCTCAAGTGATCCGCCCATCTCAACCTCCCAAAGTGTTAGGATTACAGGGGTGAGCCACCGCGCCCGGCCGTACATTTCTTATTCCTCTGGATTTAAAAACTGATATTTGTTACAACAGCACTTGGCACCTAACTGGTGCTGATCAATTAATTCTTTATTGAGTGATTGAGAGAAGAGCTGGCCCAGATGGGATATCAAGGAGACCTCAGGTCAAGGAGAACCTGAAGGAACTAGGGAAAGGGAAAACCAGGAATACAAGCTCCACTGGTTTCAGGTTCTTCTCTTAGGTAAGTTCTGACCTCCTTCTAACCTCTTCTTTCTGGTTTTCGATGGTGGTGGAGATACATGTGGGGGGTGGTCTTGGTGCAGGAGGGTGGGATTGTGTTAAATAATTCACAGAATTTGGGCTAGGCACAGTGGCTCATGCCTATAATCCCAGCACTTTGGGAGGCCCAGGAGGGTGGATTGCTTGAGCCCAGGAGTTTGAGATCAGCCTGGGCAACATGGCAAAACCCTGTCTCTACAAAAAATACAAAAAAATTAGCTGGGCATGGTGGCATGAGCCTATAGTCTCAGCTACTAGCGAGGCTGAGGTGGGAGGATCACCTGAGCCAGGGAAGTTGAGGCTACAGTGAGCCATGATTGCACCACTGCACTCCAGCCTGGGCAACAGAGTGAGATCCTGTCAAAAAAAAAAAAGAAAAGCACAGAATTCTTTAGGATTCCACCAGAGGGTACAATTCTGGAATTAAGCCACCCAAAGGAGTCATGAGTTTTTATGACCAAGTTTTAAATGGGTTTCTGCTTTTTACTTCTATGGTTCTTCCATCTCCCGCCCTCCACCTCAGAGTCCCGGGGCACTTGGCTCGCTCTGGCCTTAGTCACAGCTGCAGGTGTCATCTGCTGCCTGGAAGCATGTTCCAAATGGCAGAGCCTTGAAGATTCTCTTTTGCTAAAGATGAGGCTCTTGCCCTGGGAAGGAAGTAAAAGCCCAGTCCCCATATGGCACTACTTCCAACGGCAGCCTCCCAAAGAAAAACATGAGCTGGAACCTTCCACCTGACCTTCACTTTGGGCGAAACAGGGCTTGGGAAGCAAAGATAGTGACAGAAATGGTTGCCTCAGCTCACCCTGTGGTGGCTGCTGGCTGAGGGCCTGGGGCAGGCTGGCCGGCTAGGGGAGTAGGGTGAGAGGGGGCGATCAGCCAGGCGAGCTTGAAGGAACTGATGTCTCTGCCCAGTTAGCAGCATCTGGCTGTAACCTCAAAAGTTCTCAGCCTGGGATGAGGAGGGAGGGGCGGGACCTACCGCACCAGCAGCCTCACAGGGAGGGAGAAAGCCAGGGCTCTTCCCCAAACTTGGGCCAAGGGTGGCTCTACTGAAAGAGGAACGGCCCCAGGCAGCTCACAGGCCACAGCTTGGGTGGCCTGTGTTGGGGCGGGGGTCTGCATCCTGGGTTCTTTGAAATCATGCACATGTGCTGCCTGGAAGAGCTTCCCAACTGGAAGATCTAGAGAAGGATCTCAGTGGGTCAGACCTTTGGATTATTTTTAAACCCTGGATCGGGTTCCAGACAGCATTTACCCTGCAGTCTGAACAGCTCCGGAAAGCAGACGGGGGTGCTGGCAGGAGCGGGTGTGGGAGGGCGCGGCAGCTGACTCCAGGTCACGCTGACATCGGAGCGCAGCCAAGAGCAGGGCCGGGGCGAAGTGCAAAACCGCAGGGCAGTGAACTGCAGTCTCTGCCCTGCGCGCAGAGCCCTCCACGCTGTCCCGTGGCCCCTGCAGAAGTTTCCCGCTTTAATAAGAAAGGCATCCTAGGGTTAGATTTGCGGCAACACCGAGAGGCATTGAGCCCCTTCTAGGACGGAGAGACAGCGCCAGCCCCTTTAGGGTGGGGCAGGGAGTGAACGCGTCGGGAGGAGGCTTAGGCCGGGCCCTCCAGGAGGGGGCATCTGGGCACAGCTAGGCAGACTGGGTCAGGACTAAAAGAGTTTCCAAGCAAAAGGCTGCGAAAGCAGAGAAGCCTGGGTGTCTGTGGCAGGGACGGCAGGGCGGGGCTGCTGGGGCAGTGGCTGAGAGACGGGAAGAGGTGGCACCAGAGGGGGACCTTGGAGGATGGGCAGGATTTGCCAGGCACATGGGGGGTGAGAGGAGAGAACAGCTGAAAAAACCTGAGCCAGAAATAAGAGCAACCGGGCATACTGGGCGATGGGGAGATGTTCCTGTACCCAGAGTTTACAAGAGTACAGGAGAAAATGCAGGGAGGGTAAACTGTACCTGCACAGCAAGGAGTTCAGATCTTCCACCATAGCAAACCCAGTCAAAGGTTTTTGAACAGGGAGTAATGTGAACCGAGTTATAATTTTTAAATGTCTTTTGGAGAGCTGTGGGTAAGGATGTACTAGAAGAAGAAAGCTGGCTGTAGAGACCAGGACGGAGGCTTTCACAGCAGCTCAAGTGTTGGGAAGAATGAGCGGGAGGAAATGTGCAGGAGGGCTTAGATGGTCATTCATTCCATGTTGGAGAACAGAGGGCAGGGAGTGGGCGCTGAAGACGCAACATTTGGGGACTGCATGACGAGGAGGTTGGTGGTATCCCTCTAAAGGACAGGGAAGGCAGAGGGAAGTAGGGGGAAGTGTGCATGCTGATCTGCGAGTGAAGTCCAGGACGCAGTTAGACTAGATACTTGGGAGTCACTGTGTGTAGGGCAGAGCTAAAGCCACGAGATAAGGCAAGATGGACAAAGACCACCGCATGGAGGAAGAAGAGAGGAAGGCCGGGAGAAGACTGTTCGTGGCCCCCAGGACCCATTCTCCCACCTTCATGTTAGTGATAAGTCTCCCTAGTTTGAAATAGGCACATGGACACCCGACTTGAGCTTCCCTTGCACCTTTGTGTGGTCATGTGACCAAGTTCTGGCCAATGGGATGTGAGTGGAAGTGATGACATGCAACTTCTAGGTCATGTCCTTTGAAAAGGAGGCTGCCTTCTTTCTCCCCATTCTTTTTCCCCCTGCGACAGTTTATAACATTGACACGGTGCTGGTACGGCAGTCCTCAGCATGAAAATGAGGATACCACCTAGGAATGGTGGTAGAGCAGGACAGGACGAACCGGGGCACCGCCCTGGACTGCCTGCGTAGCTCCAGACTAGCAAGTGGAGGAAAAATAAACTTCTTTCTCGTTGGAGCACTGTTGTTGATTAATTTGGGGAGGGGTTGTCTTTTTGTCACAGCAGCTAAGCCTGTATCCTACGTACTACTTATACTAATACTGAAAATTTCTATTGGGAATAAAATCCTGGGGGATGCCAGCACTCGGGAGACACAAGTGGGAAAAATGGAAACACAAAAGGAAAAGAGAAAAACCAAAGAAGTGAACTATCAGAGAATCCGAAGCAAGACAGCAAGGAAACCAGAAGGCAAACAGTGCTGAATGCAGCATAAGCATCCACATAAACGAAGATTATCAAGAGACTCTGATTTGGCCAGTATTTCAGCAGATCAAGGGGGACTTAAATCAGGCAAAGGAGTTTACACCAGAATGGAGGTAAAAATACAGTTTCTGCCATCTTTGTGCATACTTTTTGTAAGTGTGTCACTGATTTGGACATTTACAGTTTTGCATTGGCCTTTTGAGAAAAACAAACCAGGCTCATTTGCACTTGTGCTTATGAAATTATGTGTATATGATGCTTATCTGTGTGAATTATGATTTTTCTGTGTAATACTAGGCTACCAAAACGAAATATTTAAATATTTAAGTGTTTATGTTCATCAAAGCATATCATTTTTTCATCAATTGACCTTATAATAGTAAAAGATATGTATGCTGAATTGAGAGATTGGTGAACTGAACTGTACCCTTGAGGAATCTTTTGATTTCCAGTGAAAGATAACTCAACCCAAACCGCTTTAAGGAGAAAGAGAATTCACTGACTCACCAAACTGAAGTGGCCAGGAGTAGGCTGGCTACAGGCAGTCTGCTCAGGAACTCCCATTTTGTCATTGGGACTGTTTCGGTCTCTTCCTTCTTTTCCTTTCTCTCAGTTCTACCATGGCTCCATCCTCAAAGAAGCTTTCTCCCTGTTATCACCAGGTGGCTGCACTGCTTTTCACAGCCACCCCAGCTTCATGTCCAGGGGAGAAAACCAAAAGTCTCTTGCCAAGAAGCCCCAGTAATTGGGTCTTGTTGGCTTGTAGGTCACATATTCATCCCTGAACCAATCACCCCACTTCAGAGAAAGCAAAGCTTACTAACTGTGCACCCTGGGCAAATCATGTAACCTCTCTGTGCCTTAGTTTTCTCATTTTAAAATGCAGATGATAAATAGTACTTATCTAATAGACTTGTTATGAGGGTTACATAAGCTAACATTTATAAAGTGCTTAGAACAATGCCTCACTCAGAGTAAGCATCATATAAATATTTGTTGAACAGATATGTTGGCCAGGCCTGAGTCACAAATCTCCCACTTCTATCCACTTAGGCCACACAGTGACTGTATGGGGAAGGAATAGTTGGTGTGGAACAAAGGAGTAATGGATCCCCGGTAGGCAAGTGACCCATGTTCTCTAGAATGCTAGAAAACAGGAATACAAGAACTCAAGTTTGAATGAAGTGGAAGAATAGATTTGAGAGGAGGAGATGGGATTATGACCAGAGAGGTGAATTTCAGGAAGCCTTAAAGATTGATATAATTTGGCTCTGGGTCCCCCACCCAAACCTTATCTCGAATTGCAATCCCCACATTCCCCACGTGGTGGGGAGGGGGACCAGGTGGGAGGCGACTGGATCATGGGGGCAGTTTCCCCCATGCTGTTCTCATAGTGAATGAGTTCTCATGAGATCTGATGGTTTTATAAGGCAGTTTTCCCTGCTCTTGCTGGCACTCCATGCCTCTTCCCCTTCCACCATAATTGTAAGTTTCATGAGGCCTCCCCAGCCCTGTGGGACTGTGAGTCAATTAAACCTCTTTCCTCTATAAATTACCCAGTCTCGGGCATTTCTTTGTAGCTGCATGAAATTGGACTAACACACTGATGATGTTGCAATTCTGTGATGAAGAGAATTCAAGAGGGGCTAGTGTTGGGTGGCTGAAGTCGAGTTGAAGTAGACACATCTACAACACCAGGGTATTCAAAATTGTATCTGTTACAATCCCTGGACACCTTTATCAACTCAGCTGGGCTGAATTTTCTGCCAAAAATGATATTTTCAAAGATTGTTGGTTTTTAATAGTCTAGGTTCTAAATATAAATATTTTAGGTTTTAAATAGTCCAAGGCCAGAGCTTCAAATGTGCATGTGTGTGAGTGTGTGTACGTGAGTAACTACTCTCTTACCCCTTTTTCTAGCACTCCCCCCACCTTTTTTCGAGATGGAGTCTCGCTCTGTTACCTAGGCTGGAGTACAGTGGCATGATCTCGGCTCACTGCAATCTCCGCCTCCCGGATTCAAGTGATTCTCCTGCCTCAGCCTCCTGAGTAGCTGGGATTACAGGCGTGCATCACCACGTCCGACTAATTTTTGTATTTTTAGTAGAGACAGGGTTTCACCTTGTTGGCCAGGCTGGTCTTGAACTCCTGACCTCGTGATCCACTCATCTCAGCCTCCCAAAGTGCTGGGATTACAGGCGTGAGCCACCACACCCGGCCATAGCTTTTTTTTTTTGAATCGATTGCATAGGTTTTAGGGCCCAAAGAGATCTAAGAGCCCACACTCAGCCCAGCTCCTTCAGGCCTTAAGAGTAAATGTACTCAAGTAACCTACAACATGGCAAAGTAAAGCATCAGTTTTATTACTAGGAAACCTAGACCAAAGAACTCAGGGGACCATTGGGGGGCGGGGGGCAATGGGACTTCTTCCGCACCTCCCTCAGGGCAGTTGTCATACCCTGACTCCAGCCAGCATGAGTGCCTCGAGAGTCCATGGCACCAAGATAGGGGCAGGCAGACCTGTCTGGACTCTGAGGCAACCCTGGAAGCAGGACCAAAGGGGTCTTGGGACTGAAGGCCAGTGGGAGCAGCCCGCTCTCCAAGGGAGGCCAAGGGTAGGGAGAGAAGGGCCTGTGTCTCAAGTGTCTGACCCAAGTGTCTCGCTCAGCTGTATTTTTAGCTCTCACCCTTGAGCCACATATCCATGGAGCGTCCTCTGAGAACCTACATTATTCTTTTGCCGAAGCACCGCATTTTCCTTGCATTTTAGTTTAGAGAACCAGTTTTGGGGGGCTTTGTCTTCCTTCCTGCTTTTATGTCCAGTCTGTTTTCTATTTTCTCTCAAAAACTTGCCTAATGAGCAGGGAGGGGGTGGGATTGAAAAGATGGATCTTTGTCATCACACAGATCTGGACTGAATCCCAGCCACACCGGAGCCCAAGAAGCTGGACCTCCGGGAGAATCCACTTCTCCTGCTGTCAAATGGGGATCCTAACAGTAATCACTTCATGGGCTGTGCCCCGGGTTGACTGGGATAATGTTTGCAAAGTGCCCCGCACAGTTCCTGGTGCATAGTAACGGATGTGGGCAATTATTTTATTTTCAGAAATCAGTGAAAGATGTGTGTGGAGGGCTCACCTTGTTACAGTTTTTCTCCCTGGGGAACTCTCTCCTGAAACACGAGTCTTTGTTTTGAAGACAGCCTCAGTGGTTTAGTCTTGTGTGAGTTCAAAATTGTTTTGTAGCCTCAAAATCACATCCATAGTAATCTTGTTTGTCCGTCGTTAATCCTGTTTTTAAGCAGTTTCCTCTAGTGATTAAAAAAAAAATGATGCAAGGGCAATTGGAAAACATGCCATGTTGAAAGCTGCTTCAAGGTGAAGGTTTACCTTTTAAAAAATTATTTCTGTTGTTCATTTCATAGTAACATAAGATTTGACATTCTGGCTATGTTCATATGGTAAAAATAGATATAAAGTCTGTGAAATCAAAGTATAATCACCATAACCCAGTATCTCTATGATTTCCATATATTTTTAGAACCTGAAAATAGAAACATTTGGGGGGCTATTTTATTACTTGCTTGCATTTTTAATCTGTCAAACCTGAATTTTATTTTAGTTTTTACTTTGTTTATATTTTATGATGCTACAGATGTTTAAAATTCATATTTTGGGGACTAAGATGAAAGTCTTTCCTGAGATCATTTTATTTGGAAATAGTTTTTATTTTAGTTTGGCATTTTCTGTGGCTACTAACTTAAATCTAGTAACTGGTATCCATGGCATCCATGTTCTTTTTTATTTATTTATTTTTTTCCTCACTACTATGCTAACAAGGAGGCATCCATGTTCTATGAACCAGAATATTCTTTCTAATTACTTTACCTTTGAACTCAAACTATTTAACTTTTATACAAATGGAGAAAATAGTTCAAAAAGTAACATGTCTTCTTCAGCATTACCTAATGGCAATCAACACCTAATTTACACCTCTAGGTAGAAACAGAAATCAATTCGTCTCTCAAATGTTAAGGGCCAGGTCTCATGTTGCAGGCTTTTCCCATAATTTCACTATATTATATCTTTTCTGTTTACTAAAAATAATCTTTCCTTTTTCTGATTGAAAAGTAATCAATGCTTTTAAGATAACCTGAAAAATAGTATTATCTCTTGAGCTGATCCTGAATTTCAAAACAGTTCTCTGAAAAATGGTTTCCTCAAAGTTGAGAACATAAACAATATGTTACTCCCAAGGCAATAATCAGAAATACAAGCAGATATTTCATTTGACAATATTGTCTCATCACAGTGAGATGATGAAATAAACATATTTTTCATTTATTGTAATGAAAAATTGCAAACCACCTAGATGTTAGGTAAAATACGGTATATCTATGTAGATTAACGTGTAGCTATTACAAATAATAGATTACGTAGCATTTTTCCTTTTTATTTTTATTATTAGATTCTTTTTATTTATAAATTAACTAATTACAAAGTGCACTCATTGAAAAGCTTCGCAGCACAAAGGCTACAAAGAAAATACTCTATTTTTAAGGACTTGGAGAAATGCTCACAATCCAACAATTACTGAAAGAAGAAAAACATGAATTCAACATAGAGCTCAATCTTGGTTATATTAGTTATATTATAACGCAAACTATATAATAATATATAACATTATATATAATATATTGTATATTATATATAACATAATATATGATATAATATATAACATATGCCATATGTTACATATAATATATGTAACATATGTTATATATTTACATATAAAATACATGTATATGAAACGGGAGAGTTCCCTGATGCCCCTTGCAGGACGTTGGACAGGGGTGTGGCTCACCTGTTCAGTTGCCACAGCTGCTCAAACCCCTTACAGGAGTGGGAGCACATAGACAAATGCAGGAGCCCAAGCGGGCCTGTGTTATAGTGTGCCTTTTTAGCCTTGCCGTCCTCGGATAGCTTGAGTGTTAAACAGCTCAGTGGAACCTCTGCCTTTCTGGAAGGGCAGAGGGCCGGTGTGACAGCTTTCTGTATACCGAACTCTTGTCCAGCATCCTGGAAAAATCAGGTCACACACGGACTTGAAGGATGAATGCGGGAGTTTTACTGAGGGGTGGAAGTGGCTCTCAGTGGGATGGATGAGGAGCCGAAGTGGGGGATGGAGTGGGAAGATGATTTTCTTCTGGAGCCCGGCGGTCCAACAGCTGAACCCCTCTTGAACTGCCCCCAGCCAAACTCCTCTTGGCATTCAGATGTTCCTCCTCTTCTCTCTCTCTGCCGCATGGTTCCACTGTCCATCTGCTTGTCTCATCTCCTCGCTTGCTCGTCTGCTTCTGGAGCCTGGGGTTCAGGGTTTATGTGGGTACAGGATAGGGGCGTGGCGGGCCAAAAGACAACTTTTTGGGTGCAAACACAGGAATGCCTGTCCTCATTTAGGGCTGCTGGATCTTCAGGCTTGAGGGTAGGGCCTTTGCTGGGGGAACCACCCTTTCCTGCCTAGTGTTTCCCTGTCTCCTGTCCGTATCATATATATTATTTTTATTTATTTTTATTTTTTGAGACAGAATCTCCCTCTGTCACCCAGGCGGGAGTACAGTAGCATGATCTCTGCTCACCACAACCTCTGCCTCCCAGGCTCAAGCAATCCTCCAGCCTCAGCCTCCCACGTGGCTGGGACTACAGGCACGAGCCACAACGCCAGGCTAATTTTTATATTTTTGTAGAGATGGGGTTTCACCATGTTGCCCAGGCTGGTCTCAAACTCCTGAACTCAAGCAATCCACCCACCTCAGCCTCCCAAAGTGCTGGGATTACAGGCGTGAGCAAATCCCCCCTCCCTCTCCCGCTCCAGTCAGTTATCCATATTTATTTGTGACAATATGCTATAGAAATAACAGGCTGCCTCTGGTTGGTGGAATTCAAGTATTTCACATTTTCTCAGGCCAGGCGTAGTGACTCATGCCTGTAGTCCCAGCAGTTTGGGAGGCCGAGGCAGGTGGATTGCTTGAGTCCAGGACTTCAAGGCCAGCCTGGGCAACATGACAAGACCCTCTTTCTACAAAAAATACAAAAATGAGTGAGGGTGTGGTGGCTTGCACCTGTAGTCCTAGCTACTTGGGAGGCTGAGGTGGGCAGCTGCGGCTCCTCAACCTCCAGATCACTATAGTGAGCAGTGATCTCACCATTGTACTCCAGCCTGGGCAACAGAGTGAGACCCTGTCTCAAAAAAAAAAAAATTTCTTTCTTTTCCTTTTCAGCATATTCCAGAATCTTTATAATAAACATATATACTTTTATAATCAAAATTTAATAAAAGGCAAATTTCAAAAAGACAGATAAGTAGTAGAACTGAAAAAGAGAAAATCCAGAGACAATGAATTTTTTAGACTTTGAGGGACAAAGACCACAGTGGCTGATAAGCATGTTTCCAGCTGTTTTATATACCAACAAACCTAAGTCCAGATGGTTTGTGTTGTCACTAACAAGCGTTGTTCCACCAGCAAAGGTGCTCACAGCTTGGCCTGACTTCTGACACACCACTGCGCTCTGGGTGTGCCATTTCATCTCCAGGGCCTCAGTTTCCCATTATGGCGGGTAAGGTCCACACAATGTTAAAGTCCTGAGATTCCATTCATATCATGTAATACTTGTTTTTCTAGCACCATCTATTGAAAAGTATTCCACATTAGCTAAAAAGGTTGAATTTAGTTGAACACACTGAGCACTTGCTTTCTGCCAGGCACTGAGATGAGGCGGGGTACAGAGTTGGGTAAGGAACAATCTCTGCCTTTGAGAGGCTTACCACCTGACCAGAGGGCCTTGGAGGAACAGAGGGGGAGGGTATGTGAAAAGTACATGCAGACAGCCAAGAGCACAGAGATGGGAGTTGAGACCCGACCTGGGAATCTGAGAAGGTTTCCTGGGAGAGATGACACCCAAACTGAGTTGTAGAGAAGAAGTCAGTTAGCCAGAACTGGAAAGGTACAAATGGACTTTCATCCTTGCAGCATCATGGGCAGTGCTTAGGGAGTGACAGTGATCAGTTTATTTATTTATTTAAAAAAAATTTTTTTTGAGACAGGGTCTTGTTTTGTCGCCCAGACTGGAGTGCAGTGGTGTAATCACAGCTCACTGCAGCGTCGACTTCTGCGGACTCAAGCGATCCTCCCACCTCAGCCTCCTGAGTAGCTGGGACCACAGGCATATGCCACCATGCCCAGCTAATTTTTTTTTTTTTTTTTTTTTTTTGAGACGGAGTCTCGCTCTGTCACCCAGGCTGGAGTGCAGTGGCGCAATCTCGGCTCACTGCAAGCTCCGCCTCCCGGGTTCATGCTATTCTCCTGCCTCAGCCTCCCGAGTAGCTGGGACTACAGGAGCCCGCCACTACGCCTGGCTAATTTTTGTATTGTTAGTAGAGACGGGGTTTCACTGTGTTAGCCAGGATGGTCTCAATCTCCTGACCTCGTGATCCACCCACCTCGGCCTCCCAAAGTGCTGGGATTACAGGCGTGAGCCACCGCGCCTGGCCGCTAATTTTTGTAGTTTTGGTAGAGACAGGGTTTCACCACGTTGCCCAGGCTGGTCTCAAACCTCTGAGCTCAATTGATGCACCCGCCTCGGCCTCCCAAAGTGCTGAGATTACAGAGACGTGAGCCACCATGCCTGGCTGTAATCAGTTTTAAAATAGAAAGAATTTGGGGCAAAAACACTTTCTAGTTGTTGCTCAGCAAGGTCAATGAGTGGTCAGCACAGAATAGCTCCTGTCATCTGGAAGGACGGGGGCACCGTTATCAGAAAGCAAACAGTCTTAAAAGCCGGGTGTGGCAGCCCTCACCCGTTGTCTCAGCTACTTGGGAGTTCCAGGCCAGCCTGGGCAAGGTAGCAAGACCCCATCTCTAAAAAACAAAAAGAAAGCAAACAGTCTAACTAATTTCAGTCCTAGTTCTTACTTTTTAGGAAATGGAGGCATTTTTAAATTTTCTACTGAGACAGCCTCCTCCCAGTGGCCTCTGGGGTCTTGCCCTTGCTGATAACCTTCCCATCATCTTTCTCCATTGCCCCTGCTACTGCCACCCACCATCTACAAGGCAACCTCAACTTTCTCTTGTTAAATTTGACCTCTCAAAGTGTAACTTACATGTGTTGGGTCAAAGAGAACTGCTGTGAGGCCTGGCTCTTATCTTTGGACACATGCTTAAAGCCCGTACCCTTTTCCCCACTGATAAGATATAGAAAAAACAGTAACAAAAGCTGGATATCATAATCAAGCCAAGACAGACTCCCTGCTGGGTCTGTGTCCGGCCTGGAGGGACTGGTGGGGAATTAGTCACGTAGAGCCCACAGAGCCTGCAGCAGGCCCAGTCAAGACTGTGCAGGTGGAAGGGTCCACTTCGGAGCATTTCCTGTGAATTTCCCTCCCCTCTGCCCCTCACTACTACTGCTCTAGGACCCTTATCCTTTCCTCTAGTCTACCCAAAGGAGGAATCAAGATTTTTTTTACCAACCTCTGGCCTGAGCATGAGACAGAATATATTCAGATGCATGCTTGGCACGTGAGCTTCTCAGCTCTCAAAGAGTGGTTAAGACTAGAGCTAGGAAAAAGGAGAGGAAGAAGGGAAGGGGGAGGAAGGGACGAAGGGCCTGGGGCTACCAAGATGGGAGAGAGGACTCACTGCTTCTAGGACCCAGGGACAAAGGAAATGATCTCAGAGATTAACTACCCTTAATCTGGTTCCCTCTGTGTGATCCATCCTTGCGGAACAATTGTAGTACAGTTATTCGTCACTTAACAATGGGACAGGTTCGGAGAAATGTGTCATTAGGCAATTTCATTGTTCTGCAAACATCACAGAGTGTAGTTACACAAATCTAGATGGTGTTGCCTGCTACACACCCAGGCTAGATGGCAGAGCCTACTGCTCCTAGGCTACAAGCCTGTGCAGCATGTTACTCTACTGAATACTGTAGGCAAACGTAACACAGTGGTAAGTATTTGTGTATCTAAGCATGTCTAAACATAGAAAAGGCACAATAAAACATGGTACTATAATCTTATGGGACCACCGTCATCTACGTGGTTCCCTCGTTGACCAAAATGTTGTTATGCAGCTTGTGACCATACTTAGGTTAATGCTAGCTAGCTGCTGTTACAAATCAACCTTTCAGCGAACACAGTAAAAGTTGATTCCTTGTTTATGTAACAGCTCATTGTCAGCGTTCCTGATTAGTAGGCAGCTTTTCTGGGACAGACATCTCTCTTCTGGCCAAGGGCGCTTTGGTCAGTTGGGCAGCTCATAACTATCCCTAGTGGCTCAGGAACCAATAAACAGGGGTTATTGTGCTTTACAGTTCTCCTAACACAGTACAGGAGGGCTTTGGAGGGAAGGAATGAAGAGGATGAGAAGTCTGAAAAGTCACCCGTTCAATACTTCCGTGAAGCCCCGCTTCTCCCTTTGAATCATGATTGTGGCTCGCAGAAAGAGCACGGACTGCAATCAGACTGATCTGCATTCAAATCCCAGCACGGCCACTTCCTGGCTGTGCGACTGTGGGCCACTTACTCCATCTCTCTGAACCTCAGTTCCTTCTTTTGAAAAACAAGGATATCAAGAGCTCACAGAGCAGTGGTGAGGATTAAATAAAATGGCATTCCAAATACATCAGGCATCTAATCAATACCTGCTCTTCCGCTAAGCAGGGCCCCCAGACTGGCTCTTGAATGGCACTTACCGTTCAAAGGAATCCTGAGAAACGGTGTTAGGGCCACTGCCACGTGGAAAAAAAAGTAAAGCAGAATTCCCTGTCTCCTCCCTCCGGAATAAATATAGATAGATCAAAGATTTCACTTATTTTCTTGGAGTAGGGAAGGCCTTCCTGAGCATGATTAGAAATCCAGAAACCACGAAGGAAAAGAATAGCCAATCTGATACATATAGATTAAAAATATCTGGGAGAGAAATAGACAGAGTAAGAGATAAATGGCAATTTAGGAAAAACATTTGCAACCTTATTCTACGGGCTAATTTCTTTAATAAATAAGAAATTCCTATCATTCAGTAAGAAAAAGGCTAATAACCAAATTGA